>NC_000005.10:142578659-143203659 GCF_000001405.40 Homo sapiens | reverse complement strand
GTCTTTGCTATTGTGAACAGTGCTGCAATAAACATACGTGTGCATGTGTCTTTATAGTAGAATGATTTATAATCCTTTGGGTGTATACACAGTAGTGGGATTGCTGGGTCAAATGGTATGTCTGGCTCTAGATCCTTGAAAAATCGCCACACTGTCTTCCACAATGGTTGAACCAATTTACAACCCCAGCAACAGTGTAAAAGCATTCCTGTTTCTCCACATCCTCTCCAGCATGTGTTGTTTCCTGACTTTTTAATGATTGCCATTCTAACTGGCATGAGATGGTATCTCACTGTGGTTTTGATTTGCATTTCTCTAATGACCAGTGATGATGAGTGTTTTTTTTATATGTTTGTTTGCCACATAAATGTCTTCTTTTGAGAAGTATCTGTTCATATCCTTCACCCACTTTTTGATGGGGTTGTTTTTTTTTCTTGTAAATTTGTTTAAGTTCCTTGTAGATTCTGGATATTAGCCCTTTGTCAGATAGATTGCAAAAATTTTCTCCCATTCTGTAGGTTGCCTGTTCACTCTGATGATAGTTTCTTCTGCTGTGCAGAAGCTTTTTAGTTTAATTAGATCACATTTGTCAATCTTGGCTTTTGTTGCCATTGCTTTTGGTGTTTTAGTCATGAAGTCTTTGACCATGCCAATGTCCTGAATGGTATTGCCTAGGTTTTCTTCTAGAGTTTTTACGGCTTTAGGTCTTACATTTAAGTCTTTAATCCATCTTGAGCTAATTTTTGTATAAAATGTAAGGAAGGGGTCCAGTTTCAGTTTTCTGCATATGGCTAGCCAATTTTCCCAACAGCATTTATTAAATAGGAAATCCTTTCCCCATTGCTTGTTTTTATCAGGTTTGTCAGAGATCAGATGGTTGTAGATGTGTGGCGTCATTTCTGAGGCCTCTGTTCTGTTCCATTGATCTATATATCTGTTTTGGTACCAGTACCATGCTGTTTTGGTTTCTGGAGCCTTGTAATATAGTTTGAATCCAGGTAGCATGTTCCCTCCAGCTTTGTTTTTTTGCTTAGGATTGTCTTGGCTATACGGGCTCTTTTTTGGTTCCATATGAAATTTAAAGTAGTTTTTTCTAATTCTGTGAAGGAAGTCAGTGGTAGCTTGATGGGGATAGCATTGAATCTATCAATTACTTTGGGCAGTATGGCTATTTTATGGCTATTTTCATGATACTGATTCTTCCTATCCATGAACATGGAATGTTTTTCCATTTGTTTGTGTCCTTGTCTTATTTCCTCGAGCAGTGGTCTGTAGTTTTCCTTGAAGAGGTCCTTCATATCCCTTGTAAGTTGTATTCCTAGGTATTTTATTCTCTTTGTAGCAATTGTGAATGGCAGTTCACTTCAATTTACCAAGCAAATGGAAAAAAAAAAAAGCAGGGGTTGCAATCCTAGTCTCTGATAAAACACTTAAAACCAACAAAGATGAAAAAAGACAAAGAAGTGCATTAAATAATGGTAAAGGGATCAATGCAAAAAGAAGAGCTAACTTAATGCAACAGGAAGAGCTAACTATCCTAAATATATATGTACCTAATACAGGAGCACCCAGATTCATAAAGCAAGTTCTTAGAGACTTACAAAGAGACTTATACTACCACACAATAATAGTGGGAGACTTTACCACCCCACTGAGATATTAGACAGATCAAGATAGAAAATTAACAAGGATATTCAGGACTTGAACTCAGCACTGGACCAAGCGGACCTAACAGACATCTACAGCACTCTTCACTTCTGTGATTTTTTAAATGACTAAAGGAATTATGCCTTTTGTTTATTTGTACTTTAGAGTCATGGCAATAATCCTATCAACAATACTACTGCACATTTTATGTACTGCAAAGATGCATGTCGCAACAGAAGGACTGTAAACAGACAAGAAATAGAGAGTACATTGTATTTTAGTTCTGATGCAAAACTAAGGGTGTATGACTATGTGTTCTCATACTCATAGAACACATATGTGAGATATAAGACGCACAGGGATGGTTATTATGGCCCAAGACTCTTTGTAGAATCTTAAATTCTCCTTTCACTACAGAAGTGTCTGGCTGTAGGTTACTTAAAAATGACAACGGCAGACAAAAATAAATACATAAATAAACAAAATAAAAATCTTGCTCCCTCCTGCCCCTCACCAAACCCAAAACAAAACAGACAAATTTCAAAATGGTCAATTTCACTCCTGGCTCTGAAACCTCCAATATCAAATTTGCAACCCCTTTCCCACTAATGAAGCCAAGGATAACAAACAATTAAAAGAGGAGAAAATGATTTTATAACTACAATTTTAGCAGATGACTGCTAAAGGCATTCCTACAACCCTCAGAGTCCAGATGGGTGTATTAAGCTGAATGCCCAGTGCCCCTAAATATTCCTGGGGTCCTGCCAGGCCCCCACATCTAGGCCCAATGACAGCAACAACACAGCATACACTGTAGCATGCAAGGAACATTTGCTGGTCTGGTTTGGATTCAACTGGTAGGCTTACATCCACTTTAGTTTGCTGGCCCACAGTGTCCTCAAAAGGAGTCAGACAGTCCCAGTCAGTCTCTGAAATTCACTGGACAGTGAAAGAATAACGGTTTAGGAAGATAAGGCTAAAAGGCTTGGCAGCATAATGGGTTGTGGCTGATAGTTCAAGTACAGTGTGTAGCAATATCATCAGCTTGACACCCTTCTGTGGTGACTCACTTGAATGATGGAACATCTGCTGGACCAGCCAGGGCATGCCTGCCATACTGTGGCAGGGCTGCCCAGGCAGGCTCCCAGTCTGACAAGGGATGTGGCAGACCCTCTCTGATCTCCACACCACAGTAGTAGAGCTGCTATAAGATGAGAGGTTCTGTAACTGGAGGAGTAAGCTGACCACGAAGAAGAAAGTTAATCTTTCAAAATTCTAATAATGAAAATTACTGACGGCCTTGTAGAAAATTGGAAAATACCAAAAACCAAGAAGAAAAGAAATACAACCATACATAATTTATGCCACTGATAATCACTGTTAACACTTTGGCATATTTCTCCTCGCTTTTTTTTGGAGAATTATACTACACATGTAGTTAATACCCTCCTTTTTTTCCCTTAATAAGGCATTTTCCAATGCAATTATATAGCCTTTGATAACATATTTTTAAAATGGCTACAGGCTGTTCTATTGTATGGTATACTCTGATTTCTGTAACCATTTTCTTATTGTGTATATTCAGACTCCTATCCCCCTTTAGCTATTATAAATAGCATTGCAACTCACATCTTTGTAGAGAATCCCTGCCAGTGTCTCAATTGTTTCCTTAGCATAAATTCCTGAAAGTAAAATTAGTGGGTCAAAGGCTAGGAGTTTCTTTTAAAGGTGTTGATATACCGTGCCAAATAGCTTTCCAGAAAGGTTCTACTGCTGTGCATTTCCACCAACACTGACAATTCCTTCTCACCATTACCCCACCAACATTGAGCATGATCATTAGAAAAAAATTAGATGAACATTTTTTCAGTGTTCAGAGGTTACCCTGGACTCTTTGCTTTCCTGGTCTTTTCAGTGATGTACGAATGAATACAATTCCCTTCCTGTGTTCTGTTTCCACGTGGAAGCAATGTTTAATTTTCCAAAGGGCATTTTGACAAGAGGGTTGTGTGGGGAAGGAGACAGGCTGATGGATAAAGAGACAGATATCCACAACCTGGAGATGTGAGACCCCCTAGTTGAAAGGTATGGCTGCTCCCAGAGGAAAAGAAAGTAGTGGATTTGTAGCTTAGTGTAGGACTTTCAAAACAAGGATGAAGTCAGAGGGATAAGGCACACAAGGAAGGGCCTGAGAGTCTTGCACTAAGAGTCTCCACAGTGTCAGACTTTGGAGAAGCAGCAAAATTGGCATTTGCACGTCTCTGCCAGGCAGTGGCCCATGATCTGCAGTCCAGGTCCCCAGTGATATGTCTCAGGCCTGGGCTGAGCCTCGGATCACCGGCCCAGGGCTGGTCTTTATGCTGTCAGTTCCCCTTCCAGGTTAGACTGTTAGGTGGTGATGGTGCTATTAAACTAACAGGGGGCGGCTTTGATTTTGCCCCTATGATGAAAAAGAGAAGAAAATTCCATGAAAATCTAAAATGTCCTATCTAATCTAATCCCATTTCATTGAATTCTTCTTCCTTGGAAAATATCCCTTTCTGGCTTGACTTAAGGTAAAGGGAAATCAAACTTTAGCCAAGAAAATAGAGCCAAAAGGAACAGTGGTAAATTGGCTACTGGTGAACCAGACCAAATGACACAAAACCAGTTTTTATCTGTTGAAAATCTGAAGACATATATTCCTTATGTGTGTCCACTCAAGCTTTTACAACAAAGAAATCCTATATAAGTCCTAACCTCCTGGATTTTCAGTATGTACTTCACAACTTTATGAGCAGAAAAAATCCACAAGTCCCTGAGCTTGACTGTTTCGTGTTCTTTTCTACTACTCATGTGCAGATGTCTTTGCACAGATTATTTCCCCTCATCTAATATAATTTAACATGCATTTTTATTTAAACAATGACAGAGTTCGGTTTCTTATTTTAATGAAACTAGTGAAATCCCCTTAAGGTCTTAACAATAATAGGGAAATGCATTTTAAAATACTTCTTCAATAATTTACTTTAAAAATAGCTTGACTAGTTTACAATGCAGCGGTTCTGTTTTCTAGCTTTAAAAAATAATTCTTAAACTATTGGGTACTGTGGCCACCACCTGGGAGATGGGATCATTTGTACCCCAAACCTCAGCATCACACAATATACCCATGGAACAAACCTGTACATGTACTCCCTGAATCTAAAAGTTGAAATTATTTACACAAATAAAATAATTTCTGAAGTTTTAAATAAACTTTAAACTTAGATGGGGTGAGTAGGAATGGTAAGTAATTCTATGATTTAAACAAAATTCAAGATTTTGGAATAGCGCATACATCATCCTTAATGTTCCCCAAGTCAATAATCCGAATCTTTTCTCACTGAATAATACAGAAATATGAGGTAGAGGGAAAAATTCCAGATTGGAAACAAAGACATCTGGACAACAGTCCTAGTTCAATTGCTCATTGTACAGAAAAACCTCAAGGGAAAGGGTCAGAAAGGTTAAATGGGCAGAATGCTTCTATTGTGCACCGTGGCTCACAATACTTATTGACCTTAATATTCTTTCCTGTTGAACCTAAGTGTAGCCTCTCAATCTTTTCCAATACCGCATTTCAGGCACAACAGAACTGCCTAGAATAAAAATTTCTCTCAACTAAAAAATTTCACAATATGTGAATTTATTTGTAAGAAAACACTAAAGCATTTTGGGGGCATTATAAAGTGTTCATATGGTAACAATTGCTATCTCAAAAGATCTGAATAGTTGCTAAGAAATCCCAATACTTCCTTACTAGGCATATAACTCTTAAATTGAGTATGGTACAATTGCCTTTCTCCACATAATGAAGATATTGTGCTTGCCAAAACAAATTCACTCAAGTAACATACAAATAAAAGGGACGCAATAGTGCTACTACATCCAATCTTTCGTTGTTCTGGGGTATAATCTAAAGCCACTGTTTAAATGCTAGAGATGTTTAAACATGATTCTTAAAATCTGTAAGCAAGAAACTATGACTGCCTCAGGGGGTTGAGAGTGGGGAACTGGATGTACAGATATGGACTAGACATTCACTTTTTTATTTATACTGTTAGGAATTTATCATGGGCCTATACGATTTTATGCTACTAGTGGAAAGTGCTCTTTTATACACGGTGCTAGACTAACTGGATATCTATATGGAAAAAAATGACAGAATCCCCTACCTCACACCATACATAACAAATGTGTTCCAGATGGATTATAGACCTAAATGCCAAAGGCAAACAATAAAGATTTTAGAAGAAATAATTCCAGAAACTGAAGGTTCCCAAACAGGGGTTGGAATTTATCCAGTAGGGCATAGAGAGGGCATATCAAAAACAATATTAAAAGGGTAAAAAGGCAGCCTACAACATAAAAATGAACAAAGGGTTTATAACCAGACTATGTAAAGATTTCTTACTGGTGAGTAAAACACAACCAAGTGGGAAATGGGCAAGAAACCTGAATAGGGATGTTAAAAGAGAAAATCCAAAAGAAAAGGCACTCAACCTTTCTGTGCTGCAGGAAATGCAGATTAAAACCACAGTGAGATGTTACTGCACACCCACCAGAATGACTAAATAGCTAACATCAAAATGCTGGAAATACCAGAGGTTTATGAGAATGAGGTACATCTCATTCTCATCTGTAACTCATATTTTGCTGCAGGAGGGGTGTAAATTGCTACAATCATTTTCAAAAATAGTGTAGCATTATCTAGCAAAGGTGAAGATACCATTCCCTTGGACCCAGTAGTTCCATTGCTAGACATACACCCCAGAGAAAGGTGTGTTATGTGTACACTGGAAGACATGTATTAGAATGTGTAGAGCAAATTATTTGTAAAAGCAGAAAATGGAAATTCAAAATTTTAGAAAAAGTGGAATAAAAAAATAATTTTTGTGTATTAATACAATGGTGCACTCTACAGCAATGAAAATGAACTACAGCAACATAAATGACTTAAATGTGGTTGAGCAAATGAAGTTGAACTCAAAACAATAAAATGTTGCATTTAGGGATATATACAGTCTATCCTCATTATTTCCATATTCCTTATTTGCAAATTCACCTACTTACTAAAATGTATCTGTAACCTCAAAATCAACATCTGGGGTGCTGTTGAGGTCATCCGAGGACATGTGCAGAGCAGCAAAAACCTTGAGTCGCCCAACGGCACATTCCCAGCTGAGGTCAAACAAGGCAAAGCTCTGCCTTCTTGTTTCAGCTCTCATACTGTAAACAAGTGTCTGTTTGAGGTCTACCTAGTACCACATTTTCATGCTCTTCAATGGTGATTTTGCCATTTAAAATGGCCCCTAAGCATACAGCTGAAGCACTGTCAAATGTTCCTAAGCACAAGAAGGTTGTAATGTGCCTTATAGAGAAAATGTGTGTGTTAGATGAGCTCCAGGCATGAGTTAACAGTGCTGCTGGTCCTAAGTTCAATGTTAATAAATCAACAATAATATTAAATGAGGTGACTTTAGGCAGAAATACATATAAAACAGGGTGGTGTACTGATCAGGTGATGAAAATGTTGTGACCAGGGGCTTACAGGAAGCTCACTCTGTATTTCCCCTCCATGCAATGGCTTAGTATTCAGTAATTCCGTGTTTGCAGTGACTTTATAGAACATGACTACCGCGAAAAACAAGAATGGACTGTATTTATGAGGTTAAAATATAAATAAAAACTAATTGATTGCCATAAACATGAGATTAGAGCCCTTGTGGGGAAGAAGAGGACTGTGATGGGGGAGGAGAAAGCAAGAGATGTGGACACCAGCAAGGCTGCAGTTCTTAACCAGTGGGGGGTGAGGGGGTGGTTACTAAATAATAATTTAGTATTATTTAGGGGGTGTTTGCTAAATAATAATTTGTTAAGACGTACATTTATATTTCATGTACTTTTTAATACACGTTCAAGCCTATCTTAAAACATATGAACAGTAAGTACCTTAACATATTAGTAGCATTCCCTGGGTGATGAGATTAAAGGTAACTTTTAAATAGCTTTATTTTTTTAGAGTCGCTTGAGGTTCACAGCAAAATTGAGCAGAAAGTACAGAATTCCCCTATATCCCTTGTTCCCATACGCAAAGTTTTTGTGCTTTTAAAACATATTTTTGCAATTAACATGTTACTTTTATAACCACAACTTAATAAATATTACAAAAAAAAAAAAGTCTCCCCAGCCACCCAAACTACAACTTTTACTCCATAGAAGAAGGATGTTTAATAGAGGCAAAATGATAGTTCAGCCTTTGTTGCACCAATCCACGGTTTAGGTTGCATAATACAGTTGGCAGCTCCCAACTTGTACTGTTTCTCTGCCTACTGCACTGAGAAATTATGTTGACTCTTTTAGAGACTTTTTTATTTTGGGAAACTTATTACAGTAAATCAATGGTCTCTTCCTTTTACCTGGGGTAGGGGGACGTCAAGGAGGATGTCTCTGATGTAGCATTCTGAGTAAGCTGCACAACATGTTAACAACACAGGCTGAGGGGCATTGGCTCTCTGGCATACTTTCCTGTATGGTCTACTTTCAGGGAATATTTCCTGTTTGGACTAGGGGGAGGAAAAAGATTTAATAAGAATCTAAATGTCCACTGCTGAAAACAAAGGAGTAACTAAAATTAGCAGCAGTGGCCCAAGGCATTTCAGCTTACAGGTAACCCTGGAGAGGAGATTCCTTGAGTAAGGAGCCTACTATAATATTTCACTATGTTCAGGACTTTTCAGCAATAGAAGCAGCACTTCTGCAAGGACAATGTCCAGGATGATTAAGTTAAACTCTTGCAAATGCACGAACCTTGGTCCGGATACCATGAAAGGCAGATGAGACAGAGAGAGAAAGAGAGATGAACTTTGATGAAAAGGCTAAAAGTCTCCAAGTCTCTTTCTTTCCCTCCAAGCGAGTAGCAGCCTTCCCTCTAATTCTGGTGCTTATTTAGTAGTCTAAACATGTGGAAAATTGTCTCTGATCTGATTTTAATCTGTTCAAGCTTCTTCTCTACTCCATTTATATCTTCCACACCTGGCCCTGCTCCTTCAGCGTGACCATTCACAAACCTGACACTCTCCCTGTGTTCCCGCTGGCCCTCCACAATGGCTGGCGCAGGCTGCCATGGAGGAATGTAATCTTACTAAGCCTCATGGTGATTTTTACCCCTTGTTCATTTGGTTCTGAGGAGCTTATTGACTTGACTGGAAAAAACTTTAAATGATTTTCCAGCAAAATCACCCTTTCCGCTGGAGAAAAAGAGTTTCACCATCTGTGAATAAAAACAAATTGAAGGAAAATCATTTTTATATTCTCTTCTAGTTCTTGTCCTTCAAAACCAAATATCCACAGAGAAGTCAATGAAAAATGGACATGGCAAAACACAATTCTGATCTCACAAAATTTTTTTTTTTTTCCAAATCTGAGGTGGATCCAAATTTACTCTGGATAATCTACAAGTTACTAAGCAAACTTATAGTGCAAAAAGGTTTCATACATAAATGCTTAACTTAAGAGAACTATTCTTGGTGAACATTTCGAAATTCAAATCTGATGATTACATCATTTCTCTGCTTAAAACACTTCAATGCTTCCCCATTGCTCATAGGATAAGGCCTTCTCACCTAGACTATTATAAGAATCTCCAGCCTGTTTTCTTTACCTTTTACCATTCCAGTCCATCCTACTGTGCACTGTAAGTACAAACACCTGCTAAAGACATAGCTTAATAAATATTTGTTGAATGTTGTTGAATGAAGAGCATTTTCCTGCTCATAAATTTCTCATTACTTAACGAATGTAGAATAAATTCCTTACTCTGGCAGACTGGAATATGTAGTTACAGTTTATTCTAGAATTTTTGCATTCCCCTTCTTCTGGTTCACTTGGAGAAGTTCTTTTCCATCCTAAGTGACCCAGGTGAGTCCAGTGTCCTGCTGATTTCACTGCAGGGCAGGCATGTGATCCAGGCTGGCCACAGTGGTCAGTGTGGACAACTGACCCTTGTTCATCTGTGGAGTCTAACAAAGTAGTGCCCCCTTATCCTCGGTGGTTATGTTCCAAGATGCCCAGTGGATGCCTGAAACCGTGGATAGTACCAAACTATGTATATACTATGTTTTTTATATGTATATATCTATGGTAAAGTTTAATTTATACATTTAAGCATAATAAGAGATGAACAACTACAATGATAAAACAATTATAACAATATAATGAAAATTATGTGAATGTAATGTCTCAAAATATCTTACTGTACCATAAACCGTAGCAGCCTCAGCATATATTTTCCCTTCCTTAAGTCAGTAACTTTCACCTTTTCACTTACAGGAAGCACTTTACGGCTTCTCTTTAGCATATGCAAATTGCCAGCATTACCACTCTTGGACTTTGGGGCCACTGTTAAGTAAAGTAAGGGTTACTTGAACATAAGCACTGTAGGCCGGGGCATGGTGGCTCACGCCTGTAATCCCAGCACTTGTGGTAGGCCAAGGTGGGTAGATCACCCGAGCTCAGGAGTTCGAGACCAGCCTGGCCAACATGGTGAAACCCCACCTTTACTAAAAATACAAAAATTAGCCAGGTTTGGTGGCTGTATACCTGTGATCGCAGCTATTCAAGAGGCTAAGGCAGGAGAATCGCTTGAACCTGGGAGGCGGAGGTTGCAGTGAGCCGAGATCGTGCCACTGCACTCCAGCCTGGGTGACAGAGCGAGACTCTGCCTCAAAAAAAAAAAAAAAAAAAAAAAAAGAAAAGAAAATAAGCACTGTAATACCTGGAGTCAATCTGATAACTGAGGTAGCTACTAAACAACTAAAGGGTGGCCAGTGTCCACAGTGTGGCAAAGGGATGATTCCTGTCCCGGGGAGCAGGACTTCATCATGTGGGGAGCAAGACTTCATCATGCTACTTGGAATGCTATGAAGTTTAAAACTTACAAATTATTTGTTTTTATAATTTTTCATTTAATATTTTCAGACAGTCATTGACCATAAGTAACTGAAGCCAAGGAAAGCAAAACCGTAGATGAGGAGCGCCTACTGCATATGAATGCTCTTCTTTCTGGATCCAACAATAAAATGTATTGGCTTAGGGTGACCAGAGATCTTTTTTCATGTTACATGGCCAACATCTGTCTGCAAATGAAGTTAACATGAAAAAAAAAGAGGGAAGAAGAGCCAAGCAAAATGATAATTTGGGCTCTTAAATCCAAATGTGCTGAGGGTTAGATCCACCATGAGACTTCCCAAAATGTCAGCTTATGACTTCCATTTTTTTCCCTTAAGCTAGCTGGGTTTCCTCATTCCAAGGCGTTTCACAATAGAGCCCCAACTCCCCTCTCAGTACTCATTACTTGCCTTCAAAGTCCCCAGGGGTCTCCAAGTCAGCAAACTTTTTCTTAAGGGGCCATAAAGTAAATAGTTTAGACATTGCAGGCCAAGAGGCAAAACTGAGAATATTATTTAGCTACTTATATAACCATTTAAAATGTAACAATGGAAAAACACTCTTTTCTCACAAGCCATAGAGCAAGCAGGCACCTGGCTGGATGTGGCCTGTGGGCCTTGGTTTGCCTACCCCTGTTCTAAACAAATGGCTTTACTTGTGCCATGAGTATGCTTTAACCTTTTGCACCTCCATGTTCCTGCTGGTGCTGCTGTTCCCATCTGAAATGCCTTTCCCTTTCCTGTAACCACTGCTCATCCGCCACTCAAAGCCCATTTCAAATGCGACCTCCTTCCTCAGGCTTCTTTGATATCACGATGAGTTTGATCTTTCTCCAGTGAGTTAGATCTTTCTCCTTGGAATCTTCAAGGGCTGTGTTTTTCTTCCCGTCTTGATGCTACATTGAATTGCAGTTGTCTTATCCCTCTTTTATCTCTTGCACACTGTGAATGCTTAGAACTGACAATATCTAAAGACTGTATTTTTAAGAAAGACTCCACAGGATCAAGTAAATAGTTAAAAGAATGGAAATGGATCTACCAGAAACCAAGGGTAAGACTGCTGGCAGACAGGGAAGGCAGACATTTCTGAGTCAGAATTATCTGATGTCATAAAACGGTACAGCTCTCATTCTGGTGTTGTCACGACAGCTCCACATATGGCCACTTGTCGGCTTGCCTAAGACAGGCCTGACAAATACGATGGAAGGGGACATTCAGACATTTCATTTCTGGTTGGGAGGGAGACAGGCACATTGGGCATAAACTTGGATGAATGCCTGTGTTTCAGTATTCATTCTCAGCCACCCACTGGCATTGTTCTTGCTCCTGGCTACTGGGTGGTGGCGCCCAAACTCAGTCATGAGTGTCCCACCTTCATGACGTTTGTCACATCTGTGTATCACATGTAATTTTAATACATATTTTCTTAATATTTTCTTTAGATTGATCTCTTTAACAAATGTCTACTTTAGCCCATTGCAAATAATATCTCATTATTATTAGTATATAGAATAAAGTTCACCCAAGCACCACTTAAAGCTATTTCAGCTATCTCAGTGTCACACAGCTCACATTTTGGAAATTTCTGTTCTCGGCCACTAATCCTTTTATACCCTCTTGTAAAAGTGTGGCATATATTTTCCCAAGATCTACTTAATTATTTGGAAGAGCCAATTTAATGAATGAAAAGCATATTTGTCCACTCAAGCAAGGTGTACACAGTCATTTAATGTTTCTCTCTTAATTTTGGTATCATTTGTCTACACTACCTACAGAATAATAAAAACAACAACAGTTATCAACATTTAAGGAATGCTTTGTACTCCTGGGAGAGTTTAAAACAGCTTTATTGAGGTATAATTTATATACCATGAAATTTATCTGCCTTACTTAAGTGTACAACTTTTAGAATACTGATGGAGCTGTGCAAGCATCATCCATATTCAGTTTTATAATGCCACCATCACCCCAAAAAGGTCCTTCCTGCCATTTGCAGTTAAGCCCTGCTCCCATGCTCAGCCACAGGCAACCACTGATCTGCATTCTAACTCTAGAGATCTGCCTTTTCTAGATATTTCACAAAAGTGGAATTGCATATTGTGTGGTCTTTTGTGTCTGACATTTCATTTAGCATGTTTTCTGAAGTTCACCCATGTTCTGGCGTGTATAAGTAGTCAATTCATGTTTATTACTGAATTCTATTCCATTCTATGGACACCATGTTCTTATTGAGTAGTAAGATTTCTGCATAGATTCTGGATACAAGTTCTTTATTAGTGATAATATTTGCAAATATATTTTCCCAGTGTGTGGCTTGTCCTCTCATTTTTTCAGTGGTGTCTTTTGAAGGGCAAACATTTTTAATTTTGGTCAAGTTCAATTTGTTAATTTTTTTCTTTTTAAATTGTGCTTTTGATGTTAAATCTAAGTATTTGCCTAACCTACACATTTTCTCCTATGCTTTCTTCTAGAAATTGTCTGGGAATATCTTTATTTCACTTTCATTTGAGAAGAATAGTTTTGCTGATCATAAAATTCTTGGTGGACAGCTTTGTTTTTTCCTTAAGCACTTCGAAAATTCAATGTATATCTAGCCACCATGGCGCACAGAGCCTCCCTCTTATGTTCCTGACATGCTGCATCTGCTACTCAGGCAAACTGCAAGCACCCTGCCCCGTGCAGCACTATTCATAATATGTGCCCTTGCCTGCAATCTACTGAAGCATTTTTACTTTAAGAAGCATGTGTTGGAAGATATAAAAGAAAAATATTTAAAACTGTTTATGAGCAAATTTCCTCAAAAAGCTTCAGAAGCTGGTCCATTTGTGCCATCTGTTATAAGAGAAACTAGAAACCACCTGTCTGTCTGCCTGAGCTCTGCTCTTACCAAGGAAGCTGTAATTACCTCTTTGGTGAAGGATTTGAATCATTACAGTAAATCCTTATTCAGCACATATTGTATTAGGAAGGCATTCTGAACCCCAGAAACCAGGTCTTTTTTTTTTTTTCCCCCCCCTCCTTCTGTCCTCCAAAGATGTAGTAAAACCTTAGCTATTAGGAGCCTGGAAGAGTGAATTGTGCCTTAGCCTTGTTTACTACTCAACAATAAATATTTAATAATCAAATATTTACTTAGCACCTAGTACATGCTAGGCACAGTTGTAGGCACTGGAAACACAGCAGGTAACAAGCCAAGCAAGCCCTCTGCTCTCAGGCAGCTTACATTCAAGTTCAGTAGGCTTCAAGGTAGGGTGGGCGAGAACACAGGCTGGTGGAGGAGAAAAATATCAAAGCTCCTATTGGCATTTTAAATATCTGATTCTTATAACATTTATATTTTTTATGTTTTCTAATGTGTGTAATATAGCAATTACTAAGGCAGGTATACACTTTATAATTAAGTAAATAAAAACAAACACTTATTGGAAGTACATGCTTTTTGATAATATTTTAATTATTATCCTAATGGAAAAAATTTAGGAAATACTACTTATGAGTGTGTAAAGCAGAAAATAAACTCGTAAACAACCAAAGAAGATAATTTTAGGTGGTATTAAGAGCTATGAAATCAACTAAAATCAAGGCAGTGTGAAAGCAGGTGCCTGGGTGGGGAGGGTGTGTGGGTGTAATTTGGATTCTGTGGCTAGGGCAACTTCTTTTGGGTGACATCTGAGCCGAGATCTCAACAAAGTAGACTGCTGAGGGCTCACTGTCTTAAGCCCAAGTGCATCTTTTTTATGGTTAAACATTTAGGATTAAAACAAAGCTAACCCCCATTTCTGCCTAAGCTCCTTCACAGTCTCTTTGCTTAATCACAGAGACTTTTCCCAGAATACTATGTGAACTTAATGGAAAGGGTCCTATTTTGAAAGAACTGTGGAAAGAAGATCAGTGGTAAACATTGGCCTGTCTGTAGCAGAATTCCCAGTAGTAGCTGATAACAGCAAAACATACTTTTCCTGCAAGAAATTGTTTCTTGGTAAAGCTAAAAAGTCATTCTGTTTAGGGAAACAAATGCTTGCCTTTTCAATGAAGTCTCTGTGCACCCTTAAAAGAGTATGTCGCTTGTTCCATTTTGGAAACGGGGAACTACACAAGCCCCAAACAAACAGCCCAGGGACTTCTCTTCTTCTGTGTAACCTGCCACATCTCTAGCTATTTGCAGGATGCAACACACTGTTTGATACTACAGTTATTACACCTCCTTTTTCTAGGTTACCCTCACTTTCACTACCTGAGATGTAACAGTTCTAAAGTTCTACTCACTTTTTGTCAGTATATTTATGTTAATTCACTTGCAACGGTATTCATGGTCACAGTGGTACAAGCTCATTCAGTTCCCTTCAGAAATCATCAGTCTACACTTTCAAATATACCTACCTGAAATGTTAGTGAGGGTAAACTTTCCACAATGTCATCCCCAAAACCCCACAGCATGTCTCTGTCAGCTCTTCCTTCTTCCAACATTGTCACCCAGCCTTATCATGACAAAATGGTACTCTACTATATATACTCAAATTTTCTGTCATTCTCCCAGAAAACTATAGGAAGGAAGGGAGACTCCCCTCCGGGAAGGACTATTACAAATGACAAAATTACAAAAATGAAAGAAAATCAAATGTACTTTACAAAATGGCAAGTCCTAACATTAGCAAGAAATTGAATGACTATGGCAGGGTTGGGGCCTAAGAAGCTATATCTTCAAAATACTATTCCTGCTCTGGCCTTGTGGTTCTGATGAGCAACCAGAGATGGGAACCACTGATCTTGGTTCCTATTGTGTTCTAGGTCAGCTCTGGAAATGACTGGGAAGTGTGAATGCCCCCACGTATTGTACTTAGTAGCAAAACACTGTTGTGATTACTTTGTTCCTCTAAAACCTTTTATTTGTTTGCATGGATTTTATTATTCTTTTTGGCTCTGGAAATATGTGTAAGCTTCTTATCCACTGAATTAATAAACTTTTAGTGCTAATCTGAGATTTGGTCAAAAGAACTGTAGGGATTCTGAGAAGGGAGGGATCAGACTGGGCTGGTGTAGTTTGCGAAAGTGTCCTGTGAGATGGAATGCTCTCATTTTCCATTTTTGGGTTCAAAATCAAGGGGGCTGTGGCCTCCTTACAGCTGAGAAGGGACAATCAGTGTCAAGAGCAAAATGTTTCTCTCTGCTGAGGCAAGACATAGCAACAACACGAAGTCCTGCTTCTAAAATAACAGCTCCCAATGGATAGAGTGCACTTATGACATGCCAGGTAGGGCTGGACACTCCCCTGTCACTGACTCGTCCCAACAGTCCTGCAAGGGCAGCCCTGATTTTGCATAGGGGTAAGCTGCAGGTTGGAGGGGTTGAGTCATTTTCTAAGAGCCAGAAAGTGCTGGTGCTCCGCCTGACCTCAGGCAAACTGACGTCGGGAAACTGGGCTTTTCTGAATGCCTGTGCCACTGTTCTCCTCTGGCCTTGCCTGTGTGGCTTCCACAGGGCGGATGGCTCAGAAAAAAGCTTCCACACGCCTCCTCCACAAGCCCGGCAGACACAAGGGACCAGGAAATGCCTGACACAAACCAAGCAGACTTCCAGAAAATTTGCTTGAATTGCCCTAGAAGCTGTTGAAACAGGTGAAATGCCATTCCATGATCTCATAAATACACATTAAATAGAAAAGAGGAAAAAATGGCTTGGAAGCTTCTCAATAGTTTCATGGGTTATCTGTTTTCAGAGAAAACTTGTCATACTTGATAAGCAGATTTCTAAAAGAAAACAATATTCTTAAGAATACTGAATTAACAGTTAAGTGCAGGAGTTTAGGGTCAGATAGCCTTCAATTACTGGCTCTGCCACTTATTAGCTGTGTCACCCTGGGCAACTTAACCTCTGTGTCCCTCATTTTCTTTGCCTGCAAAATGGGGATCATTAATAATACTTACACCTCATAGGATTGGTGATAATTAAAGGAGATAATATATACAATATACTTAGTATATTAAAGCCTGGCATATAGTGTTTACTAAATGGTAGCTGTTATAATTAGAATATGCTTGGCTTGTCCTGAAAAAATGCTGCTTTTATTTTAAAATGAAGAGTAGATTTAAGGACTTGGTATTTGTACCATCTCTAAATCCTAAGGCACTGATCCACACAGAAGTGAAAATGAAGACAGAATTGCATCATCATGCAACCAAATGGAAAGAGAGAAAAAGTACTACATCTCAGGTTCTAGAGCTTTCATTCTAGGATTACTTCCTGTCTTAGCACAGCCCTGTCACTGTGTCTGCACAGCAAAGCTCCCCAATGGAAAATGTTCACAGACAAGTTCATAGGTGCTCAGGTTGTATTACCAGTGGCAAATAGGTCCACAGGTATCAAATTACCTGTGCCCAAAGCTCAAAATTTCATGTTCACATGGAGGTGTCAATCCTGAGCTCTGGCTCATTTATGAAACTTCAGTAAGCCCCAGACTCTTCTTTCAGGGCAGGAAAACAGGAGATGTCTGTTTCTCCATTGGTTTGCTCAAAGAAAAGCTGGTGTTATCAAAGAGAGGCTTGATGTTGTAGCAAATAGGCCTGGGAAGATGGGGAAGAATCAGTACCTCCCAGTCCACACTCATACTGATGGTGGCATAGTGAGGAGTCTGAGTCCCTAGGCACTGCTGTGGATGGCTTCTTAGGAGCCCCATGTGGAGATGGAGTGGGGACAGGGTTGGGGGAAAGGGACAGAGTCACAGGGCATTACTTCCTCCTTGGGGTTGGCTTTATCCTTGGACTCCATGTTCTTAAAAGCAGCATGACATAACGTTTCATACAAATGCTGCCAGAGATGGCACTGCTCATTCTTATTATAATACTCTACAAGGTGATATTATAATATTCCACAAGGTGAGTGACAAACAGTTCCCATTCCTAAGCTGGACAAGGTAGGCTGGACTGGATCCTTGAATGTTAGGCTTCTGAGAATGGCTTTCTTGAGGGTGGCAGGTGGGCCATTGCAATAGCTTTCCTCCCTCCTTTTCCTTCTGAGCCATGGCCTCTTAACTTCTTACTTCTCTCCCTGCCCTCATCTCTGCAGAGAAGCTAAATCCTGGCTCTTTAAATAGGATGGCTCCTTTAGGAAGACAGGCCTAGAGGACATTCAGTGAGAAACTTCCCACCGGGGATGCAAGGTCAAGTGGGAAAGCAAGGGAGGGGTAGTGCAGGCAGAGTGTGGCTGGGAAGCTTCACTCCTCTGCTCGCCAGCCTTGTGACAACTCTGCCTCACTCCCCTCTTTTGAAAACGAGGGTAAAAGTTACCCTAAAGGGTGTTTGTGTGGACTGCAGGAGTTAACATACATCAAGAGGTGGGCACCGTGTCTGGTAAACAGAAAGTGCTCTCTTGACAGAATGGCAAGGATTGATACTTGCTGAACCGGATAAAGTAGTGGAGTTAAGGAAGGAAATAAATAGCCTTAGGGTGTGTGCAGCCATTTTTTGCTTTTGGAAAAATTTGCTTTTGGAAAAGCAAAAATAAACAAGGAGGACTCCAGGGCTCTGCTTAATTCAAATATTCAGAGCCAGCTTACTTTCTTTCTACTTCGTTTTTGGTAAAAGAAAAAAAGGAGGGATGCCCCATAACATATATTTTTAATGCAGAAATTTTTTCTTAATACAGAAAGAAACTTTGTTGTTTCTAGCTATAAAAAGACTTCATACTTATTGTTAAAAAACAACAGGCAAAAGACAAAACCAAACCAATCTTATCAGTACTCCTACTCCAGGTACCACAGTTAACACATTAGTGACTATTTTAGAACCTTTCTTTGTGTATATATGTATCCATACATATTTCATCTTGTGCATTAAAATGACACCATAATTTACATACTTTTTCACTCTGTTTTCTTCAACAAAGTAGTTTTGTTATGTAATATCCCCATATTAATAAACAGTTATCAGCAATATAATTTTCAGTAGTTGCATTGTAGTTCATGGCTGTGTGAAAACTACCCAACCATCAGTATTGTTGGACATTTAAATTATTTCTCTTACTATAGTAAATAATACAGGGGTAAAAATCCACTCACTGTTGCATAGACCTCTCATTAATTCCTTCTGATAAATACTAGGGGTGCAGTGGCTGAGTCAAAATATAAGCCCATCATAAGGCTTACAACACGTATTGCCAGAAAGGTCGCACTCCTTTATAATCCCACCCCCAGTGGGGCAATTTGGCCTCACACACGTTCCTTCCCTCCTCTCCCCTTTTTCAGTCTCTTGAGTATATGGATTTTGTTGCCTCTGTCCAATGAACTCATCAAGACTTGCTAAGGCAAAAATGGGGCAGATCCAGTCTAGGTTCAAACCATCCCTCCAAAAGAAATGAAAGCTCTAAGAGGGGACTTCTCTGAACCACTGCAGTGTTTCAGAACAAGGGGGCCGATGAGAGACAGGAGGGTAGATTTGTTCTCCCTTAGCCTCTTCTCCTGAATTAAGAATTACTGGCTTCCCCCAGTCCATCAGTCAGCAAGCTGAGTCTGAACACTGAATTATAGCAAGGGAATGAATGAGCTTTTATATAGTAGATACACACATGCTGCACACACACAGGCACACAGACCCCCACCCACGGCACCTCCAGCTGTGATGCTGGAGACACTCTGGCAGGTAAAATGTCCCTCCATAACCCTCAGGGAATCACCAGGGAATGCTCCTTATACATGTTTTTACGGGAGAGACAAAAGGATAAGCAATAATACATTAATTCAGGTTAGGGGGAGGCCTGAATATTTGTAATGAGTATTTCAGCTAGTCCAAAAGAGGCATTCTCTACCCCCTAATGGGCAGGAAGGGACAGCTGGCATTTCAGACTTGGCAGATCCCTCCTGAAAGATCAATGTTGTCTCTGTATTGGATAGCCTGATCTGGTCCAAGGTTTATTTGTTGAAATAGATAATGTAATATTCAGACTGTCAGCATTTGCACACATACACTGCTTTCCCTTAACCCCTTTCCCCCATGAAACTTTCAGAATCTAAATACTTTACCCCTTTATTCAAGGGTCAGAGTTTCTGAACAGGGGCAAAGGGAACTTCAAACCATTTGGTTACCATGAGGAGAGGAAAGAAGGCAGGAGCATCAATCTTTAAAAACTACAGGTTATCCAAACTTCTACTGAAACTTAAGAAAATGGAGTCCTTCCCCAAGTCCCTTCTACTATATTCTCCACCAGCATCTCTGCCTGCTTAGGAGCACGACAGAGACAGGCGCAGAGACACTGCTGAGGAGCCACAGGACTCACACTGGTAGTCAGAGACCTACATCAGACACTAAGGAGTTGGTGGAGGAAGCCATTCCCCTGGTACGCCTTCGCCCATAACCAGAGGTAGGGGTGGCGTCCGAGGAGGCCCCGGGGGAATTTCCACTGGTGAATGCAGCTGCTGCTTTCTTGGCAACTCACAGTACGTGTGGGCAGGGAAGAGCTCAAGAAATGAGTTGCCTGCAAGCTGCTCCCCGGCACAGGATGGACTGTGGGTGAGTTTTGCAACTGTTCAGGATAAGGCCAACTCCCGGTGGGTTAGCACCAAAGCTGTGAGCTTTGTGTTCTTCCAGAATAGTAGCTGAGATGAGCTAATAGTACTAAGAGTTAACATTTACTGAAGGCTTATTACCAGGCAGGTCACGGAGCACACGGCTCTCATTATCTCCTCAATCCCCACGATAAGATCAGCAGGCAGGTCCTACCATTAGCCCCATTTCACAGGTGAGGAGACCATGTATATGAATTTGGCATTCTGAGGAATCACAGAAAACCTTCCAGGACATTTTAATCTGGCCCTATGCCAACCCACCTCTTGCCCCTCAGCTCTGTAAATATTTGGCAAAGCACTGTGTTTATACATCTTTTGTGAGATTATACTGCCACCAAGAACAGCCGAAATTCCCCTACAGGCCTTATCTAGGAAAGGAAATGAGGTTTTTTTTTCTTTTTTTTTTTTTTTTTTGCCACTTTTCATTTGCATGAGGCATAAGGAGAATAACCCTAAAACCAAAGCAGCTAACCCATTGTCAACGTGTTGCATTCAGACAGTCAACAAAGCCAGACAACCACGGGGCCTGCTGGGGCACTTCCCAACTGGTAGCACCAACTTTCCAAAGGATCTATGTCACACAGGATTAGGAGGACTACAATAAAACCAATGACTGTACCCTAAAAATTAATTTTCTTGACAGGATTTATGGAGATGACTATTTACATGGGGCTTGATTTTGAGAATTGGGTGGATAACGACAGAGTGACTGTTTACTTAAGAGAACTGGCATGGCCAGGCCACCACACACATAGAGCAAGGGATTTGTCTTTATAGCCAGGAAATTTCAGGGCTATGAGTATATAAAAATCAATTGTTATGTGAATTATCTCCTAGGCCAATTAGCTAGAGTAGACAATAAATGATCTTGTGCATCTTCCATGTTAATGACAGGGTTTGGGTAAAGGAGTTCATAGCTTATCAACAAACCAAGTTTTATTGTTTTTTTAAACTAAAACGGATTCACTTAACAAATATTTAGGAAGCATCAGAGCCAGGTCTTGTCCTAAGTGCTGAGAATCCTGTGATACACAAGACAGGACAGGCCTTACTCTCATGGAGCTTAGTGTCATGAGGAGAGACAAACGAGTGAAATACCGGGCAAGAACATTTCAGAGGGAAACCTATGGAGTTTCCCAGTTCATCATCTGCAAGCCACTCTTCAGCAGATGATGAACTGTGGATGAGTTTTGCAACTGTTCAAGATAAGGCCAACTCCCAGTGGGTTAGCACCAAAGCCGAGTGCTTTGTGTTCCTCCAGAATAGTAGCTGAGATGAGTTAACAGTAGTAAGAGTAGTAAGAGTTGTCAACTCTTACTACTATTAGGGAAATAACACAGAGTGATGTGGTAGACAGTGATGGGTGTGGGGACAGAAGGGTCAGGGCAGGCTATAGCATGTAAGGATCAGGGAAGAACCTTCTGAGGCAGCAGGAGCAGGTGCTGCTAAGGCCTCACAGCGAGAATGGATGTGCTTTGTACGGGGACAAGAATAAGCACAGGAGCGTACAAGCCAGGGAGGCAGCCGTGTCAGGGGAAGTCGGAGAGGTTAGTTAAGTCAGGTAAACAATGGCTGACCATGTAGACCATGAGAAACAGTTTAGATTTTATTCTATGTGCAGCTCTAAGCCACTGGGGGGTTTTAAACAAATTCCTGAATCGGAGGCATTGCTAAACCTGTAACATAGTTAAAGAATTAAAAAACAAAAACAAAACAAAAAGTCCTTAACATCTCAAAGACACTGGCATCTCCAAAGTGCGGAGCTAAAGTTCCTCTTTTTGCAAAATGAATTGTCCAGAAATCTATTCCGGTGTAATTCATTTGTTTACTCATTCATGTCACGTATAAATAAATGTTTGTCACTCTGTTCCAGCCACTGTGCTTGGCACTGAGGAGATACAACTGGGAAGACAGGTATGGCCCACAGAGAATGAGACAAATAACCAGGTGATGACAACACACTGATAAGTGCCCCACTGGGGATGATGCTTCCCTAACACGCGAGAGTTCTCCCATCAAGTTTAGGGAGCATGGAGGAGGAAGGTGTAAGGAGGGGGAAGCAGGAAAGGCTTTCTGAAGGAAGTGATGTTTAAGAACACAGTGTTCCCCAGAGATGAGAGGAAACAGGGCAAGGTTGCAGAAGTGCAACAAGTACAGTAAGGTCAAAGTAAAGAGTGTAAACAGACGCTGCAATGGCAAGCCAGAGTAGGTCACCCAGGCCTCCCAGTTAATAAAAGGATTAAGGAGTATATAGTATCCATGGGGCCATCAAAGACTCTTATGCAGGAGAGTGCTGTGTTCAAGCTTGCATGGTAGAACAATCCCACAGGTTTCAGAGTAGAGAATGAGCCAGTAAAAAGGGTCAGGAAGGCCAGATGGCCAAGGCTTGGGCTGAGGTGGTGGCAGTGGGGATGGTGACTGGTAGGCTGCTGTGAGAACAGAATCAACAGGTCTTGATCATTGTTGAGAAGTCAGTGATGAGTAAAGGAAGCTGGCCAGGTTTCCATGCACCAGATGGAATTCATGGAAACAGGGAGACACACAGGTGTGGGTGCAGGGGAGGAAGGGGAACCATTCATGTGTAACAGTCAACTGGCTTGGCAGACATTTGGGTAGATGGGCCTAAAGAACAGGTAGGAGATCTGGGATATGGTTTTTGGCATTGATATGGTTTGGCTGCGTCCTCATCTAAATCTCATCTTGAATTGTAATTCCCACATGTCTAGGGAGAGACTGGTGGGAGGAGACTGGATCATGGGGGTGAATGCTCCGTGATAGTGAGTTCTCATGAGATCTGATGGTTTTATAAGGGACTCTTCCCTCTTCGCTCCTAACACTTCTCTAGCCTGCCGCCATATAAGACATGTCTCTTCTCGTTCTGCCATGATTGTAAGTTTCCTGAGGCCTCCCCAGCCATGCGGAACTGTAAGTCAATTAAACCTCTTTCCTTTATAAAGCACCCAGTCTCAGGTATTTCTTTATAGCAGTGACAAAATGCACCAACACAGATATGTTGCTGATAAATGGAACTACAGAAAGGGACAAGATCAACTGGAGTTAAGAAGAGAATTTAAGGTGGCTTATGCCTGTAATCCCAGCACTTTGGGAGGCTGAGGTGGGCAGATCACGAGGTCAAGAGATCGAGACCATCCTGGCCAACATGGTGAAACCCCGTCTCTACTAAAAATACAAAAATTAGCTGGGTGTGGTGGTGTGCACCTGTAGTCCCAGCCCCTTGGGAGGCTGAGGCAGGGGAATCGCTTGAACCCAGGAGGCGGAGGTTGCAGTGAGCCAAGATCGCACCACTGCACTCCAGCCTGGGCAACAGAGTGCAACTCCATCTCAAAACAAAACAAAAAAAAGAGAGAGAATTTAAAACCTGACTCTCTGAAATAAGAACTCTTAAGGGGAAAGGAGCCTTCAAAGGAGGCTCCTTTGAGACAGAGAGATGTCCAGAAAACTTCAAGAGTGTGGTGCCACCAAAGACAAAAGCAAATTGAGGGTTTTAAACCAACAGGGCTCTTGACAATGACCATTGTTGCCAGAAATCAAGTAAAACAAGGCGTGAAAGGGGTCATGAGGTTTGACAGGGAGGTCATGGTAACCTTGGTGAGAGGCAGTGTCAGTGGGTTGAGTGGGGACAAAATGCAGGCTGACATGAGGCATTCCTATATTTAGTTTTAAGAGTAGGGATGAAAAAAATTCAGCACAGGACTTTCCCCACAATAACAAATGAAGTGTGGAATTACCAAACATTGGAAATAACTCCAGATTTTTTAAATGGGAAATAAAAGGGAGCAAATTACTTCAGACAAGAAAAGGCCCAAGAAACCCTCTGGAGAGTCCTCCTTCCAGATGTCTTCTGGAGTGGCCACCCAGTGGCTTGCAGCTAAGAACTCTCCTTCTCTCCCAGGGAGCCAAGCCCCAGGTGTGGGGAAGATGCCCCAGGGCCAAAAGCCTACAGGCATAGCTCACAGTGTCTGTTCTGAGCAGCAAGGGCAATGTGCAGGAGCAGTGATCACAGCCAGCAGAGCAGAAAGTCAGTCACAAAAAGCAACGCAACCCAGGAGATCCCAGGCTGGTCCAAGAAGTTGATGCAGTCCCTGTTTTCACTTGGGCTCCCACAGCTCTCTTCGCTGCCTCTCTTGCTCGTACACCCAACAAGTATTTAGTAAGTGCTGCCTTGGTGCCAGGAAAGGTACTAGATGCTGAAGAGGAATAAGCCCTCATGCCAGCCCTTGAGGAGTGTGCAGTCCAGTGGGGGAAAGCTGGTATATTAATGTCTGATAATCATGTATTTATCATGATACATGATAAATGGCTGGGCGCGGTGGCTCACGCCTGTAATCCCAACACTTTGGGAGGCTGAGGCAGGTGGATCGCTAAGGTCAGGAGTTCAAGAGCAGCCTGGCCAACATGGTGAAACCGGGTCTCTACTAAAAATATAAAAATTAGCCAGGTGTGGTGGCAGGTGCCTGTAATCCCAGCTACTTGGGAGGCTGAAGCAGGAGAATCGCTTGAACCCGGGAGGCGGAAGTTGCAGTGAGCCCAGATTGCATCACTGCACTCCACCCTGGGTGATAGAGTGAGACTCCTTGGAAAAAAAAAAAAATCATATAGTTAAGTGGGGTGTGGTGGGCTCAGCAGCCTAGAGTCAGATGATTTCTAGGTCAACCACTTACAAGCTGGGTGACCTTGTACAAGTTAGATGACTTTCCTGAACCTCAGTTTCCCACTTGAAAAACGAAGTATGAACAGCCTCCCTCCTGGGGCAATCGTGAGGAAATGTGAAGCTCTCAGCTCAGTGTCTGGCACCAAGGGAGCCCCCATGGGCAGCAGCAGCTGTTGTTAAGTACAACGACAGAAATGAGCACCAGCTATTGTAGTAGCGCTGAATAGTGGCACCTAAGCCAGTCAAGGGGCAGGGCAGCAGGGAAGGCTCCCTGGAGGAGGACTCAGTGGATCCTAAAAGAAACAGCAGATGTTAGCAAGTGTAGGTAGGGGAAGCAAATCCCATGTGGAAGGAACTGCAGTCTCCCATCTTTCTATGTTTCTTGCAAAGTTGTCACCCTCATACAATGAACACAATGCTCCTTCTTCTGGGTACTGATTCAACAGAAAGAGCACTGAACTTTGAATCCAAAGGTCCAGGCTTGAACAGGAGCTTACAGGTTAAGACTGCCACACAGGCTGGGCACGGTGGCTCACGCCTGTAATCTCAGCACTTTGGGAGGCTGAGGTGGGCAGATCACTTGAGGTCAGGAGTTTGAGACCAGCCTGGCCAACATAGTGAAATCCCATCTCTACTGAAAATACAAAAATTAGCCGGGCATGGTGGCATGCACCTATAATCCCAGCTACTTGGGAGGCTGAGGCAGGAGAATCATTTGAGCCTGGGAAGCGGAGGTTGTAGTGAACAGAGATTACACCACTGCACTCCAGCCCAGGTGACAGAGTGAGATGCTGTCTCAAAAAAAAAAAAAAAAAAAAAAAAAAAAAAGGACTGCCACACAGACTTGAACAGGCCACTTATGCCCTCTGAGCCTCAGTGTCCCTCATTTAGAAAATGTAGGAGATAGTAGTTGCCCTGCACTCATCATGCTTTCCATCCGTATTTATCACACACCTGGAAAGAGCACCCTCAAGTGCTGGGGAAACAATAGTGAACAAGAAACAGGTGTGGGCCTGACCTACGTTACAGCTTAGAGCAGGAATCAGAGAAGAAAATGGGCAACTATAGTACAGTATGCCAAGTGCTATGATTTGGGTTAGTGCCAAAATCAAATGAAACACTCTGCAAACTGTTTCAAGTGGCTCTGAAAACTGAAAAGCACTATAAATATATTTTGTAGTATTATTGTTATTCCTGACAGCAGTGCCAGCCAGATCCTAAGCCTATCAGAAATTTTTCCCAACTTCTGGTCTGCCGACAGCACCTTGTCTCCAAGGCAGCTATGGGTGAGCATGCATATCAAATACATGTACGTGTCTGCTACTGACGTGCCAGCTCTGCCAGGTTTTCTGTGGTCTGGTAATCAACCATGACTGAGCGTCTTGGCATTCGATGAGTCCTGTTTTCACTGGGGAGCATTATGCTTGGTGATCTCACATACATTTCACGGATCCAAATCCTACAGGCTCGTGATGCAGCCTGAGAAGCTGATTCCTTCATTTGACAAGCACTATGTAGCAAACAAAAGCCAAACACTATTCTGAGAGGCCAACTAGATGGTCCTTGGTCCACAGATGATCAACTTAGTGAAAAAGACACTTGGGAAACTAATATGATGAAGTGTTATCATTTATTCTAGATTGTATATAGTGAGTGATCATATAACTTATCACCCAAACCAGCACATTGAAGCAGAAAGGCGCAATTAAATTTATACCAGGGCAACAGAACTAACAGGCAAATGAAGAGGTATGGTCCCTACATATAATATAAAGGTCAAATGGCTTGTTCAAAGTAATGACAGATGAGTGCCAGAGCCAAAGCACATTGATATTGTAGCCTAATTAGATGTCACTCACAGCTTTGCTTTCCACAGAACTAGTTATATACTTTACATGGCTCCTTGCAATACGTAATTCTCTTTGCAAATTAGATCCTAAAGGCATTTACGGATTCTGAGATTATGAGCTGAAAATTGCATAACGATGAAAATCAGACACCCGAGTCTCTTTTATGGTGGAAATTTTCATTATAGTATTGAAATTTAAGTTTCAATGCCAAATGTAGACCTCTGCCTAATGGTCTGCTACTTAGGTTTACGTTAAGCCCTTAACTAAAGTAATTCCTTCCGCAGGCTCCAAAATGAACTGTCTTTCCAAGTGCTTTTTAACATCAAAATTTAAAAGCTGTCTCTAAGCTACCCTGGGGCGAAGGTAAATTAATTTCTCATTTTTAGGCTGGCTCTTTACATTCAGTGGTGAAAGGACTTCTATGTCAATGCATATGAGCATGGAGGTGGTGCTCCCAGGAAGAAGAACCAGAGGAGGGACACAAAAACTCTCGAAAACAAACATGCCATGGTGCTTGGGAGTCACTATTCTGCCCAAAGGGTTCGCCTGCCAAGCCTGCAGGTAAATTCCCATAAGAAACTTACTTTCAAAGTAGAGTCCCACTGGATTAATTCCTACCATCTAAGAAGTGAACGTCAGTTCATAAATATAAAAGCAGAAGTGGCTGGCAAGTCTCTTATGCAGTCTGCTGAGCAGCAGATGGCTCACTACACAGGCATCATGACTTTTCATTTTTAAGGAACAAATGCTTGGCTAATCTCTGGCTAAGAGAAGACATAAATCTCATAAAGACAATTCTGTTTCATTGTCACGTGTCATATTTCATTTATTTATTTATTTATTTACTTATTTGAGACACAGTCTCACTCTGTCACCCAGGCTGGAGTGCAGTGGTGCCATCTCAGCTCACTGAAACCTCCACCTCCTGGGTTCAAGTGATTCCCATGCCTCGGCCTCCTGAGTAGCTGGGATTACAGGGGCACACCACCACGCCCGGCTAATTTTTGTATTTTTAGTAGAGAAGGGGTTTCACCATGTTTGCCAGGCTGGTCTCGAACTCCTGACCTCAGTTGATCCACCTGCCTCACCCTCCCAAAGTGCTGGGATTACAGGCGTGAGCCACTGTGCCTGGCCTATTGTGCCATATTTCAGATGAGGAAATTTAAAAATTAAGGGAAAAAGTCAAAATTGGCTAAAAACAAAAACCTTCTTATGGCAGTTCTCTCTCAAACCTAAATAAGAATCAGAAAGAAACCCAAGCCTGCTTTTGCAAAAATACTAAACAAACAATAATTCCCACACCCCACATATGCCCAATAGTATAAAACTTCTAGACCAGGTGTTGAAGTCTGTACCAACTGAGAAGGGCTGTTTATTAGAAATCTCTTACATTTTGGTATCCAACATTCTTCATTAAAAAAAAAAGTGTACCATTTTTTTCGAGTAGACACTGAAAATTTGGTTTAAAAAACAATCTTTTTTCTAAAACATTTCTGAAAATATCTTACATACTTACAAAAGAAAAACTCATGCTAAGTTGAGGTCTGACAGATAGCCTTTCTCTGTGACAAGATGACATCAAACACATTTTCCTTCACTGTCACCACAGAGTGCCACAGTCCTCTATCTGCAGGCACCCCTAAGCATTTTGCTTATGCTTCTCATGAGCTGCCTTTCAAGATGCTGATTAGTCCTTTCAATCATTAACTGTTTACAAGTTCTGCCAGCTGCAAGCCTGACCCTAGATTTCTGAATTTTTACTGGTTAAAATAATACCACCACTTAGTCATCTGTGAAGCACCAAAAAGTAAGAGTTAGCCCTTAGGTCAGTTAAATAGCCTTATATAGCAGAGAGAACATTTGGGCTCCTTTTATGTGGGGAAAAGAAAGTCTTTTAAAGAGCTAGAGCAACAGATGTATTCGGAGCACACAGGTTCTCTCTGGCATCCTTCCTGTAGCTCCACATCAAATTTGAAATGTAGTTAAATCACAGATTTACACTTAAGCTTCCTTATCTCTGATAATGGACTTGGAAACATATCAAAGAACCTGCCCATGTGTACTTATCAGTCCCTGACAGGTATGAGGCTTAGAAGTTCAATACAGGACTTTCTTGCTCACTTGTTTAGAAACTCAGAGGTAGTGTATCAGCAAGTATTTGGCTGAGGGTTCCAATTACCTATGATCCTATGTAATCCCATATTGCTAAAAAGTTGCCTGCTTATAGACTACAAATTTAAAATACTCATATGACGGCTAATTCACAACCATGGGATAGAGGTATATATCTACAAATAAATTATATGAATATGTTTCAACTTGTTTAGGGGATGGGGCATTTTCTCTCTTTAATTTTTACATTAATCTATTGCTTGGAATGGCTATTATATCAGTTGATAAAATTTCCAGACAGTATAAAAGGGTATCAGTATAAAAGGGTAGACAGGAAAAATAACTCTTCCTTCCCTCTCCAGAAGTAACCATTAGTATGAGTTTCTCATATTTTCTCCAGAGATACTAAATGAACTTGCAAGCTGGTGTGGGTGGATGTGTGTGTGTGATTTCACACTCCCCTTCCCTTTAAAAACAAATGACCACCAGTTATTCACATTGTTCTGAATCCTGACTGTTTTCCTTAACAGTATCTCCTGGAGATTGCTCCATCATTACACGAAAAGTTGCCTCCTCGTTCTTTCTTAGTGGCTATGTAGCATGCCATTGTGGAGATGTACAACAACATACCCAACCGGATCCTTAACACTGAACAATAGATTGTTACCTATCTTTTATTTTGCATGGGACAGAATCTCTGAGCTGGATAAAACAGAAGAGGCACTGAATGAATATTGACATTTTGTTCTACCTGCTGCCATCCTCCTTTTAAGAAATACTGATTTCTAAACAACATGGAGAGGCTATTGGAAGAAACAGATGTCACCCTTCCTGCTTTACACACAGGAAGATACAACACTTCTCTGTTTTGATGCTGCCCTCAAACAGCAACTGAATCTTGGGAAGAGGAGCTACTTAGTTTTGCCAAAACCAAATTCATCTTTGTGGGCAGACCAGCCTCAATGTCTAACAGCCTTCACCAAAGAAAAATCATCTTCAGGGTAAATTTTTTAGGTATAGGGAAGCCTAGGGTGCAGTCTAGGTCAAGGTCACCTCTCCCTTCCACACAGCATGACTCAGAACTCCAATTCTACTTGGGCTCTGATTTAGGACATTCATAGTCTTTGGACAAAAAAGCTCCCAAATGGTGAGGTGGGGAAGTCTCTGCAGTTAGATTTTGTGGACTTTGGGCAAGTTACTTAACCTTTCTGAGGCTGCTACCGGCAAAAATGGGAAAACAATACCCACCTGTCAGAAGTGACTGTGAGGATTAAGAAAAACAATGCCTATGTAAATTGCGAAGCGAAGTGCCTGAATTCGGAAATGTTGACTCTTACTAATAAAACAATGCAAAGCCACTTCGTTTTTGGAGAAACATCTTGGACCTGCCTAAAAATACGTCTCTTGAAAATTCTGGCCTGTGGTGATTTTCCGCTCTCCTGACTCCACTCCCTCTAGGCCCTCGTGGCTCCTGCACACCCTGCAGAATGGTTTGTTACTTCTCAGGCATGCAGCATGAGCCGGGTGCAGTGGCTCATGCTCGTAATCCTAGTGCTTTGGGAGGCCGAGGTGGGAGGATCAGTTGAGGCCAAAGAGTTCGAGGGCACTCCATATTTATTTTCTCCTTGTTTGTGCTTGCACAGTTCCATTTGCTTGCAATGTCCCCCATCTTCCCATGGGTAACTTTTACTCACTTACCAAGATGCAGCCCAGAGGGTGAGGCTCAGTGTCCCTCCCCTGGGTCCCACTGCATCCTGAGTCTGTCTCTGTCACAGCACTGCCAGGCTACCTTAAAGAAACCTGGGTGCAGGTCTCACGTACACGGAATACTACCTTCCCAACAGTATCCTGGCATGCCGTAGACATGGTAACTGCTTGCTGAACTCGCATGAACCCTATGGAGACAAGAATTCCAGTCAGCCTCAATAAAACATGATCTATGCCTCTGGCATCTTCTTTCAACCAACAACATGGGTATCTGCCCTTCGGGTATTTATATTCCCACAGACCTCAATTTAGAATACATGTCATGTAGCTCCTATCAAAAGCATGGCCAAGATAACTGGGATCCTCTAAGAGGGATCCTGCCTTCCACCTATCATTCTGTTACCAGGCCGATCACCAGCAAACATGCTTTCTCCAGGTTGTTCTCCTTGTTGCACCATAGTAAAAACAACCTTTCAATACTTCAGCTTAATATCAGACTCTGTATTTAATCAAAACCAATGGGAGTAACAGCCCTATATAGAGGGCCTCATTTATTTTTTGCATGAAACTGCTTTGGAAGATATTATCTATTGAGCTATTCAAAATCATTAATATAGAGATTCACATGACAAATTAATATTATAACTTGTAGCTCTTGATGAACTGGCATGCTTTTTTTGAACAGACAATTGAACTATACATCCCATTATATTTTTTCCCTTCTTTGTCGTGGCTGCTAGGTGGCTCAGGACAGTTTTATGATGAATTACTCTCTTCCTCTCTCAGCCTTTGTTAATCTTATTTTTTATTCTCATTTTACTCAACTGTACATGTATTTTTTTTTTTAAAGAGTAACAAGCCTCACATTCCTGGATTTTATTTGGTTATCAACCATGCTCAGAGGACAGTTGCCACCAGATACCTGGCACATGTCACCCAACTGTGCTCTAAACACACGCATGCATGTACAGAATTTGTCAGCATACAAAGACTTGAAATAACAAACAAATGCCTGCACTTAGTAAAGGCTTGGCATTCTTGAAAATGCTGCCTCAGTTTTAGCTGGCAATAGGGGACAAGCATGTATGTGATGGTTGCCTGCACAGATTTTGAGATGGACATAACACCCACACTGTAAAGTCATCACTTAATAAATCTATTGAAACCAGTCTAACCCTTAAGGGGACAATTAGACCTGGATTCTAAGAAATAAAAGGAAGGAAACAAAAAAAAATGCAGAGGAAGTTCAAATCCCAAATCGCAAACCTAACAGTAAATGGGAAATGTAATCAGTAGATGCTGGGATTGTGCCTACGCCAGAGATAAATACTGGGCTTGCAAACATCCTGCTACCACCTCTTCAATTTGGAAGAAAGCGTAGTGACAAGCAGATGGTCAGCTTTTGAGGGAAAGTTTTTAGTTTTGTTTTTAATGGCAGAAATGGGCAAATGTAGGAGGAAATCTCACAAGTATGGGAAAAAAATAGCTTACCTGAGATTGGAGAGTTATGGAATGCTTAAGGAAGTGACAGCACCTCTGGCAACATATTTAAAGTTTAAAGAGTTGGCTTGATAAAAGTTTGAAACTTGGGAAGTAAGGAGGTGTCCCATAAAACTTTATTCCTCTCCCCTCCCCTCTCCTCCTTGTGATGCAAGTACACAGCAACTGCCTCCCAGCAAAGGAATGGCCATATTCCTTGGAGTATGATCTCCAAGTATCTGTCAAATCTCAAGATCTCAAGTGCGGCTCTCATCTAGGGCTACAAACCATGGCCAGGAATGAGGGACTAGCCCTCAAGACGATGGATGACTTGTTGGCTGGGGGTCACACAGGCCTCAGCTCAAACTGCTGCTTTCTGTGACCTTGGGGAAGTCACTTTATCCCCCTGAAACCCAGTTTCCCCATCTGTAAAATGGGAATATTGATAGTGGTTGTTCATCTAACTGGGTTCTAAGATTAGATAACATATGGAAAAGCCCTAGGCTAGTGCCTGGCAACAGCAGATGGTCAATAAACATTCCTCCCATTCTTTTTCCTCCTTGGAATCCATTTTTATCCTTTATATTCTCTGTCCTTTATTATAGCTCCTTTCAAGGATTTCCTGCTCTTTTTTCCCCTCTCTTTTTCTCTTAAACTCTGGCCCGCTGACCTCTGTTTTTAGGTACTCATTCTCTGCTTCCTATTCTCCCATGCTCTTGTTGTCTCCCCAAACTCCCCCAGCATCTGATACTTGAACGATACCAGAGAATGGAGGGCAAGAAAAAGAAGAAACATGACTGGGCTGCTTCAGTCTCTTTCCCAACACACCCAGCTTCTGTAGCTTGCCAATACCCAACCATTGCCCGCAGAAGCAACTAAGCATAGTGGTTGTGGGTGGGGCAGTACTAGAACCTGACCACCTGGGTTCAAATCCCACCTCTACCCTCAGGTAAGTTAGGTAATCTCTCTATGCCTCATGTGCAAAATGTGGAGTACAACAGTACCTCCGGCATTATGTTGATTAAATAAGTACACACATGTAAAATGCCTGGGACACTGGGGCTTCCTTAATGTGAATTATCATTGTCATTACCACCATTATCATCACCATAGCTCATGGAGACTTCATTTCAACCTTTGAGAACAAAATTTGTTCTCAGGATATGAACCAGGCACTGGAAGATCAAACTGAGGTGGAATTTTCCAGCCGCTCAATGTGATTCCTGGCAGAAGAAACAGTTCTTATCCAAACTCATAGGTTTTGGACAATGTCACAACAAGTTGGAGACTTTTGCAAAGCTCGTGAGGTGGATGCTGGCTGCCCCACTGTTTCTGGCAGGCCACCAAAAGATGCCACCACCCAGTGGCCTGTGTCTGAGGAGCTCTCAGAGCTGCTGAGCCACTGTTTTTGCATGTTCATGGCTCTCACAGAAGACAAGGGGCCAGTCCTTTTCAGATTCTTTTCCTTCTGCTTAGTCACATTCTAAGATGCACTCTCCACAACACTGTCATTAAAATGAATGGAGGCCAGCCCCAGCACACCGGTGTTTGCCATTTGTTCTCTAATAACCTGTAATGGGCACTGATAATGAAAGCCTTTTCCCAGAAATTTGTTTTTTAAATGAATCAACTGTGTCCAGGGCTAAGTAGGAAGATAACATTTTCTTCATTTTTAAAAAACTATAAAATACGTTTTTCTTAAAGGAGGCAGTCAGTCAACTAGGAATAAAATAAATTATGCAAGAAGCCTTTGGACTGAAAAAAGGGGATATTTTCAGAGATCATATAAAACACTATTGAGGGGAAAGAAAGCAGTACAAATTTGGATCCTGGAGTGTAAAGTCACCAAATCCTTCACGAAGTCCCCATAAGAAAGGTCCAGTGTAGTGACATCTGTGGCTGTCTCTTCTCTGAGGACCACCCCTTCTCCATCCGCAGAGTCCGTGTGCCTTGGGTGTTGTTCTCCCCTCCCACCCAGTCAAGGGTGAACAGGTGATTCAGGCCCAGCCCCACAGAGGCTCACTTATACCCCTGGCCACAAAGATTGGTTAAGGGATGGGGATGGGACTCAATGTGGACCAACAGAAATTAGGCTCAGCCTGTATTTCAAACTGCTGAGAAAAAGAGGCTCTCTCTTTCTTTTCTGCTGGGCTTGGGCTTTTTAAGAAGGTAAGTCCAGCTGGTGGTAACCACCCTGCAATCAAAAGGAAAGAGCTTATCTAAGGAGAGTCAGCAAAGAGGAAAGCTGAAATGAGAGCTGGCAAGAGCTGGGTTCTGATGGCAACACCTGTGCCCCTGGACCCAGCCATGCCTGAATACAAATGTTCCTGCACAATGGAAAACCAGTAAGTTCCATTTTAGCCTAACTTATTTGGGCTAGGTTTTCTGTTACTTGCAACCAAGAACACTGATGGGTAAATCTGCTCAAGCTGACATACAGGGTCTTGAATAGAACTGTCTGTACATGTAAAAGATGTCACATTAGGGAAATTTACACCAGTGTTCAGTTTTCAGAAACATGTGAGGAAGACAGGAATAGCTCCTGTTAGAGCCCAGAGAGGCCCTGGATTGAGAGAAATGCAAACATTGCAAAAGCAAAGGCCCCAACAGTCACTTTAGTAGTGCATGGTGCTCTGTGACAATGTGTCAGACTATCACCACTGAATGTCTGGGATGCAGTTTCCATAGTTCACTTACAGTTTGAGAAAGAGAAGGGATGCTACCCATCCAAATGAAAATAAATACCACATGTACTTTAGCAGGTTTAGCATAGTAAGTGAAGGCTAAACAAAACAACTCTGTGTAAGGAGTAAAAATAAGCAGGCATTTTCTGTAAGTCTACGTGATCACTATCTATATCCTCTCCTTATTAATCCCACCATGAATCTGGTCTATCCTGATTGTTTCTGAGTTGCTTTACCCTCTCAGAGCCTAGAGCTAATCTCCTAGAGATATAGCCTAACTCCAAGGCAACCAAACAGCCTTTGCTAAAAGCTGAAGGTGTCAGAATTTGTCTGATGTGCTTAGTCTTGGGTTGCAACACAGAAGAGGAATACAGCTTATTTTTGAACCTATTTTGTTGGCTTTTTAACATTATAAAACTCAAAGCAAAGAGGATGATGCAGAATGTCGTAAGATCTTGTGTGACACTCAGAAACCAAAACAGGCCCTTTGTGGAAGAAAATTTGAGCAAAAAAAAAAAAAAAAAAAAAAAAAAAAAAAGAGTTCCAGATGGTGAGGTCTATTTGACTATGAAGCAAAGCTGTGATGAAAATAGGGAACGTCTCAGGCAAGTCAATTACATGAAATAAATTGACAAAAGATGTTGCATCAGGAGCCAGCTAGCATGGAATTCTGGAATGGGAAGACAACATTACTAGGCTTCCCCAGCTTTAGTGTCTGAAGAGGTAAAAAGCATATTGACACAAGAAAACAAAACAATTGTAATATTACAGATGAGAAGCATATGTTCAAAGTTAACTATGAGCAGCTCCCCACATGTGCCCTGTATGATCTTGCCTCTGAGCCTTTTCCCACTGTTTGCTGTCTAAATCCAACCTATCCTCAAGATGCATGTTCAAGTGCCAATTTGATCACAAAGCCTTCCTTGATCATCCCAGTTCAAAGTCATCTCTCTTGCCTAGGAATTCCAGCAGCACTTTATCCTGTAGCACCTAGACCATTCAATACAAGTACTTTATGTTTCTGTTATTTCTCATCGTGAAGGGCACGATCCCCTGTAACTCATCTTTAATGTGTTTACATATTGAAGACATTCAGAAAAATCTGTTGAATGGCAGAGAGAGTTAAAAAAAAGCTCAAAAAATGCTTCCACTATCTCTTGTCAGTTTCTCTTTGCACATTGGAATGGCTGCAGCTGAACTTTCTATATGTGATGGAGAACACGGCTGCTGGATATTCTGGTAGGCAAGACAAATTCTTAACCCAGCACCAGTTAAAACAAAACAAAAAAATCCATGAAAATATTATGGTTGGCCTGGCTTAGTCATGCGCTTGCCCCCATACTATTACCATCTCTAGGTCTTAAGGAATTGTGATACACAATCTACATCATTGATGAACAACTCTACAAACAAATGAAATGTAATCATTTGAGCGCCCCTATTCTTATTACAAACAATGGATTTCTTTTTTTTTTTTTTTTTTTTTTTTTTTTTTTTTTTTGAGATGGAGTCTTGCTCTGTCATGCAGGCTGGAGTGCAGTGGTGTGATCTCAGCTCACTGTAACCTCTTCCCCCCCGGGTTCAAGTGATTCTCATGTCTCAGCCTCCCGAGTAGCTGGGATTACAGGCGCATGCCATCAGGCCCAGCTAATTTTTTTTTTTTTTTTTTTTTTTTTAAAGTAGAGATGAGGTTTCAACAATGCTGGCCAGGCTGGTCTCAAACTCTTGACCTCAAGTGATCCACCCACCTTGGCCTCCGAACATGCTGACATTACAAGCATGGGCCACCGTGCCAGGTGAACCAAAGGAAACCTTTCTAAAACACGGCACACATTTTTCTACCTTCAAAGACAGAATATATCAAATGCAATTTACTTGAGGTGAGAAAATTATAAAAATCAATACTGTCTTGTGCTGTTATACAGTTGTGACCAAAGAAGCTGCTGCTGGATTTGAAGGGTAGCTAGTTCTTTATCCAGACCTTTGTATTATTACAGCTTTTATGACTTCAGAAAAAGTTCTTCTGGACTTTGCCTCATCAGCAATTATTAACTTTCTATTCTGTGAATGTAACCACCTTTTGTGGTATGACTGTTACTCCCAAAATACTGGATGGCAGAAAGCCAAGGAGCCAAGTTTGTTGTAATTGTCTGCAAAAGGTATGTCCTGGACTTGGCAGTCTTCGAACGTGCTCTACCTTCAGTTCCTGCTGAAAGGTTGGTAACCCAGTTCACTGTGGCTACAGATGATTAAACTGTAGAATCCCCTGCCTCAAGGTCTCCAGTCCATAGATGCTTTCCCTCAGGGCTGGATGGCAGAGAATTTAGCAAAGCAGCAGGTGAAATTCTAAGGAGAATGAGGCTATGAAAGCACTGGGGCTGTCAGGGGTCATGGCAATCCAAAGCTAAAAGGAAGCAGAAGCTGTGAGGGAGAGTAAAGCCCAGGCACAGAATGGTGGGAAAGAATAAGCCAGAGGGGAGCACTGAGAAGCAGCAACTGGATGTAGAGAGGCCAACACACCAAGTAGCTAAATGGTGGTCATGTGGAGCCAAAAGAGCCACTCCACTCCATTCTGGTCCTCGCCTTCCTCCAAGTGGCTCCACCTCCTTATAGTTCCTGCTCTGCCTGGACCCCAAAGCCCTAAGCAGCCTCTCCTGGATTCCTGGTCTGGGCTTCCTGCCCACACTCCCTCAGTCACCCTGATCTGAGGGTGTCCAACAGGTCTAGAGAGCTGATGAAATTGTGGGCTCTTCCGGCTACTCAGAGAGCTTTTGTGTTCACTGCCAGCTACGTACATGGGGTTGTTCTAGATGAGTTAGGGGAAGGGCGTGTGTTATTCTTTAATTGAGATATGACTGGAACCCAGAGGGCAGCCTCCCTTCTCACCTTGTGCCCATCACGAAGCAGGACTCTGCACCTCAGTACAACCCTCCAAACACATTCCAAATCCCCAGTGCCTGTTAAAAGAGCAACGATGACCATAATTACGGCAGGTAACTTTTACTGAGCCCTGATTATGAGCCAGAAGCCATGCAAAGTGCTCTACATGAACTATTTCATTTCATCCTAACAACCCTAGGAGGTAGATACTACTACTGTTTCCATTTAACAGATGAGGCTTATAGAGGGCAAGGAACTGTTCGTCGTACTCAGAAATAGAAAATCAAACACTACATGTTTTCACTTATAAGCAGGGAATAAATAATACACATCATGCACATAAAGATAGAAATGACAGACACTGGGGATTCCAAAAGTGGGGAGGGTCGGTGGGGTGATGACTAAAGAATTACCCATTGGGTACAACGTTCATTATTGGGTGATGGGTACATTAGAAGCCCAGTCCTCATAACATCACACAATATACCCACGTAACAAACCTACACATGTACTTCCTGAATCTAAAATAAATTTTAAAAAGGAAGTGATCATTGTAAAACAACTAATAAAGTTGGGATGTGAACTCTTCAGTAAATCTGCCCCCAGAACCCAAGCTCTTAATACTGTGGAAGACTGAAGAATGAGGGAGTGGTTCTTACCGAAGCCCGCATGAGGTGACATGGACGAGGATTCACATTATGCACCGTGTACAAGAAAGTCCATTAAACTTCCTTTTAGATATTTCTGTTCCCCAAAGTTCCTCCCTCACTGACAACACCCTCATCTCTCCTCCCTCTTCCCCACCCAGCCTCCAAAAACCCCAACCTGTATGTTCCACTCAACAAAACCAGTGCAGGGCCCCTAGGGGCCCTGATTCGACCCCAGCTTTGCACAGATACACACTCAGGTTTCACAGCTTCAGCATGCAACCAGGCCAGCCCCATGGTGATGTGTAAAAAGCAACCTTGAAAAGATCATATCCTCTCCAGAGGAAAAGAGCCATCTTCCTAGTTCGGCACACGGGCCAGCTCAGCTGAGCAGAGATGGTGTTTTCTTTCTCTTACTTACTACAAATTCTTGGATTTCTATATGAATCCGAAGTAAAGCAAAGCATAGGGCTGTGGCAGCATACAAATAGGGTTCTACATGAAATCACATTGCTCTTCTCTTTTGAGGCCCGACACACTGATTATATATTCAGATTCTAGATGAGGGTCTTAGGTTTCTGTCGAACATTTTTGTACATAGAGACCTAATTCTTCCTGAGGTGTGCCAAGGCCAGTGGGTTACACTGGGAACTTGCTTACACAAAGTGAACCAAAAATGATGACTAAGGCAGAAAGCTGGCTCTGAGTTTCATCAGGAACACTCAGGTTATGGCTAACAGCGCTCTCTATGCTCCAATTCAGAGCTAGCTATAGTCAAAATACCAACTCAACACAGGTTTTATTAACCCTCCCTTTGTAATGCCACTGGAGTTGGCATACTAGTGAAAAGAATAAACTCCTGGAGGCGGAAGAAGAGCTGCTAGTAGAAGGGTAGAAAAATCAGCCATGGATGCAAAGAAAAATACAGCAAAAAGAGTCTCATTCTTTGAAATGATGAACCAGGGCACTTGCTTGTGGGCATCTAACCTAATTGATTCAAGCTGAAATTAAAGGCAGAACTTAATAACTTAATAACTGGCTTGTAAGGAAGAGGAAATTTAATTTAGAATTTCCTTATAGACAAAGAAACAGAAAAGAGAGCCCTCATACCTATACAGAGATTTGGGTATTGCATGAAAATTTGATAGTAAAACTTCCCCTGACCCATGGCAAGGCACAGTCTCTCTTCACTTATTTTTTCCTGGTTACATTGATTCAGGGTTTAAAGAACTACTCATTCTCAAAACTTTCCTTTTCCATATAAGGTCAGAAAATAATCCTTCAAGATATGAACTAAATTTTATTTTAATAGGATATTTGATATACTGCATTATATAAGAAATTGTTACAAATTTTTGCCCACTACAAATATTAGTAAACTGCTAGATGTTTGGGAGAAAAAAAAAAAAAAGAACAAATACAACCTAAAGATAAAGTCTCTTGTTGCAATGGGGTGGGGAGGACTTCAAAAATGCAACACATGCAAATGATCAAATTGCAGCTTTTCATTCTTTGTGATATTTTTTCCTTTCTATGTCATTCTTATAGTCCAAATTTTAAGTTTTCTTGAAATCTAAAACATTAGAGCCATAGAGGTCTCAGTGGGAAAAAAACAAAAAATTGGGGACATAGCTTGGTAGGGTCTGAGAGGTAGGAAGCCTCCTGGAGAACAAGAGAAAAAAGATGGATCATAAAACTAGAACTCTGGCCAGGCATGGTGGCTCATGCCTGTAATCCCAGCACTTTGGGAGACCGAGGTGGATGGATCACCAGAGGTCAGGAGTTCGAGACCAGCCTGGCCAACATGGTGAAACCCCGTCTCTACTGAAAATACAAAAATTAGCTGGGTGTGGTGGTGCACCCCTGTAATCCCAGCTACTTGGGAGGCTGAGGCAGAAGAGTCGCTTGAACCCAGGAGGCAAAGGTTGCAGTGAGCCAAGATCGCACCATTGCACTCGAGCCTGGGCAACAGAGCAAGACTCCATCTTAAAAAAACAAACAAACAAACAAACAAACAAACAAACCTAGAACTCCTTCTACCCAACTCACAGCAATAAGACCAAGGCAGATGAGGAAATTATACACTTCAAGGCAGATCTAGAAAACGAACTAGGGAAATTATTGGAAACCCTGCCTACAATTGCCAAGATCCTTCATTCAACCATAAATATTTTTGAGTAAATGACCCAACTGCTCACTTACCACTTAAAATGTATCTTGCATTGGCAGCAATGCTCCCCCACATACGTAGATCTGATCTCCCTCATCTGAGCAGCAGCAAGGAGAGTATATTTTAGTCTTTTTCACAGTGCCTCGAATAGTGTCTTTTTCTTTTTCTTTTTAAGATGAGGTCTTACTGTGTCACCCAGGCTGGAGTGCAGTGGTGCAATCACAGCTCATGGCAGCCTTGACCTTTTGAACTCAAACAATCCTCCCCTCAGCCTCCCAAGTAGATGGGACCACAGGCGCATACCACCACACTCAGCTAACTTTTTTTTTTTAATAGAGATGGTATGTCATGTTGTCCAGGCTGGTCTTAAATTCCTGGGCTCAAGTGATCTTTCTGAAGTGCTGAGATTACAGGTGTGGGCCACTGTACCCTGGAATAGTGTCTTAAACACTAAGCATTCAATGCGTGTTTGCTCACTGACTGGGAAGGGACTGTCTGTCAGAGCTGGCCGATTCTGGATGCTGATATTAGTGAGTGCTCCAGAGAGCAGTTAGGCTACAGTAGCAAATATTCAACAGTTGGTGCCATACTCCAAAGGGAAACATTAGATGAAAATAAGTTTGCGTTCCACTGAGGCTGAAGGGGAAAGCGGGCAGTAAGGGCAATTGGTGGGTGTTTATTTCCTCATATGAAATGAAATGTTTGTAGTCTTCTCTTGGGATAATGCAGAGTCTGACTGCTGTCTGGGATGATTACCTTGGCCATGGCCATCACTAACATGTAGATCTTGTCTCTATTGGATTAGCATGTCCAGGATTCCCATGACTCCACTTCTTGATTTCTGATTTCTTGCCAGTTTATTTTCACTGTGACAACTGAACATTTTAAGTGCTGTCATGGGATGACTAAGGACATATTTCCTCTAATTCTACTTCCACGCAAAGGATCAAGGGAAAAATGGGAAAGGGGATTGCGTGTGTGTGTGTGTGTGTGTGTGTGTGTATGTGTGTGTTTGGGAGTAGAGTGTCTGTTTCTCCTCCAGAAGAAGCAGAGTTATATGGAGCTCCTACCATGCTACCATGAGGTCTATGCTGTAAGGCACAGTATATGGATGCTACAGAGGGGATGCAGGCTTCCCCCGAGACAGAGCAGAAGCCAACACATTCATTTGAAGAAATCTCTCTTGTGCTTCAGCTTTGGATTTACCAACCTTCCAGCAGCATTGCGCAAGTCAAAGTGCTGGAGTTAGTGGGCTTTACTCATCTTTGTCTGTGACGTCTGATATGATGACAGACTTGCCAATTTCATTCTCCTTTTCTATCTCAGGGCCATCATCCTTAAATTCTAGTCTGCAAGTTTCACCTACTTAAGTTTTTGAAGGTTTTCAATACAGTGGTAAACAAAATAGACTGAACAGGGCTTTCCAATTTGCTCGAAACCCAGAATGATTTCTATCTCACTGCTTTGGTAACTACAAAACAAAACAAAAAGCCTCTTTTTAGCATAATCACAAACAATATCACTTCTACCCTTACAACAGAAGCTGAAAAGGATTATAAAATTACTAAAATGTCCCAATTTTCATTAGCACAAAGCAGGTGATCTTATTGTCCTACAGGCAGGGGATGGTGACAAATATGGGTGATTTAAGCAGTAAGTCTGAGCTTACCAGGGCAACTGCTAATTATTATTGAGTAACTCTAGTATATCTCCATAAAGGTCAGGAGTTAAGGTTTTTCCATTATATATTCTGCTTTAAAATGGAGCTTTCAAAGGAAATTGGGTAGATAGCAGATGGAGAATGACAGATGAAGATCAGGTGAAAGAACTATATATAGCTCAACATAATTGAACTACTTACATTTCACAATGTTGGTTGGGGGCTGGAGGAGGAGTTCATGAGTAGCTGCTCAATGTTAACATTGACTTTCTGGTTTCTTAAGTTAGGGCTCCCTAATTTTAATAGGAAATCTGAGGCCGGGTGCAGTGGCTCATGCCTGTAATCCCTGCACTTTGGGAGGCCAAGACGGGTGGATCACCTGAGGTCAGGAGTTTGAAACCAGTCTGGCCAACACGGTAAAACCCCGTCTCTGCTAAAAATACAACAGTTAGCCAGGTGTGGTGCTGCGTGCCTGTAATCCCAGCTACTCATGAGGCTGAGGCATGAGAATCACTTGAAACTAGGAGGTGGAGGTTGCAGTGAATTGAGATCGCTCCACTGCACTCCAGCCTGAGCAACAAGGTAAGAGACTCCATCTCAAAAAAAAAAAAAAAAAAAAAAATCTGAAATAGCCCAGAGGCTGGGGTCTAACTGGTTCTACTCAGCTTCCTGAGCGAGAGCTCAGTTAACTCCATATGTGATTTCTTCTGCTGTGCCAACAGTTACCACTTACTACACTGACACAGAGCCCTGGGCGAGGCCAGCCTGGAGAGAGGGAGCCATTTGGCCATTGATGGAATGATTCAATGACCAATGGCCTTAATTTCATTTTCACTTAAAATATACCAGGCCAGGCACAATGACTCACACCTGTAATCCCAGCACTTTGGGATGCCGAGGTGGGAGGATCTCTTGCATCCAGGGGACTAGCCTGGGCGACATAGCAAGACCCCATCTCTACAAAAAATAAAAAATTAGCTGGGTATGGTGGCACATGCCTGGGACTATCCAGCTACTCAGGAGCTAAGGTGGAAGGATCGCTTGAGCCTAAGAGGTTGAGGCTGCAGTGAGCTGTGATTGCACCACTGAACTCAGCCTGGGAAACAGAGTGAGACCCTGTCTAAAAAGAAAAAAAAAGAAAGAAAAAAAAACCACCAAAAGCAACAACTTCTTGGTAAAGGCCTTACTCTTCTGTCAAATAGCATCTCATTTAGACTCCTAGCTATTGAGGTAACACAAAAAAGTTTAAGGTTAAAAAGAAAAATCTTGGCCAGGCATGGTGGCTCATGCCTGTAATCCCAGCACTTTGGGAGGCTGAGGCAGGTGGATCGTGAGGTCAGGAGATTGAGACCATCCTGGCTAACACGGTGAAACTCCATCTCTACTAAAAATAAAAAAAATTAGCAAGGTGTGGTGGCGGGCACCTGTAGTCCCAGCTATTCAGGAGGCTGAGGCAGGAGAATGGTGTGAACCCAGGAGGCAGAGCTTGCAGTGAGCCGAGATTGCACCACTGCACTCCAGCCTGGGTGACAGAGCGAGACTCCGTCTCAAAAAAAAAAAAAAAAAGAAAAATCTTTTCTCACTAAGACATGTTCCAAAGCTTTAAGAGAATGAATGAATGGTCATTTCAAAACCAAGCAAATGTATTTCTGAGTTTTTGAAGCTAAACAATCAATGCACACACATGTAAAAAAAAAAAAAATCCCATACCACAAGAGGGTAGTGTTAAAATGAAAAGGCAGTGTTCCTTCCGCCACAGATCACCATCCCATCTGCCTCCTTCAGGGAAAACCACACAGATTCATTCCCCTGTATCTTCCCAGAAATATTACAGATATTACACCCACCCATGTGTGTCTATAAATCCTGTGTCTATATCCCTGGATTCTTATATAAAATAGTATCATATAATGTACACTGATGGTTTTCAAATCTAGATGCATATCAAAATCACTTGGGAGGCTTCAGAAACATACCACCACTCAGACCCTACATCAGATCAGTTAACTCTGAGGCTCCAGGGAAGGGGCCTAGATGTTGGTAATTTTTATTTTAGGCTCCCCATGTGGTGCTGATGTGCCATCTGGACTGAGAGTCACAGCTGCACACTGTCCTGCACCATTTTTTCCCCCTTTAATGTGCCTTTGAAGGCAGCTCTAGACCAGCACATACAGAACTACCTAATTCCTCTGTTGTACTGGATAGTACTCAACTCTACTATTTATTTAGGCCGTCCTTTATTGATAGCTATTCCTGCTGTTTCCACTCTTTGGACATCATTAATTTGCCTCTCCAGACACAATCTTTACCCTGATCTCTTCTCTGGGATCTAACCAGCATGGATTTCTTCAACAGGGCTTTTGCAACCTCGGGCTTCCTGTTGGGTTCACCAATGGGGAGCTCTTTAGACTAGCAGGGGGAAGGAGACGGCCAAGGCATTTATTCCATTTCTGAAAGGTCTGGCTGTGTCCCTTGACTGAAGGTCACTGCTCCTGTCAAGACACCAACTCATATATCCTTCTGGGTTCCTGTACCACTTTCCTCTCATGTTCTCTCAGCTAAGGGTGGTGACTGGGCAGCAGCTGCTAGCCCTGGCTTACTCTACTATCTCTTGTGATTCCTCGGCACCAACTCTTTTGTTAATAAACCCTCCTTGAGTTATGTTATTTTGAATGCACCAAAGTTTCTTCTTAGGATCCTAATACATCAACCTTGAATGAACACCTTTGCCTTTGTTTGTTTGTTTGTTTGTGGACAATAACATCTTGGTTTTCCCTGAAGACAAGGCTTCTCCTGTATAGGGCAACAAGAGGTAATAGGGTAGTCTGTAATGCAGCTATTTTATCCCTTTTCTGAGTATTTTTGACAACAGCCAGGGAATAGCCCCATCACCAGCTGCCTTTACTTCATAAAGAATATTAGAAGGAACATTAAAGCAATGTCTTAGTGAGAACTCCACTGCTTCCTTGTGAAGGAAGGTGATAGATATTAGAAGAGAATTTGATAGTGCAAATGCAGTGAATGACTAAGATGCTACATTTCCAGATAATTTTTTTTTCAGAAGCTCTTTTCCCTTTTGCCATAATGACAGTCAAATCAACACAGAGTCCTAGGCTGGAGAGGAATTCCTGAGGCTAAATTCTTCCCCAGTGGAGAGTTGAGATTGCAATTAGTTTCTAGCCTAATCAGCGTAGTTTCCAGTTGGCTCCACCCAACGGAGGAACAATAGGGTAGGGGGCTTTGACCAACGCTCTTTGTGTAAACAGTTCGATGCCTGTCTTGGAAGAGGAGCACTTCTATTGATTTCAGTGTATTTTATTATTTATAGTTAATTTAATTTGGGGTATTTTAATTCCTTTTTAAAATTATATCAATGTTTTTAATCTGGGTTGCTTTATGTTACATCAGGATCAAACAAATAAACAAAAGTAAACATTGAGTGTCCATCCACTGCCACCACGGAAAGAAATCAACACTAGGGGTTTGTTCATTGGTAGGGGGAGCAGTCTGAGAGCAAATAAGAAGAAGGAATAAAAATAATAGTAGAAACCAATTTTTATTGATTGGTTTTATTGATTGATACTCTGAACGAGGCCATTTACTAAGTGTTAGGAAGGCATTATCTTATAACCTTGAAAGTAGGTATTATTATTATTGCTACCATTTCACTGAAGAGGTTTAGCTTAGAGATAGCAAATAACTTTCCCAAGTTTACACAGTTAGGAAATGGCAGAGCTGAGGCTTGACCCTGGTAGATCCACAATCAGGCCACACAGGCTTTGCCCTGCCCCAGATTCTAAAGCTTACCAATGCTTTTCACGTGATATAACCCTATAACCCATTTCAGTCTTCGGAAAGCTATTTGTGGCCATACACTTATATATAAACAAAATCTCTGTTCTCTGAAAGGATCTCTACCATAGTAATGCCATCCATTATGAGAAATACATTTTCCCCCCTCAAAAGTAGAATGTCGATTTAGAATAGCATTTCCCAAACCATGGAATGCTCTTTCAAGAGGCTTAAGAGAAGTGCTGTAGAAATCATGTACTATGGTCAACGTATTTAGGAAATGTAGCGTAAGAGATGCCCCTTCAAGATGGACATATTAAAGGCTCAGAAGTTCTCTAGTCAATAATTTGTTGAACTGGCCAGGCATGGTGGCTCACGCCTGTAGTCCCAGCATTTTGGGAGGCTGAGGCAGGTGGATCACTTGAGGTCAGGAGTTCAAGACCAGCCTGGCCAACATGGTGAAACGCTGTCTCTGCCAAAACATATAAAAATTAGCTGGATGTGGAGGTGTGCACCTGTAGTCCCAGCTACTTGGGAGGCTGAGGTGGGAGAATTGCTTGAACCCAGGATGTGGAGGTTGCAGTGGGCTAAGATTACACCACTGACCTCCAGCCTGGATGACAGAGTGAGACTCTGTCTCGAGAAAAAAAAAAAAAAAAAAAGAAAGAATGTGTTGAACTTAGTCCAAAGCAGCTCTTGCCCCCTTCCCTTCCTGTACCAGTTTGGGAAATGCTGATTTAGACATCTCTAATCTGTCCACGCCGATGCTCATCCATCACCTTCAGTATCACATAGCCTGAGAGCTATTTTTCTGTCAATACCAGCATCTTGATCTTTTCATGTTACACACACAATAGATAAACAATAAAAACATCTACTGGCTTGATTAATTGATGCACCCACCCTGTCTTGATTTGTAACCAACAGGCACGCATTTGCGAAGCAGCTGACTGGGCTTTTGGGGGGAGATGGAAAGTGCAGCCCTGGTGAGCTAATAGGTTCCTGTGAAAAGCAAACCCATCCCTCCTCAGCTATATAAGCTGTGACTGATCCCAAAGGCCACGGGCAGAGCTCAGTTAAGCCCCAGTACTGTCATCACTGCACAGACAATCATAGGGTGCTGGTGATGACACAGGCTTGGCCCTGAGAGCTTTACACTGAGGTAAGTCCTGATTTTATTCTGGTGGAAGTCCATGAGCTTAACGCACTAGATCACTATGCACTATGGCTCTCAGACTTGAGCATGTATCAGAATCATCTGCAGGGTTTGGTAAAACACAGATTGCAGGGCCCTCCTTCCAGAATATGCTGATCCTATAGGTCTAGGGTGAGGCCTGAGATTCTGTAGATCTAACAGGCTCCCAGGTAACACCAATGATGCTGGTCCCAGGACCACACTCTGAGAACCAGTGCACAGAGCTAAGGGTCTGCCTTGGAAGACCAGTGTAACAGAGACCAAATGAAGCCTATGGTTGATCCTGCCTGGCTTTCCAGATCCCTAATGCAGAGAAGGAGTTAAAAACAAGATTCTAAGGCTGTTTCCAACTAGGAATGCTTTCCTAGCTAAGTAAGCATCTGCTTTCCAGATTGACTAAAAAAGGTTTCAAAAGCAGTACTTGAACTCTAATGTACTTTTAATTTACCCAATTTAGAATCTGAATCTACGAATAAGATCCCTCAGATTAAATACACAGAGGTAGAAACAATTCTAATCTAATCCTAAATAAGAAAAATAACACTTTAGATTTCCTTCAAAGTTCCCTCACAGGCATAACAATGTTGAAAAAGCCATGCGAAATCTTAAGCCTATTTCCTTCCCAAATATTCTACCAAAAATTTGAGATTTAAAATGCCTAACACTTACACAAATAAAATACAGTGTCATAAGGCATTTGAGGGCAGCTAAATTCAAAATGAAATTCAGTCATTCATACCTTTAATTAAACTCCAAAGCTTTAAGCATGTACTGTGTATGTCAGGGCAATTTTTGGAAACTGTTTTAGGTTATTTAGCAAGATTTATAAGTTTATAGAAAAAATACAGACCCTTTATATGATTTTAGCTTGTACAGGAGAAAAGAACAGAACAATATGTGTAAAGGAAAACATTTTTCCATTTGTGATTTCCACTCTGCTGGAAAACAGGGATGTGGCTAGGCATTCAAACGGCGCTCTGCCCTTACCTCCTCCCATACCCCCTCTGCTGACAGGCTGTAGAGATCCAAGTGCCACCGATGGGTCCCTGGTGCTTGGGAAAGAAACCCTGCTGGGTCACCAAGTGTGAGGTCTGTCTCAAGCAATTTTTATATTTTAAAAAAGAAGAACCACCACTAATAACCAACACATTTATCTCATAAAAATTGGATGAAGGCAGGAATTTCCACCCTCAACCAAGGGAAGCCCAGCTGGGCTCCCGATTGATGAGTGAGATCTTGCTTAGGGAAAGAGAAAAGTGGACATGAAGCCACTCAGAAAATGGGTCACACCAGTAACAAACTGAAAATGTCAAGGAAACGTGGCCTAGTTACAGGGCAGAGCTGTGGCCTCCACAGCCCAGGAGCCTGAGGTGACAGAGGGAGGGTATCTGGCATGTCCAAGAAACAACAATGAACGAGTAAGTAAGCTGGAATCCCCAAGGGCACTGTGGGGAGCAAGGAGGGGCAAATGAATCCTTTTGAAAACAATGAGGCGTTCAGGTTATTTCCAAAGGTGGGGAATGTCACCAACTTTTCAGGCAAATCGGTCTGAAGAGATCTTTTCTGCTTGGAGGTGGGTGAGAAACAGAATTCTCCATCTAAAAGGAAAGATCCTTCTCCACAAAAAGTTGATCCAGCCACAGAGGAAAACTTCCTCTTTCAAAGCCCCACATTCCAAAGGATGACAAATAGAGACAATTCTAGTAAAAGCATAGCAGCCTGTTTGGGTGTAACCCTTTGGCATAAAATAGCATGGGGATGGTAAAATTGCTTTTTAAAAAAAAAAATGCTATGAATTATCACTTGTCTAATGCATATTATTCATTTTGCCATTCATTTGGTCTCAATAAATAACAGCTATGCACACAATTATCAGGTACCCTGTGGGATTCAGAGGTTTCCAAATCTTTCAGGAACAGGGTGTGGCGTGTCTACCCTAGCTGGTCTTGCTTTAAGGAGGGGTAGCACCTGCCTCTACAGCAGAAGTTCCTTCCTCCTCTTCACTGATCACTTAAAGCCTGGACTGAGTTATAGCTCCAGTCTCAGATTCAAGGTAGGAGGCTGGTGGGGGAAGGTGAGTGGGACAGCCTGGGACATTTCTCTGCACAGGAAAAATACATACCATGGCTGAGGGACTGGAGAAAAAGTAAGGACAGTTTGTGGGGGGAGCCCTCCAAAATAATACTATTAATTGCCATACACAGTACTAAAATACGTAAGTAAAAGATGATCTTAATTTTCATGCCACCTATTTGAGGAGGTTATGATCACACTATTTTACAGATGAGAAAACTGAGGTACAGAGAGCTAAAGTCACTTGCCTCCTTCTCCTCCAAATCCCTATCTCCTTGGTTCTCCATTAGTTTTCTCCCTGGGACTTCTCAATATACTGTGTGACATACTGTGTTAAACACTGATTTATCTCCTGTCTCCACTAGAATATAAAATCCATGAAAGCAGAAACTCTTTTTTTTTTTTTAATATTTTTAAATCACTGTATCTTCAGCACTCAGACCACCACCAGGCCCACAGTAGGAGTTCAATTGACATTTGTGGAATGAATGTTGACCAACTAAAGTGGAAGATTAGTAAAATTTGAGAGATATCTCTGAAGGCAAGTTTTCCCTGAATTTCATCAGAGAACAGCTGAATCAAACTCAGAAGAAGCCAGCAATGTTTCAGAGAAACAACTCTGTCTGGACGCAGGCCTTGTTTATCCTTTGAATTCCAGGGACTGTTCTCTGGCCACTAAGACAGGAGAAGAAGGTTGACTCTGGCAGAATCTGCAGGCGTTTGGCATGCGTGCGTCTTTTAGGTCACCAGAAATAACTTGGAAATGCATGAGCGTGTGTGTTAAGACAGAAGGACGAGAAAAATTAGTTTTATTTATGAGGCTACTGAGCAGTTAGTTATTTTTTAGGGGTGGGGACCACTTAGGCAGAGAGAACTCCAAGGTTGGGTTCCATCATTGCAGTAATCATCCCAGCCCTCCTAGCTTTCTTTCAATCTTTCAATCTTTGTGGTCTAAAGAAGGCATTTACCTAGTAGTTTCTAATTTGGGGAAATTACTGCAGCATGTTATGTCCCTGGTGGGGCATTCCCTGACTTCTTTCTCAGCATTTGTTTACTTCCTCCTTTAAAATCACTCTCTCCCAGAAAGGAGTTGGCATGATGCCCCACTGGTCACTGTGGAAGGAGAGAATGATTTATTTCTGCAGCCCTCAGTAAGCACCCATTGAACGACCCTCATCCTTGGAGGTGGATCAGCCCCATTTCTTCCACCAGAGACAGTGGAAGATGGTGGTAGTGGGCATGCTCAGGTCCAGAGACCAGTATCATCAGCCAGGCAATGTCGATGCCAGAACTAAAACCTAGGGTTTCCTGCTTTCCATTCCAATATTTGAGCCACCTTTCTTGTTTGCCTCAGCCATTAGCCATAAATTTTGTTTCCCAAATTTCTTAGAATCTCAGTTACAAGTTGTTTTCTTTCCAAGAAGATTCTGAAAACCGAGAGGCTAGTCTCCATGCTGCACTATACTATAGTGAGACTCTTCCATACCTTTCTATTCATGCAGACAGCTCAGCCCCATCCCAAGACAGCTGCCCATGACTCCGCGGTCACAAACTCACAGGACTTGTGTCAGTTTACTATCACTGCATATTAAACCACCCTAAACTCACTGGGTTCCAATAATCACAATGTGATATTTATCATGAATCTATAGGTTGTCTGGGAAGCTTTGGCTGGTCTTGCCTGACTAACCCAGGTGGCTGCATTCAACTGACTGGTGGTCCCAATGCTGAGCTGCGCTGAGAGAGATAGCTGGGCTTCTCTCTCCAGTAATCCGTCATCTTTAAGGAGGCTACAACAGGCTTCTTTACATGGTGACTGGGTTCCAAGAGAATGAGAGAGAAAGCTGTGAGGCATTGTGGCCTGGGCCTGGGAAGGCACATGATGTCACTTCCTCCACATTCTATTGGCCAAAATAAGTCAAAGGGTAAAGGTCAGCCTAGATTCAAGGGCTCCAGCTCTTAATGGGAGGGGTTGCAAAGATTCTATGGCCATTTTTAATCTACTATGGGCCTACAGGCATTAGGTATAAAAGTGAAGCAGGCCAGCTGTGAGATTATAGAGACCAGAGAGTATCATCTGCTCCCAAGTTTCACATAGGTTTAGTGTAACCAACTCTTCTGACACTTCAAAAGAAGCTGGAAATCTGGATTTAAAAAGATGTGTTAATAGACTCTATTTTTTAGAGCAGTTTTGGGTTTACAGAAAAATTGCATGAAAGTTTTACACATACCCTCTCTATTTCTACATTCTGAGTTTCCTTAATTATTAACATCTTGCATTAACGCGATACACTGGTTACAACTCATGAACCAATATTTATATTGGTTCATTATTATTAAAGGTCATAGTTTACATTAGCATTCAGTCTTTGTGTTCTATGGGTTTTGACAAATGCATAATGTCTTGTGTATATCCCATTCCAGCATCATACAGAATAGTCTCACCGCGAAAAAAATACCCTGTGCTCCAAATATTCATCCCTCTTCCTCTCCCCAGAATCCCTGGCAATCACTGATCTTCTTATTGATTCCATAATTTTGCATGTTCCAGAAAGCCATATAGTTGGTATCATATCATACTGTAGTCTTCTCAGATTGATTTCTTTTTTTTGAGATGGAGTCTTGCTCGGTAGCCCAGGCTGGAGTGCGGTGGCACGATCTCAGCTCACTGCAACCTCTGCCTCCCAGGTTCAACCCATTCTCCTGCCTCAGCCTCCTGAGCCTGGGACTACAGGCTCACACCATCATGCCCAGCTAATTTTTTTGCATTTTTAGTAGAGATGGGGTTTCACCATGTTGTCCAGGCTGGTCTCAAACTCCTGACCTCAAGCGATCTGCCTGCCTTGGCCTCCCAAAGTGCTGGGATTACAGGTGTGAGCCACTGCACCCCGCCAGACTGACTTCTTTTACTCAGCAATATGCATTAAAAGTTCCTCCATGTCTTTTCATGGCTGGAGAGTTCACTTTTTAAAATCATTGAATAATATAGCATTGTCTGCGTGCACCATAGTTTGTTTATCCATTTTCACATACTGATAGACATCTTGGTTGCTTCCCAAGTTTTGGCAATTATAAATAAAGCTTCTAACAAAATCCATGTGCAGGTTTTTGTGTAGACATAAATTTCAACTCATTTGGGTAAATACCAAAGAACATGATTGCTGGATTGTATGCTTAGAATATGTTTGGTTTTGTGAAAAACCACCAAACTGTCTTCTAAAAATGGCTGTATCACTTTGTATTCCCACCAGTAATGAGTGAGAGTTCCCACTGCTCCACATCCTAGCCAGCATTTGATGTTGTCAGTGTTCTGGAATTTTGGCCATTCTCAGAGGTGTGTAGTGGTATCTCACTGTTGTTTTTATTTGTATTTCCCTGAAGACATAAGACGTGAATCATATTTTTATATGCTTACTTGACACCTGTATGTCCTTTTTGATGAGGTATCTGTTCATATTTTTTGCTCATATTTTAATTGGGTTCTTTGTTTACTTATTATTGAATTTTAAGAGTTCTCTGTATATTTTGGATACTGGTCCTTTATCAGATATGTGTTTTGCAAATATTTTCTCCTAGTGTGTGGCTTGTCTTTTCATTCTCTTGAGTGTCTTTCACAGAGCAGAAGTTTTTAGTTTAAACACAGTCCAACTTAAGTTTTTATCTCACAGATTATACTTTTAACGTTGTATCTAAAAAGTCATAATTATACCCAAGGCCACCTAGGTTTTCTCCTATGTTATCTTCTAGAGGTTTTACAGTTTTGCATTTTACATTTAGACCTATGGTCCATTTGGAATCAATTTCTGTGAAAGGTATAATGTCTGTATCTAGATTCATTTTTGTGTATATGGATGTCCAGTTGTTCCAGCATGAAATCTGAATTTTATGTGAAGACTCCTGATTTTAAAGGTTTGTTCAAGTCTTTTTTTGGTGGTAGTGGTACCAGAGGAATTCCAGCTCCCTCCTCCCCTAATACACATGTCTGCAGAATGCATTTATCCATCCTGGATAATCTCTGCCTCCTTCATCCTTCTTACCTGGAATGCTCTTCATCCATCCACCTAAGTTTTTCCTAATGCCCACCTCACACTCCATCTACCCGACCTTTTCCACTACTTCGACCTAGTGTGTGCACTCACCACATATTCAGTTGACAGTGGTTGAACTCTGAACACATTATGACTTGTAAGTCCCCATTAGCACTGCCATATGCCACTGCCTTTCTTTCTTAGCTAGACTGTGAACTCTTGGGGAAGACAGGAACCCTCTTATTCCGGTTTACCCCAGGTAGCTTGGCATGCATGGGTCTGGGCATAAAATAGGTTCAGCCACAGTTGCTAACAATTTCAGACTAGCTGGACTTTGGTCCTGACTTACCAATTGTCCTTTGTTCTTCAGGAGAGATGGCTACTTCAGGAGTCAAGCTGAGGACCTGCCAAAGATTTAAACCCAGCAGCCTTGCCCTGGCACAGGTAGAATGATGGCCTCTCTAATTTTGATGCCTGATTTAGCATTACATTCATGTAAATAAGAGGGCCCTGATGTCCTTGGAGAATTAGGAAAGATTAGTAATACAGCAAAATGTATTATCAGAGGTACCACTGTATTATGAGTAACAAACATGTTTCTTTCACTATGATTTCTCTCTGGTCATAATGATATCCCAGTCATTATGAAAAATAGTGAAATAAAGGAGTGAAATAAAAAGAACAGATAGCTTCCTGGTGACTGGTTCCCTACCTCATGCATAATTAATAGTCAAGTTAATGGTAATCCTCCCAGCCCACCTTTGTTCTTTATTTTCATCTGCATCATTAAGTGTTCCCACTGGAGGATCTCTGGACACTTCCAACTCAACAACGATGGAGGGAACAAAAGGGTCCACACCTGAGGCTGAGACCCAAGTCGTCTCAGGTGATTGTTACCGTGGCACGTCTGTGTGCCGACAGATTTCTCAGAATCAAATTGCTCAGGGAAAGTACTGTGGGTCCATTTGTTAGGACTGCCTAACAGCCATGCATGATCCACACCAGCAAATCCCAGGCAGAAAATATCAGGGAGACAGGATCCCAGGAAAATCACCTCACTGCCTGGGGTTTGAGAAGTGGCTGCGAGCCTGCCTGCAGAGCTTATGGGGGACTTTGACATGGCTCTCACTCAGGGCCATGGCAGACGCTGGTATCAGGGCTGATGCTGGTACTGCTTCTACCTCAGGAACAACCTTCCCTGACCTCAAGACCCAAAGGTATCAATCAGCGACTCACTCAGCTTGGAAGGACAGTGGTCTTGTTGGAGGCACACCCACACTTCTTTTTCTAATTCTCCTCCAGAGACAATTAGAACCGTTCCTGTTATCACCCTCCCTTCCCCAGGAAAGCCCCCCAGATCTGTACCAGGCAGGCAACAGTCCCTCTGGGTGGTGTGAAGTGGGCAGAGCGATTCCCAGGATGTTATGAAAATAAATCGTATCTAGACACCTAAAAAACAAAAAATCCCAAGCCTTCTCCTCAGGACCTGTTTAAAAGACACACCTCCCCTTTTCCACTTAGCTGCTTAAGCAACCTCTTTGTACACACTGTACTCAGCAGTGACTCAGGGGCCCACAGTTACCAGCCACTGAAAAGAAAATTACAGACCACTAGTTGGTAGCGGCTGGCTAAAATCAGGGGATGTTAAGCAACTTGGGCTAGAAATTCAACCTTGCTCATACAGAGCAAGGAATCACTTCAGCAACTGCTAGGTACAGAAAATTAAACCAACTGAAGAAAAAAACAAGTAAAGAAAATAGAATCTCCCTAAAGTCTAGGAAAGTGGGTATAGGAGAACCTGAGAAGGTCAAACCTCAAGGCAGGGAGGCTCCCTAGGCAAGCCCAGCCATGGAGAACCGGAAGAGACTCACTGCCCATAAGCCAAACAAATTCAATTATTTTGAGGTCCTGAGGCACTGGTCCACTTCTTGGTGAAGGAACATGTGATTTACCACTCAACAGGCAAATAATTAAACTTCCTGAACATCAGTATGATTTAAAGCTGCCAACAACTAAAAAGATCTTATATTCTCAGTTTCAGATTTCATCCTACAGTATAGTCACATTTTTATTATGTACCTCTTAAGTCCATTTGGAGTCATCTCTCCTCCCAAGCATTTAATAGCCCTTAGTGTCTTCTAAGGCAGAAATTATCAGACTCATTTTGCAGATTTGTAAATATCTCACAGCAATTGAATGGCAGGGTGCTGTCATGAAACTATGGCATGTGGAGGAGCAGGAAAAGGTTACCGACATCCTAGCATCTCACCGCCATGCTAGCGTCTCCCCACGTGAAACAACTGCCCTGAAGACAGTCTGTGGCTGAACCTCAATGTATTTTCACTTAGAGAATGGGAAAATCATCTGTTTTTCCTGAGTCTTACATAACTGTAGCCTGAGAGTCCAACTGTTCCGGTCATGGCCTCACATTCTTTCTGCAAAGGCGCTAGTTGACAAGATTTATGGGGTAGTCTAAGGAAGCATGTGAAGCAATGTGGGGTTGAAACCATGAGGGAGAACTTTCTGATCCTAGCAGAGTAGACCTAGTTTCTGTGGAGGGCTAGACAACCAGCCCCCAAACTAATTGTCCTGACTATGGGTGCTCAATGCTGAAAAATAAAGCAAAAAGGGTTCTTCTCTTTCATAGTCTCTGTCAAGAAGTCATAGTCATGCTAAGGTTTGAGGATGTGAAGACACAAAGGGCTCCTGGGGGCTCTTCCTTATGGAAGTGGACATGGAGTTGGCATTGAACATTTCCAACATAGTCAGTGGGGAGGGAAACCGAGACAACATAGATGAGTGAAACAAACTCGGCCACAGAGCTGCTACAGTCCCTGGACGTTTGTAAAACTTACAGAAATTGCTTTTCATGCCTAGCAGCCAGCACAGGCAATAGCTATCACCAAAGCCATCTCAGCAGGACAGTAAATCAAAAATCACCAAGGCTAAGAAGCAGTATGTTAAGAATAACGACTCCCTCTGAGATGATGATGCTTTAAAAACCCACAACAAGCCAGCTGAGCTCCCAGTTTAGGGAGGAGGTTTAAATAATGTTCAGGGGATAATGGTCCAAAGTCAGATGGAGCCAGACAGCAAATTCTAGGTGGAATGGCTGACCAAAGCCCTTGTGGGGTAGGCAGCTGGACATCATACTTACAGTGAGTTGGGCCGGGTGGGTTTGACCACAGCCAGGTCTGGGTCACTGGAGTTCATGTTGGGCTGTAAGCTGCTGCTGGAATTAAGGATGCTGTTTGGATTTGATGAGACAGATTCCAAACTGGAGTTGATGATGCTGTTCCTTTGTTCCTCTGGGGGGGAAAAGCCACAAGTCCCATATTAATATTATTGCATAGGGACAGTCTATTGCTACATGCACAAAAATGTATAAAGAATAAGACTGGATCAAGATCTCTGATCCCAGGGAAGCTTAAGAAACAACATAGAAAAGGTTAAGAATTAAAAGTGGGAAAGGAAGAGTCAAGGGGGAACAGGTGACTCGAAATTTTAAAGCAAACCCCTTTCCTCGTCATAACAGGATATATCTCCCCTTTAATATAAGCCAGGATTTTTTCTAAGAGTGGCCCTACTATGGCACCATAAATTGCATCTTCTTTTGACTGGCAGATTGCCAGAGTAGAGAAAAGCCTCCACAGACCCCTCACATTCACCCAGATCCCCTTGGCTTCTGTGACACTCACCTTTTATTCTAAAACTCCTGCCTCTAATATTGCTCTAATTGATCAGGCCATGTCCCACCTCCAATTCCATAGAGCCTCACCAGAGAAGATCTACTATTTAGCCACCAATGTCCTTACGACTCCACCAGTCTAAATTCCTGACCCTTTCTCAGACACATCTTTCTGTGTTGCCTCTAGCTCCATGTACTTGGTGTTTGACTTCAAGTGAATTCTTTGATAAATCGCTCTGTAATGGGCTGCAGAATGGTTTGCCTATAAACAACAACAAAACACTTGAGTCCATAGTCCCAGCAGTCATATTCATGCTTGGAGAATACTGCCAAGCCAAGAGACAGAAAACCTGAGTTCTCTTCAAGCCCTGACTGGCTATGTGGCCTCAGGCAATTTCTACTTGATCTTGGATTCCTGGTTAACAATCTATAAAATGGGGAGAACAAGAACTGCCTTTCACAGCTTGTGGAACTGTCATGAGGATCAAGTGGGATCATAGGCAGGAATGTATCTTGTAAACTTCAGAACACTGCTCAAAGAACAGAACTTTATGTTCTTCCCATCTTTAAAAACTTGGAATCATAAATGGAAAACACAAATTTTGGAGATAATTTAGCTAAATGGTACCAGCATCCACCATTACTGTAGCAAAATATTATAGATGTGGAATGTGATTCTTGTCCCCTATTTATTACAGATATACCATATTAAAATCAACTGATATTTCTGAAAATTAATTCACTTAAACATCATATCTAGGCTAATCCTGGACCTTTTTGCAGCGAGTCAGGGGTATGTTACAATATATCCCTCAGAGTACAGTCTAGAGTCACTGGTATGATAATTTAAAGGCCAATATTTGAACTCAGGTCTCTTTAGGCAATTAAGAGGGTGATGTGTCATAAAAATACTTTTCCCTTTGCACGAGTCATGTATGTAAAAATAAAGTATGCTTACAAAGTGATTCTAGAGTAAGCCTCACGTTAAATACATACACATTCACCCCAATACCCCTGATATCTTAGCAAATCCTTAATGCCCTAGATAAAGCCCCACAGGAGAGAGAAAAACCCTGTGAGGCTAGCTCCTGACTACTGTACTCAAAGTAGATTTGGAAAAAGTAGATTGAATTGATGCCTGAGATTTAAAACTGTTCATATTTTAAGAGCTTCGTTTTTGAACAGAAACGACAACAAAGAGAAACCAAAAGAGTTACACTGAGCCAAGATGTAGGAGGACTAACAGGGCCTGTAAATGGGAACTTCCTACCAGAAAGAAAAACAACGCTAAGATTACATAATAAGGGGATCATTGAGAGATTGGATGTGCCATTTATCAGTATGAATCAGTATCAGTAAAATTTTCCTTTTCACAAGACACGCATACAAAGATGCCCGAAAGACCATGAGGAACTGGAGGCTACCATATAAAGAGAGAGAGTGAGGACGGTTCCCTGGGCTTCAACTGGAGACATTTACTGCTTCACAGGACAGGAAGAAAAACAGTTGTATTAACTTTAGTTTGAGAAGCTTAAAGGGCTAAGTTTGCATGGCATAATTCTCAGAATTCTTAGGGAACAGAAGAGCATAACTATTGCTCACATTTCTCCTGTGATTATATTTACTTTTCCAGGAGAGGATTATCATTCTACAAACTAAAAACAATATCTTGCTAAAAGTATATTCGTCTTTCTAAAATGTTACCAGGAGATTATTTTTCTCCCTTACTATCCATTAGTAAAGGAGGGTATAAAAATGTATCATAAGGCTTCATAGTTTTACAGCCAAGAGGGCCAAATATGCATCTTGAAAGGCTGACTCTTTATTGGTATCCCTTGCTGGGCCATATGACAAGAAAACCCAGAAACCTGGCATTCCCTGACTATAAAACGACTACAGTTTTGTAGAAGAAAGGTCTCATCATCTGTAGACAACACATAATGAGACTGAGAACATCTAGGTAGAAGATCAAAGCCAAAAGGCTGACAATCTTTACTGACGGTAAGTAGGCAGGTGAGGATTATTCCAGGGAAAGAGTAGAGAATAAGACCAACAGCCAATCAAATGTTTTAGTGGTTATAGCAAACTATACCAAGACAAATTTTACAGCATTTGGAGTCAATTAGGAAATAAGGAGAAAATGAGCCAAGCATAGTGGTTCATGCCTGTAATCCCATCGCCTTCAGAGGCCAAGGTGGGAGGATCACTTGAGGCCAAGAGTTTGAGATCAACCTGGTAAACACAGTGAGACCCCCATCTCTACAAAAAAAGTTAAAAATTAGCCAGGCCTGGTGGTACACACCTGTGGTCCCATGTACTTGGGAGGCTGAGGCAGGAGAACTGCTTCAGCCTGGGAGTTCAAGGCTGTGGTGAGGTATGATGGTGCCAAAGCACTCCAGCCTAGGTGACAGAGCAAGACTCTGCCTCCTTTAAAAAATAATAATAATAATAAAGAAAAAATGATCCCGTAATGTCACTCGAAACAGGAAAGTTTTTCATCAGCTAGGCAAATGAGTACTGCTCCTGACAGAAGCGCACAAGAACAGGCAGCCTAGAAGACACTTTAAAAAATAAAAATTAAAATTAAGCAAATCCTTCAAATAACATAGCTAGACTTCCCTGAGTCACTGATGATTCAATCCAGCTCTGGTATCCTCATAGAAGGTATAAGAAGGACTGATGGCAATTATGTTGCTGAAGGAAAAAAATTATAGGCTAGTGGGCTTCAAAAGAAAAACAGCTAGTTATGAGTCAAGTCAACAAGATCACAGAGGACCATGTCAAAAAGGAAAGAATGCCCACAACTCAGGAGTATGCCTAAACTGGTTGAAGTCAGTGAGAATGCTTGCCCGCCTCAAACATGTTTGTCAACAGGAATCTGTCTTTGTATCAATCACAGAAAACAAGACCTCAGCAACAAGAACATGATAAAATAAATCCCCAAATAATGGTAAGCATGCATTGGCAGTGCTTTCACAAACATATGTTCTATAAGGAGTGACAAACTGCATGTGAACTTGGTCCTTAAGGATGCAAACTACCCGAGGGCAGGGACATGCTGTCTGGCCATACAGCATCCATTAACGTGGCAGGTGAGGTCACCATTAGCCATCCATTCCTGGTGCCTAGCCCATGGGTCACTGACACTAAGGCTCCGTGAATGGTTATAAGATAAATATTAAATATAAGGGAATAATACACAGTCAAAAATTTATGCTGCTGGAACAGAAAGGGGTAGTTTTGCGTGACTGAATTTTTCAGGTGCTTTAGACAGGGACCATAAATGTCCTTGAAACCAAAGTACTGATGACAGTGGGCAGAGTTTTTGTTTTTTGTACAAATCAGGAACGGAAAAACATGAGTATGCAACCAAATCACTGCAACTAAAAAAGGAAAGCCGCAGAATAATTTTGGTGATATTGTACTTGTTCTGGGGGTTGCCATGGAAATCTGGGAGCTAAGCGACTTCACTTTCCATATTTACCAAGTGACTCCGACCCACTCTAATGGCAACCCCATCACACAGGGGAGGCAGGAGCTCTGTTTATCACAGAACCCAGAGGCGAGGCCAGGAAAGCACTCACAGAGCCAAGCCAAATTCACACGTCTTGGCAGGCCCGAACAGGTCTGGCTCACTGAATACACAGAGCTGGAGGGTAAATACGAAACATTTGCGGGAGGTTTCCCCCCATGCATGGGACTCTGTCAGAATACAGGCTAATATCCCAACTTTCCATGGTGCCTAAGAGTAGAGGGCAAAAAGAAGAGGCAAGAGGACTGTTCTTTAACAGCATCTCAGGATGCCTCATAGAGCCAAAAGGAGGGAACAGACTCTCCACATGATCAAACAAGGAGAAAAGGGAGTTACCAGACAGAGCGAAGTTTTACAAAGACAAGGAGATTTATATTAAAAAAAATAGGAAGGCAAACACAAAATACCCAGAGGCTTTCCTGTGCTGTGGTCAGGAGAGAGGTGTACTTTCTCCTACTTGTTAAAGTTTTGCAATGAAGTCTGTAATGTATCATCTTGACAAGATGGGATGATAATAGCACAGCAGCTTAATGAATTTTGCAATAAAAAGTGATGAGTGCACAGCAATTTCTGAGTTTACCATCTCTGGGAAATACCCAAGTACATGGGAAGCTTGGAATCAGACTTTCTGAAGCAATTTTTACCCCCTGTAGCTCTTGTTCCTGATAATAGTGACATGCCAAGCCACACTAAAATCTGAGGTGGTCTCATTTCAGGCTGACCCAGCAGCCTCAGTCCCTATGATAAAAACAAACTTAAAAAGCAGTCTGCGTAATATGTTTGGGTATATAAAAACAGTTTGGACAATGTTTTTTTTTTAAAAAAATCTTAAAAAGGAGTTTGGGTGATGATAGACTCTATACATTGAGTTGAAAAGTAGGCCGGGCGCAGTGGCTCATGCTTGTAATCCCAGCACTTTGGGAGGCCGAGGCAGGTGGATCACAAGGTCAGGAGTTCGAGACTAGCAGCCTGGCCAGTATGGTGAAACCCCATCTCTACTAAAAGTACAAAATTTAGCTGGGCGTGGTGGCGGGCGCATGCAGTCCCAGCTACTCAGGAGGCTAAGGCGGGAGAATCACTTGAACCCGGGAGGCGAAGGTTGCAGTGAGCCAAGATCGTGCCACTGCACTCCACAGCCTAGGCGACAGAGCAAGACTGTCTCAAAAAAAAAAAAAAAAAAAAAAGTGAAAAGTAGAGTCAATCTGTTGTTTTGATCATAGTACATGAAAGATGATATTAAAACCTTTGACAGATTATCTTCAGCAAAACGACTTCTGATTTTGGTTCTGTGTGGACAGACTGACTCCCTGCAGCACCTGTAATAACCCTTTTCTTTGCAAAGGGAAAAAATGCCAATAAAACTGAATTTCATGAGAGAATGGGGAAGTCACTGTGGGTGGCCTGGGATTGCACTGATCCACAGGAAAGAGACGTGGAGGCACAATGAGGAAGACTGGCCCTAAAACACCATTTCAGAAACCGCAAAGGAGGAATGGGCCTCTGATGAATGTTGACTAGGGGGTTGAATGATCAGAGTTAAATGGACACTGTATTACTCACAAGACAGCCCTCTTTTCTATGTGAGACTTGCTTTTAGGAAAAGTTGGTTTCCCGTTAACTTACAGTTGACTGGGATCTGAGGGAGTCCACGTACAGACGGCTTATATTCTTGCTCATTAGAAGGAAACTACACACCTACTTTTATACCATGACTCACAGCAAAATGGGTTTGAGATAGTACATGAAAGGTGCAATTAGGGAGTTTTGTTTTTAATAACTTAAAACCAAGTGAATATATAAGAAATATGCATTTCTCTCCAATTTAGAAAGTCTAGAAAAGCATTTGCATCTGCACACAGATATCCCGTATGGGCCACGCTCCAGTTGTATTCATTTTGGTGTGTAAATGTCCAATCGATCTGCTACACAGAGGAATATATACATATACACACACACAGACATGTACTTTTTTAACGAAGCAGACTCACATCATACTTAATGGTATCTGCTTTGTTCACTTGGTGATAGTGCCAAAAGTATGCGCCTAGAATGGCTTGTTTTCATTTAATGGGTCTAGCTGGAACTTTTTTCCTGCCACCAGCTTTCCACAGCATCATTTTTTAATAGCCACATTATCAACGTGGTTTTCAGTCACGTGTAGTAATTACACATAGTTAACCCAAGAAACACATTACACACCTTCTGCAGCCCGTGTGACAACAGGAATCCATGTGAATAAACATGTCATCTGCCAAAGCAAACAGGTGTGCCCAGGGCACCCGGGATCTGCAAAGGCAACCTGAGAAAGGGCACATGCTACAGCTTTGACTGCTCAGAGAAAGGCATTACGTAAGCCTTTGAATAGTATGAATTCCCAGTCATTTTTCAACAAGGAAGACACACATGAGAAATATATAAGCTGAATTCTCAACCTCTCACTGGGCCTGTCTGGGAGAGGGTCTAGGATGAATTAACGGAACTAAAAAAATTATTCAGAGCTATAATCTCAGCAGCTAGTTAACATGATCCATGTAAAACAAGGCCCAAGAATCCACTCCTGCCCCCACCCCCACCCCCACCGACACTGTACAATGTGTCCTAGGCTGCTGATGTTTTTGCACTCAAGCCTCAGACAGGCTGTCTCAGGGGCCGGGGGGAATCTGCATTTCCCTCACATATGGGCCTCTCTTTTGGAATCTGCAGGCTCCAAAGGGAAGGATATTTCCTTAGTCAGTTGTAAGATACAACTACAGCGTGATGATAATCATCATAATTGTAGCTAACATTTATTAGGTGCTTACTATGGTCTAGGCCCAATGTCAAGTACTTTATATATACTGGCTCACTTAATCATGGCAATTACCCTCCAAGGAAGCTATTATTAGTGATAGATTTTACAGATGAGAAAATGGAGGCTCAGAAAAGGAAAGTAACGTACTCCAGGTCTCAGAGTGGTAGGTGATAGAGATGACATTAAAACATCTCAGTCTGACTGCAGAGCCTCCACTTTCAACCACCATGCCAGGGTGCTCCAAACTCCAACAGTGATTCAAAGAGATGTTCTGCTAATGACAGAAGACAAGCCACCCTGACTGTCCCCACCTTCCCAAGCCAGTACTTCTCTAAATTGAGTTAGCATCAGTATCACTAGGGTGCTTTAAAAATATAGATGCTTGAGCCCCAGCCAAGACCTCCTGACTCAGAATATCCTGGGTAGGAGACCAAGCATCTGTATTTTTAACAAGCTCCCTACAAGATTCAAATGCACACTCAAGTCTATGAACCACTGTTCCAAGAAACGCATTTCAACATCTTGGTATAAATGCTAAAAATTTGGGACAGAATAAATCCTAAGTGTCACTTTGCAAACCCTTGGAAGAAATCTATAAGGTACAAGACCTTGTTGCTGGCTCCCTTCAATCCTTCTGGCTCCCCCTTCTACAGTCGTCCAGAAAAAGCACAGCGTGTGTGTCAGTACCTTTCACCTAGATGTACCAGTACAGTCTCTGCTGGATGGTGTATCTGTGTGGAAACTTGGAGATTAAAGAGTAATCTCCTTTGCTGCCATTCATCTGGGAGCACAGTTGAAAAACCTCGTTCCATCTGTTCGAAGGTGATCGCAAATGAGCGTGAGTGGCTTGGCCGAGCATATTAAAGCTACCATTCAACACATATCGCTCTCTGTGTAGTTGGTGCTAGATTTGGAGGGGAGACTGTCACGTGGCTGCAGCCTGCCAGGACGCACATTGAGGTACCCATTCAATATGGTTCAACTGCCCCCATGTAGCCCTGGAAGCTGGAACAGATGGTTTTCATTGCTTCTGTAACTCAGGCTAGCAAGGTTTTCACTTCTGTAGCTCAAGAACTGACAAAGGTACCCTTTTGGAGATAACAAAGTATAGGGAAGGAAGACTAGAAGACTACCTGGGTACAAATCCCTTCTCTGCCATTTGCTGACAGTGTAACTGCTTAACCTCTTGACCTCAGTTTACTTGTCTGTAAAATGTGGATATAAGAACCTACCTCACAGGATTATCATCAATTGTGGGGATGACACGAGATAATGAGGTTAGTAGGCACATAAGTAGAGCTATAATTATTTTTATTTTTATTGTTATTATTAGATGAGGTTCAAATTTAGTTTGGCCTGAAAGTTCTTTACCAAATGTATCCATTTGTACTTCCACCCCAGCCCCTCAGCATTTTACCGGCAGATGCCCAGCTGAATGAAACTTTGAACTCCAGGTTCTTAAGTGGAACTGGAAACATTTTCCCTTGGAGATAAGGAAGAGTTCGCGGACTAGGTCACAACAGCTAACCCTAAAAGAATGCATCTCCTGGGGAACCATCCCACAATTTGAAAGCAAAATAACGACTGGTTAACAGTGTCACTTTGAGGTAGAATGACAGGGTTCAAATCTACGTTGTTGCCGTGTAACCCTGAGCGTACACTATTTAATGTAAATTTTATTTCCTTTCGACTGTAAAACAGGGACAGTACCTGTGTCATATAATTTTAAAGATTAGTTGGGCTGTTGTGGTGCACAATGTCCAACACAAGAAACCACCTGGTAAGTTATATAGTCATAGATATTAAACACAGACAAGAAAAAAATCAATTTCTAGGGAAAACGTCTTCCAGGTTCAGTTTGGCTAAATCACCTTTCTACAGTTCTCTCCGCAGTTCTACAGACAAGAGCTGCCCACTGCTACTCACAGAGAGACTCTCCCATCACAGACCACCGTTCCTATCTATTGGGCCAGAATGGGACCCTTCATATCATTTTGTATCTTTCTCAAAACTCTTCCTTTCAGAAAACCTTCCTTGACTGTCTACAGATAACTTTGATATCTAGCTCCTTCCTCACTAAAATATTCAGTGGTTTCCTGATGGTTTGTATTTGTTGCTACGATGCTTTCTAAATCCTGCATTTCCCCATCATTCCCTTTCCTCTTGTCCACAAAGTTTTCATCTCAGAGGCTGCTCCCATTTCACTCCTAGCCCCATTTCCATCACACATTGCCTATGATATGAGGAGCGACTTGCTGTCTTATAACTGACCTAAGTCCCTGCCCAGCACAGAGCATGAGAAACCATCAAGCTCCTCATTCTGAGAATAGACCACAGCTTTACGTTTAGGAAAAGGAAAACAAAACAAAACAAAACACAAAACCACCTAGAGAAGACTATACTAATACCCATAGATTAAAGAGAGAGAGTCGCAGGCAGGGACCTGGGCACACAACTGGTCTACTCACACTGTAGGAAAAACCCCTTCTGGCAAATAAGACACACATCTATGAGCATATTCTAATATCCCAGACCATGAGCCTGAAGTGCAGGTGCAAAGGCAGAGGCCTGAGCCTGAGGAGCTTCTTCTCTGGGAAGGAAGAGGCAAATGACAATCCAAGGCCAAGATTCACCTCTAAGAGCAAACAGTGGGCTCCAACTTTTGCACAGAGTAAGGACACTGCAGAGAGGCTGGGAGAAAAATGTATGCTGCCAACAGCACCTGGAGTCTCTTTGAGGGAAATACCTAAGTGAGCTACTCTGGAAGCCTCAACCCCACTAAGCATTTCAACTGCGGACTGGAGAGAGGACTGACAAATGGAATGCCAAATAAACATTAACTTGCAAGTGCATCAATGAAGAGAAAAAGGAGAATGACTGGACTCAAAAGGGATCAGGTGGACAGACTTATCAAAAGAAATGAGGTTCTGAAAATGATCGCAGGGCAAGTGTGAAGGTAGAGGAGAGGTATGCGGGAGTGCGCATGTGCATGTGCCTATGGGTGCATGTGTGCCCTCACAGCATATCCCTCCAACCAGGTATCTGCTCTGTGGCAAGAACCTGAAGAAAGGTAAGGTCGCATCAAACCAGGACAGGTGTCACTATGAACTGAAAGGGCACAGCAGGAAACTGACATGAACGGCAAGTGTCCACAGCCCACTGACAATATCTGAACCCAATTCTAGTTGAGTGGAGGAAAGGAACTTGAGTTTCTATACTTAAATTAAGAGGAAGGATGGAAGTCAGTCAAAATTAAAAGCCAGTTTGTGGATTCCAAACAGTGATATGCATTCCACAAGTGGGACACAAAATAATTCTAAGGTGGGATATGGATGACCACTTTCCATCTTAATGGTTACATGTTTATTTTAACATATATTAGAGAATAATACAGTGAGACCATTGAAGTCGTGTTCTTAGAGGTCTTATGTATCAGGATGAAGCCAGGGAAAGAAGTGAGTTGCTTTAAGGTTAACTTAAAGAAGTATATTAAATAAGTCACAGTGCATGAGCTATGTGGCTGTGGCACAAATGGTGAATGAGGGGTTATGTACATGACTGGCATTTGGGAAGCACTGAGCTAGGTGTGTCAGGAGGCCTCAAACTGAAATCACTGTTATATGGAAATATATACCTTTTTTCACAAATTATTACATTTGCATAATCGTTACCTGTACTTTAATGCCAAACAGTAAATTCAGCAAAGTGCTAGGATAAAGTTTTCTGTCTTTGTCCATAGACCAGACAAAGAGAAAGGTGAAGTGTGTGAAAACTTCACAGTGCATTATCATCTGCTCACCCGACAGTGACGGGTGGCTGGATTACAACCTGGGAGGGAGCAGGTCCCAGCAGAACCTTCCAGCTCCTAGCTCAGTCTTCCCCAGTCAACTCTCCCACTGCCCCCCCACAGGGTGCCTTCCATGCCGGTTTGGATAGTATGCTAGCTTCGCAGAAAAAAAGGGGTCTCTAAAACAAACCAATATATACACACAGACACCCATATAAATTGCAGTTAAAGAACACACAGACTTGCAGTTAAAATGTTTATTCTCTGAGAAAGGAGGGAAAGTTAGGCTCCCTACAAATATCTGAGCATATCTGTATGCTCCGGTCATGTTTCCAGGGAGCATTTCCTAACATTTAGAGAAAGGCCCTATTGTTCACTGTCTTCTCCTTTTGCATCCCCTGTCTACCATCTGCAGACATGGACAGAGCAGCTTGCTCTGCAGCTGAGACAGACCTGCTTTCACACATCCTTAACTTTCATCCTCTGCCTTGTGTGATAAAATTAATCTTGGACAAAGATCTAGCTGATTTTCTCCTGATCTCCATCTTCATTCTTATGAGCTCCCAGAGAATGCTTTAAAGCCTATTCCAAAGCTGCTTCTGCTTCATTCTAACCACATACCCAGCACTATTTTAAGCTTAGGGAATTTACCAATACTGTCTAGCCTCTCCTAATCTACACCGTACACTGATAAGTACAAAACATTAGGTGACCGTGGCTGTCCTGGAAACCTGAGAAGCACATTACCCCATAGCCTGATGCCTCATTCATTCAGCAGGTGTGAGTGAGGCCAGTTCTGTTCCAAGTGTTCCCTGGTACACTCGCAGGGGCCCAGGCCACGTGCAGACCACAGTGAGAATGACCCCAGCCAGATATTTAAAAGGAACACAGGCTACTGTTAGAAGGAAAGCCAATCCCAGGACAGGGTCAAAGTCCTGAAACGTTGTATATCTGTTGACCTAGAAATTATTCTAAGAATTTATCTAAAGAAATGTTCATGAAAAAAGAGCAGATTTAGTTACAAGGATGTTAATAGTAGCTTTACTTATAAAAGCAAAATATTTGAAACAACCCGAATGATGCTAAATATACCAAGGTACAGCCACATGATGAGATTCAATGACATCTTGAAGTGCAGTAAGGGTTTTGGGATGGGGAAGGTTTGCTTTTAGAAGTTATGGTAAGGAAGGCCACTACTTTAGAAATACAAGGGGATTAAATAAGCACCTTTTTGGTGACAAAAAGAAAGATACCAATCCAGATATGAAGCCTCTCCTCTTCAAGGCAAAGTAGCTCACTGTCCTGCCTCTGTCCCTTTACTGTACCTCACAGAAACGAGTTATAATAATGATGATGATGGCAATACCTGTGCCATTACCACCCAGCATTTACTGAGCACTGACTCTGCTCCTGGCAACATTTGAAGGGCCTTAATCCTCAGAACAACCCCATGAAATAGAAAGCATCAACCCTATTTTGCAGAAAAGGAGAATGGGGCCCTGAGATATTAGGTAACTTCCCAAGCCACTCACTGCTGATGAGCAGCAGAGGCAGAATCACACCCAGACGACCTGGGGCCAGAGTGTGTTTAACCACTGTGTTCTGCTACCTCTCTCAATGTGTATATCTCTAATGAAGCAGCTGTGATGCTGACTCACATTTGTAGTCACTTGTCTACCTTCCTTACTCAGTTTTGAACTCCTTAAAGCCAAGGTCCCATGCTTATATTCCCAGTCCCTGGTAGGTGTCGTGTAAACGTCAGCTGCATGAATGAACCATCCTTGGTTATCTGTGTGTGATTAAACGGTAACCAATAATGGTAGTAGCTGCTCTCAGTAATTGGCCCTTGCCATGTCCCAGGCCTTATGCCAGATGCTGAAATGCATAATTTCATTTAATTCGCATAACTTCCTATGAGTGGGTCCTATTATCCCTATTTTACAGATGAGCAAATGGAGGCTCTCTTAGAGCAAAGGCTGAAACAATACTGTATATTTTAGGGGTCAGTACCTGATCATTGCAAAGAACTCAGAAATCCTGAGATGAAAAACGGATGTGATATAATTGTGGTGATAACACACTGGTATTTGGAACAAGTAAGGTATTGTTCCCTAATTAATTCACTAATGAATTTCAAATATTTTTAGGTGTCGACTCCATGCCAGGCACCATGAAAGGTGGAGTAAAAGATCAAGCCGTACAAGGTCCCACCCTCACAGAGTCACATTCTAGTAGGGCATGTGACTCACACTAATGGGTATTTCATTACAACCGAGAAAAGGAAAGGACACTGGATCTATGGGAATTGCTAACAAAAGGGGAGCTTAAGAAGCAGTGCCTGAGCTCAGCTCTTATTGTGTAGGAGCAGGAGGAAAAGAGACTCAGCTGTTTGTCCACAGGTGATCTGGAAAGAGAATCCTCAATGGCAGCCCTTCTCTTTCATTCTCAATAATATTGCTTCCTGTCCTATCAGGGTTACTCAGCAAAGGCACTTGGGAGGGCACAATGATACAGTCTTCAAGGACACAAAAAGCCAGTAGCACACAGAGAAAAGCTGGAAGTGTCCACCCTGAGCCGTGCAGGTAGCATGGGATGTCCCTGAATGCCACGCTGGCCCTATGCAGCAAAGACTCACGTTTCTCTGTTGACTGAACGGTGTGGAAGAGCGTCAGGGGCCTCTCGCTGCAGGACGGGGGCTTGGAGTCACTGCTCTTCTTCCGAGACAGGTGCAGCTGGGCATTGGTGAGAGGCATATCGGGCACGGTGTTAAATATCTGCAAACGAAGTTTCACAACAAGGTTACTCACATCTGTGGACTGGGAAGAAAACAGGCCTGAAGCAGTACAACGGAAAGCTTGGCAGTGTCTTGGAATTAGCAAGAAAAGATCCGAGAAGACCACTGGCAGTTGTTCAAGACTTCATTTTAAACTTTTCTAGGAAATGGCATTAAACATTCTTGTTTGGAAGCTTATCCCAGAGTTTGATAACCACCCACTTCCATTTCTAACCTCTTCTGCCACAATTTCCACTAAGCGTCTTTTTATTGTTCTCTCCAGGGAAAAAGAAAGCAGCTGTGCTCAATAGAAGCCACTGTCTGTTAACAGCACTTGAAGTTTTTTGACTACCTTTGTCCAGAACCAATGAATCAAAAATTCCTTTATTTTTCTCCATTGGTTCTAAGTTCTTAACAATTACTTCACAACTTTCTTAAACTGTGAAACATGTATTTAAATAACATTTCACAAAGGGTCCCAGGGCAGGGCACCATTTCCCAATCCTCATCAATTGTCCTCAGCTGCAGCATCCTTTTCTAGTTCAGCAGCTCCGTGTTATCTGTGATGCTGAGCTTTTCCTCGTTTATCTTGATAAAAGTAACACACACACACCCACACACGTACTATGGACAATTTGAAAAATGCAGAAAAGTCTCAAGAAGAAAACAAAAAATTATCCCGATTTTACCACCTAGAGATAACCACTGTTAGCATTTAGGTTTTATTTATTTATAAGCTTTTTTTTTGGAGGAGGGGCTTTTATTCTTCTAAAAGTTCATGCTAAAAAATGAGAAGAAAATGATAGAAATCATGACAACTCTCATCTTTATTTCTACAGATAAAAGTATGGCAGACTTTAATAATTATAATAGCTAATACTTATATGGTGCTTACCATGATTATAGTAGCCACCACTTATTGCAGACTCCCTTAGGTACCAGTCGTCACACTGTGTACTTTTCATGTAGCTCACTCAGTTCTCAGCAATCCTGAGCAACAGGTAATGTCCTCAGCATTTTATAATGAAGAACTAAGGCTCAGGGAGGTTCAGTAGCCACAATTGTAGATACAATTTCAGAAGATAACAGTTTTTTTTTTTTTTTTTACCCCAGATTCCTTTTTAAATGGATACAATAATACTGATGCTCATTCATTCAATCAACACACACCTTTTAAGCATCTCTTTTATAGTAGGCACTATGGGTCTAACAGTGAAGGAGGCAAACACGTTCTGTGGTTAGAGAGTCTGCCCTCCTGTAGCTATGGTTTACTGAGTCCTTGCCACACCAGGCACTAAGTTAAATGCTTTGTATGAATTATTCCAGTTAATGTTAACACACACTTTTCATCATTGAAATTATATTCTTTATTCTGTTTGTATCATATAATTTCATCTAACATTATACAGTATTTCCTCATTCATTAAAAAAATCTTCAGACATGATTCTTAATGGCTGCATAACACCCCCACTATATATTGAAAAATCAAAATTTATGGATCCACTCATTACCATCTCTTATTCTTTGAAGTTGGTCTCCTCCCTCCTGAGTTTTCTCCTTCCTAACAGTCTCTGATGTGTCTAGGGCCACCTTTCACCCATGAGTGGCCCTAGACACATCAGTCTTTCTCATGGTCCTCTCTCCTTTTCTGTGTGCATTTAAAAACAGAACTCAAAAGCCGATGTGTAGGAAACAAAATCATAAGAATTATGAGAATTTCAGCCCAAACAGCTGCTCTCCATGGGTTGGCGGGTCCTCGGGCTCCAATGATGCCAGCCAGCTGGTTAAATCAGTCTCACTCCGAAACACAGCTGTCTGAAAACAGCAGTATCATATCTTCCCTAGAGGACTGAAAATTTTCAACAAGATAAACTGAATCACTACACGTAGCTGAGTTCAACTGGGGCAAGGGAATAAGAAGAGAAGGAAACCAAGTAAAAGCAAGAAAAAACTCCTAACTTCCCGAGCAGCTGGAACCCCAAAAAACAAGTTTACCAGTGCTATAAACATCTCTAGTCTCTTACTGAGCCTCTATAATAGAAAGAAAAGCTCAAGGACTGCAACCTCTAAGAAGCTTTCTCCCTACTGTTTATTTTGGCCATCCCCTGGTGACAACCTCACTGTGTACCATTATCATTGACATTTAAAAATGGCTACTATGTATGAGTTTTGCACCTACCAGGCACTATGCTAGGCAGATGCATCCCATGATGCATCTCTAAGCTGGAGGCCAACAGCATAGCAAGTTGGATGACTATCTTACAATGCCACACAGCTAAGCAGGAGAGTGACCAGGAGTGAAGTCCCAGGGCTGCAGCAGCCATTCATTTGGCTAATCTCCAGGCAATCTTCACTACAAAAGCTGGTGTCCCAAACATACAAGGATGTGTTTCAACCTAACAGTGTCTTCTAGTACCTTTCTGCCTCTGGCCTCAGTTACAGCACCTTCAGCAATCCCTAGCTAAGAGCATTTGAAAATGAATTCAGAGTTAGCGATAGGCCTGGTTCTCATTATTTTCCCTCTCATCCTGCTTTGCCTCTGGCCTCCAAATTTTGTCTCTTTTTTTTCTAATGAGTTACTGAAAATGAGACCCTTACCCAATTACAATGGGAGCAAAAATAACATGGACTTCAATTTCAACTGTCAACAAAAATGTGAGCTTTTACTATTTCCTGAGAACTGTAGTAAATGCTGGAGAAACAAAAAAGAGTAACTGGTGAGGAAGGACCATGGCTTTAGACAGATGCGTGAAAAATTGCTTCCAAGACAATATTTATATACAGCAGAGCAGGAAGAGACATGGTAACAAACAAGGGAGAAGTTCACTCTGCTCATCAGCTGTTTCCTCTAAAATAATTAAGTTATTCAAGCATAAGAGAATCAGCTCTACAAGGAGATTTTTGCCATGGGCAAGAGCCATAGTCCCAAGGGTCAGTTCCCTGGGTCTCATTGTGAGCCAGGACCAGGCTCCTGAAGACCGCTGATAGGGCTATTCTCAGGATCAAATGAGATAATGTGCAAGGAAGCACACTGCAAAATGTCCAGTGCCAGACATGTGATTATCATAATTACTATTACACATTCTTCCAAGGTACAGGGTGCTTTTGCAAATTAGATCAAGTCAGGGCAGACGACACAAACTTTCATTAATGACTCTGGAAAATCATTCCCCAAGTGACTGTTGTTTATTTAACTCTGACACTTGAACACATGCAAATTGTTTAAAGCCTGCTGACTGTCTGGCCACGGGTTTGCCTCTATGCTAAAGGCTCGAGTTGGGATTCTAATGAGAATCTGAATTATTCACAACTTTGTTGGTTATTCCAATCCTATTTCATTTTGGAAGGGATGATTTCAAGAGAATCAAATGAAGTTTTCTTCAGTCTGTAGAGAAGAATCACTGTGCAAACAACCCTGCTGAATGACGGAAGCAGGAGCTCATATAACCTATGAGCCATGGATTTATGGAGCTCTACCATGTGGCTGGAACAATCTACTCATTTCACAGAGACTTTCCAAATTAACACAAAAGGGGGAGATTTATTTTCTGCCCCAAGTGCCCTGTTAATACTGTCCAAACTCACAAAGTAATTCCGACTTAGTCAGGAATGTCTTAGAGATAAAAGTAAGGAAGACTGTAAGCCTTCTGGAAGCTATTGGGGAATAAAATTGTAAAACAAAAATATAACTCTGGGTAACTCTTCTAAGTATCCCCAATTTCAAGCTTCCTGTAAGTGGAATTAGCAGATCCATAAATACCAAGCTACTGTTTCGCCTTAAGCTGCAAGTCACAGTGGTCAGGGATGGTTTGGCCTCTGCAGTCAGACAAACCTGGGCTGATCTTGGTTCTGCTTCTCATTCAGTGGGCAGCAACACCTACAGCTACACGGACCTCACCATCACTGACGCTGACATCACTGCCATATCATCACATCAAATACAGGAAAGGAACTTAAGATCATCATACAGGTACAAAGCAAACAGGCTTTGGAGCTAGACAGAGTAGGGTTCAAATCCTGACTTTGCTACCTACTAGCTATGTAATCTCAGTCAAGATAATTAACCCTTCTGAGTCTGTTTCCCTTGTGCAAGCAAGGATCTAATACCTGCCTTGCAGAGCTACTGAAAAGACAATGCACATAAAATGCTCAGTGCAGTATGTGGCAAAGAGTAGGCATGAGATGGTGGTGGTATAAATGACAATAAAAACAGAATTTGAGCACTTATCATGCTCAGTTATTTACATGGATTATCTACATGGATTATTTTACTCACAATAACCATGTAAGGGAGGTACTATTATTCTTGCCCTCTTGAGATGAGAAAACTGAGACTCCTTGAGATTCACTGATTTGTCCAAGGTCACATAGATAAGGAGTGCAGCTGGACTGGGACCTAGATGGCTTGACTGTCTGGGTCTTAAGCACTTGTGGTCTTTATAGCTACTATTAATTTGAGAGACAGAGGACAAAATGGGAAGACATAAGTTTTGGAGTCTGGCGGATCTGATTTTAGTCACTTACTAGCGCTGTGACCTTGGGCAAATTATGTAACTCTCTGACCTTCAGAGACCTTATCTGTAAAAAGTCCCAGGACTGTGGTGAGGACTGACACGCCTAATACAGTTTGACATTCAGTGTTCAAAAGATATTACTGTAGTCAATAAAAAAGGAGACACACAAGAAGGGAAATAACTGGAGATTCAACAATGGATTATTTGCAGTCAGGACATGAGGATTTAATTTATAAGTGTAAATATAATTACTGTTCTTTGCAAAACATTGATCTTAACTGTTTACAGCAATGACAGAATTTCCTGTTCTTATTCCCTTGCACTGTCTACAAAATTTAAATTTCACTGATTCCCCCTCTGGCCCATCTTGACATTGCAGAGCATTGACACTTGTGGAATCTGTTCTTATCCATGTCACATACACATTTTTAGACCTTCTTCAATCCCATCTGTCACATGCGCCTGCAATTTAAAAGGATTAGGAGTCTCCCTGTAATGTGTGTGGTGTACTCTTTATTATGTGCTGTGATTTTTATGGGAGGGAAATTAGGTCATGACGAAGAGCTCCTAGTCTACAACTGCAAAGTAGCTCTGAGACAATAAATCAACAGCAGAGGCCTGGGGATTACAAAGCAAAACAGAAAGGTTTATACGAGAAATGAGACTGAGCATTTTCTCGAGACACAAATGTACCAGGGTCCCTAGTAATGTGGGATTGGTTTGTTTGACGCATTAGGAAAGTAGACCTACAACAGTTGAGCACAGCTCACTCCTTCTCATGACAGACAATGGGACCGAGGACTGCGTGGTGCTCTCAGAGAAGCCATAAACCCAGCACCTTCACAGTGGAAGCCAGGCAAGTCTTAGCAGGGCTTATGTATTGTAACTGTTAAGAAGCCAAATTCAGAGGCTGTAACTGCAGAGGTTTTTTAAGGACAGTTGGAAGTCCTATGTCCTGTTGATATCAGCATTTTGGCAGAGGGATCAACAATTTAGAAAGTAGTTTGGGTAGTTGTATTAAAAATCTCTCAAAAGGAACCAATTACATTAGTAACTGAGGGTATATATAGACAGCTTGGGTAATCCATGGAGAGCTGTGATTTTCCATATCTCCAGAAAGATTCTATTTCCTGTTCTCTTTGCTGACAAAGATGGATAGATTAAAATACAACAACAATCTCCACCTTTATTTGAGTAATATTAAAGGAGCTTCACAATTCAAACAATTATTGGTTTATCTGGGATTTATTGGGGGGAATATATGTGTTCAAATGCACAACCTACCTTATCACATTAATGAAGAGTATCTTACACAGCACTTGTCACTAAAAAAAGAAAATAGCCCTGTGGCAGAAGCATTCTAGCTCAACACCCAAGTAAATCTAGCTTGCTTCTGAACCCTAACAAGGAGAGGAACAAAAAGAGTACAAGCAAGAACCATTGGAAGGGAAGTCAACAAAAAATTTAAAAATAAAAATTGATGAACAAATTACAAAAGCCATGACCACAGGACAAGATTAGCTTCCTGAGCAGGCAAGAGTACCAATGACTATTTCAACATAGTGAAGCATCCAGTCATACCTTTTTATTAATTTTGCATATCAACAACTGTTTGAAATATCAAAGAAATAAAATGCGACTTCTAAACACCTGTCAGTTGCCAAACCAACTATATTAACTAATGTACATTTTGTGCACAAAGTCCAGAACTAGTCCAATGGATTTCAATGTCACCAATATTTTGGTAAAAGCAGATCAAGGCAGATTGGTGGCCCAAATCAACTCAAATTGAGCTAACTACATTGTAAGTCACTAGCATTTTATTGGGAATGCGAGGTTGCTTAGGATTTAGTGCTTAGTCCAGGTGTTAAGTGGGGGTCATCCATGATTGCTAGCTCCTCTCCTTGACATCTGAGGTTGAAAGTTAACACATTAAAAAGGGGCACCGATCTTTGGGGATTTCTGAGAATTAACAGCTCAATGATCAACACTCCCACCTCTTCCAAAGCTAACTGATGGACTAGGGAAGGAATTATTATAACTTATTTTGTCAAACATTAATAGGCATCAAAAGAGGCAATGCTGGCAAAAGCCTGTGGTACATAACACATGAACACACACATATCCTGCTCCATGTACAGAAACCGTTTCGAGTGCCACAGCCACAAGACACAGCATGGATTGTTACAGAACAAGTGCAATCCTACTATTATGTGTTGGAATTTAATAGCAAGGGGACACACACACACATACACTAAGTAGCCTGAAATTTCATGTTGAACCAAAACTATGAAAAGCAAGCAGTTTGTTTTCTTGATATGGTTGTCCTTCTTAAACATCTAAAATTGTCATAGTCATTAGCAAGTAAGCGTTTAAAACACTAAGTAAAGGGAAAACCTTGTAATAAATATAATTTCTGGGCTTTGAGATCTTGGACCATGACAGCATTCAATATTTTGTTTGAAAATCTTAGCTGGAAGCATAAAAATATTGGTTGCTTTAACCATAACCTTAAGTTTTTGCCTACTTTATGTTTTAAGACTCAGTGTGATAAGGTGTGAGTTTGGAGAAAAGATTCTGTTCATACGGAAATGGTAATTTTGCATAACTGACTGCTACCTTAACATAGCGTGGGAAGAGCCAAAATCTTTGCCATCTGAGCTTTCAACTCAGAAACTTGACTGTAGCTAAAAAGAGCTACACCATCAAATCTACTCTTTAGTTCTCATATAATTCAAGGAGAGTCCACGGTAAGGAGTCACTAATAGGAAATGATGCTATGAGCTAGTATTTCCCCTTAGGAAGTCTGGCAAAAAGAAACAAATTAAGAATCTCTCTCTAACCTCCAAGCAAAGCCTGTAGGTCAAAGGTGACACTATCTGAGCTGCAAGTTTAGAACAGTATGGTTAACTCTATTGTGTTATTTGTTTAATGTGTGATTTTGATGTCAGCAATCAAAGTACTATTTGGTTCAGCTTCCAAGGATGTCTTTCTAAAGTGCTGACATAATCATTTTAGCCTCCACTTGGAAACTTCTGAGAGCTCCCAGTTTTCAGAAGTCAGTTCAAAACCTTTTCCTATAGTTTTCAGGACCCTTAGCAAATGGACTGAATCCAACTCTCTGGCATCATCACCCACTACTTGCTAACAACCCACAGTCTTTCACAACCATGCCATTTTAATACAAACAACTTGATTAATGCTGCTCCTCTGAGTGGCTGTCCCTCCTATCTCTACTCTTTCTCTGCCTAGAAAACTTCCATTGATCTGTCAGAGCCCAATGCCAGTAGAATTAAATTATTTATCCTCAGTGATGCCATAACACTTTATTCATCTTACTGGAGGTCATTTAGCACACTGTATTATAGTTAGTTCTATCTTGATAAAATGGGAGTGCCTTGAAAAATGAAGGACCTATTTTACTTATCTTTGGCTAATGGTAGATATTCAATAAAATGCTTACTGCACTGAAAAGAGATTAACTAGAGTAGATTTTAATAGCTTGGGTTCTGAGAGTAGTACTAAGTTCAACCCCTGTTCCTCTCCTAATCAGCTGCTTCTTAAAGTGTCTGCACTTCAGGCTTATAATTTGTAAAAACAGAGCTAAAAATATCAATTTTATAGGGTTGCTGTGAAAATTGAATGATGGATATAAAGCTGCTTAGCACAATATCTTGTAAACAATAAGCTGTAAGTAAAAGTTAGCTATTACTATCATCATTATTATTTCTGGACTGTATTCATTTAAAGGATTCATTAATTTTAATTGAGTAAACAATCAGTATGTATTACCAACATGGAAAAAGAAAAATTTCCATGAGCCCCCAAACATAATATCATATCTCCTAGCTGTTTTCCTCTCTGTCTCCTCCTAATCTAGGATATTTATTTCCCAGAATTGTGCCAAACACTGCTTCCCTCCCAGGTCCGTGAGAGAGGTGGAGGACAGAAGTTCTGGACCATTGTGACAGGGTAAGCATGTCGTTAGTGCACTCTATCTGACCAAACACAAGTTGTGTGTGAAACACATCACTATGGCTCCCAGGAGGAAGATATAGATGGATTCTCTGGGTTGGGGGGAGAGGGTGTTTCTAGACTTGCAGGTACTATCTTGAGGATGTGTGGGTGTGAGTGACAAAATAAAGGAGATCATGTTCACTATTAACCCTCAGCTGAATGTCTAATGTTAACCCTTGGAAAACAACAGAAAGACAGGTAGGCAAAGAGAGAAAAGATTGTATGCCTTAGCTAGTTAGAACACAGAGGTCTCTTACCTTCTATTGAAAAAGAGGTGTTTTACCAGGTTAAAGAAACTGAATTACCCACTTCTCTTTCCTTTTTCTTTAATGCCAATCTTAAAAATGTTTTTCCAATTTTAGATATTTATGAGTTGGTTCTCCATACCAAGGCTCACAAAGGGCATTTAAGGGCTGAAATTGTCACTACCACCAGATGCCTGAGGCTCCTGGTTGAATAAAAAATGGCAATGCAGAGAGGAGGCGGAAAAGCACTCTCCATAAAAACACTGGGTTGCTACCCATGCTCAGCACAAACCACTGATAAGAAAGCAGAGTCATTCCTAAAGGGAACTAAATGCAAACTTGCTGGGTACCATAGATCCCCTGCAGAGATAACGGTCAACAATCCTCCCACGCCTGTGTGCACACACTGCTCCTCCCACCCAGAGGTGGCATCTAGCTCCCCCTGCCTTGAATCTGGCTGGACTTGTGACTTGCTTTGGCCAACAGAATGTGACAGAAATGATACTTTGCTCCAGGCCTAAGCCTTAACAGCCCTTGCTGCTTCTGTGTTTGCCCTCTTGGAACTTGGGGCTGGACTCCTGAATGATGGGACAGCACCTGGAAAGAGGGGGGTCTTGTGGCAGAGGATCAAGGCATTCTGGTCAACACCTAGTACCAAAGTCCCAGCTGTGTGGAGTGAGGCCACCTTGGACCCTCCAGTCCCAGTCAAACCAACCCAGCTGATACCACAAGGGGCACACATAAGCCCTTCTCAAATTTCTGACTCACAGAATTGAGAGTAATAAAATAATTGCTATTTTAAGTCACTAGGTTTGGAGATGATTTGCTATATAGCAATAGAAAATTAAAACATCTCATGGCTCTCTTCGTCTCTCCGTCAATGGAGTGGCTCCAATGGCTAGATGCCTAGGTTTCCACACCTTCTTTTCAGTGCTATGTTCCATTTATTCCTAGAGCCCTCCTAATGATTATTCCGAAGCACAAAGTAAATACCTTATATAAGATGTTAACAACATGAGAGAATACTGTGCTAGTCGCTATGGGGGGTATATACTTTAGCCCTGTAGTAGGGCTTGTTTCAAGCAAACTTGTTTCACATGAAAAGGTGCTGCTGGAAAGCATTTCTTCAAATAGGGTTTCAGGATTTTGTCTAACTTTTGACACTAAGACTAGACAGAAGAAGAGTCACCCCTAGACATTGTGTGTTTGTGTGTGTGTGTGTGTGTTTCTATTACAGAAAATTAAAGCCAAGTCTAAGGAAATGGTTGGTAAGTATTAACTAAGACCTTAAATACTATGAAGTTTTATGTTCTAAAACATTTTATTTATTTATTTTAGATGCAGGATCTCACTGTCACCCAGGTTGGAGTGCAGTGGTGCAATCATAGCTCACTGTAACCTTGAACTCCTGGGCTCAAGTGATCCTCCCACCTCAGCCTCCCATAGCTAGGGCTTTAGGCATGTGCCACCATATCCAGCTGATTTTTCATTTTTATTTTTTGTAGAGATGGGGGTCTTGCTATTTTGCCCAGGCTGGTTTCAAACTCTTGGCTTCAAATGATCCTCCCACCTTAGCCTCCCAAAACACTGGGATTACGGGTGTGAACCACTGTGCCTGGCCAACATTGTGGATTTTAAAGAGTAAGTCTCCGACAACATCCTTCTGAGGACATAAAATTGCTCTGGATTTGATGGTTAAAGTTAAGTTCTATTGGCAGGGAGTTTATACAAAGTGTTATCTCCAGAAAGCCAGAGGCCAGAGCACAGCCACGGATGCTTAGAATTGCTGTGAGTTGAACACCACAGACTTCCAAAAAAGACTGAGGGAGCATCTCCTTACTTCATACCAGGCTAGGCCTGAAGCTACAGTGAAAAAGGAGTCAAGATGGCTTATTCCAATTGCTCTCACAAAGACGACAAACCCTATGAATATGAAGGATGACCTTCCCAGAGTAATGTACATGTTCTGTTCTCAGAAGTCAAATACCATGACTTTGGCAATATTCTATTGATCACATAGGCTAGCTCTATTCAGAGGTGGAGGGGGCTACACAAGGGAATGAACACTGGTGGACAGGATCACTGGGAGCCATTTTGGAGGCTGGCTGTCACATTCACCCAAAACCAATGTACTAGTGCCTACTGAGGAACAAAACACAACGTCCCTGCTTTCCTGAAGCACACATGCTTGAAGAGGTCAGAAAGCCAATGGATCTAATCAGTAAGTAAATTTTATTACATGCCCTATAATTTGTGAAGTCCTATGTGTTAAATAAAATTGATAGGAGGCCACTGGTTTGGACTGAGCTCCTGCCCTAGGCTCAAGAGACCAAATCAAAATGCAGTTACTTCTGCTGAAGTTCTATGCCATCAAGCCAAAAATAAGTTGTTTGTCTGACCTTCCAATAAATGAGGGGAGAGATAACAGGCAAATCCCCAAACAGGCCAGTTTTAGTCAGCACTGAAGGAAGTCCCCTCTGCTTTAACTTTTACAAGGAAAGTAACTTCAAAACAATTAATCTGCTTTTTGTTCTCTTCTTTAGCCCTTTTCTGTCTATAAAGCCAACCTCCTCTGCTCAGCTCCTGGAATATTCATTCTATTTTACAGAATGAGGTGTTGCCCAATTCTAGAATCGCAAATAAAAGTCAATTAACATCTTTAAACTAAACTTGTTGTGATTTTGTCTTTTGATATGAAAACAGACTAAGTGGAATAAAAGGAAAAGGGAATGCAGGAAGTTGGGATTATAATTTTAAACAGAGAGATCTAGGTAGGCTTCACTTAGTACACTTGAAGGAAGGGAGAAGTATGCCATGTGGTTTTATGGAAGAACAGTGTTCCAACCACTGGGAACAGCAACTGCGAAGGCCTTGAAGTAGGAATGTGCCTGTGGTGTCCAAGAAACAGCAAGGCAGAAACAAGATGGCTATAGGAGAGATGCAGGAGACGAGATCAGGTAGTAACAGTAAAAGGACAGAGACTATGTGGGCAAATGTATGAAATGGGAAGCCACTGGATAATTCTTAGGAGAAAACTGATACCATCTGGCTTAACATTAAAAAAAATCTCATTCTGGTGGCTGGTATCAGAATTGTCAGGCCAAGGGTACAAGAAAGAAACAAATTAGGAGGCTCTTGTAAAAAGTCAGACAAGAGGTAGTGGTGGCTTACAACATTATCAGTGTACGTGGTGAGGCATGGTCAGATTCTGGATTTATTGTGCATGATTAATTTGCCATTCTAGGCAAAGTTTTTATTTAAGAGAAACAGCATTTTTTATTAGATTCCAGATTTGTTGCTGCCAAATGGTGCTTTAGGGAACCCTGCACAAGTTCTGAGAAGCTTCATATGGATTTGCTCATAAGAGCAATGAAGTGGGTGAGAGGACTGCAGCTTTATGTCCCCTCCCCAGTTTTACAAGGGCAGCTCTGCGTTAATATTCTTCAAATTGGGGGATGAGGAAAACCTTCGAAAGAAAGACTAGGAACCCCAATTCCCCAAAAGAAAAGACAGACCATAAAGACACGCGCACACAAACGGTACAAAAAATACAACACCATTTATAAAACTGAAAGACAAACTATAGGTCAAAATATTTGCAACACAAATGAAGAAAGTTTAATATCCCTAAAATTTAAAAAACTCATAAATTCATAAGAAAACAATCAAGTAAGAAATGGGCAAAGCATGTTTCCAAAATGAGGTTCATAAGAGTACTTCCTTCATTGAATTGTTGTGAGGATAAAATAACAATATACATATAAAGTATTTAACACAGTTCCTGGCACATAATGCTCAATCAATTTTACCCACCACTGCCACCACCATAACCATGGCTGTTGTCATTGTAACTACCACGGTTGACACCTTTACCACCAACCTTACATTATCATCACCACCATCACTACCACCACCAGCAACTTCATCGTCATGACAGTGTAAGAGTGATTAGCAATGCAAATCTGAGCCAACTCTGAAGGTCAATTCCAATGCAGCTTCCCCCCAGGTACATTCTTCACTGCAAGTGATCAATTACATATTACCTTTTCGTGGTTTTCTATTAGGATCTCAATGACAATGTTCTGAAATTTGATGTCCATGATGGCTGCTACTGTTTCTTCCTGAGGCCTCAGCAGAGTGGGTCCAAACACCACACCAAGGTTTGCCACCGTCATCAAATTCTGCTTGTGGTTGTTAGCAACACTGGGAGGAAGGAAAAGAAAAGGTACCAATGAGACAAATCGTGTACACAGAGATACCAACCACCCTGTATCCTTCCTATCTTCCTATTTATAGACTCCTCATCTGTAGGAGCCAGAACTTGGGTCATCGTCAGATGCCACAGGAGTCAGAAAATCTACCACATTTCAGAAATCTTCAGCATCCAGGCTATTTTGCTATTTCAGGATATGACACGCTTTATCATTTCCATTTTGCCTAGAACAACCAACCAACCAAAGCAACTATCTGCCAAATTACTAACCTTTGAACATCTGAATCCCTGTTTTGCAAGTCCAGGTAACTGCTAATCCCTCTTAATTACAATTTATGTACTTGGCAGCTGCTTAAACTGCAATCGTTAGCATTTTTCTCCATGGCAAATGTAAAACCTCTTGATGGCTTTAATACATTTGCAAACATAAGCATTAAATAGACATAATTTTTTAAATGGGCAGATCTGGATATTTAAAACCAAGTAAGGAAATTCAGCACTTTAGATGTAAAGTATTAAAGGCCGATCAGATTAAACATATGGCTCACATTAAGTGAAACAGGGCATAAACAGAAATAAAAATGCACTAGTGTATATTCATCTATATGGCTGTGTTTATATTGTCACTTACACTCAAAGTCTAACAAACACACAGGGTCAACAGTCGCTGACCCTGTGAGTAATTTGCTAAAGACGTAGGCATATTTTTGAATAAACAACTACTCAAAAGATGTATCTGAACTCCATACCCAGGCCACCAGGACCTAGCTATAAAACTCGATTGTTCACTTGCTGGCCCCATGTATAAAAACATATAAATCATCTACTTGGCAACAAATAAGTTAAAAGTTAATGCCATTCAGTTTTGTTGAGACAATATCAAGAGCTTCCCTAAATCACCTGTTACAAGAAGGAAGCTATTCATTACTAACTTGAAACTAGAGACAAATTGGGTAGAGATAGGCAGTTTGCACAGACCTACCTCCCTAGCATTTAGTGCTATTTATATGGAGTATTTTTTCACACAATTCTATAAATGCCTGCAGTGTTTCTCACTGTTTCTCTGGTCCACTTTTTTTTTTTTTAAGGAAGAAAAGAGATTATACTGCCTTAAGCGCTGGTTTTTAAACTGAGCCTTTATTGAAATACCATATCAACCAATTTTATTAGCAGATGTGTACTTTTCTATAATTTTTTTAGGGCTGAGTTTAACTTCCTCCTCTAAAGGTGGGCAGAGCATGGTTAGGTTTATGAAACTTTAACTGTGGCACAGCCCAGTTAGAAAGAGGATTTGCTTTTTGATTGCTAAGCAACACCTGCAGCAGGGAGAGTGGCCTGTTTCTGGTCCACATAAAGAATATTTTACAAACATTTTCTTAGTTCTTGCTGAGTCTCCTGGTTTTACTTATGTTTTCCATTCTACCCAGAATTACATCACATTTCCAGTTTGACAAAGTTAATGCAGATGGTCAAATTCTGACCTGGCAAGGGGGAGAGACTTCGGTTCTGTGCCTCAGTCAATCAGCAAGTATGCATATTTACAAGCTGCTTTTAACATCACTACTTTCAACATCAGCTCCTCTGTGTGGCAAGGAAATTCTATGTCCTTATACTTCCCCTCCCAAAAGAGCTAAGTCATTAAACTTAGCCTCTTGTCACAAAAGTCCCGTGTGCAAGTGAATCAACAAGCTATTTTTTTATGAAAGTACCTTCAAATTGTAGACCAATATAAAAATACACGGTTTGGATGATGATCATTTTTCCCCGTCAGGCTTCTCCACACTACATCTGACTAAAGTAACAGCCTCCTAACTAGGGTTCCTGACCCAAGAACCTCTAATTTCAGCTTTATCCTCCCTGCTATCAGCAGTTCCACCTAAAACTCAGCTCTCACACCTCCCCTGGGGAGAACACAATGGCATGGCACATGTGAATGTTTAGCAGTGCTTTTATTGTTTAATTGTTCTGATAATGACGACTGTAAACCTGTAGTGGGCCCCACTGTTTTTCTTTCTTCTTTCTTTTTTTTTTTTTATTATTATACTTTTAAGTTTTAGGGTACATGTGCACAATGTGCAGGTTTGTTACATATGTATACATGTGCCATGCTGGTGTGCTGCACCCATTAACTCGTCATTTAGCATTAGGTGTATCTCCTAATGCTATCCCTCCCCCCTCTCCCCACCCCACAACAGTCCCCGGTGTGTGATCAAGGCCTTTCTCTGTCATCCAGGCTGGAGTGCAGTGGCATGATCATAGATCACTGCACCCTCACACTCCTGGGCTCAAGAGAGCTTTCTGCCTCAGCCTCCTGAGTAGCTAGGACTACAGGCATGCGCCACCACACCTGGCTAGTTTTTAAATTTTTCCGTAGAGACAGAGTCTTGCTATGTTGCCTAGGCTGGTCTTGAACTCCTGGTCTCAAGTGATTCTCCCAGCTTGGCCTCCCAAAGTGCTGGAATTATAGGCGTGAGCCACTGTGCCTGGCCTGCCCGACTATTTTTAACACAAAGACTGAACTCTTATAAAACAGCATACCTTTCCTCAAATCACCACTAGGCCTGCCTGTGCCACCTCCCAGCTCTGGGTGTCTGGGCAGAGTGACTCAATCTTTCTAAGCTTTGGGTTCCTCATCTTCAAAAAAAAGAAGAAGTTGGGTGAATAACATACCTACTTCATGTGAATGTTGTACAGATTAAATGTGAGAATGCATGGGATATGTGGTAATTATCATACTAATTCACTTTTCACTCTCATTCCACTTCCACACCTCTCTGCCTTTGTCCATATCATTCCTCTGCCTGAAATGTTCTTCTGCTGCTTTCTTTGCTTGGCAAACTGTTAATATGCAAGGCTCAGCTCAAATGGCCCATTCCTTTCTGTACTTTCCTTTCACCTTTCTCCAATCCTCTATACCCAGTGAAGGCAGAAGTGTTGGCCTGCTCCTGCATTTATTACACAGTGTTGTCATCCCTACCAAGGCCTGAGAAGAGGAAGTATGGTATTTTATTTGGTAGCACCAGTGCTAAGCACACTGCTTGGCACAGGAGGTGCACAATGAGCTTTCACTAAGGCAATAAAAGATGAGGAGAGTTTCTGAGTAGGCCTAAAACAATTATTCCCAACCCAGCTACTTACTCATTAAACTTCAAATGATTTTTGGGGAATGTATCTCAACTATCCCAACCTCCCTTATCAAAGTCTTCAGCTATGTTCCATTTCTTAGACTTAATTAATGAGTAATAATTACTCTGATTTGCAGGCCCCAGTGCCCAAAGGCATTTGGAAAAAAGGTATATTAATTCTGGATTAGCAACTCTGAATATAAATAAGCTTGAGGTTACCCAGCATAATTCATTTCCCTTTTAATGATCCATGTTATTTTAGAACTTAAAAGACACATTGATCTAAGTCTTAGGAAACTTTTTTTTGGGTGGGAAGAGTTACACCTTTCATTATTAATGACCATTATCTTTCGGCACACTGAAGTAATAAATTGATCCATCACTTGATTATTACTGCTCACAACTTGGTACAGCTATGTTCATTACTCCAGAATGAATTATTAATGGCTTGAGATCTCTATGTATCCCGGACAGAAAGGCCTAGACGTCAGCCTCTGCAGGCACCAGCCATCCATTATAGCTCGATGAATTTACAGATGCATGGGAAACAGGCTGGCAGAGCACTGCGGAGCCGGTCCAGCAGAGGCCACGGGACTCGTTCATTAGCAAGGTCTATAAAACACAGAGAACCTGCTCTTTTGTCAAATTGAGCTGTCTGAGTTCCTCCTCACATGGCTCAGAATGTCATGTTGAGTCTTGACTTAAAATCTACACAGAGAAGCTTCTTGTACACTTCATGTTGCAGTGAAGGAGTCTTTGACACATGCTTTTCAGATCCCTACATCCACGTGGACTACTCTGCTGTGGCGTCTTTTGAAAGAACTGCCAATTCTACAGGCTTCCTTTGGCTGCTGCAGAGAAACAGTTTTGCATGTGATATTCACTTGGGAGAGATCCAGTTTCTTCTGTGATCATCAGAATGGCTGCATCCACTGAGAAGCAGTGGATCTCCCGAGGGGCATGACTTCAGGGCAGTTGTTGGGGGTAGGGAGGTATAGGTACCCCATGTTTCAGGCAGTTCCCGCATGAACTGGATTCAATGAGGAAAGAGCATGTTCCATGAAAATGGCCTTGGCAGAGGGGCCTCTTGCCACCTTTGCTTTAAGAGGAAATAGATGGAGACTCTGTTTTGGTCTGATGTCCTTTGAGAGGCAGAAGGAGGTAAATCACTTCCAGATAAAGATGGTGGTGGGGATGGTGGCAGAGGGAGCATTATGATGGGAATAGCAGTAGCCAACCCTTGTAGGGCTTGTAAGGCAGAGACCCCCAGGCTGTCATAGGGATCACATCTGTTTTCCTAGAGTTTAAATGAGAGCCAGAGCTCTATAAGTGCTAAGCAGTACTTTAAAACACCAGACTGGTCCTAAAGTATTCCAACAATACATAAGCTTATTGTAGGGTTTGGAGATAAGTTTCATCTTGAGGCCTAGAGTGTTATGTTGAAAAATGTCAAAGAGGAGTACTGGCTCCACTGGATACAATGTAGTGACAGATTCACAATGTACCATGGGTTGGATGGGTGGAGCAACAGCTCATCCCACTTATCCACCATCCCTTCCTTGTTTGCTTCACCTTCCAATATTAAACAGGAACTTAGGCTTACAGAGCATTTTAGACTTTTTAAAAAAGCTCTACAACAACTTTTTACATTTATCTGACCTATATAATAACTCTATAATAGTAGCGCTCAAACTTTCTGACAATGACCCAAGGTAGGAAGTATATTTTACCAAGCAATACACACATACATAAACAGACAGGCACACACCCCCACACTATATCAGAAACAAAAGTTTTCAGGAATAGTAAGTATGACACACTCTGATATTTCTATTCCCATCTTATCCTGTCGATTCTATTTTTATCCAATAAATTGTTTTCATGAGCCACTTATATGCCGTGAACTACTATTTGAGAAATACTGCTATAGAGGTATAAAGTGCAAATATTCTCTCCAATTTGCAAATTTGGACAATAAAGCTAAGGGAGATCATAGCACAGTAGTTGGAATAAGACAGACATTAACAGCTGGATGGCAGCAGGCAAGTCACCTGGCCTCTCTAAACCTGTTTCCTCACATATAAAATGGGAGCAATAATATGTAGCTTGTAGCTTGTAAACTTGAAAGGCTGATTAAGTATGATTCTGCAAGTAAATCCCTTAGCATGAAATAATGGCTTAATAAATGACATCTGCTCTTGTCATGGTGGCTGTCGAGGTAGTGCTGATGAAAGTGGTAGCAGTAGCAGCAACTGCCAATTTAAAGCCACACTGTTAGTTGGTAGTTTCGCTTGGTATCCTGCCCAGGAACCCCTAGTGGCCTGCTTCTGCTTGGGGCAAGAGGTTGCATCTTCTCCACTTATGTTTCAAAGACTTCTGTACCCTACCTATTTGTATTTCTCCTCTTTTCATTCTTTGGTGTAAAAAAAAAATATGAAATACTTTGAATCTATAGAAAACCCCAAATCATAATAGTACGTCTTTTCTTTCTTTCGTTTTTTGTTGTTGTTGTTGTTTTTGAGATTAAGTTTCACTCTTGTCGTGCAGGCTGGAGTGCAATGGCGTGATCTTGGCTCACTGCAACCTCCGCCTCCTGGGTTCAAGCAATTCTCCCACCTCAGCCTCCGGAGTAGCTGGGATTACAGGTGCATACCACCATGCCTGGCTAACTTTTGTATTTTTAGCAGAGACGGGGTTTCATCATATTGGCCAGGCTCCTCTCGAACTCCTGACCTCAGGTGATCCACCTGCCTCAGCCTCCCAAAGTGCTGGAATTACAGGCATAAGCCACTACACCTGGCTATAGTACTTATTTTCTATCACTTCCCTATAAGTACTTCTGGCACAACAGGCTGAGAGCCTCACATGGAGCCAAAGCAAAGCCACCAAACTCACTCTGCCTTCATGACACCAACAACATCATGCCCCTAGCCTGCCCAGCAAGTTCTCCCCCACCATACAAAGCCCACCACCCTACAAAGAACAGTTCTGAGCACTCCACTGACCATTGGAGGCCATACCAAGCTTTTTCCTCTAAGAGATACGTCACGGTCAATCCCATGGGACATTTCTACACCAGCTGCTCCCCTGTTCACAAATACCTTAGGACTAGGGGCTGGATCATGACCTTGGAATGCATCTTCTGCAGAACACAGGCAGGTGCTGGGGTAGGCCTGAGATGACCAATTCTGAAAGTATTATAGGTAAGTGGGTGGGTAACTAAGCTGCAGTCAATATCACCCTTCTCTCTACTACCCTCTCAGAGAAGCTCCAAGCTCTAGGGCTGAAGAGGATTAGCTGGAAATGAAGCTGCTGGAACAACACTTTTTTGTGGCTAACCAGACAAGTTTAGTTTCCAGGGCTGTTAATTTGGTTCTTTTCACCAGCCTTAAATCTATCCTTAGTATATAACAGAGGATGGCGGGGGGAATCCTCACTGCCACTCACTGCATGTTTTCTACCAAGTCAGACTCTGTGTTGCCTGAATACTACCTGGACTCGGTGAGGCAGGACTGCTCCAAACAGCGCTGAGGAGGCCTCTGTCGAGAACACCCGTCAGGGCCATGAACACAGCTTGCAGGACTGCCCCAATGGTGGCACCAGAATGAGGGTGTCAGATACATCGTTCTGTGTACTGACTGAGGCCTGGCTCACCAAACACATTTAACATCTTCCTGGGAATGGTTATCTAGTGAGAAGCCAGACAGGAAGCCTGAAATAATTAATTGAATGCTTATGGTGGGTACTTCTACACAGTGTCTCCTAACAGGAGAACCCTTTGAGGCAGGCAGGTACCACTGTCACTACCACTTTACAAATGAGGAAAGAGAAGCACTGAGAAGGTAAGTAATTGGCTCGAGGTTACACAGCTAACGACGGGCAAAGTCAGGAGGGGAATGAAGTCTGCAGAGTCCATACTCCCAACCCCAGCTCTCTCCTGCTCCCACACCACCAGGGCAAGTCCAACCTACGCTAAAAAGGCATTCTTCTTCCTCAGAAAATTCAACCCAAAATGAAGTCACCGTAGGGGAAAAATCAGTGGTTATAATAGGAAAAAGAGGGCCTCTCCCTCATTCACTTCACAAATCACTAAATTGGAAGAAGTAAAAACAAAAGAGAGAAAGAGCATTTATGCCTGTGGGAGTGATACTGGACTAAACACTGTTTCTTCCTCTTTCTTGCAGCGGAAAATGGCTGCACACTTGACAAAACTATGAAAATGATGAACTACCCTTAAATATGATGGCATTCCATTTATAGCTGGCTGGCACAGTCAGAGCCGGTTCCTAATAATGAAAGAGTGAGCCCTGTAAGATTGAGAGAGGAGGAGAAATTTTAAAAAGGAGGGAAAAATAGCCAAAATGGGTTCTGTAGTCCAAAAAGGAGATAATTATGGCCATATATGCATTCATCCAGGCTGTACTGCTTTCATTCAAGGATGTCAAAGCTCTGTGAATAACTAGCAAAGTGTTCTCTGCTTCTGGGGAAACACATGGCTACATTTCAGATGGGTAAAGAAGGCTGCTGAGATGTTAAGTACTGCTCAGTATTACTTAGGTCCACTTTAACCTCCACTAACAGAGGCCCACTTGGTACTGAAAATTGTTTAGAGAAAAGGAAAAAGGATTTGTCTTAAAAAAAGACAAGATACCTCTTTGCATATAGCTTGCAATCTAACGCAGAGGTATTCTAAAATCTGAGGGTGTAACTAGCTCTATTTCCACTCATCTTCTCTAATTCAACTCCATTCCCTATTTAAAATCTACCAAAGGCTTCTGACTGTTCTAAATTTCAAGTTGAAACTCTTTAGCATCCAGTATGGTAGCTCCTCAAAAAATTAGACTCAGAATTACCATTGATCCAGCAATTTCACTTCTGGGTATATGTGTAAAATAATTGAAAATGGGATCTCAAAGAAGTATTTGTACACCCATTTTTATTGTAGTATTATTCACAATAGTTAAAATGCAGAAGCAACCCAAATGTCTACTGATGGATGAACAGATAAGCAAAATGTGTTACGTACAAACAATATAGTATTATTCAGCCTTAAACAGGAAGGGAATTCTAGCATATACTATGACATGGATGAATCTTGGGGATATTGTGTTAGGTGACATAAGCCAGTCACAGACAGACAAATGTTGTATGATTCTACTGATATGAGGTACTTAAAGTAGTCAAATTCACAGAGTTGAAAAGTAGAAAGATGGTTGCCAGGGGCCAGATGAAAGGGGAATCGGGAGCTTTTGTTTAATGGATACAGAGCTTCGGTTTTACAAGATTAGTTATGGAGATGGATGGTGTTGGTGACTATACACCACCACTGAACTGTACACTTAAAAATAGTCAAGGTAGTAAAGTTTACATTATATGTATTTTACAGTAACAACAAAAATATATTTTCTTAAAGAAAACCCTTGGCAAAGGACCTACAGGATCCAGCTGACCTCTCAAGGCCCTCCTCTACCCAGTCCCTGTACTCTCCCACCTCTGAGCTAAAATTTTCTTTGGGCCTCAGTTCCTTCCTTCCTAATGCTGATCCCCATTCCTGGGCCACTCTGTAGCCCCTCTCCCTCTTGACTTGGCTCTGTCCTCCTTGCCACTCTTCCTCAAAGTGGTCTTTCTGGACACCTCACTCTAGGTCAGGTCCCTTACTATAATTCTAATTCTTCAATTCTCTTTTCTGGTACTTACTGAATTATAAATATACCACCATTCATGGAATTGACATTTTCTGTCTCCCCTACTTAGCAGAGCTCCAAGAGGACAGGTATGTCATCAGCCTCCCTCACTGCCACACGCCAGTGCCTAGCAGTTTGCGTATCATGTGTTGAATGGAAAACAAAGGAACACATGGATGCTGTGGGAGGCCACCTTCTTCTAAGTGTGTCAAGGCTCAGCTGCACTAGGTACCTGGGTTAAACACGTCACCTACTGCTGTCTTAGAGCCTTTGCCAAGCTGGGGGCAGTTGGGGGACGTGGTTGGCCACAGCAGCTCATCCTGACACAGACAGCATATAATGCACTAGGCGTCTCTCCCTGGACAATCTGGAAGGTATAACAGCCAAAAAAATATTTACGAGGTCTAATAATTATTACATGCATTACCTAATATGCATTGTATAATATAGCATGAGCTCACACTACTATACCAGGATCCTTTCAGTACATTTAATAGCTCTCTAAGACAGTGTCTCCTATCTCTCCTTTTCTTTATCCATTTCTGAAATTCCTTTATTTCCTGCCTGTCTTTTATTATTACTAGGATTTCCATCAACAGTAACAGCAACTAACATGAGCTGAGAACTTACTGTGAGCCAGGGATAACCACTCCCTCAATTATCTCATGTGATCTTTAAAATAACCCTAGGAGGGAAATTCCATTAATATCCCAAATGGAGAGGCTGGAGCTCAGACAAATTCAGAAATCTGTCTAAGGTCACATATCTAGAATTTGAGACCAAAAAGTCTGCAGTCTGATTTCAAATCTACTGCTCTTAAATGCTCTAGTATGAGGCAGAGAGAGAGAGAGACTGACAGACAGAGGGAGAGATACAATACATATCCTGTTATTTTATCTCATTTGCTTCTCTTCTTTTCTACATGGCCTAACCTTAAGGAGATCATGGGTCAAAGAAGAACCTGATTATTTTTACAAGGATAATTTGAAAGCAAACAAGAATATTAGGGTCATCTATGTCCACCAACAGTATAAAATCTCTAAGCTTCTCTACTGGTAAATAAACTAATCTGGGTCATGGGAATTACTAGAACCCAAGAAGAATGATACTTTTGCTGTAAGCTGCCTAGTTTTCCAAAATTAGTCATTTAGAGATTAAATAGGCCAACCTGCATTTTATTTGCCCTACATTGTCTCAGCTACCTGGGATTTGAGAAGTCTCATGCACAGGGAAAACACATTCCTTAGATCCAGGGGTTAACTGATTAGCTTTCACCTATCTCATCCTGGACAGTTTAGGCTTCAGCTAGTAGCTGTATTCTTGGTCCCAGTCCACAGGGTGCAGATGGGGAAGAGCAGCATTCACATATAAAAAGACGTGCAGAGAAGCTGACTCAGAAAGCCTTTCTTCCTGGAAAATTACTTAACTATTTTAAATTACATAACAATTCATTCTAAAGTCCAATGTAATTAACATTTGCAAAGCATTTTATAGTTTATAAAATGCTTCCACATTCATTATCATTGATTTATTGATTAGTTCTCACATCTAGAAAAAGATGCCAGAGGGTAAATAGAGGAGGTTTAAAAGTTGCACATGTGTATGCCAGTCTGGTGTTACCAAGTGCTGCAAATGCCGGTTCCTGTTGTTACTGACATTTCCTTCAACCACACAACCTACTACCTTTAAGCTAACATTGTCCCAAAGTCAAGCAAGCCATGGAGACATTGCTTTGGGACTTTCTACCCAACGAAGAAAGTGCAAGGTGACCCAGCACAAAGGCCAAAACTGCAACATCTATTTTTCAATTACCAACTATTTTTTAGCACCCCTTGTGTGCCAGGGACTGCTTTAAGTGCTGGAGATATACTGGTGAACAAGACAGACTCCTCCAGTTTCCTGCCTTAGAGAAGCTTACATTCTTTTGGAGTAGGACAGGCGATAAGCAAAGAAAATATATGGTGCTATGATGAAACAGCCAGCATGAAAGGGATGGGGAGTATAGAGGAAATGTTTGTAGCTTTAGACTGGTGGTCAAGGACATCTCATGGAGAAGGCATGTCTTGCCAAGCCATGAGGACATCTGGGAAGGGAGCTACAGGCAGAGGAAACAGCAGGTACAAACACCTCGGGGTAAGTACCTGGGTGGCATGCTGGTAATGCCAGTGTACCTGGAGCCCAGAGAGCAAGAGGGCAAGTATCAGGAAAAGTCAGAGACATAATGGACTTGAGGGTGGCAAATCCTGGAAAACTTTGCAGGCCACTGTAAAAGCTTTGTTCTTGACTGAGTGAGATGAAAAGCAATTAGAAAATTCTGATCAGAGGGGTAACAGTATTAGTCATCCTCTCTGTAGACTCGGAAAGGTCTCAACTAAGACCTAAATGCTGAAATTCCATAGGTTGCTTAACATTCAAAGAGAGAGAGATATGGCCGGGTGTGGCGGCTTGCACCTGTAATCCCAGCATTTTGGGAGGCTCAGGTGGGCAGATCATTTGAGGCCAGGAGTTTGAGACCAGCCTGGCCAACATGGCAAAACCCCATCTCTACTAAAAATACAAAATGTGGTGTGCCTGTAGTCCCAGCTACTCGGGAAGCTGAGGCAGAAGAATGGCTTGAACCCAGGAGATGGAGGTTGCAGTGAGCTGAGATCGCACCACTGCACTCCAGCCTGGGTGAGAGCAAGACGCTGTCTAAAAAAAAAAATACAAAAACAAAAACAAACAAAAACCAAAAAGAGATAAGAACTTTACAAGCTAGCATAAAACCCAATAAGAGAATTCAAGACATGTACAAACCAGATTACAGTACTGTTCATATTTAATTAAAATGTGTCAGGCCCTGTGCCTTTGCGCCTATATATCTGTGTTAACCTCATAGGTTTCTGCAGTTGTTGCCCATTTTCCTCTTGGTCATTGTGCTGGAGACCTCTACTGGGAAGCCTGGTGGAAGAACAGAATCTTAGCCAAACCTGAACTGGGGCGTAGAGCAGGTAAGAGCTTCTAGGTGCGAGTTACCTGCTACCCAGCTAATAGCCACCCATGATCAGCACCAATATTAATATTTGTAGAGTCCATTGAATTTCACCATTGTAACAATCTTTAATTAGTTAAAATAAACAGCAGTCTTCTGAAACCAGATCCACATTACTAGCACCATTTTACAGATGAAAGGACAGGGACAAAAGGAGCTAAATCAAAGGTTAAGGGACTGGCCCTTAGCCATGTGGCTTAGCTCCAACAGGAACAGTGGCTCTGGGACCCAGCGCTGAGAGCTTGCGCTGAGAGCTTGTCACTTCCCAAGAGATGTAAATCTCATTGCAGCTTCTATGGACATGACCATAATCCTTTCTGGAAGGACTAAGATTCCAAATCCACAGAAGGGTTCATGGGAAATGTTACAGAGAGATGGACAGACTGATAAAGAAGCATACACTCATGAAATACCCACCCTAGGTAACCTATCTCCTTTTGTGGGGATTTTTTAAATGAGGGAAATAACTCATGTGACTGGCATATTTTTGAAATGGAATGTACTTTCACCCCAAAAAGCAAACAGAAAATTACATTCCCTGCCATAAGTCTGAAAAAACACTGGGAGGCTGAAGTTGAAAACGTTAGCTTTATTTCAAGGGCCAGTCTACCAAAGTGACTGGAATTGACAAACCTATATGTCCTGTCACGGTACTTTTAGATTATGTTTGGATATTTGATTAGAAGACAGAAAAAAAACAGTAATGTATGGTGTCCAGAAAAGTTTATGCTCTTCATGTACAAGAGCTGAGACCCCATGGGAAAGTTCTGGAGGTCAATTCATACGGTAAAAGGTGAAAAACATCCTAGAGCTCTAACATCCATGAAAATTACTGGTATAGTACATCCACATTCCATATGTTTACATGTCTAACGCTAATGAATGGAATCCACTGAAAAAGGAATACAAATCTTCACAATCCATAAAAGTTAGAAACAATCTGAATTGATTACACCTTTATATCCCTCTCCTCCTGAAACTCTGTGGCAACACCTCCTAGCTCCTTGCTGCACTAAATCATTATCTCCTAAAATTTCAATGTAAGTTCAAGCCTAAGGGATACAACAGTTCCTCTTATTTATTCATCCATACAAAATAACAGTGTTTATATATAGTGGTACATGTGAGGATTAGAGTGAACACACAAACCCTTCTGTTATATTTATTGCCTTAATCACAAAAATAGATTTGTCAGGGAATGAAGCCAATAAAGTTCTTACTTCAACACATGCAAAGCAAAACCTGATTTATCCTCCTCAAAGGTGGCACAAAGCTGGAAACTCATTGAATTCTGCTACCATGAAAGCAAATTTTAAAATACAGGGTTGACAACAGAAACCAGAGATCCAAGGTGAGCAAACCAACTATCATTAGGCAGAGAAGAGCAGATCGTGTCTGGTAACAAAGACACCGAACGATTCAGAGTGAAGTCGAGATCTGGGTCCCTGATCCACCCAACATTCACACTCTCAGCAAGAGTCACTCACAAAGCCCAAACCTAAACAGATATTTTTCAAAGGGGAAGTCAAAGTGTTTAATGACAAAGTTCTAAAATGCTTTCTATTGTGCAGGCATCACAGCCTGACATCTTAGTTGCTGTCATCTTGCTTTGCCTGGCTCAACAGAAAAGGTGGGTGAAGAAGGCCAAGCTGATGGCAGCTGAGATAGGGGGAGAAATACAGTGTAGGCTACAGTGGCACTTCAAGGACAGAATGATGCACAATTCCCAGCAGAAAAGCCATCAGTAACTGACTTTAGCAGACCAATCTGGAGAGTATATAAATCTACAGAGATGAAACCACTTAATGAATACCAGATCCTTGAGCAAATCTAAACACCTCATCGTGGCCTATACGATCCAGCCCCTGCCTACTGACCCCTCCAACCTCATGTCATACCACCATGCTCTTATTCACAGAGCTCTAACTACCCTGGCCTTCTGTCTGTTCCTAAACACACCAAGTATGCTCACACCCAATACCGACTGAACACCTATGAGATGCCATGCACCCTTCTGGGCACTGGGATAAAGAAGTGAACGAGACTGACAAGATCCCTGCTTTCATTCCGACGGCAAATAACACACAGATACATCAGTAAAAATGTCAGATTACAGAAGTGCCATGAAGAAATCAAACAGAGGTATATGACAAAACCTAAGAGGACCAACTTAGGTAGGCCAGGAAGGCCTCTCTAGGGAAGAGACCTGTGAGCTGAGCCCATTAATCAAACAGTGCAGTCCAGAAGTCTACAGCCTAGAGGCAGACAACAAATCACACCCTCATACACCTAGGCAATAATAAGTTGTATCTTCAACCACAAGCATCAGCAATGCCTGCCTGAGACCGCTTTAAAATGAAGCCCAGGCTGGGTGCAGTGGCTCATGCCTGTAATCCCAGCACTTTGGAAGGCCGAGGTGGGTGGATCACCTGAGGTCAGGAGTTCGAGAGCAGCCTGACCAACATGGAGAAACCCTGTCTCTACTAAAAATACAAAAATTAGCTGGGCGTGGTGCCACGTGCCTGTAGTCCCAGCTACTCGGGAGGCTGAGGCAGGAGAATCGCCTGAACCCGGGAGGCGGAGGTTGCCATGAGCTGACGTTGCACCACTGCACTCTAGCCTGGGTGACAGATTGAGACATCACCTCAAAAAAAAAAAAAAAAAAAAAAAAGCCCAATGCATTGTATTCCAAAGGAGTTCACTTCCTTTTCCATGGGAATTCTGAAGTCTGTGTCAACAGCTGCTAAGTACAACTGGAAGCTGTGCAATCGTTGCCACCATGTGGTTACCCGCACAATGATGCGAACACCCTGTGGCTTCTGGCTGCTCCTCCTGCCCATCTCTGCAGCCTCAACCCATTTAGGAAGCAGCTCCTCCCAAAAACATGTCACTAATAGATCCCACTGCTCAGTCTTCCATACAGAAGGCCATCTTCCAGAAATTTACATCAAGGAGAAAGCCACACCACAATCCTGTTGCTATGTACCAGCATTTAGCTGGATTATATAAAGAGCTAAGTAATCATTAAGTAAGGGTGGGAAACAAGACAAACAACAAAAGAAAAAGTCACCCTTTAAAAAGACCCTTTGGGCTTGGTAAACTTGTGGGGAGAGGAAGAAACACAGTTCAGGGAGTCCTGCTACTCTGCGAAAAGTCAGGATTCAAATAGTTCATTATAAAAATGACCAAAAAAAAAAATCACTCATACTTGTACTCACCAAAAAAAGTCTCTTCTCTATTTGGCAATGGAAAATAAAAATTGGTACTTAAAAACAAACAGTGAGTGGCTTCAAGAAATGAGTTAATAAATCCTACACGTTACTTTCCCATAACGCCCCGGTGCAGCTACATGTTCTTCAGACTTCTGACGCACTGAAGAGAGGATGCCTACAGCCACGAACCTTGGTGATCAGCAGAATGCACACGTGGCATTTTCAGACATGCAGACAGATGCCACTCCCGCCAGGAACACAGTGCTGCAAGGCTATGAGACCTGTACCAAGGCTATGACACATGTACTTATATACCTGTACACACATGTCCACACACAAACGTCTACCCGGATGCATACCCCTTAAACATATATACACCCACATATGATTCCCACACACAGAAGAAAACTTACGCAATAAAATGCTTCTATCTTCGTTAAGACAGAATCATGTAATGACATTAGCTAATGTCAGTTTGGTCTTTAGGTTAGACCTATTTTTATATTTATTTATTTATTTATTTATTTATTTATTTATTTATTTATTTTTGAGATGGAGCTTCGCTCTTGTTGCCCAGGCTGGAGTGCAATGGCGCAATCTTGGCTCACACAACCTCCGCCTCCCGGGTTCAAGCGATTCTCCTGCCTCAGCCTCCTGAGTAGCTAGGATTACAATCATGTGCCACCATGCCTAGCTAATTTTTTGTATTTTTAGTAGAGACAGGGTTTCTCCATGTTGGTCAAGCTGGTCTCAAACTCCCGACCTCAGGTGATCCGCCCACCTTGGCCTCCCAAAGTGCTGGGATTATAGGCATGAGCCACCACACCCAGCCGATTAGGCCTATTTTTAAATAGCTTACCCTTTACTCTTTCTTTCAGTGCTATCGTTAGGGGGAAAAAAAGATACATGTTTTCTCTTTTATTTTCTGATAAATGAAAGTATTTACTGTGGAATAACTGATACAAAGCACAAAGAAAATAAAAATCACCAGTGATTCTACCATCCAGAAATAACTAAATGTTATTCAATGTTTTAAGGTATACGTGTCACATTCCATGTTTTTTTCAGACACACACACACTCATATTTCAAATCAAGTTGGAATCATACTGCAGACACCTAGTTTTATAACTTGTTTTTTACTGCATTACTATGAACTTTTCAAGTACCATTCATTGTCTCACTCAACATTGTTATGGTGGCACAGTGTTTCACTGTATGGGTATTCGATAATTTAGAAATCTCCCGTTATTGGACAGTCAGATTGTTTCCAATATTTTATTGTTTCCACTAATATTGCAGTGAATCTCTATGTACACAAATATGTGCATATATCTTTCTTTCCCTAGAATAAATTCATAGAAATAGAATTTCTGGATGAAAGGGCATACTTTTTTTGTTTTGTTTTGTTTTTTTGAGACAGGTTCTCACTCTCTCGCCCAGACTGGAGTGCAGTGGTGTGATCTCGGCTCACTGCAACCTCAGCCTCCCAGGCTCAAGCGATTCTCCTGCCTCTGTCTCCCAGGTAGCTGGGATTACAGGTGCGTGCCACTACCTGCAGGGTAATTTTTGTATTTTTAGTAGAGATGGGGTTTCACCATGTTGGTCAGGCTGGTCTCAAACTCCTGACCTCAAATGATCCACCTGCTTCGGCTTCCCAGAGTGCTGGGATTACAGGCGTGAGTCACTGTGCCTAGCCAGCATAAATATTTTTAATAGATATTACCAAACTGTCACCCATGAGATCTATGTCAATTTACATTCCCACCTAGAAAATTTTAATATGCCCATTTCCCTAGGACCTTTATTTTTCCTTTTGGTGCTTTCACTAGCACCAAAATAAGGTATTGCTATTTTGAAAGCTTTTATCTTAAGTTTCATTTCTCTCTTTTTTTTTTTCTCTAGGTCTATCCATGTTGTAACAAATAGCAGGATCTCCTTTTCTAAGGTTGAATAATATTCCATTGTGTGTATATATATATATTTTTATTATACTTTAAGTTCTGGGATACACGTGCAGAATGTGCTGGTTACATAGGTATACATGTGCCATGGTCGTTTGCTGCACCCATCAACCCGTCATCTACATTAGGTATTTCTCCCAAGGTTATCCTCCTCTTCCCCCTACCCCCTGTTAGGTCCCGGTGTATGCTGTGCCCCTCCCTGTGCCCATATGTTCTCACTGTTCAACTCCCACTTACGAGTGAGAACATGCAGTGTTTGGTTTTCTGTTCCTTCTCTTAGTTTGCTGAGAATGGTTTCCAGCTTCATCCATGTCCCTGCAAAGGACATGAACTTATTCTTTTTTATGGCTTCATAGTATTCCATGGTGTATATGTGCCACATTTTTTTTTTTATCCAGTCTAACATTCATGGGCATTTGGGTTGGTTCCAAGTCTTTGCTATTGTGAACAGTGCTGCAATAAACATACGTGTGCATGTGTCTTTACAGTAGAATGATTTATAATCCTTTGGGTATATACCCAGTAATGGGATTGCTGGGTCAGATGGTATTTCTAGCTCTGGATCCTTGAAGAATTGCCACACTGTCTTCCACAATGGTTGAACTAATTTACACTCCCACCAACAGTGTAAAATCGTTCCTATTTCTCCACATCCTCTCCAGCATCTGTTGTTTCCTGACTTTTAAAAGTTTCATTTCTTTGAAGAGTAATGATATTGAACTTTTTCCCATGTCTACTGATCCAGTGACTTTTAAGGTCCCAGGCACAATTAGTCTGCAGCAAAGCAAATCAAAAGAACAGGTAAAGAAGACGACATACCAGGCAAGGATGGCACCTTAGTTCTACATTTTAAAAATTTAATAAAGCTCTACACCTATTAAGGTATCCTTGTGTTTATAATCCATATATCTTTCACAAATTTTCATGGGGAAGAAAAATAGTTGGGAGATGTCAGATCCCCCCTGTGAAGCTGGGCAGACTCCACCAGACTCCACCATGGCACTTGGGAGGCATTATATAAACGTTTGTGGCTACCACAGAGACCAAAAATGGATTGTGCTGCCTCTTCCCTGGTCTATTTCATAGAGGCACTGGGATGCTGTAAGGACAAAGCAAGCAAGGGAGGTGAAAAAAGTACTGAAAATTATCAAGGGCTGTACAAAGCACAATGATAAGGAGAAGGAGGAGGAGAACTAATTTAAACAGAAGTTTCAAAGAGGCAGGATTGGAGTATATGCAGAGAACGTTATTAGTGAAGAATGCTTTGGTAAGAAAGCAAGCTTTCTCCTCTGGTATTTCATGAGCTGTGCAATGAAAGAGTCTCTGTCTCCCTAGAGCCCGGATGGGCGACGCAACAGGCACAGGGGTGTAACCAGGCCACAAAGTCCCAAACGCCAACTTTTAATTGTGTGACCGGCATGGGTCCAGCAGTGATTAGCAGAACCAAGCACTGTTGCTCAAGCTTTATGAGGATCAGCATTCTGAGTTAGGGGAGGAAAAAGATTGCCTCTGATAAGAACTTGTTCTAGGAGAGTCAAACAAGCACCCCTTTTCTGCATGTTTGGGGCCGACACTGAGGTCTTTAATGAAGGGAAACCTCTGAAAGAAATGGAGGTGGCATTTCTAGGAAGACCTGCCAGGGGAGACTCACACTCTGGTACTTGCTAGTGGAACAGACTGAAGTTTATCAGGAGGGAGCCCCAGGCCTGGAAGGCAGGAAGTGAAGAGAAGAGGGAGGGATATCTGGGCTGGAGCAGAGCAGTCTCCCCAGCCAGGCGCGCACTGTACGGGTTCTCTGTGAGATGTAGAGAGGGTCCCTTACTCACGGTCCTGCTGTCTATATCACTCAGAAACAAAACCACCACCAACCTACCCAGTTCCACTTACCACATAGTTTTGAATCATGGAAAAGGCTAGTAATTACTACAAAAAAAACATGCTGCAGGCTCCTGGGGCTCCTGGCTATTGTTTCATGTTCTCCAGACTCCAGTTCTATCAGCGCCACCACAGCCCCTAAGGAAAATAGAACCTGTTGCCATAGTAGCTGCTTCCCCCTTTTTAAGGAAGGCACACTCTAAGCCATTATGGAAGAAAAAAAAAAAAAAAGCTTTTATGTCATATGACGAACTTTCCCTTCTCCAGCTTCTCTCCCTATCTTGTCCAGTTAAATTTTGTGTAGAACATGCAGCAGAAATTGAAATGTCGACATTTCCATTAAGCAATGACAAAAAAATTAATCCAGTTCCCAGAGAGAGGGAGGTAGGAAGCAATTGTTCAAGGCAACAGTGTGTGTGTCTGTTTCAGGGAAATTAAAAAAAAAAAAGAAGGGAAAAGTAATTAAAGAAAGATATTACCTGAAGAGCATTATATCTGACAAACACCAAAGCACTGCCTGGTTGGATGTTAAGGAAAGGAGAGGGAAAAAAATCAGAAATGGTGACACCTGATGAGAAGGAGTCACCCCCAAAGAGCTAAGAAAACAATCACCTTTTGTTAATAAAAACCAAAGGAAAGAGTGAGGACTGTATGAAGGCCCAGGAAAGACACATTTAAGGCCCACTCCCTGAGCAGAAATAGAAGGTGTATGGGGCCACAACCCTACATCAAGAGACCTGTTGGTCCCCAGCACTGAAAGTGAAACAAAAAATTATGAGAAAGAGAAATGACACACTCGAACCAGAGTAATTTTCTGTTTTGCCCTCATCTCTAAAAATGCATCCTTCCTGCCAGACTCATTCTCATTCCTTCCTAACTCTCTTGCAATGATCCAAGAGAGAGGTGTTCTGGCATATGACGCATTCTCAGTGATGCTTCTCAAGTGAAGAATGGCTTCAGAACTCTTTGGTTTTTTGTTTGTTTGTTTGTTTTTTGAGATAGAGTCTTGCTTTGTTGCCCAGGCTGGAGTGTAGTGACACAATGTTTGTTCACTGCAACCTCCGCCTCCCAGGTTCAAGCCATTCTCCTGCTTCAGCCTCCCAGGTAGCTGAGATTACAGGCACACGTCACCACACTCAGCTAGTTTTTCAATTTTTTTAGTAGAGACAGGGTTTCGCCATGTTGGCCAGGCTGGTCGCGAACTCTTGACCTTAAGTGATCCTCCCGCATTGGCCTCCCAAAGAGCTGGGATTACAGGCATGAGCCACCGTGCATGGCCTCTATTTGAGTCCAGAAAATGGAGATACATGTACCCATTCATACTAGAAAGGAGAAGCAAAGGAGCACCTTATGAAAATCAAGTGCATGCCTAAGGTAAACAGACTTCATTTCCTGCCCACAAAGCCAGCAGAGTCCCTAAGGAGACTGCCAAGCAGTGACTACCTGGGTTTTATGTCCAAAACCTAAAACTGGAAGAAAGGAAGCTACGCTTCCCAAATTCACACCATGGGAGGTGATTAAGCTGAAAATCAGAGGTGATACCGTAAGTACAAGAAACAATGTCCAGTTGTAAATCCCACATCTACGGGATGTTGGTGTAAAACTACTTTCACAGCAGAGAAGAAAGTCTGCATCATTTAACTTGCTAGTGTTACCAGGATTTATGGTGCCAAGGATAAGGCTAGTGACTGGATGTTCCTTCGCTATTTCCCACACAATGTAGGCCATGGCTGTTTGGCTCTTATTTATTATTCAAGGGTTGTTCTTTATGGATTTTCCCTTTGTGTATACAAGAAGTATTCTGCAGCTTCTCTAGGATGAGTATTTGTGTGGACTTATTTACCTTTATTTTTCTTTTCAGAAGTGGCTGTGATACTGAACCTGATATTTCACGTCTCTCAATTTTAGAAAATTCTCAGCCATTCTCTTCAAATATGACCTCTTCCCATTTGCTCTAGTCTCACCTGGAGCTCCCATAGCCATATTTTGGACCTTCTCATACTGCCTTTCATGTATCTTCAAGTGTTTTCTATTTCATTATTTCCCTGGACTGCATTCTGGCAAATTGTCTGAAGTTATTTTCCTGTTTGCTCAGTCTTGCATCTACTTTGGTTAGTCTGATATTTATTGCATCAGCTATGTTTTTAATTTCAACAATATTTAAAAATTTCTGTACCTTCTAGTTGGTTCTTTCAAATATGCCTGTTCTTTTGGTTTTAATCCCTTATTATTGTTTTTATTTTTGAAACATAACTATTTTATGGTCTCAATGGAATTTTTCTATTATGATTTTATTCTTGAAGTTCTTGGGTTTTGATATTCCCCCACATTGCTTCCCGCTATTGCCACCACTCTAGCTAATGGTGGGTTACTTCCTTGTGTGTTTATAATTTTGGACTTATCAGCAGAGGAACTTCACTTATGGAAATCCTAAATAACACAGGTTAAGTGCACACAGAGTGAGTATACAAGAGGTATCACTGAGTGACACTGCGAAAATGAATTTGAATGTGGTTACAAATTTCCTTACAGATGCCAGGCTGAGATAGAAAAATAAATTCCCTATTGAATCCCTGTGCTAGAAAGTAGATTTTTTATCTCGTCCATCCTTTCAATGATGGTGAGGCCTGTCAAGGATCCCTGATTAAGGTAGGGTCTCAGTTCCAACTTCTTCCACCCCACAAGTGGTCCCCATGTCTCACCCTCATTCTCACATGGTTTTGAAATCCAAGTTAACCAACACTGGCAATTCTATATTCCTCTACCTGTGCCCCCCACCTGCCCAGGGCAGCTATGTTGTCAGCTTAGGTCCTTACTTTCTGGGAATATAATTTTTTAGGGATATGTAAGTTTTGCTTAACTTACGCTATTTACTATGAATGAAGACTCAGCTTCTGCAAAGATAGATATCAAACTAAGTTAAAATTGGTATGTTTGCAAATTATTTTTGTCTGGTAGAGATGCAAATAACTTCTGTCCAGCAGAAAAGATAATCTCAAAAGTTGAGGTTTTATTGCCCTACAGAACATTAACCAGTTTTAAATCAAACTTTGTGACCTTTTTTCAGCATTGTGTCTTTCATTGGACATATAAACAAGCCTCTGCTGTCCTCTTTTGAAGCCACTTTCTATTTCTACTGGTAGCCTCATAGACCTTTGACGTGTTTATTCTATACTATACTTTCACAAAGTCATGTTTAAAAAATATTTTTAAAGTTATACTTTAACACTAACCCTATTTATTGAATGTTCATCAAGTTTAAGGCAATGTGTTAATTTCTTAATATGTGTTATACTATTAAATTCATTTTCTATGAGGGAGAAGTTATTACTCCAATTTGAAAGATGAAAAAACTGAGGCTCGGAGGAATTGAATACTTAGCAAGGTTGTCACCTAGCTAAGAAAGAACAGATCCATGATTCAAGTCCAATCTTCATGTTTTTTTCTCTTTGCAATATTATGGGCTGAATATTGTTTTCCTATCATGTCTACCCACTGTTGATAATATTATAAAGAATTGGTCTTTCTCTTTTCTAGATAAAATAATTCAGCTAATGTAGATTAAAATTACACTAGCTTTTGAGGGTAGATTGATCAATCTGTTGTTTCATGCTGACCTTACTGTCAATTAAACTTCCCATACTAATTATTCCCAAGAACTGGTTTTAAGTCAAACTTGAATTCACCATTAAGAGTAACATACTTGTACAAAATATAACAAAATTTAATTTAAAAATTAAAAAAATCACCTACGTTATTGTTAAAATGACATTGCGGAATTGTATGCTTAGAAGGAATTGGCTTTTTAAAATACCATTTAACAGTTATGCTATCCAATGTAAATATTAAAGAAGAATACATGGTCTGAACCCTAACATTAGAACTTATGGTCAAATATGTCAAGCACAGCTGTAGAACAAGAATTTAAAGGAGGCTTAAAATGAGAATTCTAAGCTTGAAACTCCAAATTATTTAATTAGGTTCTCAAGTAGAACAAAATTGAGGCAGCGCTATTATAAAGGAAGAGTTCTTCTGTATAGTAAAAACTGTATGGAATTCTGAGAAGATTCCAAGGCAGAACTACAACTTTTTAAAAATTGGAATTCTACAAATAATTCATTAAAAAAACCTCCAGACTTTTACAACCAATACAAAATATGTCCCACTGAACGTTGTCACCAAATGAAATATGTCAGAGACATCTGAATTAAAAAATCTTAGACATCAGTAGGTTGCGTGGGGTAATTTTCTTTTTTTTTTTTTTTTGAGTTGGAGTCTCGTTCTGTCACCCAGGCTGGCATGCAGTGGCGCAATCTTGGCTCACTGCAAGCTCCGCCTCCCAGGTTCATGCCATTCTCCTGCCTCAGCCTCCCGAGTAGCTGGGACTAAAGGTGCCTGCCACCACATCCAGCTAATTTTTTTTGTATTTTTAGTAGAGACGGGGTTTCACCGTGTTAGCCAGGGTGGTCTCAATCTCTTGACCTCATGATCCACCCGCCTCGACCTCCCAAAGTGCTGGGATTACAGGCGTGAGCCACCGCGCCCGGCCATTGCATAAGGCAATTTTCACATTAGCTCTGCTTCAACAGAATTTGTCAAATTCTCAGGAAGGTAAATGACGACTTCTATAGAATTAGGTAAAGTTACCTGAATGTACTCACAGGGAATTTCCCTCTGATTTGTACTTTACAGTCAGATATGCTCTTTTTTTTTTTTTTTTTTTTTTTCTTTTTTTTGAGACGGAGTCTCTCTCTGTTGCCCAGGCTGGAGTGCAGAGTACAGTGGTACAATCTCGGCTCACTGCAACCTCCACGTCCCAGGTTCAAGCGGTCCTCCTGCCTCAGCCGCCTCCCCTGCCCCACCCCAGATTACAGGCACGCACCACCATGCCCAGCTAATTTTTGTATTTTTAGTAGAGACGGGGTTTCGCCATGTCGGCCAGGCTGGTCTCAAACTCCTGACCTTAAAAGATCCTCCCGCATTGGTCTCCCAAAGAGCTGTGATTACACGCATGAGCCACCGCGCATGGTCTGTATTTGAGTCCAGAAAATGGAGATACATGTGATCCATCTGCCTTGGCCTCCCAAAGTGCTGGGATTACAGGCGTGAGCCACCGCACCCGGCCCAGACATGCTTCTTTTAAGAGGTGGCTAGAATGAGGATATTATGTTCTCTAGGCCATACAAAGCTATTTTGTGATTTTTATTTTCTTTAGGACAGTGGTTCTCTGTTGGTCCATTAACTACGGGGAGGTTTCCAACACCCTTCAGGGGTTCCATGAGATGCAAAAAAAAGATAAGTTGAACTGTGATGCTTCGCATGAATCTAGACAGTGGTACCAAGTTATACCAATAGTCATTGTATTCTTCACTGCTACACACTCACAGATTAAAAAAAAAAAAAGCCTAGCTTTACTTGATAAATGAGCAAAATTATTAATTTTATTTAATCCTGACCCTTTAGCACACCTTTTATATAATAACGAAGGAGGAAAGGTGCATAAAGCACCTCTGCTGCATACTGAAGTTGACTTGAGGGAAAGCAGTTGTGCGACTGAGTTGCAAGCTGAACCTCTTTTTTCATGAAACACCATGTAAACGTAAAAGAATAACTGACAGACAAAATATGGTTACTGACACTTGGGTATTTGGCAGACACTTTCTCAGAAATGAACCAAGTGAGTGTCTACTTTAAGGAAAACAGTAATATTTGTTGCAATGATAAAATTTATGCTTTCAAGAAAACGTCATAATTTTAGAAAATCTGGATCTGCACCACGAGCATGACAACTTCCCAATATTTAATGACTTTTTAAAATAAGTGGTGATATTAACAAATGTAATTTTTTGATGTTATATGATGTAATATGTTTGCATTGGAAGATCTGCATAACGCAGTTTACTAATATTTTCTAAATGAGCAATGTAGGCTAAGAAAAAATCATGCATAAGTAAAAGATCCACTCAAAGTACAAGGTAGGTCAATAGATCTTAATGTAACTGCATGTGAACAATTCACTAACATGATTTTATTTTTTCACATTGTAATAATTTTTTTAAAAAATTACCACTTGTTGAATGTTGGTAGAGTTTTAAAAAAAGAATATCCAAAATTATCTGAAAAGGCTACTAAAAATATTTCTTCCTTTTCCGACTATATGCATATGCTAGGACTGATTTTTGTATGACAATAGATTGAGTGAAGAAGAAGATATGAGGCCTGGAGCAGTGGCTCATGCCTATAATCCCAGCACTTTGGGAGGCTGAGGCAGGTGGATCACCTGAGGTCAGGAGTTTGAGACAGCCTGGCCAACATGGTGAAACCCCATCTCTACCAAAAATACAAAAATTAGCTGGGCATGGTGGCGGGTGCCTGTAATCCCTGCTACCCAGGAGGCTGAGGCATGACAACTGCTTGAACCCAGCTGGGAGGTGGAGGTTGCAGTGAGCCAAGATTGCAGCACAACACTCCAGCCTGAGAAAAAAAGAAGATATGATTTATCCAGTCATCTTCCATTAAGTCAGACATTAAGGAGATTTACAAAAATGTAAAATGTCATTTAATAAATTCATAAATAAAGCTTTAAAATTGTTTTAGTTTTAATTTCCAATACTGTAAAACATAAACAGATAGAATCCACATAGACAAAGGCTGTTGAAGTCCTTAATAAATTTTAAGAGCGTAAAGAGGTGCTGAGACAAAAAGGTTTAGAACTGCTGAGTTAAGAATATAGTATCTTGAACAGGGTTTCATTTGGGAGTGATGAAAATGTTTTGACTTAGAGGGAATGGTTGCATAATACTGTCAATGTACTAAATCCCATTGAATTGTATACTTTAAAATGGCTAATTTATGTTAAGTGAATTTCACCTCAATAAAAAAATTGTATGTGACTGTGTATATATGTTTTTATACATATATATTATATAGTAATATATAATGAATATATGAATATATCTAAAATGAATGTATATATGTAAGAATATATTATCTTAGAACCCATAAGTCAAAAGTCCAGGTGATATGGTACAATTTCCTTTCACAGAATTAAAACCAAGAGACATGAGTCTATTTATTGTTAGATATAAATTCTAAATTTCTTTTCAAATAATCAGTATGTCAGTATGTTCAATTCTTTGCCTTCTACTTTTAAACTTAACTTCCTCTTAAAGCAACCTTTTTTGATTACCTACTCCACCCTGACTCATTCCGATTACCTGCTCCACCCCGACTCATTCCCATTACCTGCTCCACCCTGACTCATTCTGATTACCTGCTCTGTCATAGCCATTTTCCCCCCAAACCACTCACCCCATCACTCTCTTTAAATTAGCCAATTGGAATTAGTTTAGCCTGTGCTGTCTAACCCTAGCCAATAGGGGAATGACATAGCAGCAGGGGCCACACGTGTCAGGGATAAGAAGGCTTTCCCCTCCCTTGTCCAAGTGTGTGCTCACCATTGTTCCATCTGTAAGGGCACATCCTTCTATACAGAGGTACCATGCCTTGCTGAGAATTAAAAAGAAAATTTTATATTCAAGTGCTATTCCTTTTGTGGCACTGAAACTTTACATATAACAATTAGGGGCTGCTCTGGGATTACGTTCCCCTCTGGGGGCGGTCTCTGGTTCTCTTTCGTGAGGAGGTGCACCCCACCCCCTTGTGGCAGCCTCAGGGGTGAGAAATCAAGACCCACCCAGTGCGAGGAATAACCTGAGCTCTCAGCAACGCGAGGGAAAAAAGAAACTGACCAGCAACCTAGCTTAAAGGATCCTCACATACTGTGGCAACGACTCTGTGCACAGACCAAGGAAGGAGATGCCACGGGAGGCAGTAAGGTATTTCCTTGGTGGTCCGGACTAAGGAAAAAGACACCACGCAGCAAAGCATTCCTTGGTTAGGACATACTAAGGAGAAAGAAACCGCAGGGGCGGTAAAGCATTCCTTAGTCGGGATTAGGGAAAGAAAGCCGCGGGGGCGGGGGAGTGGTGGTGAAGTATTCCTTAGTCGGGATGTCTTGGAGGTTAAAAAGAGGTGAGAAGTCCCCATGAGGAGGTGGGAGCTGAATCTCAAAAACAGGGGAGAAATCCCCATGGGGGGGCGTTGAACTTCAACAAGAGGTGAGAAATCCCCATGGGGTGCGTTGAACCTCAAAAAGAGGCGAGTAATCCCCATGAAGTGGGAGTTGAACCTCTAAAAGAGGTGAGAAATCCCCATGGTGTGGGGTTGAACCTCACAAAAATCTCTGGTAGTAAGAAAAATATTCAGAACCCCCCTTTCCTTTCTTCTCAGAGGAAGAAAGAGTAGCTCCACTCCCGCTGGTCCCTCCCCTAGGGGAAGGGGAAGGAGAGGGGAGAACAGTAGCATAAGTGGTTGGCAGAGGCAGGGAAAGACTAGCAGAGAGGAGAAAGGGGGAAAGAGAGAGAGAGAGGAAAGAAAGAGAGAAAGAGGCAGAGAGAGAGAGGAGGAGACAAAGATGGAGTCAAAGACAGAGAGAAAGAGTGAGGCAGAGAGAGAGAAAGAGAGACACAAAGAGGGAGTCAAAGAGAGAAAGAGACAGAAAGTCAAAGAGAGAAAGAAAGAGAGAGAGATAGAAATAGTAAAGAGAAAACAGTGTACCCTATTCCTTTAAAATCCAGGGTAAATTTAAAACCTATAATTGATAATTGAAGGTCTTCTCCTGACCCTATAACACTCCAATACCACCTTGTTGTCAGTGTAAACAAGGCCCGAAAGCACTGAGGCCACTGACAACCAGTAGCCTTCCTATCAAAAATCTTTAACCTAGTAACCCGCAGATGGCCCAAATGCATTCAACCTGTAGCGGCAACTGCTTTGCTAACAGAAGAAAGCAGAAAGTCTAAAAAGACTTTTAGAGGAAACCTCATTGTGAGCACACCTCATCAGATCAGAACTACCCTAAGTCCAAAAAAAAAAAAAGCAAAAAGGTAGCTTAGTGACTCAAGAACCTTAACATATAAAGCTATTCTGTTAGAAAAAGATGATTTAACATTAACCACTAAAAATTCCCTTAACCCAGCAGGTTTCCTAACAGGGGATCTAAATCTTAATTACCATACAAAGGTCCGAGCAGACCTAGGAGGAACTCCCTTCAGGACAGGACGATAGATGGTTCCTCCCCGGTGATTGAGGGAAAAAGACACAGTGGGTATTCAGTAAGTGATAAGGAAACTCTTGAAGAAGCAGAGTTAGGAAAATTGCCTAATAATTGGTCTGCTCAGACGTGGGAGCTGTTTGCACTCAGTCAAGCCTTAAAGTGCTTACTGAATCAGGAAAGAGCCATCTATACCAATTCTAAGTTAATATGGACTGAACGAGGTCTTATTAATAGCAAAGAATAATTGAAATCCCAAACTTAAAAGGTTTTCAACAAAAGTAAAGTTTGCTAAAAGTTAACAGTGTAACATGTATTATCCTAACTTCTAATCTTGTGGCCTTAGACAGTCTAGTCCACCTACGTGAAGGAAGTTCACTTTGGAAAAGCATGGTTATCATTTTTGAGAAAAAAAAAGGTGGGGGGGGGAGAATTTATGTAAAAAGGAATGTTATATGGTGAATTCTTATCCTAAAATAAATTAACTGGTTGTTTAAAGAACGGGATGTGGCCGGGTGCAGTGGCTCACGCCTGTAATCCCAGCACTTTGGGAGGCCGAGGTGGGCGGATCACGAGGTCAGGAGATCGAGACCATCCTGGCTAACATGGTGAAACCCTGTCTCTACTAAAAATACAATAAAATTAGCCAGGCATGGTAGCGGGTGCCTGTAGTCCCAGCTGCTCAGGAGGCCGAGGCAGGAGAATGGCGTGAACCTGGGAGGCGGAGCTTGCAGTGAGCCGAGATCGTGCCACTGCACTCCAGCCTGGGCGAGAGGGAGACTCCATCTCAAAAAAAAAAAAACAAAAAAAAAAACAAAGGGATGTTTGCAACAAGTCAGAAAGTTGAGGCATGTCGAAGAATTGTCTGTAAAAGTCATGAAAAAAAGTTATAAAAGGGAATTTATGCAAGAAATATTGTATAATTTAAAAGTAATTAGGCCTCCTGAATGTAAAACTATTGAAGAAACAGTTTATGTGCAAGGTGTATAAGGAAAGTAAAATAAAACTTTGGTAAAAGGATTATAAGGAGGCATAAGAATGTGGATTTCTACCTACATTAAAAGGTTAAAAATATATATTTTGTTTTAAAGGTTTAAGCAAGTTTTGAAACATTCATTGTAAAGGAAATTCCGTGTGTAAACATATTGGCTAAAGTTAAAGTGGTATCCAGTTTTTCCGTGAACTGGATATTAAAATAAAAGCACAACAGGTCTTTCTTAAAGCACTAACCTGCTCTTTAACAAAAATTATAAAAGGTTAAAAAGAGTCTATAAAAATCTTACCTTATGGTCAGATGTTAAAATTGGATAACTATGTCAACAAGGTTTAATTAAAATTGAGTTTAACATTAATAACACATTAATATAAAGGTGAAATTTAGTTTATCTGGTATAAAAGTCATACAGGAAGCACTGTCAAATATAAAATGGTGTTTGGCTTTCTTTGGTCTAGAAACTAATAAAAATAGGTGCTAAAGGAAATTTCTCAGTAAAAAGGTACCAAGGACTATAAAGTCCACTGCTGATGTCCCCACATTTAAAACAAAAGATCAGTTTCTTAGAAATTATATACTTGGTTTATCTTCCACTTTCCTTTCCCGCAAAACTAAGTCTTTTAGCACAGGTACCAACCCTAGAATTTCTGGTAAATAGCACCAGCCTGAGGATCATGTTCTCATCAAAGGGTGGAAAGAAGGAAAACTCAAGCCAGCCTGGGAAGGACCCTACCTTGTGCTGCTAACCACTGAGACTGCTGTTCATACAGCGGAAAGCGGATGGACTCATCACACCCGAGTCAAGAAAGCGCCGCCCCCTCCAGAGTCGTGGGCCATAGTCCCAGGGGAAAACCCTACCAAACTAAAGCTAAGAAATTTAACTTTCATTCATCTATTCTATTACTCTTTTTTCTTTACTCGCTCTATTGCTGACCATCTAGTTATTAACATAACCAAGTCAATTTTGCCTCAAACTATTGCATTTAATGCTTGTCTTGTTATACCCTGTGGGGACTGACCAAGTCAAAGACAGCTCTCTACTTCAGAAAAGTACCTCTGTCCCTCCTGAGTCTCCTAAGACTGGGCATTAGTGAATTGGGACCATTTAATCTGGGGAGATTTCGATAAAGACCCCAGTATCAACCAGGAGTCTTGCTCCCCAATGTAAAGCTTTTATGATGTAGTTGGTCCAATGTTCTGCGGACCACTAAAGAGCAAGAATGAATTGCCAACAGGTTTTTGCAATTTCCTAAAACCATACATTCATTTTACTAGAGGGACAGCCCTCCCCCATCAGCTAACCCAGTGTAATTCTACACAGGTTATTATCTCAAACCCTCAAGTTCTCCCCCTTTTCTAAGCCAGTTCCCTTCTTCTATGGGGGCTGAGGTTTCAGGGACAGACCCTATTAGATTATTTGAAATGCGTTTCTTTGATCCCCCGCCACCTGCACCTTCCTCTAAGCCTTCTTCCAAAACTTCTCACAAGGGAACAATTGCTCCTTCTCCATCTAATGACACGACTGAGATAGCTATCGTAGAAGTTAAAGACTTAAAACAAACTTTGGCAATTAAGACAGGATACCAAGATGCAAATGCCTGGTTGGAATGGATCAAATATTCCATTCACACGTTAAACAAAAGCAATTGTTATGCTTGTGCGCACAGCAGGCCAGAGGCCCAGACTGTCCCCTTTCCACTAGGGTGGTCCTCCAGTCAACCGGGCATGGGCTGCATGGTAGCTCTTTCCCAGGATTCTACAGCCTGGAGTAACAAGTCATGCCACGCTCTCTCTCTGCTATATCCCGAAGTCCGGCACCCTGCGGGTCAGCCCCCAAGGGCCATCCAGCTTCCGTCTCCCAACACTAAGTTCACGACAGGGAGGAAACTTAGTGTTCCTTGGAGACCTGAAAGGATGCAGTGAGCTTAAGAATTTTCAAGAGCTCATCAATCAGTCAGCCCTTGTTCATCCCCAAACGGATGTGTGGTGGTATTGTGGTGGACCTTTACTGGACACTCTGCCGAATAACTGGAGTGGCACTTATGCTTTAGTCCAATTGGCTATCCCTTTCACCCTGGCATTTCATCAACCAGAAAAAGAAAAAAATAAGACATCGTGAAGCGAGAGAAGGCCCTTATGGGTCTTTCAACTCTTACGTCTATTTAGACACAATTAGAGTCCCATGGGGAATACCAGAACAATTTCAAGCCCGAAATAAAATAGCTGCAGAATTTGAGTCAATATTTTGGTGAGTGAAAATTAATAAAAATGTAGATTGGATAAACTAGATCTATTACAACCAACAGTGATTTACTAACTACACTAGAGATGTTGTTAAAGGAATAGCTAAGCAATTAGGGGCCACTAGCCAGATGGCTTGGGAAAACAGGATAGCCTTAGACATGATAGTAGCAAAAAGAGGAAGAGTTTGTATCGTGATTAAAACTCAGTGTTGTACCTTCATCCCAAAACACCACCACCCCTGATGGAAGTATAACAAAGGCATTACAAGGTCTGACTGCTCTGTCCAATGAGTTAGCCAACAACTCAGGGGTAAATGACCCCTTTACAGCATGAATAGAAAGTAGTTCGGTAAATGGAAAAGAATAATAGCCTCAATTCTTACTTCCCTCGCAGCCATAATGGGTGTACTTATTCTTGTCGGGTGCTGTGTCACACTATGCATCCGTGGGTTGGTGCAGAGGCTCATAAAAATGGCACTTACTAAAACCTCCCTTAACTATCCTCCACCTTATCCAGAGAAGCTTCTTCTTTTGGAAAATCCAGCAAAACAACTAAGCCAAGACACGTTAAAAAGTTTAAAAAGAAAGCTGTAAGGAAATGCAAGAGGAGGGATTGTTAGATATAAGTTTTAAATTTATTTTCAAAGAATCAGTACGTCAGTATGTTCAATTATTTGCCTTCTACTTTTAAACTTAACTTCCTCGTAAAGCAACCTTTTTCAATTACCTGCTCCACCCTGACTCATTCCGATTACCTACTCCACCCTAACTCATTCCAATTACCTGCTCCACCCTGACTCATTCCCATTACCTGCTACCCCCTGACTCATTCCGATTATCTGCTCTGTCATAACCATTTTTCCCGCCAAACCACTCACCCCGTCACTCTCTTTAAATTAGCCAATCGGAATTTGTTTAGCTTGTACAGTCTAACCCTAGCCAATAGGGGAACGACACAGCGGCAGGGATCACATATGTCAGGGATAAAAACCCCTTCCCCTCCCTTGCCAAAGTGTGCGCTCACCGCTGCTCCATCTGTAAGGTCGCAGCCTTCTATAGAAGTAACTTGCCTTGCTGAGAATTATAAAGAAAATTTTATATTCGAGTGCTATTCCTTTTGCGGCACCGAAACTTTATTTACAGCATTATCATGAGTTTTTTTCAGTCTCAGATTATCTTGGGTTCTTTCTGCTTCACATGAAATTTAAATGTTATAGGAGGTCCTTACCTTGAAAATAATAAAGACATAACCACTTTTTTTTTTTAACAATTTGGTCCAAACCCCTGAGTTTTATGATCATCATGGCATCTCAGAACAATATATTTAACCATTCTGTCAACAGCCAATACAACCATCATCTACTCACCTGTATATCCTAGTACATATATAGTACAACCGTATATGTCCCACTATAACAAGTTCTGAAAACAAAAGCGTGAGCAAAGATCACAGGTGGTCACTGCACACATAGGGCTTACAGTTTAGTGTAAATGATGAACATTAATCAGAAAATGGCACAAGTAAAAGGAAATATGCAATTGTGAAGAATGCCCTATGAAGGACAGATATATAATCTCAGAAGCACATAAAATGGGGAACTTTTGACTTAACTGAAGACTAGGGAAGGATTCCGTGAGGAACAGTAGCACCAGCTTTATGTGAGACCTTTTAGAAGTGCCACATCCCAGGACCCTTCCAGCCCTAATGAAGAACCTGCATTTTAACAAGCTTCCCAGGTGATTCATGTTTGAGAAGGACTCACTCTTCTAAAGAATGGGCCAGGATAGGCCAGGCGTGGTGGCTCATGCCTGTAATCCCAGCACTTTGGGAGGCCGAGGCGGGTGTATCACCTGAGGTCAGGAGTTCGAGACCAGCCTGACCAACATGGAGAAACCCCGTCTCTACTAAAAATACAAAATTAGCCAGGCGTGGTGGCACATGCCTGTAATCCCAGCTACTCGGGAGGCTGAGGCAGAAGAATCACTTGAACCTGGGAGGCGGAGGTTGTGGACGGTGAGCCGAGATCGCACCATTGCACTCCAGCCTGGGCAACAAGAGCAAAACTCCGTCTCAAAAAAAAAAAAAAAAAAAAAAAAAAGAATGGGCCAGGGTTAATTAGATGAGGAGGAGTATTCTGGCATAGGTAACAGACAAAAGCCCTAGGGTCAGAGGAGGAGAGCATGTCTGAAGAACTCGAAGGCTACTATGGCTGCAATGGAGAGGGTATGGGGAGCACAGTGCCAGATGTTAGGGGCTGGCATATACTAAATTTGGCCATGAGTAAACAAAAGGGTTAGGAGGGACTGCAGTCTCCTGAACTCTATTAGGCATGCCTGTCTGGCACTAAACTGCTTTCCAAACAAACACAACAGTTAGATACTCATCCTTTTATAGTTGCTGAAGGGCAAATTCCTTTAATTCCAATGAAAGAACCAAGTTCTTATAGCACAAGTGGCAACAGCTCTGGCTTCCCACAGTGTGAGAAAACAGGGGAGGCTTACAACACCTTAATTTGAATGCATGTAAGGAATCATATTTAATGTCTTGATGCCTCAGCAGGTCCTCATTAGCAGAGAAGTCTGGACTCTAAAGAGGTAGTGACTACACTCTGAATTCTGCACAAATCTTAAGGCATAGTATATTTGAGGCCCCTGATAACACACATGAGTCACAATGCCAAGGACCCTGGCAAACACTTTAGTGCTTGGGAATCTTTTTGGAACATGATCTAGCAAGCTCGTAAAACTCAGCAGACTGAATTGCGGGAGCTGCACCAAATGGGCGATATCAATAAATATTTGAGACAGTGGAGGTAGGGGGTAGGCGGGGAGGATCCAAAACTTTAATGTGGCTGCAGACATTCATGGATATCTGAGTGCTGGAAGAACCAGTCATGTCCAGTGGCCCCCCTCCATATCAACTAAAGTTAGTTCTGTAGTAATAAGACCCCTGAGCGAGAGGGAAGACTCAAGATGTGGACTTAGGCTGGACAAGAAAATTTATAGCCAAAGCATCTCACCAGCAGCCTTAAGTGCTAAGAAAGACAGAAAACATCTTGACTAATACAAGGCAGACTGGCTCAATCTCCAGCTAATAAACCCTAGAGCAGTGAGCATTTCACTCTTCAGACTAGAATGTCCAAGGTGAAAGGAACCCAGGATTAGAATTTATGGCTCCTTGAAGTCATTTCTTACTTTCTCATCTATTCAGGGACCCAAACAAGTATGCTGGCAAAACTTGCTTACATGATACACTAAAAATAAAGATGGAGTCCCAAGTTTATTTCCCAATTTATGGCTCGTTGAAGCAACTTCTTACTTTCTCATCTCTTCAGGAACCCAACCAAGTGTGCTGGCAAAAGTTGCTTGTATAAGACTCTAAAAATAAAGATGGAGGCCCAAGTTTATTTCCCCCACAGTCAAAATTCTAGAAAAATGATCAACAATGGGTTTGTGTCATTTTAGTAATGCCAGAGGGGACTGGAAGTTTTCTAGTTCCTTGAATGGCTATATGCAACTTAATATAGCCATCTGGAATAATTCTTTTTCCAGATACTCTGGAGAGAAAAACATTCTTCCAACATTTTTCTTATCATCATATCTGATGACAAGATCTGATCAACTCCTGTTCTTTTACAGGTGATAGAAGCCACCATTAGCAGATACCATAAGGAACCCTGAAAGGCCAGCTCTGACAGTCAAAGACTAGGATAAAAACAAGGGTTTTGCCTTGTTTCTTTGTGAAAAAAATTATTAATGGGAAATCTATCAGCCTTAGGAAGTCAAACCTTTCCTTGCATAATAGGGAAAATGTAGCTAAAACTATTTAAATATTATAAGAAACCATTTTTTAAAAAGTAAGACAATCTGAGCAACCAAGATGGTTTCCAATGAGTTTGAAATTCAGGACATTCTTTCGGTTAAGGAGGTTTGTTTCCTTCCTCGTACCCACAGCCACTTCAGGGCTGGGAATCCTCAGCTAACTTTTGGCACTCACTCAAATCCAACCAGATGGATAAACACTTGGTTTAACTGAACCAATGCTGTGGAGCGCTCTGCATCTGCTGCCGCTATCCTCAAAGTCTGGGACAGGGACAGCATGAATAGAGTCAGCTCTGACTTTCAGTGTTGCCTGCCTAGTTATAAAACTCAGACTAATTATCTGGCTTAAAAATTCATCATCATATGCAGTTACATTATTGCCTCTGTCGCGTTCTCCTAAGCTAATCTGTACCTTGACCTTTTCCTCTCTGTACTCCTGTGACACTGCTTGCCTTCACACATGCCATTAACTGGAACTCTCTTCCCTCTTGTCCCCCTCTTTTTTCTCAACTAATTTCTCAATTTCTTTACATTACCCACCTCCCCTATCCCCAAATTAGAGACCCTATGCTCTGCCTCTGTTTTTCATCACATATGTATATGAGACTAACTGGTGAATGTCTCCCCTACTATCTGCCACCAGAGGATGTTCTATGAAGCACCTACTGCAGGCCAGGCCGAGTGGGACAAATGATGTGATAGACACTGGGGCCTATCATCAAGAAGCTTGTCCTCTAACAGAGAGGAAGAAAAACAAGCGAATCAAGAGTTTCCGGGGCCGGGACCACAATTCGCACAACGCATGGGGTGAGGGAGAGGAAACTCTACCCGTGCAGAAAGCGTTTCTTTTTTTTTTTTTTTTTTTTTTTGAGATGGAGTCTTGCTCTGTTGCCCAGGCTGGAGTGCAGTGGCGCGATCTCGGCTCACTGTAACCTCCGTCTCCCTGGTTCAAGCAATTTTCCTGCCTCAGCATCCTGAGTAGCTGGGATTACAGGCACGCGCCACCACGCCCAGCTAATTTTTGTATTTTTAGTAGAGACGGAGTTTCACCACGTTGGCCAGGATGGTCTCCATCTCCTGACCACGTGATCTTTCCACCTCGGCCTCACCAAAGTGTGGGGATTATAGGCATGAGCCACCGCGCCCAGCGGAGAAAGTATTTCTAACGGAGATGTTGGCATAAGCAAAGGCAAAGAGGTGTGACTGTGTGCCCTACAAGCAGCTGGTTATTCCCAAAGCAGCGAGCCTTTGGCATGGAGTGGAGACAGGCGAGGCTGGAGAGGAAGCAGTGTCCAGATCACAAGATGTCTTTGTATGCCACGCTGGAGAGGGCAGAGTTCCCTGTAAGTAGGGCAGTAAAAAGGGCAGGGCTCCCTTTTGGTTAAAAACACGCCTCCCTCCAAATCTGTGGAAACTCAGGCCATAAACCTTCCCCTGCTCTTCTGCCAGATTTCCCATAAGCACCCCATGCATTCCGCTCAAGGGAACAAAAAGAGGGTGAGCAGCTTTTCCATGCATTCCAAATTCATTTCTATGAGCCATTGCCAATCAATCAGCACAGAGTGATGAGAATCTAGAGCTCATGGCTGGGCACAGACAGCTAAATCTGTCTGGTTCTTGTTCTCTTTTTTCTATTTTAATAGCATATAGTGAAAAACTTATTTTTTAATTTTTTAAACTAGGATTAAGTTTTAATGGCAGGGAATACTGTGACCACAGTTATGATCCCAAATCTTACTGAAAATTAATCTGTCCCCTACAGTCGGGTCATTAAGGCAGAGTCTTTTGAAGGTTGTTAAATTCCCACTCAATTATAGTTTTGACCACACTTTGAATGCATCCGGATGAGCTGGTGGCATCATATAAAAGTCAATGACGTGGACGGCGAGAGCCTGCAGATGCTTTAAAGTGGAAAGAACTAAAGAGTGTCTCCTCTTATCTTGAAGAACACTGTTTGCTCTAAAATCATGCCTTAATTTTTATGACACGTAATATAATGACTTGAAACTCAACCTTTGCAAATGAAGTATCTCAAGGTTTTCTTATTAGAGGGATAAGTCTGAGATATAAGATGGGAGAAAGATATATTGAATCGGAGTTAAGAAATAAAAAAGCAGCTGGGTGCAGTGGCTCATGCCTATAATCCCAGCATTTTGGGAGGCAGAGGTGGATGGATCACCTGAGTTCAGGAGTTTGAGACCAGCCTGGGCAACATGGTGAAACCCTATCTCTACTAAAAATGCAAAAATTAGCCGGGTGTAGTGGCAGGTGCCTGTAATCACAGCTACTTGGAAGGCTGAGGCAGGAGCATCGCTTGAACCCAGGAGGCGGAGATTGCATTGAGCCAAGATTGTGTCCCTGCACTTCAGCCTGGGCAAAAAGAGCGAAACTCTGTCTCCAAACAACAACAAAAAGAAGTAAAAAAGCTTAAACAGGAAATTCTTCTCCACTCAAAAAATATTTACTGTGCTCTTATGATGTGGTCAACAGAATGGATGCTGGAGATATTAAGAGACATAAGACTTGCTCTCTCATCTCACAAGGTATGCCTGAGTGGAGCAAAGGGGGAGAAAACGAGACAAAGATAAATTTGGCAGGAGTAAAACTGATCATTAGGCCGGTTACTGCGATGTATGCTTGAGCAGAAATACAGCCGGAATTTTAGGATCATATCTGCATGGTAAACCAGTTTCCAGAGGAAGTGATCCGTGGCCTAATAATGTAAACTAGCTCATAGCTAGGAAACAATGACACCTGTGACTAATGGGAAAAAGAAAAAGGAAGAAGACGAAGAAAAAGTCTCCAGCTCTAGCTTCCCCAAGATACATAGAGACTGCCTTCGACTGCTGTATTATACTCGGCTGAGATTCTTGGTAGCTCTAACTCATCGATATGGTCCAGCAAAATGCAAAATGTCACTCTACAGTGACAATCTTTGCTTAAAGAATATGATATTTAGCTATGAATACCAAAATAAAAATGAGCTACATCAACCTCTTCCCTTCATTTTTAAACTCAAAAACCCGTGACGTTCTGTAGAAAAGGAAAACTCTTTTAAACAGAAGCCATGGGAAAACATCAGTTAGGCTTTTGTGATTTGAAAATGAATAATCTTATTTTATGAAATTCAAAGAGAAATAAAATACTTTAGAAGGAGAGGTATGTCTAAAGTGAGCTATATACAACTCCCATCTTCTTGGTTTCAGATCTGTAATTACGCTTATGTGCGGCTACAGTATAGTGAGAACAAAATAGGCTCAAGACTCAGCCAGAAACATGAATACAATTCTTGACTTTGAAACTTGGTAGCAGTGTGACTTTGGGCAAGGTATGTAACTTTGAATCTCAGTGTTCTCCTCTGTAAATTAAAAATCCCAATTTTTGCTTTTGGGGACTTCTGCAATGATAGTAGATACCAGATATCTAAAGCACCTGACATATAACAGGTTTTCAACAAATTCAAACTAATTTTATTATTTTTTATGTTCCTCATAAATTCTTGGGCATAAATTGTTATTCCTCATGACTTCTGAGCAGGGACAGATAGTGATGAGAGCATTTCTTTCTGGATGGGAACAGTAAACACAACTCCATATTTTTGTGACAGTCCAGAGAGAATGCTCAATTCATTCATCCTAGAAGAATTTTTCCTAACACCTCCAGGGTGACATAATTATTGTCTTGGGGGGTGGGACAAGTGTCAAGGCTGAAGCAATCACGGCATTATCACTATGCTAAGAGCCAGCAACAGATACTAAACAGAAGTTATAAATAGCAAAGCAAGACCCAAAAATGCAAAGTAGAAAATACAGTATTCCAAACTCTCAAACGTCCCCAGCAACAGATCCAGAGAAAGAGTTACTCAGACAAAAGCTACCATTTTTTTTTTTTTTTTTTTTTTTTTGAGATGGAGTCTCCCTCTGTTACCCAGGCTGGAGCGCAGTGGCGCGATCTCGGCTCACTGCAAGCTCCACCTCCCGGGTTCATGCCATTCTTCTGCCTCAGCCTCCCGAGTAGCTGGGACTACACCCACCACCACGCCCGGCTAATTTTTTTGTATTTTTAGTAGAGACGGGGTTTCACTGTGTTCGGCAGGATGGTCTCGAACTCCTGACCTTGTGATCCGCCGGCCTCGGCCTCCCAGAGTGCTGGGATTACAGGCGTGAGCCACTGCTCCCAGCAAAAGCTACCATTTTTAAGCCCTTACTCCATGCCAGAAACTGGATATGCACTTTGCATGCATCAACTCAATCTTGACAACACTGACTCTGAGATGGATCCTATTATTCTTCCCATTTTATAAACAAGGACACCTCTGTTTTCACCGTCTTCGGATGGTAGGTAATTTTCTGGAGGTCCCCCAGCTGGTAAGTGCTATAAATGGAATTTGAACTCAGGTCTGTTTGACTCCAGGACTTCCACTCTTCAAAACTGTGCCATTTCCAATTACATCAATGGAAAACATAGGTCATTGTCTTAAAGCAACCAAGTAATATATTCCCCAAACAGCGTGCTTAGTCTTCCAGAGTTTGATTTTATTTTATTCTCTATGGTGTGAGTCCTGACTAGAATACAGCCAAAGGCTCTGCTCTGATCCCAGGCTGTTCCTTCCCATCTTCACTGCCAGACCCTCCTCTTCCCACTTCTAAATGCTGTAGAGCCCCAGGACTCTGTCCTGGCTCCTCTCCTCCTCTATCCACAGACCTGCCCTCAGTGATCTCATCAGTCCTGTGGTTGATATACAAGAAAGAATAATCTGTATGCTGAGAGCTCTCAGTAGAACTTTTGGTGTCTTTACCCCAACACCCACCCACTCCACCACAACAATAAAACAAGACAAGACCTCCGTTTCTCCCCCAGTGAAGGCCAAAAACCCAGGAGTCATCCTTTATCCCCCTTCCCTACACATATCACATCTAGCTCATTGGTTAATCCTGTTGGCCTTATCTTTAAAAATATATCCCAAATGTGCCCACTGTTCAGCATTTCCACCACTACTACCCTAGTCCAGGCCCCAGTGTCTTTCATCTGCACTACTGCTTCAGCCTCCCCAACACCACACTAGCTCCTGTTCAGCTCATTTGCCATAGAGCAACTGGGTGTCCTTGGGAAAAGAAACACCCTCACCACAGATTGTGCCATTCACACCCTCAGAACCCTCCAGTGGCTCCCCATTACAATTAGAACAGAATTCAAACTTCTTCCTGAGGTCCCCAAGCTACCACTTCATCTGGCCCCTGCTTAGCTCTGCAAACTCAGCTTGTACCACACAGATCTTACTGTTCCGTGACCACGCCCAGGGTGTTTCCACACCAAGCAGGTGCCTTTCCCAGGGTTTTTGCACTTGCTGTTCCCTCTTCCTGGAGGAACCTTCCTCTACCTCTTCACAGGGCTTTGCTCTCTCACTTCATTCAGGTCATGGCTTAAATGCTACCTCCTCAGAGAGCCTTCCCTGACCACTTGGCCTAACACAGCTCCTTGTCCATCCTCAATACTTGGGCTTACTCTTACCTGAGGGCACTTACCACCACCTGAAATTATCTTTATAATGGATTTAGTCTATACTTCTATTTTTTAAAAAAATTTACCACTGTATTCACAGGTCGTAAATCCGGAGTAGGTACTCAATGAATATGTGCAAATATCTGCATCTTGCCTCAATTTAACTTTAAGCTCTAAGACAGCAGGGACTCTGTCTTGGGCACTGCTATATCCCCATGCCTAGAATAGCACTTGGTATATAATAGGCATCCCCATATTTGAAGAATGAATAAGTGAAAGGCTCCTAGCAGTCCTACATATAAAGGTCAGCTCCCATCTTATAGGCAAAAGAGTGACCAGGACTCACCTACTAGAATGGCCATCTGAACTTGTGTTTGAATAGTGTAAGGTCCCCCACTATCCAGAGGTAGGTCATACTCCTGAGGCTCCCCAGTATATCCTCCCCATCCAGATGCTCTGGAGCTATGTGACAGCTGGCTTGGTCTTTTAAAGAGGGAGAAGACCATGTGAGGCAACATGAGCCTAGGCTTTGGGCACCAGGAGAATCCTGCATCTCATCTATCTCTAGATTCTCCCTAGGCCCTGCAAAGCTTCTGTCAAACAAGCTCACTTTCCCTAGGCACGCTGCACCACTGGATCAATTTCCACCAATGTTACCATGCTAAGGCTATAGGGAAACGAGTCCACAGGTAAAATAGGTCCAATGTACACATAACAATATCCCAAGGAGTCATTGAGATGAAGCAAGTGCTTGCTCCAAGACCTGAACAAGGTAAATATATTTAAAAACATGTTCGTTTAATCCGGTCTGACAGTGAGAAGGGTTTGTATGGGGCCGACAATACCAGGCTGGTTGTCCCGTGTCTGGCACACCCTGCAGGTTTTTTCAGTTAAATGTAATAATCAAATCAGCTGCACAGCACCGTTAACTCTGAAAAGGCAAAGGGAGCTTCCTGGGTGATCTCCCTGCCTGCCTTTCTCCCGTGCCGACTACAAAGACCAAAGAATCGTAGCCTGGTAGCAAAGGTGTTTATAGACACATAGAGGACGCTGGAAACAGAGAAGGAGAAAAATGGGGAGGTTTCTGCTCTAGCAGTCTCCAAAGGAGAAAGCGCTTACTTCACAGTAGATGTCTGAGAAAAATAATGTTTCATAGGCTTCCTCCACCTAACTTGTTTGGTTGCCCAACTCTATAGATCCTTTGTGCCCTCCCATCCCTCTACCATTTCCAAACTGACTTTGCACTCAGACATGACAAAGCTTGTAAGCACTCCCAAGAGAGCACAAGTTAAAGGAGGGAGAGACAGGCCTTCTGCAGACTAGTTATGTGAAAACAAAGGAAAAGTTAAACACATGATAAGATAAAGTAATAATCCTAGCACTTTTCCCACAGCCAATATTATCCTTTACTGATCCAGCTGGAAATTACTCTGCATTTGCAGAGCACAATCAAGATATCAGGTGCATGTCTGGAAGTTTGGTTTCTTGAAATAAAAATGCCATGTATGTTTAGTGATGCTACCATAACCACCGGTTTCACCAGTCAGCCATCAAGAAAGTATTTAAGAACCCAAAGAGCTCAGATGCTAAGAAAGTCTCTAAAGTTGATTTTTCCACCTCTTAGGCCAATCAAACCCACCTGTCTTATTTCACCACAGTTGGACACAGGCCAGCTTTCAATGAATATGTCTGAATATCTGCCTCTTGCCTCAATTATAATTTAAGTTCTAGGACAGGTTTAAATTATTGATGTTAATAGGAGAGAAGCAATTGTCAATTGTCTCTGCTTACCAGCAAGACACATTCCTGAAAAGTTTTCTCTGAAACAAAATACTATTATCTGAAAACCTCCCCCACCCCGCCCAACTGCTATAAAATTCCAGATGTAGTCTGAGATGGCAAACTAAAAGCAGACTGAATCAATCTCTTCTCTAGCACGGTCCATCAGTGTCCACAGCCGAGGGAATAAAACGGACACACTCAGGTCTGGATACTGACCAAAATAAAAAACCAAAATCCGAATTGAAATCCAGCAGGGGCAGGACTAGAGTTAGACAGGAGACACACCCAGGCCACATTTAAAGAGGCCCTCACTCACTCTCGGGATGGTTGCAGGTTATTGCCTCCTTCAATTTTGCACCCAGGTGTCTCTTCTGCCTCGCCCTAGGCCCAGCCCTGCTAACACATCATTTTGGTGTCCTGACTTACTTTCCCTGCAATGAAACTTCATTTTTTATTGAGTTAGCGTAACATGATTGGCTGGGTAATGCAGGAACCTAAACTTTGTTAAGGTTTTTCTTTCTTGGTTGACTAGCCTGCTAGCTTCCTCCCTCCCTTCTTCCTGTCCACTCACAGAAGGTGAGAAAATACAATAGTTTGTTCATTTCAATGGTGGTAGAATATAGGAGAGGGCATGCAGAGATGAACTGGCCTTTAGAGGCTGGCAGCAAAGGTGAGAGGCAATCAGGGGCTTAAGGAGATTCCTGGAAACCAGGGTTGGGGGAGGGGAGATATGCTCAGTCTGCATCCCAGAAAAGAAGAGCCTAGGCACCAACAGCTACAGCCCCACCCTACTCTTGGCCTTCGAACCCTCTAGGTGGTCCGAATAGCTATGCAGACCCAAGGTCAGAAAGACAGACTTCTCTTTGATTGCACAGTTTACTTTTAGAAATTGCTCACAACAGTCAGACATTTCAGACCCATCCTCAAGAGAGACTTTCCACAAAGACGCTGGCAGCGCCCTGTCATCTGTGCAAGCCAGAAATGGTGGCACCCCATAGCCACGGTGACCTGCTTAAGCCAGGAGCCCTAGTCCTAGTCATCTACGGTGAGCCTTTTATGAGTTCTGTCTGCTGCTGCTTGGCTTCTGAGGTGGTAGAGCCCTTTTTAGGGAGGCTTGTGGCAGAGGGTTAAGAGCCTTTGCATTTTATCATAAGCAGGACCTGCCAAAGCCCCAGTGAGGACAATGAGAAGAACCGGTGCTGGGGTTTTCTATGTCAGATCTCTCTGGGTGGTTCAACATCAGCCCATCTGTAATCCTATGAAGATATTTAATCCTTCAGTTCCTGGGTTCTTTTTCTTCCCTGATATTCCAGGTCTTCAGCCAAGCTGTTCCAATTCTTGGCCTGGAACACAATTCCACCAGCCTCCACTCCAAGACCTGTAGCTTAGCTAACCTGCTCCACTCTTTTACAGTTCATGGTAAATGGGAAATACTGGCGCCCACATACCTGAGGCATTCACAGAACTTAGAGCACCGCCTGGGACACATTAAGTGCCATCTGAAGTATTCTGTATCCATATCTAGCCATCGATCCAAAATGAAAAGTCTATCAGGCATATAAGCCAATTCAGTCATGACAGAGAATAATGTGGCACTATCTAGAAAAACTATGCAATTCCATTCCTAGGTAGGTATGCATCTTACTAAAACTCACACATGTGCAAAAGGATGTTTGCAAGGATGTTCACTGCAGCATTGCTTATAATGTTAAAAACTTTAGAAACAACTCTAAGCACCTATCAGTGCACTTAGGAATACGAGGAAAGGGATAAATAACGTGTGGCATATTTACACAGCATTTAAAGAGATGAACTAGTTTTTACCTCAAAAAAATAAAATTGAATGAAAACCCCAAGCTGAAAAATTAGAGTATACCCTGATAGCATTTATGAAAATTACAACACATATACAAATACCAGACGTCTATATTTGGACACACAAAATAATCCCTTTTAAAGTATCAAAACATAGTTCAAAAGGGTATATGCTAAAATTCATGTTAATGCTTTCCACTGGAGAGCAAAGGGAACTGAACAGGGTGTGCCAAAAGAGGATGCCAATGTTAACATTTGGGGATAAGGAACAAACTGACAAATGTTAGCTGTTATATAAATATGCCCACACATATAAATATATACATGAAAGATTATAGCAAAACATACAAGTATGTATGCTCCAAATTATTTTTTGTGCATTTTGCTCTATTTCAAAATAAAAAAAGGGAGAAGAGGGAGACTGTGCACATTTTGGACAATCAGGATTCCTTTACATTGTCTTAGAGAATTTTAAAAAGTGCAGTATACTTCAGGGGCTGACAGAGATGACAGAAAAGCTTGAGCATGGGGGCTCATTCTTGTAGTCCCAGCATTTTGAGAGGCTGAGGTGGGAGGATAGTTTGAGGCCAGGAGTTCGAGACCAGCCTGGGCAACATAATGAGACTGGCTTTTCAAAAAAAAAAAAAAAAAAAAATTAGCCAGGTCTGGTGGCGCACACCTGTAGTCCTAGTTACTTGGGAGGGTAAGGATCACCTTAGCCCAGGAGGTCCAGGCTGCAGCAACCTGTAATTGTGCCACTGTATTCCAGCCTGGGTGACAGAGTGAGAGCTTGTTTCAAAACAAAAACAAAAACAAGGCCAGGCACAGTGGCTCATGCCTATAATCCCAGCACTCTGGAAGGATGAGGTGGGTGGACTGTTTGAGCCCAGGAGTTCAAAACTAGCCTGGGCAACATGGTAAAACCCCATCTCTACAAAAAATACAAAAATTAGCTGGGCCTGGTGGCGTGCTCCTGTAGTCCCAGCTACTTGGAAGGCTGAGGTGGGAGGATCTCTGGAGCCCGGGAGGCAGAGGTTGTAGTTAGCTCAGATCACGCCACTGCACTCCAGCCTGGGTGACAGAGCAAGGCCTTGCCTCAAAAACAAAAACATAACTATTAAAAAGTTAATAACAATTTTAAAAATGCACATTTAATCAATATTGTCCTTAGCAGTAGTTCCCAAACTTTAGTGTAAATAGAAATCACTTGGGAGTTTATTAAAAATAGAAATCCCTGCATGTCATGCCTATCCCCACCATTATAATTCAGGAAATCTTGAGTGAGGCCCAGTGATCTCCTTTTTATACAAAAACCAAACGTCCCTACTATGGTATATAGTTAAGCCTTTGTTAAATGTTCTGAGAAACATTTTTTTAAAAACTCAAAAACTTAAAAGCAAATGAAAATTGCTATTTTGACCTAAAAGTCTATTCCCCTTTGCCAATAGCAACTGTTAAAATAAATTTATACATATTTTTAATAAAATTATATTTATATATATTTATATTTATATTTTGATAAGAAACTAAAATCACTATACATAATATTTACTTACATAGCTCTGTAAAATGTTGACCCTATAATAGAGGAATATTTTTAATGTGCAATTGAAATGTTAAAGGCACACTTGTTAAAATTATGACAACTCTTGTTCTAGGTAACAATTAACTTTAATGGAACAATTCTAGAGTTATAATTAAAAAGTAACCAGCACAGAAAACATGCAGCTTTAGGCTATCTAGCCTTTGCTATCCATTATCTAATGATAACCCACTTCTCTTCCCACCTCCCAGGCAGTCACAGTCCTCCTCCTGAGTTTCCCCAGCACCTATCTCACACCTTGGCACCAGCACACAGAGCTGGAGTGTAGTTCACCTGTGGACAGGCCCATGCTACCCTCTAGGCTGTGAGCTCCTCCCTCCTAACAGAGAAGGTGTCATGTCCATCTTTGGATACCTGTGTCTAGCAGTGTGTCTGGCATGCTGTAGGCATGTGATATAACAGCTGCTGAATGAGTTAGCAAGTCCAAACATGTCTTAGGTCTGAGACATCCAATGGAAAAGGAATCTCAAGTATAGGAGTTCTGGCAGACCTTCTCTAAAGGACCAGAGAGTAAATATTTAGCTTTTACAGGCCATGTGGTTCTCTTGCAACTTCTCAACCTGCCATCCTAGCTCGAAGGCTGCCATAGGTAACACATAAATAAATGAGCATGGCTCTGTTCCAATAAAACTTTATGAACACTGAGATCTGACTTTCATATAATGTTCATGTGTCATGAAGTATTACTCTTCTTTGCATTTTTTTCTCAATTATTTTAAAATGTTAAGAAAAATTATTAGCTTATAGGTCATACAAGAACCAGCAATGGAGTGTTCCAACCCCTTCTCTAGCAGACCTGGGCAGAGAGATTAATGGAAAAAGGCCAGGATACCAGACAGACTGAAATAGATGAAGGAGAAGTAAAAGAGAAGAGAAAGTTCTATAATGGACGAAAAGTCAGTGGATCCTTACAGTACCTGTAAGTAGGACAAAAACAATGCAGAAACACACACACAAAATAATACAGTTTGTTATTATTATTTTTCTTTTATTTTAAACCAGTTCTATATAACAGGAAAGGTCACTAATTAACTAATTAATGTCTAAGGAAGTCAGAAAAAAAATTGGTGTACTTAAAAGTCATTAGCAATACTAGTTAAAATGAAAAAAAATCCACAAAAACCTTTTTAAGATAAAAAGTTTTACCACCATTTCTACATTGCTAAAATGTATTCTTTCTCTCTGCTGCCTACTCTCCAGTAAAAATGCAAATGAGCAAAAAGCAGACAAAAGTCAGGGAGCAAAAGCAGACAAAAGGGATTCTGTTTCCGAATAACCAAGGATTGACTGTCCTGTCCTACCCAGTCCTGCTGTATAAAATCATAGATGTCTTCGAAGTTAACGGGAGCTCAGAGTCACAGAGTCTGCTCCTCTCATTAAAAAATAATTACAACTTTTTAAATAGCACACACAGTTATTTCATAAAAATTCAAAAATAAAGAAGCCAGGAGAAGAAAACCCAAGTTAAGATACTGATGGCTACCCTTCTAGACAGTTTTCCTTGACTGCAGTGTGTGTACATACTTTTTAAATACAAAAGTAATCCCTTTCATTTTGTAGATGAAGAAACTGAAGGCCTGGTACATTAGCCTAAGATCATACATAAAAAGAGTTAGTAAAAACCAGGATTAGAACCTCTTGCCTGCTGGGCCAATGCTCTCCCCTACCGCCAATAGGGAAATAAATAATTAGCCTCATAGATAAGTCAGTGCCTTTTCCATAGCAATTACTTAATATATTAATACATGGCAAAATGAATGATGCCAGCTGGGCTGACCCATTCCTTTACCTCAGTCTGGCTCAGTCTGAGCCAGCTTAATCAGAGATGCTCCCAACTTTATCAATAACACTAGAGAGTATAGTTTTCAACAAGCTGTCAAATCCCAAAGAACACAGGGATACAAGGACAGCCTCCTTACATGCCAAAGTTACTGGCATGTAACTTACAATTTTTGCTTTGGAACTTACCTTTAAACTTTTTTAAAAAATGAGGCACTATTCTGGGTCCTTTATGGATTAGTTTATTAGGAATTCAGTTGGATTCCCCTCATCACCTAAGGAGGAACTAAATTAGAAGGAGCAAAAAGCACCAAGATATTTGTAAAAGGTTTGCCTTAAGTTTCAGCTAAGATCAGATTTAACTATTACTAAAACAATTTCTTCTTTAAATTTTATTTTTTTAATGGACAAATTATAATTGTACATATTCATGGGGTACATAGTGATGTTCTGCTACACATAATGTATGGTGATCAGACCAGGGTAATCAGCAAATGCATCACCTCAAACATTCATTGTTAATGTTCAACATCCTCCTACTGGCTGTTTGAAACTATTTATAGTCATCCTAGAGTAGTATAAAATACTAGACTATATTTCTCCTATCTAGCTGTAATTTTGTATCTTTAACAAATCCTTCCCTATCCTCCCTTTCCCCTACTCTTACCAGTCTCTAGTAACTTCTTTTTTCACTTTTTACTTCTATGTATTCTCTTCTACTTTTTACTTCTATGAGATCGACCTTTTTTAGTTTCCACATGAGTGAGAATATGCAGTATTTAACTTTGTTTCTTCACTTAGTATAATGTTCTTCAGTTCCATCCATGTTGCTGCAAATGACAGGATTTCATTCTTTCTTATGGCTGAATAGTATTCCATTGTGTATATACACATGCCACATATTATCCATTCATCTGCTGCTGGACACATAGGTTGGTACCATATTTTGGTTATCATGAATAGTGGTGCAAGAAACATTAGTGTGCAGATGTCTCTTCAATGTAATGATTTCCTTTCCTTTGGAATAGTTTCCAGTAGTGGGACTGCTGGATCATGTTGTTGTATTTTCAGTTTTTAAAGAAACCTCCATACTGCTTTCCACAGTGGCTGTACTATGGAAAACATTCCCACCAATAGTGTATAAGACCTCCCTTTTCTCCCCATTCTCTCCAGCATTTATTTTTTTGCCTTTCTGATAATAGTCATCCTAGAGATGATACCTCACTGTGGTTTTAATTTTCATTTCCCTGATGATTAGTGACATTGAACATGTTTTCATATATTTGCAGGCCATCTGTCTTCTTTTGAGAAATACCTGTTCAGATCACTTGCCCATTTTGTATTGGGATTTTTTTTTTTCCTGTTGAGATGTTTGAGTTCCTTGTATATAATAGATCAGATAAGTAGTTTGCAAACATTTTCTCCCATTCTGTAGGTGTTCTTTTCATTCTATTGTTTTCTTTGTTGTGTAAAAGACTTTTAACAATGGGACTTTGACATCAAATTTTTGTTTGTTTGTTTGTTTTTTGAGATGGAGTCTCGTTCTGTTGCCCAGGCTGGAGTGCAGTGGAGCAATCTCAGCTCACTGCAACCTCCCCCTCCCTGGTTCAAGCAATTCCCCTGCCTCAGCCTCCCAAGTGGCTGGGGATTACAGGCGCATGCCACCACGCCTGGCTAATTTTTTTGTAGTAGAGATGGGGTTTCACCATGTTGGCCAGACTGGTCTCGAACCTCTGACCTCAGGCAATCTGCCCGCCTCAGCCTCCCAAAGTGCTGGGATTACAGGCATGAGCCACCACTCCTGGGCCACATTTATTTTTGCTTCTACTGACTGTGCTTTTAAGGTCTTATTCATAAAATCTTTTCCCAGAAAAATGTCCTGAAGCATTTCCCCTGTGTTTTCTTCTAGTAGTTTCATTGTTTTGGGTCCTACATTGAGGACTTTGATCCATTTTGAGTTGATTTTTGTACAGAGTGAGAGGTGGTGGTCTACCTTCATTCTTCTGCATGTGGATTATCCAGTTTTCCCAGTACCATTTATTGAAGAGATTATCCTTTCCCCAGTAAGTATTCTTGGCACCTTTGTCAAAAATAAACTGGCTGGAGATGTGTAGATTCATTTATGGATTCTCTATTCTGTTCCATTGGTCTATGGGCCTGCTTTTATGCCAGTACCATGCTGCTTTGGTTACTACAGCTTCGTAGTATATTTTGAGGTCAGGTAGTGTGATACCTCTAGCTTTGTTCTTTCTCAGGACTGCTTTTGCTATTCAGATTAATTTAGGGGTTCTCTATTCTGTTCCATTGGTCTATAGGCCTGCTTTTATGCCAGTACCATGCCGCTTTGGTTACTACAGCTTTGTAGTATATTTTGAGGTTGGGTAGTGTGATACCACTAGCTTTGTTCTTTCTTAGGACTGCTTTTGCTATTCACGGTCTTTTGTGGTCCCATATAAGTTTTAGGACTTTTTATTTCTATGTTTGTGAAGAATGTCCCTGTTTTTTTGTTGTTTTTTTTTCTGCGATAGTGTCAAGATCTGTCACCCAGGCTGGAGTGCAGTGGCACAATCTTGGCTCACTGCAACCTCCGCGTCCCCAGTTTAAGTGATTCTCCTGCCTCAGCCTCCCAAGAGTAGCTGGGACTACAGGTGCACACCACCATGCCCGGCTAATTTTTGTATTTTTAGTAGAAATGGAGCTTCACCATATTAGCCAGGCCGGTCTGGAACTCCTGACCTCAGGTGATCCATCCATCTCGGCCTCCCAAAGTGCTGGGATTATAGGCATAAGCCCCTTCACCTGGCCTGTCCTTGGTATTTCGATAGGGATTGCACTGAATCTGTAGATTGCTTTGGGTAGTGCTGTCCTGTTAACAATATAAATTTTTCTGATCCATGAGCATGGGGTGTCTTTCCATTTGTTTGTATTCTCTTCAATTTCTGTCATCAGTGTTTTGTAGTTTCTCTTGTAGAAGTTTTCAATCGTCTTAGTTAAATTTATGCGTAGGTATGTGCCTATTTATGTCAAGAGTCACTATATATTAATAACATAACAAAGAAGGGATAATCTACATGTTTGCCAGTGTTCTTTGCTTCATTAACAATCTGGTTAGGGCTGGGGAGAATGACCTTGTAGGACAGACAACATTTGGAAGGGAAGCTCATAACTAGGTAGCATGCAAAGCAGTTTAAGTGGCAGTTCTATTATGAAGGGAAATGTAGTTCTTAAAGTAGCAAAATGGCAAGATTATCTTTTAATACAGAGAACAAGAAAACCTGACTAACCACCTAGCCTGAGAGACATATTTGACATGGGAACCCCCCCACATTTGCCTGGTGACTTAAAAAAAACAGGTTTAAATGTGCTGGATTCTGAGGACTGGTGAACCAAGAAGCTACCATCGGCACTCCACCAAACACCACTGGAGACAATTCTGGGCCCAGGGGACATCTGAAGACATGCTGTGAAGGGAGCCCAGGCCTTTGGGAAGTGCTAGCTCCCAAAAAAACAGAATCAGGCTTCTGGGGAACCAAGCTGTGTAACCAAGTATTAGGAAAATATCTGAATGCTGTTTGCTGTTTTGTATTTATTATGATGATGGTCTTATCTTCCACATAATGATGCATAATAGGGCTATTGAGGCACTTACAAGATCCATCACAGAGTTAAAATTTGTAACAAGACCTGAAACTTCTAATATAAAACAGGAATTCTCTAAGGCAAAAAACTGAATTTCAGCAAGCACAACTCCTATAAACAGCTGACATTTTTACTTGTTTGGCATCTTTTGAATGATGGCATCCAATTTTTCCTTGGAAAATTTCCAGTTGGATGTCTTTCTCCCATTACATGTGGTCCTATCAAGAAAGACAGGTGAGTCCCCAACTACCGCCTTAGTACAGATGTGGGGACCTTACCCAGGAGAGACCATTATAACTCTTTTTACTAGGAATGTTAACCTGCAGCAGATTCACAAGGGGACAAAGGTAGTTGGAACTGAGACATCATAAAGGTAGTGCTTGAAAAGGGCTACCCATGAGTTACCTGGATATTTTCCACTCATTCACTTATTCAACAAATATTTATTGAGCAGTGCAGGCACTGATCTAGTTGCTAAGGATACAGTAGTGTAGAGCAGACAGCAATTGCCAACCTCGTGGAGCTTACATTTCGGGGAGAAGAAAACAACGAGTAAACAAATCAAATATATAGTATATTAGATACTGACATGGTTATGGGAAAAAATTAAGCAATTCTAGTAGGTAGGGAGTGAAGGAGCTGGAGACTGCAATCTTAAAACAATCGAGGAAGACCTCATTGGGAAGGAGAGAGGATGGCAGGAGGGGAGATGAGGTCTGAGGCCTGAAGGACAGAGTCCTGGGGCATAGCAAACAGGACTGAGAAGCAGAAGTCAAGGAGGCAGGAGGAAAACCAGGAGAGTATGGTGTCCTGGAAGCCAAGTGAAGAAAGCTTATCAAGGAGGAGAGAGTGGGAATCTGTGTTAAATCCTTCAGAGCAATTAAGGAAGGGAACACTGAAATTGATTCAGCAACATGAGGTCATCAGCAATACTGATAATGAGGCATTTCAGTGGACTAGTGTGCATAAAAAGCCTGAGGTTCAAGAAAGAATGAGTGGGAAGAGAGGATTTGGGAACAGCAAGCACAGACAACTATTTGAGTTCTTCTGGGAAAAGCACAGAAAAATGGGATAGTACCTAAAAGGGGATATGGGATTGAGAAAGATTCTTTGTAGTTGTTGCTTTTTCCTTTCTCATGTTTCAAAGGATTGCATAAATTACAACATGCTTATGTGCTGATGGGAAAGATTTAGTAGAGACAGAAAAGTTAATGGCGTAGAAGAAAGAGGGAGAAACTACTCAAGCACCCAAGTCCTTACAGATCCAACGGGGAGTCAATCGGCTCTAGTGTCCCAGGAAAGGGAATGCCTTTAGGTAGGAGCACTGGGTTCCCCTGTCGCACAGGAGAGATGGCAGAAACATAGGCACAGGTGTGGATATTGTGGTGGTAGCTTGCAGAAGTTCTCTTCTGATTGTATCTATTTTCTCTGTGGAATGAAAAGCAACATCTGAGATGATCATCTAGAAGAGAAGAAATGGCCTAGAGAAATGTAGTAGGATGCCAGGTACCACAAGCGCCCTTGAGGTTGCTTTGCGATGTCTGATGGTTCAATTCTACTTTCCATTACGTGATTGACCCAGGAGCCTTTCAATAAATTTTATTCCTTTTATTTTTTATTTTATTTCTTGAGACAAGGTGTTGCTCTCTCACCCAGGCTGAAGTGTAGTGGCATGGTCTTGGCTCACTGCAACCTCTGCCTCCCTGGGCTCAAGCGATTCTCGTACCTCAGCCTCCCAAGTAGCTGGGACTACAGGCAAATGCCACCACACCCAGGTAATTTTTGTATTTTTAGTAGAGATGGGGTTTCACCATGTTGGCCAGGCTGGTCTCGAACTCCCGGCCTCAAGTGATCTGCCTGCTTTGGCCTCCCCAAGTGCTGGAATTACAGGCATGAGCCACTGCTCTTGGACCCTGTTTTTATGTTTTAAATTAACCACAGTTGACATCTGTTGCTTACAGCCAAAGAACTAATATACAAACTGATTTTTGAGGCCTAGGGTGCCCCATTTTCTCATGGAATATCTGACTTTAATAAAATAGTGACCCTATTCTACCCAATTCTAGGCATCTCCAAGTACATAGCAAGACCTGCTTGCAATACACCAACAAGACCCAACATTTTGTGTTCCTTTACCGCCTACTGAAGAGAATCAAGAATAGTGACTTATAATACCAAATTGGAAACACGAAATAAATCAGGATGCTAAACTGCTGGAAGAAAAACTTTCCTGTGTATGTGTGGAAGCAGAAAAGACTGATACCAAAATTCAAACCCCCTGAACTTTTGTTCAAGCCCTTTCTTGGACTGAAACTGCAAAAGTGAAAAAATATCTACCAAAACAGAATGAAGCTGAATATAGGCATGACCTTCTTTAGAGTATAGATTAATACTTCAATACAGATTTCAGTAACTCGGGAAAGGAAATCCATGTGAAGACTGCTCCCAGGGGGAAACTGGAAGGTCAAGAGGGCCGTTTTCACAGTGGATGGTCATGTTTAATCTGGGAATGACATCTGAGAGGGCAGTCAAACTGAGTAAAACAGAAGGAAAGTCAGACTCCCCCACAAAGGGAAACATCTCAAAGATCACAAAGATGAGTGGAAATTTCCAGACCACGCAGACAAAGATGAGTCTTCATGATATAACGCGCCATCCCCCTCCAGGAAATTAAGAGTTATTAAACTCTAGCAAAGACAGCTGCATCGGAGATGAAATCAGCCTTGCGACACCAAGAAGCAGAAGCGGGAGGGGGAGGGGCAGAGGAGGGGGAGGGGGAGGTAACCTCCATGGAAATCAGCCCTACGTGGCTTGTTCCTTCAAACAGGTGCACCACCCCACAGAGCATTTGAATCACGAAGAGCCCTGATATTCACAGGGAAGTGTGAGACTTGCAATAAGGTAGGACCTGAAACCAGATATGAACAGCTCTTTCTCCCAGCTGCCCCTGTGCTGGCTCATCTTCTGCTAGGAAGGGAGAGATGCTCAGCCCTTTGGGCCAAATGCACACAAACTGCTAAGCAAACACAAGCAAGGCAAAAATAAACACATGCACACACAGAAATCTCCCAAGTGGACAAGAGCTGTGTGTGCTATGTTTTCAGCATCCAGCCCTCAGGGTTTTGCTTGCCAATAACAAAACTATGAAGAAAGCCCCATCTAGTCAGCAAGAATGACTTATTTTGGTTTCAACAACTGCCCCAATTTCCCATACCCTAAAACCAGCTCTATCATCTTCTTTCTCCCGTTCCCGGATTTCTCCAACAGATTGTAGAAATTAACATTTATGGAAGGTGTATTATGTGCCAGGCACTCTTCTAAGAACTTTGTGTAGATTAATTTAATCTGCACAACTCTAAAAGGGTGGGCACTATTACTGTATTACTTTAGGTTTTCCAGAAAGAAGAGACTTGAAGTATAGTCACGCATCGCTTAACAATGGAGATATGCTGAGAAATATGTCATTAGGCAATTTCATTGCTGTGTGAACATCATAGAGTGCATTTGCACAAACCCAGATAGATGGTCGAGCCTGCTGCACACCTAGGCTCTGTGGTATAGCCTATTGCTCCTCGGCTACAAACCCACACAGCATGTTTGTACTGAACACTGTAGGCAACTGTGACACAATGGGAAGTACTTGTGCATCTAAACATAGCTAAACATAGAAACTATAGAGTAAAAACATGATATAATCTTAAGGGACCACTGTCATATATGTGGTTCATCGTTGATAGACACGTTGTTATGTGGCGCATGACTGTACATAAAGGCTTACCTGACACTACTTTACCAGGGGATTCTTGGGGGAATGAGGCGGAGAAGAGAAGCTAGACCCCACCTGGTTCAAGCACTAACACAATTGCTCAATCTCTTGAGACCATCTTCAAAGAGGCTGTTGAACAATTGCTTCTGAGATACTCAGCTCCCTTCTCCCACTGGCCAAAGGTTTTCCCCTCAGAGTTTTTTAACTTCCCCTTGTCCCAGCGTATCCGTGTGTGAATGCCATTTTGTGTCATGCCTCCCTAGGGTGGGAGGTAAGAAACGCAGGCATGAGGCTCCAGGCTACCAGGCTGCACTTGCAGGAAGGGCAGCGGAGCCCACACAGAAGTGGTCATCTCAGTGGTGGCTGCAATACAAACAGGAGAAGCCAAGAAAACCTGATGTGCGAAGTTAAAACTTTCTGATACAATTATTATCATCTTTTTCAGATTAGGAAACTCAGGCAGAGAGAAATAATTCACATGCAAGGTTACATAAGAGATGAGATCAAAATCAGGCAGTTTGGCTACAGAATGTTCTCTCTTCACCACTGTGCTCTTATGCCCCATGGATTAACTTCATATACGTAGAAGTCTGCCAGCTGCCACGTTTCAGCCACAATTGTTCTGAAGAGCTGGTGAGTAACCAGTCAATGTAAGAACATAAGTATCGCAGATAACACTCATGATGCAATTCAAAGAGGATGCAGCAAGAGAGGACTCCAGTGCCCAAAACAGTGTGAGCGAATCAATTTATCCACCACCACTCAGCCAAAAAGAGAGGCATTTCATGAAGAACACGCTCCCAAGGCCAATGTATAAGAAATCTAAGCTCTGCTAGGATTAGCAAGGAAGAAACTGAGTCATGTTCATGTTTGCTGATACTCTCTCACTTTTATAATACTCCCAAAATTAAAGGCGGCACCAAGTAAGAAAAACAGAGTGTCTTCCTCCCACTCCTCCCTTAATTTGGGAGGGGATTCCATGGACTCAGAAAAGGAAGAGATGAATCAGAAAACAGGAAATTTATTGAGAAAATAAATCCAAACATAAGTGGAACAACTCAAAACAAACAAGAGACCCAAATCAAAGGAGCTCTAAGACTGCTGAACATTAACAGCTTGAAGTCAAGCATTTCCCCTTTCAGAATGGGCGTTACATGTGATGTGAAAGATTTAGTTCCTTGAATTCAGAAATGTTGTTGGGTTTTTTAAGGCAAAAAATTTAAACTGAACTGATATCTTTCTCTCTCCTATCTCTAAAGGCTACAAAGCCACAGAACAGACAAATTCTTGGGTTGAAAGTAAGCAAAGGTCTGGCGGTGAGGCTAAATAATGTTGAGCTCTGATTTCTTCCTTTCCATTTCCATTAATTTAAAGTGCTAAGTTGTCTGTTTGCTTTAAAATATGTCGTTGTGCTCTGTGCAATGTCCCTTTAAATAGATTTTCCTTTGACTCTGCCAAAAATAGCTGGAGAAGGTCCTTTGAGAATCCCATTCTTAGTCTTAAAAAAAATGCACTCTTCTTCCTGCCCCATACCCATAAATAGGCCAGGAAGCGGTATCACTCACTTCTTTCATGGACCTCCCATCTATCAGAAATAATAAATCTTCCAGGAGAAAAAAAAAAAAAAAGAGCCAGTCAAGGAAGTAACTCCCTTAGCCCATTTCTGCTTGCTCATTTATGTGATTCACCAAACATCGAGCTCCTCTTTTGGCATAAGCCAATAGGTAGGCAAGGATTGAAAACCCAAATGCCTACAACACGGCCAGGCAGGTAGGAGACCTGAATGAAGTAGGCCGGGAGCAAGAGACAACAGGGACTGTTAGGAACTAAGGCAAACTGGAGAAGGCACACCCTGGGGGATAGGGTGTGGCTTCTACTCAGCTCCAGCCAATTGTCAGTGGTGAGATACGAATTTTTCAAGTAAAATCGCCCCCTTTAAAGATGTTGGAAACCTGTTCAAAGTTTCAAAACAGTAATGTGTAGGATACCACCACCACCAAACACATGTGTGGGCTGCTCTGGCCATGGGCTTCGTTTGTAACTTCTAGGTAAGAAACAAAGACAAGGGAGACAGACTGCCCATCCCCTGAGAGCTTAAGATGTCACAGGAGGGAGAGATACATACCTGGGCAAACTGTCCCACCAGGTGGAATGTGATACATGCTAAAAGAGACGAACAAGCAAAGGCTGTGGGAGCTCAGGAAAGCAAGAGGGCACTTGTGGCAGGAAGGATTCTTGTTGGCAGTGACATTGACATTTGAGCTGAAGCTAGAAGAATGAGGTAGCCTTTGGCAGGCAGAGGCTGGGGAGGGGCCATTCCAGACAGGAGAAAATGAATTGCAAAAGGTAAAAGGATGGAGCAGGGAGGTGGGTATTTGAGAAGCGGTCAAGAGACTCTTCATGCATTTGCCCAACAAATATTCATGAGCGTCTATTGTGTGCCATGCAGTAGGAACAGGATGGTGATCATGAGAAACAGACACAAGATGAAACTGCAAATTCCAAAAACGTCTGGTCCAGACAGGGCTTTGGAGGCCATTTCCAGGGTTTTATCTTAAGAGCAATGGGGAAGCTGCCTTTGAAGTTTTTTTAAGCAGGGGAATCACATGCTGAGATTTGCAGTTTTCAAAGTTCCCTGGAAGCACAACATGCACTCTGTGGACTGGAGAGGAGCCAGAGCTCCACCAGCCAGAGCAATAGGGAGGAGGCCTTCGCAAGCAGCGTGGGAAAGACACAATGGCAGCTTGGACTACAGGAGTACTGATGGAGACAGAGAAAAGTAGACAGATTCAAGAGATAGAAAAGGGTTAAAATCACTAGAACTCTGAGTTCCCGGTGGGAGTCAGTGAGGGAAAAGCCCGATAGGACTGGAGAATGGGGTCAATGTGGCTGCGTGGGGGTATCAGGCCATACCACCAGTGGCCCAGCGGCCAAGCAATCCTGCACTGGCAGCACTGCGGTGTTCAGTGGTTACTAGAGAGAACAAAGGTTCCGGAGCCAGGGTGTATGGCTGAGGGAAGGCAGCCAGAGAAACTCACAGGAGCTTTCCATCTAAGCCATCATCACAACATACTGTTTTCTTTAAATGTGTTTTGTAAAATTCTACGGCTATTTTATTTGGACTAGTCTTGATGGCAAATGAATAACTAGCACTTCTCATGTTTAACAGCTCATTGGTAAGTTAAATCTTATCTTCTAGATTTGGGATGGAAAAAGAGGGAATATTAGAGTATCTAAAATGTGCTTATGTTAAGTATTAATGTTCACTTTCTTTTATTTTGAACCCTTCTTAAGAACTTCAAGGAATGCTACTGAACCACTAGGGCTCATCCTCCTTGGTGCCAATGCCTGGCAAGACTTTTTTTTATAACCACAAGCATTTGTATATGAACCCAATTCACTGTTTCTAGATCATTAAAGAAATATGAATACATCCCTTTTTGATTTGCAGAGATGCCTGGAAGTACTCAGACTCAAGTCACAGGAACCAAAAAAAAAAAAAAAAAAACCCAAGCTACAACATGCTTAATTCTTGATAATTCTGCCAACAGAGTCTACATATTTTGATAAGGTCTCACTTGTATGCCAAGCATTTTCCCCACAATATTCCTTTATAATCCCAGTGATCTACAGAATTTTGTCCATTTTGGAAAGTCACAACATATAACAGATGATCAAAATAAACATTAGACAATTGGGTAATGAAAAGAACACATAGGGAATCAGCAAGAGGCAATGGAGTAAAGTCAATTTTGCCCTCTTCATTACCCTCTCTTACCTCCCACCAGCTAAAATCTTATAATTTAGTGCCTATGTGCCCACACTGCAGATGTACTCATCTCTCCTACAAAAATTGGTCTTTTTTGTCCTATATATCTTGATTGTGTTAGCACACCATGCAATAGACTTAATACTCTCTGTTGAATGTGATTTACCAAGACTACTTGCTGTAGACACCGTGGGCTGTCTTTATTCTGTCAAAGCTCTGCCTTTATTCTGATATCCAATCCTCCCACAAGTGGCTCAGATAAATCTTGTTGGGTGGAAAATAATCATGGTGGTCCTCAATGACTGCTCTGGACCAATGAGATGTGACATAAAGTGTGCTGGAAGATGTCTGGGAAAAGTATCATCCTAGCCCTTAAAAAGGGACTCAGAGAAGAAATAATGCCTTTTCTGCTTCTGGACAAGCACTAACATGCAAGGACACAATAAAGTATGCTGGGACTCTGCGAGGAGCTAGCCAACACAAGACGCTGGCTGAGCAGGAACATGAAAATAACCTGAGTCCTTCATGAGCTGAGAAACTAACCAACTCTCAGGACAGATTCTGTGTCATGACACAACAGATCTCCTTATTGTTTAAGCCATTTTCAATTGGATTTTCTGTTTCTTGCAGCTCAAAGCATCCTAAATGATACCATATCTCTCTGGGGAAGCAAGACAGTGCTCTGCCTCTCCAATGCCCCTGCAACAAAGGAACAGTTGCTCCAAAAAAGGAAAAAGACTCAGGTTTGTTTCTCAATAAGTATTTTGGGAAAACCAGCTGTGAAAAGGTATTTTTAATATCTACTCCTGATGTATGAAGAGTTCTTTGAAATCCTTCCTCACTGCATACACGGTAATAAATCTACAATGAGCCACTACGAATGGTATGTGTGGGGATATACAACATACTTGGAGTCATAATATGTAAACATTAGGAAATTACCATGAAATTAGTCTTTATTACTCATCTACTCTTATTTCCTCTATGATTATAAGAGTGGGATACTTTTCTCGTGTCCTGCTCCACCTGATAAAAATAACAGAATTATACAATTGGAAGAGAAAGAAAACTGAGGCTCAAAGAGGTAGAAAAATTGGCACAAGGATCCACAGCTATCTGGGAATGATTTTTTTCTTGCAAAAGTAAATCATGCAAAACTAAATCACGCAAAAGTAAAAATGCCTTTTGCATGATTTTAAAACAAAAACATTTGTTGAAAACTCAACACAAAGTCAAATTGCAAAGACTTGGAAAGTCAAAACTGGATTTTTAAAAGCTAATTTAATCACGACAATAAAATCTCCCTTTTGAACTCACTGCTTTGAGCTTCTTCTTTCTAATTCTAATATTCGCCTACATCCCAATCCATATTCCTCTCAATATCATTTTTCTCTGTCCTAGAAAATCCTTGCATATGGCCCATTCTCTGGGCCAGTGGTTCTTAGATCACTGTTCACATAATAATTACCTGCAAAATAAATCAGAAATGCAGATTCCCAGGCAGCGAGCCTGACTGAGTAGACCCACAGAGCCCAGAAATGTCAATGTAAACAAGCGCCCCGGGTTATTCTAACCATGCTTTGAGGCACATGACTCCAGACTGTATACTAGATTCCAAGATCCAAACAGAAAACATCTAATTATCATAGTAGATTTAAGCTGAAACTACAAAAATATGTGCATGGTTGCCTATAATTTTTATGTTCCCTCTGAGGTCTGAAACAAATCCAACATCTCTGTGATTTGGATGTACCCTGGTAATCATTTGCTTTAGAGGTTTGGAGTTTTTATCCTTCCCCCCACCCAATACTTTTTTTCCCCTCTGAATGAATTTTTAGCTGGGATTAAATATAAAATGCCTTAAATCTCCCTCTGTGGCTAAGGGAAATCAGTTTTGGAAAATGTTTCAAAAGAGTACTTTAAAAAATATACAATACAAAATGCTTGCCTTTGAACCAGAATTCTGAGATGCACAAGGCAAACAGTAAGTAATAAGAGAAGTAAACACCAGTTTTCCAGCAGAATCAGCCCTGAAACCAAAACTTAGGAAGGAAGCTGACCATTAAGTAAGTAGCCCAGAGGAACAATAGCTCAGGCATAGCCTAGGGTAAGTCTAAACCTGAGAAAACTGGAATCAGACAAACCTCTTGTCCCAAGTTAACTTTCCCTTACTGCTTGATTTTAAAATAAGGACAGTGCTGTAAATGAGAATATAAAGTTTAAGTGGAATCTTAGAACTCCTCTGGATGCCAAAGAATTTTTTCAGACCTAAATAAATACTCTTTACTGGATTCAACACTGCTCATTCATATCCTTCTCCACAGGGACATTTTAAATATAGAGGCTCGAGAGACAAGAACACAGCACGCTAAGAATTTGAGTCCGCTATAGTCTAATACTAGCTCTAACCAACTCACATTACAGCATGAGAGCTTGTCTACAGGTAGATTTCTTGATAATTAAATGATCAAAACATGCCATAAAACCACAGAAAATCATTCTCAAGTTTCACAGATAAGACAATGATCAAGAAATGCTATGAAGTAAACAACTCCAAAAATAAAATTGCCTTAAATTGGTTAGAAGGCCAAAAAAACAAAAATGTGTCAAGGTCACAACTGTGATTTGCAAATTCCAGTTTACAACTCTTAGGTTAGTAACAAGGATGGACTGAATGTAATGGGACTGGAGGGGGAAAGGGTGGGAAAAGGAGGAGAAAGTGAGTCATCCAACCAGGAGATGAACAAGTTCAACTGTTCAAGATCTACCTTAAGGGTTTGGTTTTGTTTTTTAAATCCTTTTTTCTTCTTCTTTAAAGAATCCTAACAATCCTAAAGGAAATTTAAAAGTAGGAAAAACGCAACACTGGCTCTGCTGGGTCACCCTTCACTTTTGGTCTCTCTCAGTTCAGTTAAGCTCTCCTTCCAACTGCACAGCTTGAAAAGGCCCATGGCTTTCAGATGGTTCCTAACCCTTCTCCAGCTGCTCTCTGCAGGCCTGAAGGCCTCTTTCAGACCCGATGGCCATGAAGCAGTCATGAGCATCCCCACACATGCTAGGCTGGAGGGTGCACCTGGAACCTTCTATGTCTTGGTGTTTGTCCTTCAAGTGTGCAAAGTTTTGCAACTAAGATCTAAACCAGCTTCTCTGCTTAACAAACGCCTGACTCTAGGTTGTGTGGAACTGGTACTCAACTGTCATCTCAGAGCATCTGGAGTTACTTTTTAAAGCCCAGTTCCCATTATTTTAAACATGCTTCATCGGGATTCTTTGACACCTTTAGGGCATTCTCCTGTAAACTTGCATGTTATCTGCTATTCTTCCTAAGTACTCCTGAACAAGCAGCTCTGATATGGAAAGCCAAGAAAAAAAGTTGGTCAATAATGGAGCAACTGTGGCTTTGCCGAATTCCTTCCCAATAACACACAAGACACTCTTGGCTTCTTGATGGAAATGAGGAAATGGTGGAAATCTTCATGATATATATCACTCTTTTTCCCAAAGGCAATATCAAGTGCTTGACAGAAAGATGAAAACTAACCATTACAATCTCCCTCAGAAGAATATCAACTTATCCCCAAGAAATACCCTAATGGCATAGCAAAGTATGGACTATAAGGGCCAAATTTATAACACATCAGTTCAATAGAATGTAGGGTTTAATAATTTAGGTTAACTGTTATGCTCTCATTCTTTTCTTGTGCTCCAGTCTGCAATCAAGAACATACCATCAAAGTCAACGGAAGGTTAGAACACACACACAAGTAGTGATGAATGCAGCACGGGAAGTCAGCAATGCCATTTGTGAAAGGGTCAAGGAACAGTAAATACACAAATATTCAAAACCATTCCAAGAAAATCAGGTCCCTACTGAATGCTTTGATTATCTCAGAGGACAAGTGAGTATTTGCCAAAAATAATTCCTTTATTCTTTATACTTCTTCAAAGGCTTTAATGCATGTAACTTCAAAAATCAATGATCCTTGTAGAAAAAGGGGAGTCTATTATCCATATTAGACAGATGGGGAAACTAAGGAATAGAAAGTTCAGCAGTTTGTTCAGGGCTGGTTAAGCAGCAGGTTAATAACAGAGTCAGCTCTAGAATCCAGTCCTCTTTACTAAAAACCCAAATTCTGTAAACCCACAACATATTTTTGTTTGTTCTTGATGAGCATAAGAACATATAATCCCACAAAATTCTGTGTGGTGACCTGGTATCATGGACAACACACTCCAATTTGCCCTTGATCACCATAGGTAAAATCCCCCTGAAAACTCTGCTTGGTGGCCTGGTTGCATGAGCACTTCCCCAGCATCCTCTGGGAAGGCCATCTGGCATTTGCTGCTGTTCTCCACTGCAATGAACATTTCACACATTTCTTTCCTAAGCCTCCAGCATACCTGATGCAATAGTGGGAGAGAGAAACAAAAGCAGAACTGAGACCAGCTTCACTGCTAAGATAAGAACTTTCAGGGGTAAGAAAAAGGCTAGTAATTGGTCTTAAACCTACTTTGCCAAGTGGTTCATGAGCAGCTGTAACATCTGCCGATTTTTCTCTGGGAGCCGATGAACAAGGCTGTGGATTTCAGAGACCCGAGACTCCTGGTTCTCCAGTTCTGCAAAGGAAGGAGGGAGGTAATATCTTATCAGTGTCACAGCTAAACAACTTTAAGGTTGAAAAATTAAGGGAAACCAAAGGATGAGCACTAACAGCCCAAGGATTTCTCAAAGATTTACAATCCTGTCTTGTGTGCATACTGCGTGGCCAGCATGACTAGATCTGGAAGTCCTTTTAATGGTGCTTTCTGGAACAGGGTTGCCAAAAAAATTGTCATCAAAAAATCAAAGCCAAGATGATGATGTGATGAAATGGAGCCAGTCAACTGCACACCCAGAGCTGCTCCTGAGAACAAACTCAGGAGTAGCTGGCTCCCTAGAGGGAAGACTTCATTTCAAGGAAGTAAGGAACTTTATGCACTTGTAAAGTGATAAACAAATCTTACATGAACAACATTGCAAGGGTTTCAAATATCAAAATAACACCTTGAGACAGCATCAAAGATATCAAAGGAAATGTCCAGTATCCTCAAGTCACATATGACAACCAGCCTGCTAGAAAGAAAGAAATGGCAGATAAAATATTCAAGTCTTTCTGCCAACTTGTAACCTAAATCATGGCTTGTCACATTCTCTTGGTTGAACCAAGGTAAGTGGCTTTGTTACTCTGGCAAATAGACTGATGGTACTCATCACACCTATTTATAGAACTGATGTGAGGTTTAAGTAGAGAATGGTTGCTATGGGTTTGTAATTTCTCTAGAAAGAAATGACATAAACACCATCTTCGCTCCTGGCTTTCTCCTTCCTGTTTTAAGGGGACAACTATGAGTAGATAAGGACACCAGAACATTAGGTACTACTAAATTAGGCCAGTAGTAGCTACCAGAGTAAATAAATTCTAAAGGCTGAAAGGAACCCGGGAGAGACACAAGTTATCGACATAATAATACTGTGAAGATTCATGCTGGATTTAAATCTGATAGAGAATCTTTCTGCCCCTTTACAAGAGGCCTGACCCATGTAGCCAGAGATTCCAGTATACTTAGAGTAGCTTGCACCTAATCCCTATGTATTTTAATACCAGTAATATGACACCAGGACCTGGATGATGTAGTTGAAGAATGATCAGAAGCTGTAAATGGAAGACATAATGGAAAAGAGGACTGTGAAGTTATATAAATGGTGTCATATTCAGGGAAACATTTCCAATGCTCAATTTAGGTAATGTGCAATGTCTGATTCATTCTGCAAAATGCTACTCAAAGGCTGGAAAAAACCTAAGAAGTTAGAACTCCAATAATCAAAACTAGAAAGGCAAACTTGTTTTTCTCTATCCCTCCAACATCCTCCTCCCCTCAAAAAAAAAAAAAAAAAAAAAAAAGACTTCTGAAGTTTCTGTCCTCTGCTGTAAATTCAATGTGGTAGAAAGGCCCTTAGCAATCCCTATTTGTTTCCTTTTTATTCCGTGTTAGAATCTCATGAGTATGTTATGTGGCCAGTTTATGTGCAGAATACGAAGGGTTAGGTAATATTTATTTTGGGATACTGACTCTTCTTTGAAATAGAAAAATCTATTCTCTTCCCCTTAAAACTGAGACAAAAAAGACTTACTTGCTGCTTTGATGAAACTTCTTTGAAACTGGTACATCATGAGTGGTCCTGGAAGCATTCTGGAGGAAAAGGAGATAGGCTAGTCAGCTTAATAATAAGAATAATCATATTCTCTCTAAATAGCAGCCTAGAGACTGACAAACTGTAATACATTTCTCGAAGACAAAGATCACAGGGAAACAATAACAATGTAGTTTCCCTATTGCAAGCGTTCTGAGATTTCACCCAAAATGTTTATTCTCTCTCTTTCTTAAATGAATAGACACAACTATGTTTCATTGTCAACACTAAAATAGTGCTAATGCAAGAGTCTAACACAAACTAAGAGATTTCCTTTTCAGTCAGTGACTCATCTATCAACAACAGCATTTTAAGATGTGTCTGAGAAACAGGCAACTAACTACATATTTGCAAGTCTTGATCTTCCCAGCGGCTTGTTGTTAGAATCAATTCATCTAGAAACACTATAAAAGATTTTTGTAGGTGTTGTGGTGGTGAATTCACTATGGAGTATTGCTCCAGAATGCTAGAACCCCTAACATTAGGTATGATATAAACAAATTTTACCTGCTGGGGTATGAGTATGTTTAACCATAAACTTGAGGGTTTTTTCCTGATAGTTCAAATAAGAAACTTCTCAATAGGACTATACATTATTCTTGGCTCAGATTTTATTCTCATTGGGTCCCTTAATTCGACTCCTAGTTTTAGTTAACACTTACATTATATCTTACTCTTGACTCTAATTACCCAATAGCCAATAAAATCTACATCAGCAATTCCTTTTCTGTGGCCTCCTTCCTTTGCTTTCCAGCCAATTCCATCTTCAAAAAATCTGCACAGAGACTTATGCTATTTCTGATGACCATTCCCCTCTCCTTTTAAGACTAGGTCCCACCTTTTTTGGTAAGAACTATGGTATTCCTGTCCTTCAAGTCCAGCATAAATATTTTGGTCTATTCATGAAACTAAGATGCAGGCAGCTGGTCAATAACCCAACCTTTAATAATGAAAGGAGGCATAGAGAGGGTACAGTAGTATCATATATAAATGATACAAGGAAAATAGTCTCTGCAGAGAAATAATATTGTCCAGTGTAAGGGAAGGAGTCAAAAAGGAGTTCCATTAAGTTCTCATTTTTAAGAACCATTGTCAGCAATGTACTCTGTGTAAAGTATGAAACTATCAAAATACATGAGGTATGTAATCATGCATTCTTAACAGAAGATGATTCATGATTCCTTGTGTTCTTAACAGATTATTCAGGGACTTCGGGGAAGACCCCATTTTAGGTTCTGTTCATGGCTAATTATCACAATACTTCTCATATAGAACAAAGTTTCCTAAATCACTCAGGGTGTCACTGCACAAAGGCAACCCATCAACTATGGATGATTTACGATTGGTTTGACCAGCTGAGCTAAACGCACCCACACAGAAGCTGTTTCCACATCTCAAACACCCACCCGACAGCTCTCCGGAGTCTGAAAATAAAACTGCTTTCTTCCTGATTGCATGATAACTAGCTGGCACTCTGCCTTGCAAATGGAAAGTCCCTACCTTAGGTAGGTCTTCAGAGCACTAGTGATGGTCTTTATCTCCCATTCAGCACAGATATCTGTTTCTGTCTCAGAAGCAGTCTTGGGGTCTAAAATGAAGAAAAGACAATACATAAAGCACAGCATAAAATGGAACTAATAAATAAGCACACATAAAGGCATCCAATCTTGCTAGTAACTAGAGAAATGCAAAGTAAAACAAAAATGACAAGTATTTTTTTTACCTATTAAATTAGGAAAATGTCTAAAAATTCCAATATCTCTTGCTGGCAAGAATGCAGTGAAACTGATCCTCTCCTATCCTGCTGGCAGCAGGAGAGACAAATGCAAGAGTTTTGAGAAGCAATTTGGTAATATGTATCAAAGTCTTAAAAACGTTTATACCCTTTGAACCAGTAATCTCATTTCTCACAGTCTATCCTCAGAAAATAAGATAAGGCACGAGAAAAGTTACAGACCCCAGAAACGTTCAGCACACACTCTTCTTTGCAAAAGCAGAAAAAACAACAAAAAAAGGAGACAACCTAAATGTCCAACGATAGAAGAATGATTAAGTGAATTACCGTATGTCTACCTGATGGAATATTACCTCGCCGATTTATATGACAACGATGACTGTAAAGCAACATGGAAAATGCCTGCATTATATAATGTCAAATAAAAAAAAACAAGATATGTCTATGAGAAACTTTTTCTATGAACTTTTTATATGAACAAGGCTGAAAGGAAATACTCTAAATTAGTGGTTGGGTTAAAGTGGTGGACTGTGGTATGATTTTATTCCATTACTTTTGTATTTTTAAAAAAATTGCTTTAAGCTCAAATGTGCAATGAGAACCACCATATCAGCTCTGACAATTTCTTTTGTCTCTTCTTGCATGGACTTTTAAACAAATCAGTATATTTTAAACAAGCATGTATGATAAAAGAACAGGAGAGATAATTCTTATAATCTTCCTGAGTAGCACACAAGGAGGTGAGAAGAAGAGGCAGAGGTTGGGGAGTGTAATTGCTTCACAGATCCCCATCCTGTCCCTGGTGAGGCAGGCCAGGTCATACACATACTGGTGGGAGGGTCACAGAGTCTTTTTCAGTGCACAGGAGGGAGAATCCAGCTCCCTCATACTGGCTAAAGACTAGTTCTTTGCCACCAGCTCCCAGTCCTTTTTTTTTCTGCATAGCACCTCATTTTGAGTTGGAGAGCAACCCTTTTCTTACTTTTTCCAGGGGTGGAGAATGAGATTCAGGACAGACTGGCCAAAAGTATATCAACTCTCTGGACTCAGTGCCTGGATGAGGGATGGCCCAAGACCTAAGCCTGCCCAATCAGAGTAACTCTCCAGGACTCACGAACAGATATTTGCTGTTTGCTGGGCTTGCACTAGGAGGTTATGTAACTGCCAGGTGCCACCACACAGAGCCTGAAAGTCCGACAACCCAGAGACAAGATAAGCAGAAATGGTGGATCCTGAACCCTTGTATTTGCCTCTCCTTCTTATCATATGAGCCAGTAAATTCCTTTTTCCCCTTAAGCCAGGTGAGGTCAGGATTTCCGTCTTTTTACAATGCAAAGAGATCTAAATGATGCACCAGGTAAAGGGAGGCAGCCACCAGACTGCATCTTTCTGAAGAGTCTCCAAGAATAATTCTGGGACATCAATGAAGAAAGCTGTTCCTCCTGCAGGACCAACAGCCTTTCAGCTGGAAAAAAAATAAGTCAGAGGTGGGCAGAAGACATTTTCTATTTCCTGGGAAAGAAACCACTTTCATCCAAATAGAAAGAGGCCAAATACTCATGAATGGCTTCAGGATTTAGCCTATCATCACCAGGTAGGGGCACAAATCCAGCTGGTATCTACTGCTCTCCGTGTGTTCCCCTGACACATACTGGGTTATGAGAGAGGAAAGGGTCCCCAGCTCAGAAACATGTGGCTCTCAAAGGCACAGTACCTGTATGATGTTTGCAGGTGACACTGAGCAATAAAATGAAGTCTTTCCTGTCACATGAAACAAACAAGGAAAAACCTAAAGAGCATAATTTTTTTTTCTTTTTTTTTTTCAGACAGAGTCTCACTCTGTCACCAGGCTGGAGTGCAGTGGCGCAGTCTTGGCTCACTGCAACCTCCACCTCCTGGGTTCAAGCGATTCTCCTGCCTCAGCCTCCCAAGTAGCTGGGATTACAGGCATGTGCCACCATGCCCAGCTAATTTTTGTATTTTTAGTAGAAATGGGGTTTCACCATATTGGCCAGGCTGGTCTTGAACTCCTGACCTCGAGATCCGCCCGCCTCGGCCTCCTAAAGTGCTGGGATTACAGGCATGAGCCACCGCGCCTGGCCCAAGAGCATAATTTTATTTCTGGGGCTACAGAACAGTAAATTCCATAGAGTTCTATCACAGCAAATTTCTGAAAAGTTCACAAAATGTGATTTTCCCAGTATCCAAAATGTCTGCCACTTTAATTTGTGTCTTTGCCATCTTGCACTCCCTGAATGGCTTTTTCCTGCAGAAGAGTATGTATCAAAAACCTCTGCTTTGCATGACCTCTTTCCCTCCCCATCCTAAGACACGTGGAGAGCTGCCATCCTGCATGGTTCCTGGATGTGAGACAAATGTTACTGTACATTTTTCTAAAGAAGAAACCAACTTCTACCCAAGAAGAGTGAACATGAAACTGAACAAGCAGCAGTTGGCAAGTCTGGGAGTTGTGAACTGTTGCATGAACCACATTTAGCAAACTAATGATTAGCTTCCACTTATTCGGGCTCTGTAACCATAGGAATATTGCGTAACATTAGAGAGGAGAGTCAAATTACAGCCCGGCTAAAGGGCTTTTTATAGCACTGATGAGGCAAGGCTCATAACTTGAGCACATCCATTTTAATTCATTTAAAATCCAAGCTAAGTTGAATACAGCCTCCCAAGCTACACCATTTTCAGAAAGTGCTGCTGATTTCCACACCTCCCTCCTGATGCTCCCCTCACTTACAAAAGCTTCCTGATGGCATCTGAATATGCCACAGAGACGTCATTTACACTCTTCTTTAGAACTCAGTACACTTCTCTCCACCATGTCCCTTGACCACTGCTGCTTAGTAAAACAGATCTAAACTAGAGGAGCAATCCAATGTACAAAAGGCATCATGTGGGGAAAGCAGAATGAATGTTATTTCCTCCTGAACCTACTATCACATGAATTCAGAAAATCAGAAGACACAGACTGGAAGCAGTGGTTATAAGCGGAGAACGTCTTAGAAATGTCACACTTGGATCAGTCCCAAGGGCCATCTAGTCTATTACTGTGTTGCAGACAAAATGAAGGATATTTTGGAGGAAATTATTAGGAAAGTTACCTATGTACTCTTGAATTTCCTAATAACACATTATAGTGTATGCAAATTAATCTTTTTCTCTCTTTAAGTGAGAAAGTAATACACGCACATGTTAAGAATTCAAAGAAAAAAAAACAGATATACATGAAAAGGTAGAGGCAACTGCTAATGCCAGCTTTTTATGTGCATTTCCTATCTCTAACAGTCCCTTCTGTTTTGAGATCCAAAAGCTCTTACTGGCTCAAGACCCAGTCTTAGGAGAGCCTGCCTGAAGCATCCCAACAGGCAAAGGTGATGGTGGCTGGAGCAGAGGAGGTGAGCTTCCATCTCTGTGTTTCTTCTTTGGGGACTCAGGATTGTGATTAGTAGCCGTATTGCTAGCTCCCAGAATGATCAATCCTCTATCCAAGTAGTCTATCATCTTCTGGTCCTGTCATCTTTTGTCTGCTACCCTTCACTGGTAGACAAAATTGGACATTTGCTCTTCTCATGGTTCCCCTACTCCAGTAGGCTCCAGTCTTCAAAGTCTGGGCTGTTTCCACTTAATCCTATGTAAGCCTTTAGGTCTTAGAAATCATCATAAAGCATTTTGATTTCTTCAGAAAGAAGTCATTGATTGCTTTTATTTATGCCACTCTGTGAAAAGGTATGGGAAATAAGGGGCATAAAAAAAGAAATGCAGACATTCAAGGTCCCAGAGTAAGGAAGGATAGTTCATGGCTGGATCGGCGGTAAGTGGGTGAAGCATGCTACTATAATTCCGTGCTTTACAGCACTGCTGTATAATACCTTCATTGTGTTCTCTGTTTTACTAAGTTTGCTTTAAATGTGGTTTAAAAAAAAAAAAAGAAGAAGAAGAACAAAAAAGGTTACAGGACGAGAAAAACAGTGATGCTGAATTTGCAGTCCTTTATCATCATGGTAAAAACACACAAAAAAGGGACACAAATTTTTAACAGCACAGAAAATTAGGCTCTCAGTCAACATTCTCCTGCCACCAGGATATCCACTAGGCAAAGCTTAGATGAAGGCCTGAGGAAAATCCAGCTGGGGAAACAATGTGATAGGTGGTGGCCCTCTGCCCACCAACAACATAGCCCAAGCCACCCAGGGGTGTGGGGGAAAGGCCATGCTGCAACCCCCCAACCCCACTCCAGCAAACACACTTTTGGGGGCTACTTTCTGGGGCACCCAGAGCTGTCATAAGATTATAATCCAGGCAATGAAATCAGACTACAGAGCAGAAGTGGAGGGGGGTCCTCTTATATCAAGGCAAGTGAATCAGAAGGAGAGCCGTAGAAGAAACATGAGAGTCATAAGGGAAGAACCACAGCATGCTTCAGATTATCCAGGAGTAAATCCGGCTTCTCCCAGGACCATGACCAAATACCAAAACCAGGAAAAATCAATGCAGGCTTATAGGTTCACTAAATGAAAGCTTTAAGAATACCAGAAAGTTGGCTCAAATTATGTACAATACCCCTCCAATCATCAGGTAAGATAATGATTCTAACAGGAATCAGGAAAATAGCAGAACAAGGAGAATCTATCCACAGTGAGCTTAAAAGCAAAGGTTTGATTAAACAGAAGATAAAAAATCCTATAAAATATTTGTTGGCAAAAAATACAGAGACCAAAGCACTCTGAAAAATAATTCAGAAAACACCAGCTCTGTCATATAAGTAAAATCCTAAAAATATGGATGCCAGGAACCAAGACAACAAAATAAAACAAGTAGCAGACTGAAATAATAAAGATTATACCTGAAAAGTAGAAATAAAAGGATTTAAATAAGTAAAGATAATAAAGACATTGGAAAATCCATTACAAAAAGTTAAAATCTGCATTATAAACAGCAAAATAATAATCACAATCAACCCAACAATTTTAAATGAGTAATACTGAGATGGAGGACAAGTTTGAGAATTTTTGCTAGAATATAAAGAATCAGGAGAAAAATTAAGCATTAAAAAGGTGAAAAATGTTGGTGTGTTTAAAAGATTGAGAATTACAGAAAAACATACAGTAAAGAGATTTGTTTGTCTTTAGAAAAATATGTATAAAAACTCCTTCAGTGGCCCCCAATATGTATAAAAGAATGATTACATGGTGATATATAAAAGTAGTGGAAAGGGGTAAGATGACTCATTATATGGATACTGGTCAAGTGGATAAGTATTAGAGGAAAAAGAAGAGTTTCCACTTTGCATGACAGATTTTAAGGAAAATTAAGGTTTTTGTCATTCTAGATTGGGTAAGGTTTTTTTTTTTTTTTTTCTTTTTTGAGATGGAGTCTCATTCTGTTACCCAGGCTGGAGTGCAATGGCACGACTCAGCTCACTGCAACCTCCACCTCCCACGTTCAAGCGATTCTCCTGCCTCAGCCTCCTGAGTAGCTGGGACTACAGATGTGCACCACCACGCCTGGCTAATTTTTGTATTTTTAGTAGAGATGGGGTTTCACCATGTTGGCCAAGCTGGTCTCGAACTCCTGACCTTGTGATCCGCCCTCCTCGGCCTCCCAAAGTGCTGGGATTACAGGTGTGAGCCACTGCACCTGGCCTGGGGAAGGTCTTCTATGGCATAATTCGTTTAGAAAAAAGATAACAGACTGGACATCATAAAAATTTAAAATAGGCCAGTCATGGTGGCTCACACCTGTAATTCCAGCACTTTGGGAGGCCAAGGTGGGCAGATCTCTTGAGCTTAAGAGTTTGAGACCAGCCTGGGCAACATGATGAAACCCCGTCTCTACTAAAAATACAAAAATTAGCTGGGCATGGTGGTGCACACCTGTAGTCCCAACTACTCAGGTAGCTGAGGCACAAAAATCACTTGAACCTAGGAGGTGGAGGTTGCAGTGAGCCAATATAATGCCACTGCATTCCAGCGTGGGTGAAAGAGTGAGACCCCATCTCAATAAAATAGTCATAAGACAACAAAAACAAATGCACCATAAAGTTTAAGACAAATAATAATCTTACAAAACATATTGAAAATATAGTCTATAGATCTAAAAAGGTCTTGTAATCAAAAGAGGAACACACTGCCAGGTGCGGTGGCTCACGCCTTATAATCCCAGCACTTTGGGAGGCCAAGGTGGGTGGATCACTTGAGGTCAGGAGTCCAAGACTAGCCTGGCCAACATGGTGAAACCTTGACTCTACTAAAAAGATACAAAAGTTAGCCTGGTGTGGGGGCATGCACCTATAATCCCAGCTACTCAGGAGGCTGAAGCATGAGAATCACTGGAACCTGGGAGGTAGGAGGTTCCTACCTCACTGCAACACTTAGCCACTGCAGTGAGCCAACACTTAGCCACTGCACTCCAGCCTGGGCAACAGAGCGGAATAATAATAATAATAAAAATAAAACAAAAAAAATTTTTTTAAGAAAAAGAAGAACATACCAATAGAAAAATAGGCTAAGAATACAAATAGGCAATTCAACAAAAGTAGTATAAATCAGCAATAAATATGTAAACAGTCTAACCTCACCCAAAATTACAGAAATGCAAAATTAAATTTAAAAAGATACATTTAAAAATGTTAATAATTTATATGCAAAACAGTAATACACAGCATGGCAAAGATGTGGGGTGTAGCATAGTCTCCCTCAGACTTTGCTAACTACACACTTGGGAATATCATTTAAGAGCCTTGAAAACACGTACATACCTTGACCCAGCAATTCAACATCTTAAAATAAGTCCTGAGGAAATAATTAGAGATGCATATAAAAATTATAACAGCTAACATTTTATATTTAACATGTGAAGGCTCTGGACTCAGCAACCCACAAGCATCTTTTCATTCCATCCTCACATTACTATGGAGGCAGGAGCCATTATTACAGATGCAGAAATAGATGACTAGACCAGTGTGAATCATTTGTCTAAGTGAAAGAAATAAGCGGTGGAACTGTAACTTGTCTAATCTCAAAATGCATGCTCTTAGTCTCTGCTGCCTCAATGGGGATGTTTACCCTCTGTCCTGCCTCTATGGGGATATTTACCTGAGTGCTTTCTAGAATGATGAAGAATTGCAATTAGCCCATGTATCCAAGAACAGGGGACTGATTAAAAAGTTATAGAGCATCTGTGCAATATGTGCCTGAGAAAATCACACTCTAGAAGAACTTGAATGACATGTGACAATAGACACTCTATAGTGTTACATGAATAAAACCTGTAATATCTGCACAGTGAGTTCAATTTTGTAAACATACTGTTTTAGTATACTATACTATACTAAATTTAACAGGTAATAATATAACATTTTGATGTCATATGACAAAACAGTTAATAAAGGTTAACTCTAGTATATAGAACTGTTATTTTCTTCTACTTTTTGTATTCCTCCAAATTTTCACAATGACCACTCATAACTTTTCATCAGGAAAAAATTTATTTAAAATATGTACGGAGAGACAGGAAGAGAGATAGACATACACTGAACAAGTATATAGCTGATTTACATATTAAATAGTATAGATAAAAAAGTTGGGCTAAAATTTGGAAAGATTTATCTTTACTTAATATTCAGGGGGGAAAACCCCCAGACACACAGAAGGCATTCTATTTCTAGGAATCTGCAAGTCTTTGAGAGTCCTTTTCACTCTCTAAAGACTAATGACTTCTGTTGCTAGGAGGAAGGGATCAAGGGTAGCTCTTGGTAGGACACTAGTACAAAGCCACACTGCACTTGCTATGAGGAATTTTAGCAAGCTTTCTTAAGGAATCCTGATCAGTACAAAGAAGACATTCTCAAAGCACTGGCTCTCATATTCCTCTTCCAACCCAAAGTCCTCCAATGTATTAAGAGTACAAAAAAATAAACTCGAAGTAATTCAAAAAAAGTCTCTGGTTTTGCTTAATTCTCAGCCTTTTTTTTTGAGACTGAGTCTTGCTCTGTCATTCAGGCTGGAGTTCAGTGGTGTGATCTTGGCTCACTGCAACCTCCGCTTCCTGGGTTCAAGGGATTCTCCTGCCTCAGCCTCCTGAGTAGCAGGGCTATAGGTGCACACCACCACACCCGGCTAATTTTTGTATTTTTTATTTTTGGGGATGGAGTTTCGTTCTTGTTGCCCAGGCTGGAGTGCAATGACGCAGTCCTGGCTCACTGCAACCTCCGCCTCCCGGGTTCAAGCAGTTCTCCTGCCTCAGCCTCCCAAGTAGCTGGGATTACAGGTGTGCACCACCACACCTGACTAATTTTTTTGTATTTTTAGTAGAGAAAGGGTTTCACTATTTGGCGAGGCTGGTCTCGAACTCCTGACTTCAGGTGATCGCTCACCTTGACCTCCCAAAGTGCTGGGATTACAGGTGTGAGCCACCACACCCAGCCTAATTTTTGTATTTTCAGTAGAGATGGGGTTTCACCATGTTGGCCTGGCTGCTCTCGACCTCCTGACCTCAGGTGATCCACCTGCCTCGGCCTCCCAAAGGGCTGGGATTATAGGCATGAGCCACCGCACCTGACCAGCCATATTTTCCATAACCAAAACATACTACTCCACTTTTGAGAGCCTTGGACAGATAAACCAAATCTTACACAGTACCTGGCACATAATAAGCATCCAATGAATGTATAATAAAGAAATAGTTAATGAAAGGTTCACTCGGCCCAGCCATCTCAGGGGAAGGTTTTGGAGCACAGGTGCCATGTTTATTTTATACTCTTGGCTAGCCCAGACACTACCAGTACCAAGAATTGATGAAGTTGTGGGCATGTTCACAAAAGAGAAGATGAAGCTCCCCCTTCAAAGGGGTCTAGAGCCCTGGTGATTCCGTAATTGAGAGATTCAAACTTATTTAACTCGTAGGGAGAATCATGGATATCATTCTCAACTTTCAATTAGATGTTACACTGTGGTCATCTTGCAGCTCTGGTTGGATCTCAGATTAGATTCCAGTCTGTCTGTAATGTCCTCCTGGCAGAGGCAGCTGCCCTCGTGACTTTCAGCTGCTAGTTATTACTTTTTCATGACATTTCTCAAATGTTCATGATTATTTTCTCTATCCCCAGGAAAATCAAGGAAGAGAACAAGACAAATATCTTGTGTGAAGGCCACTAAGAAAAGTGATAAAAACAAGATCCTTTCATAACCACTCTTTTGCTTAACACAACTGAGCTAAAGTGCTTCTTTTTTAGATTAGCAAACCAGTCTAAAATGTCATATTTCTTTTCATTAGTGTCATCTTACATAATAATCTGTCATCTTTGAAATCTCTCTGCCCCTTCTGTTCCCCCATATCAAGTTGGTTAAAAGTCCTGTTGATTCTCTCTGTATACTCACTATGAGTGTGTCCTTTTTTCCTGACTTCAGAGCACCTATTTAGTTCAGTCTTTGATAGGGTTTGCCTTGCCTGATCTATTACAACCAACTTCCTCCTCCATGTCTTTCCATAATCAAACACATGCTCCAAATTGGAGCCAACAATATGCTCCTAATGCTAGAATCTGATATTGTTACATCTGTATTAGATATACTTTTTTAAAAAAGCTAACAGCAGCCATTATTTCAGGAAAGCACTTCTCCATCTTCCTATCAATAATCCTGCTCAGTCCACTGGGTTTCAGGGACTAACCCCGTCCCCACCCCAACTGTCCACCCCATCCCCCACATCCCCCAACATACGCACAGGATCCAGGCCATCTGCCATGGGCCATGTGACTGGTCTGAGATTGAGAAACGAATCATGTGAATGGCCCCATACTGACCAAGCAAAGTCCTCGCTGGAGCCTTCTGCCAACATGGTCAAGAAAGGCACTTTCTTCTCAGTGACCACAGGCTCCAAGGACTGCAGAGGCTGAACCTGTCTGGGACACTCCCACAGAGAACAAAGCCACACCAAGCCCAGAAGAGGTCAGAGAACATGAGAAGCCAGAAGAAGGAAGGGGCAAAGGATCTAGCAAAAGTAAAGACATCATTGGCATCCCTGACTCTGCCATGCTTCTGTCTTGGATTTACCAGTTATATGAGCAAATAGATGCTTTTTTTTTCCTTGTAAACTATTCTGAATTGTCTTCTTGACACTTTTGTGTGCAAAAGCATTATAATGGATATAATCCCACTATTGAGAACTTTTAATAGTTTCTTACTTCCTATAGAAAAAACCCCAAACACCTTGGCTCAGTATTCAAGTTCCTCAACAAAAAAGACCACCTTAGCTATTCAGCTTTAAAACTCTCCTGTCCCAGCCTCAAGTTAAGTCTTTCAGAAATATTAAAATAATAATCATAGAATCAATACCCTTTGCTGTAGCCACCATAGACCCTTTGTTCAGAATACTTCATGAATTGGAATTATTCTTCTACTCTCTCCTTCACTACACTACTCAATCTTCTAGACCCAGCACAGATTAAGCATGAATATCATACTTTACATTACAGCTTTCATATACACACATATTTCACCCTATCAGGACTCCTTACAGAAAAGGAACAGCTCTTTCTAAAATTTAATCTCTAGCACCTGACATCTGTTCTAAGCAGCAGACACCCCACAAATGTTTGCAGCTCTGGTCAGAAATGAAAAACTAAGGATTGACACCTATTAGACTCTTAATTCTTCCTTATATTAGAAATTCTCAAAAATTGACCCTATCGCCATACAACCCAGCAATTTGCACACTCGGACATTTATCCCAGAGGAACAAATATATGCTCACACAGAAACTATATATGAAAATTTATAGAAGCTTTATCATAATTGCCCCAAACTGGAAACAACTCAGGTGCCCTTCAATAAATGAATGGTTCGACAAAGTGCAGTACATCCATACAATGGAATATTACTCAGCAATAAAAAAGAACTATTAATACATGGAACAGCAAAAATAAATCTTGAGAAAATTACACTGATTGAAAAACAATGCCAATCCCAAAAGGTTCTGTATTGTATAATTCCATTTAAATAATAATCTTGAAATGACAAAATTATAGAAATAGAGAACAGATTGCTGATCGCCAGGGGTTAGGCACAGGGTGCAAGGTGGGAAGTGAGGTATGTGCTTGTACAACATCACAAGGAATCCTTTTAGTGATGGAAGTGTTCTGCATCTTGACTAAATTAATGCCAATATTTTGGTTGTGATATTAAAATTGTGTTTTGCAAGATGTTACCTTTAGAGGAGACTGAGTAAGTGGTACACAGGATCTCTATATTATTTCTTACAACCGAATGTAAATCTACAATTATCTCAAAATGAAAAGTTTAATTTTTACAAAAACTAACCATATTTCAAATCTTAACCAAAAAAAACCCAGATACTCGTTGCTAGAGTACCTCGCAAATAATCATAGTTTTAAACAACAGATCTCACTCTAACTAGCAATACAATAGGGTTTTGGCTACAAGAAGTGAATGACTCTCTCAAAAAGAGGTGAAGACAGTCATTCTGGCCAACATGAGAGAAGAGATTTCTTTACACAAGAAAGCTATTTTCAGAAAGTGGGATGGCAAAAGAAATTACAAATACTAACACAAGAACTGTCCCTGTCCAAAACACTGAGCTGCGTACCCCAAGTGATAGTCCCTCTCTACAAGCCAGGGCTTCCATGGGGAGGAATAACAGCCTCTGTGAAACCTGATCTGTTTGCCATTTAGGTCCATGTGATTCATGGAGGCTGGCTGCACTCATATCTAAAAATACAGGAAATCTGCAGCCTAAGCAAATTTGGCTCATGGACTCATGGGCTTTTGATTCAAATACTGCACATTTGGAGACACTGCTTTGTATTTATATCAGCCAGTGGCAAAGGAGGTTCTGCTGCTCAAGTGACAGGTATTCGGTTGAAATCTAGAAGCAAAGAGGATCAGAAGATTTCTCTGGTTATATATATTTTATCTGAGAGTTACATGACACCTGCTCAGTATCAGGAACATGAACTCTGAGGTCCTCTGGAGCCCAGAATGATGCCTTTCCTTGGGCATTGGGTGTGTCCCACTAAATACCTGTCCCAAAAGAGAACGGAGGGAGTCATAAGCTATTAAAGACAGAGTAGGGTGTGGTGGTCACATGAGTGACTGAGTGCCACTTGGACCAGAGCACTGAGCCTACAGACAGAGAGGGTGTGGTGTCTGGGCCCTGGCATTTTTTATTTTGTCCAGTCCTACTCAGAACCTTTCCCAGCAGTGTCTGAAGCCATGACAACTGACCGATGGGGCAGATGACTTCTAGGTGACAGCTCACGGACACCCCGATTCCTTTGCCACAGGCTGTATCTACTCACAGACCTGGTGACTTTTCAGAGTGGGCCCCCCATCCAGGGACCTGCCTAGCAGAGCCACTGCGGCACTCACCCATCAGGACACTCAGCAACTTCTGCACTCTGGAGTTGACACCCACAATTCGATACAGCCCTTGCTCGTTGATCCCTGAGGAAAGAAACAGTGATGATTTAATTAGAGGCACGTCAGAACACAAGTCAGGCCAATCCAGCCAAATGCACTTTTTTTTTTTTTTTTTTTCATTTTCTCAGTCCTCCTAAAAGCTGCTCTAATTAAAGTCCCCTGTCACTCAGCTCAGCTCTTAGCAAACGAGTGGGATTTGGTACAGCTGTCTAGGATTTCACGGATGTGCTGCACACTTCAGCCCTCATGTTAGTTCAGTCATCAGCGGCGAAAGAAGCTTTCCTTTCTCTTGCCAAAGGCAGCATCTGAAGAGTTCTAAAAGATGCAAAATGTACACTTTTAAATATGTCATATTTAACCAATTTTTAAAATTAAAATGCCAAAAATGACATTAAAAATTCATACAACAGAAAAAGACACTTTATAATCTATTTTTACACAAAAAATGAAAATACGGAGGTGTAAGAATGTTTTTAATTTTAAGGAATGTTAGCCAAGACTGAGAAATTAGAAGATCCATTCATTTATAATACAAATATTCTTTATCAAAAAAGACCACCTTTATTTCAACCCAAGGAACTGTACAATTAGACTAGTAAGGGTTTACTTTTAAATTAAACATCTAAACAAAAAATCAAAAACTAATCCACTGCAGTGTTTCTGTTCATTTAAATACATGGATTAGATCACCACTGTACCATTTACAAAAGAAGGCAATTTAGACCAGGTGACTTGAAATGATTTTTCTCCTATTAGTTCCAGGCCCATCATATCTGACCCCTCTCAAGTAATAGAGCTCCAGCTTCCTATTTTATTCCTCTGATGTCCATTCTTCAACCAGTAGCCAAAGTGAACTGTCTAAAGTGCAAATTAGTTCATATCACCTCTTCTCTTAAAACCCTCCAATAGCTTCCCATTGCACTTAGACCATAATCAAAACTACTTACAATGGCCTATAAGGCCTATACTATCGAGCACTGACTACCTCTGATTGCATCATTGACCACATGCATTCTGCTCCACACACTGGCCTTCCTGTCACCTCAACATGCCAAGCTCATGGCCCCACCTCATAGCCTTTGCTCCAGCTGTTTCCTCTACCTGGACTGCTCTTCTCCCAGAGCTTTTCATCATTCAGATCTCAGCTTAAATGCAACCGCTTCAATCTAATGCAATCCACAATCAACATTACTGGTCATTCCCTTACCCTGTTTTCTTTCTTTATAGCAGTTAACAATATCTGAAATTATGTTTGTTATTTGATTATTTACTTGTTTTTTCTGTTACATTCTCAATAGAATGTAAACAGTAATTGTGTCCTGTTCACCATTACATCCTCAGTCCCTGGATCAGTATATGGTACATGATAATAAACAAAACACGAGATTATACTCCATCAAGGCCAGTATAAAATACTTGGGGGCCAAAACACAATCTTCCAAAAGAAACTCAGGAAAGGACCAATTCTGCAGTACTTTCAACAAGACCTATGTAGACATGGAACTAATGAATAAAAAGAAGTGGTCTGGAATGATAGAATTTTACAGCTAAAAAGGACCTGTAAAATCATGTACATCATTCTGCATGATTCACGGACTAGGAGTCCCTGGTCAAAAACTTCAAAAACTAAGTGATGGGTCCCAAGTTACTCAGTGGCAGAAACTTGATTCAGTAACATGTCAGCTTGTGGGCTTGAAAAGTCTTAAGTGTCTCTACTTCTTCTATCCTTGTGCTTTCCCGGGACTTTACACAATCCCACCTCCCACTGGACAATTGTCAAATCCCAGAGAGTATGGGAAGTCTGTTCATCTCTGATCACCATAAATACGTATGCACATACACACACTGCAATCGGGAGATACCCACTTTTTTCAACTATTTACGCTAAAATGGCACCTAACTCATACTGTCCTTATTTCTTCTTTGTGCTCAATGAAGACTTTCGTAGAAGTTAAAATACATCATTTCCATTTTCATTTTAGAGGGGGAAGAGGAACTTGTACACCTCTTCTTCTCCTACTTATTGTATTTATTTTGTAGTTTTACATCAGAAAAAGTTGTCCTCCTGAGCTACCAGTTTGCATTTACTACAGACTCTGTGAACAGTTTTAAATGATTAGGTTTCTCTCTTGATTTTGGCTGCTGAAGACTGAGAGACGAATAGGTGGCCCAGCTCAAGCAAGTATATGAACTTTACTGGGGAAAGAGATTTTTTTTTTTTAGACTCGCTTTTGGCTCCATTTTTGTGCCTCTACCTTTAAACTCTGTACATTTTATTCTCGGTCTTTTCTTTTAAATTTAAAAAAAAAAATTAAAACTCCTGTTGAAAGTTAGACCGTGCACAGTGGCTCATGCCTGTAATCCCAGCACTTTGGGGAGGCCAAGGTGGGCAGATCACTTGAGGTCAGGAGTTGAAGACCAGCCTGGCCAATGTGGTAAAACCATCTCTACTAAAAGTACAAAAATTAGCTGGGCATGGTGGCAGGCGCCTGTAATGCCAGTTACTCAGGAGGCTGAGGTAGGAGAATCGCTTGAACCTGTGAGGCCAAGGTTGCAGTGAGTAGAGATTGAGCCACTGCACTCCAGCCTAAGCAACAGAGCAAGACTCTGTCCCCTCCAAAGAAAAAGAAAAAAGAAAAATTACCTTAGTAATGAACACTTCAAAAAAACTTAGAAACTACAGTTAAGGTAAATAGATGAGTCAAAGGGAAACAGTAAAAATCAGCAGACAGCCACTGAGAACACAATGAAACCTGTGCAATATGACCACTCCTCTCCCCACTGCTCCCAGAACGGGCTCATACTGAGCAGCTGCTTTGTAACTTGCATTTTTCACGTATTATAAATAATTTTTAAAATGCCATATGTCTGTAATCCCAGCACTTTGGGAGACCGAGGTGGGTGGATCACAAGATCAGGAGATCGAGACCATCCTGGCCAACATGGTGAAACCCCATCTCTATTAAAAATACAAAAATTAGCTGGACGTGGTGGTGTGTGCCCGTAATCCCAGCTACTCAGGAGGCTGAGGCAGAAGAATCCCTTGAACCAGGGAGTTGGAGTTTGCAGTGAACCGAGACTGCATTACTGCACTCCAGCCTGGGGACAGAAAGAGACTCTGTCTCAAAAAAAAAAAAAAAAAAAAAAAAAAAAAAGGCCGTATGTCAAAAAATGTATTTCCATTGCATTGTCAGTGATTCACAGTTTTTTACTACACAGATGTACCACTGTTGATTTAACCCATTTTTGAGACATTTGGCCCGTTTCTGATTTTGTACCTTAACATCACCACGGTGTAAACATCCTTATGGCTCAATCTGGCCCATATCCTTATTTCCTCAAGACCAATTCCCAGAAATGTCACCTACTTCTACTTTATATTCTCTGGATATATCTTACATACCTTTACAAGATGCCTTAATTCTTTATTTAAGAGAGGTACAGGGGAAATAACTGAACATTTTAAAAAATGTTTCCATACATTACAACTGTTTTGGAAAAAATATCTTTTGACAGTATACATAAGGGTAGGTTTTTAAATTCTCTCTCTTCCCTCTACTTAATGCCTCACAGTCCTTATGGAAAAAAAAGTGTATATTTCTCAACTGGCAAGTTATGAATCCTGCTTTAAAAGAGAGAATTTCTTTCCACTACTTAAAAAGGGCTGGTAGGCTGAGAGGCTGTGAGTAAATAAGATTCACATCTCTGACAACGGTTCAAATCAAATCCAGTGGAAAGATGGTTAATAGCTTTTCTCAGCGGTACAACAGACCAGCAAACTCAAAGCTTCAAACTGCTGGGACTGAGGAATCTCCTTTGTGGCTGTCTCTGAAGAAGGGATGGAGACCATCAGGATGAACCAGCCTCCTTGATCTTAATGTCCTGCTCCCACAGACCTGGGAAAGATCAGTGTGAACATGGGCCTGACCCCTTTTCTCTACCTGGGTGGTCCCCAGGGACTAGCTCCCCAGAGCATCTTGGGTTCACAGACCCCAAGATGTCTGCCAGAGAAAATTTAGGGTGTCTGTGAACTTAGACAGGAAAACAATTACATCTTTATCTTCACTAACCTATAACTGACATTAAGCATTTCCTTCCTTTATGGATGTAAGCAACAAATTACAGGAGCATTAGCGGTACCTGCAACTTGGTCAGAAATCACAGATATTTTCATAACACATTACAATTATTATGGATATCTTGAAATATCACTGCTCCCAAATTATGTCAGTTATCAGACCCACCACTATCACTTATAAAGTGTTAACAAAGAAACACATATATCATGATACCCTGTGTTTTTTAATATTTTAAAAATCGAATTTCAGTAACTGGTTTCTATAATCATACGTATTTTAGATATTTAACACATTCTTCTGATCAGCCAAAGAAGTTGGTGACACAAAATCAGTTAGGACCTCCTGCTTGAGACCAACAAGACTTGTGGAAATCCACTGACAATGGCACTTGGGGAGCTAATGAGTCACTTAAAGTCAGGAAACAGCAGGTAGCAGGTCTGACTCCTCACCAGATGCGTGACCTTCTATGAGAACAATGCCATCTGTTAAACTACTTTACCTCTGGTTTCCACAGCATGGATGCATTTCCTGATTATGCTGAAGCCAATGCTGTCCAACTGCGCAGCTGAAAGAGCAAGAGAAGGACAGTCAAGTTGCTAGCCATGGAAATCAACCTCAGGATAGGGCTTAACCAAACCAGGATGAATCAATCGCATGCTGTGGTCACATATCCTTTTAGTTTTTCCCAATAACAGTACAGGAATAACATAATAATAATAATAATAGCTGGCATTGATTGAGAGCTTTCCATATGCTAGGTATGGTTTTAAGTGCTTTGCATGTAGTATCTCATTTAGTTCTCATAGTAACCTCAAGCTGTAGTAACCTGTAAAATTATCTTCAATTTACAGGTGAAGAAACTGCAGCATAAGGTGACAGGTACCTTTACATTGCTCTGCTATTAACAGAAGCTGTAGAACTAATTGCGGTCTCCTTCAAAAAGCACAAATTAAGTGGTCTATAAATGTTGGGTAAGTGCTTAAAATAGATTTTCTCACTTGATCTCAGTAAGTCCTCCAGGTTGACATTATCACTAGCCCATATTACAGATGAAGAAACTGAGGCTTGGTAAAACTAAGTATCTTGACCAAAGATGCAGAGCCAATACATGGAGACTTGCTCTAGAGCCCATACCATCAAACTGCCTTAAACGTGTCCCTGAGTTAAGTATAATCCTGCTCAGGTGACTAGAAGAAAGGAAAAATAGAACAAAGAATAAAAGAAGAAAAATGATTCAGAGGAAAATTAAAAGAGCCAAGAACAAAGACACTACCAAAGGAAGCAGCATGAAGGCAGTGGGGCCATCCTCTAGGGGGAAATGAGCAAGTGGTGACAGGATTCTCACCCAGAAAATAAATGATCAACAGCAGCAACTTCTTCCACAGCAGAGAACCACACAAGGCTGGAAACTTCTAACCTGACAACAAGGCTGGAAATTCCCTAAAATTCACCCCCATGTTTTGGTTACCCGGTGATAATCTTTAAGAATGGGTTCATCTTTGACCTTCTTAGGACAGTGGACAAGGCATTCTACCACTTAATGGTCAGAGTGGAAAAGAAAATGGCAGAAAGTAGAAAAGCAAGTATTTATAGATGATTTGCGGTCATCTCAGGGAAAGTAATAAACTTGTAATATTTGAGAAGTGAGCAGAACCTGAACTCACCTTGGATCTAATCCAAACTGAATCTTTCTTTAATTCTTAGCGTATATGGGTAAACTTAGATAAAATGAACATTTTATTTTTTTATTTCCATAGGTTATTGGAGAACAGGTGGTGTTTGGTTACATGGGTAAGTTCTTCTTTTTTTTTTTTTTTTTTTTTTTGAGACAAGGTCTTACTCTGTCGCTCAAGCTGGAGTGCAGTGGCATGATCTTGGCTCACTGCAACCTTCGCCTCCTGGGTTCAAGCGAGTCTCCTGCCTCAGCTTCTCTAGTAGCTGGGATTACAGGCACCCACCACCACATCTGGCTAAGTTTTGTATTTTTAGTAGAGACAGAGTTTCACCATGTTGGCCAGGCTGGTCTTCAACTCCTGACCTCAGGTGATCTACCCGCCTCGGCCTCCCAAAATGCTGGGATTACAGGCGTGAGCCACCGCACCTGGCCTACATGGATAAGTTCCTTAGTGGTGACTTGTGAGATTTTCATGCACCTATCACCCAAGCAGTATACACAGCACCCTATTTGTAGGCTTTTATCCCTCACCCCCTTCCCATCCTTTCCCCCACGTCCCCAAAGTCCATTGTGTCATTCTTGTGCCTTCGCATCCTCATAGCTTAGCTCCCACTTATGAGTGAGAACATACAATGTTTGGTTTTCCATTCCTGAGTTACTTCACTTAGAATAATAGTCTCCAGTCTCATCCAGGTAGCAGCAAATGCCATTAATCATTCCTTTTTATAGCTCAGTAGTAATCCATCATATATATACACCAAAGTTTCTTTATCCACTTGTTGACTGATAGGCATTTGGGCTGGTTCCACGTTTCTGCAATTGTGAATTGTGCTGAAGATTTTAAAACATTTTTTAATCACCAAGAATTCCCAAAATCAAACTAAAAAGGAATGCTAATTCCTAAAACAACTCTTCCCAAACTGAAATATTAATAGTTCCTATACTTACATACATACTTATTGCTTAGTGATGCTTATTACAAACACACTCAGCCTCTAGGATAGTAAGTAAAGTACCAGAAAAGAAACAGAAAAACAATGTTTTTCTCCCTGGAGATTACTTGCTATACAAACCATTCTTTTTATTCCCTTAAAATGGTAAGGAGCCTATTAACCCAATCCCTTGTTTTTCCCAGTATAAATAAAGTATTTGCTCTGCAAATTATGGCATCTCAAGATTCTGATTACAGGCTGAAAGCCCAATTAAAATAATTCTTCCAAATAAAACTCAACTCATGCGGCAGGCATTTTTCAAATTTAATAACAACCTATAATACAGAGGCCAAATACCTGTTGGAATCCAGGGGAGGAATTTTTTTTTTTTAAATAACAGCTTTCTTGGTATATACTTCATATACCATAAGTTTACCCATTTTAACTATACAATTCAGCAATTTCTAGAGTATTTACAAAGCTGTGTATTAATCACTATTATCTAACTCCAGAACATTTTTGCCCTCCTCCCTACCCCAAAAACCCATACACATTAGCCATGTCTTCCCTTCCCCCAGCTGTGGGAAGAATTCCTTTTCTATGGATTTGCCTATTGTGAACACCTCACATAAATGGGAATCATACACGATGCGGTCTTTTATGTCTAGCTCCTTTTACTTAACATAATGTTTTCAAGCCCTAGCCATGTTGTAGCATCAGTACTTCACTTATTTTTATGGTTAAATAATATTCCACGGTCCAGATATATCACATTTTATTTATCCATTCATCGGCTGATAGATATTTGGGCCATTTCCACTTTTTGGCTGTTGTGAATAATGTTACTATGAACATCTGTGTACAAGTCTCTGTGTGAACTGGTATTTTCATTTCTTTTGAGTATACACCTAGGAGTGGCATCGCTGGGTCACAGAATGACACCGTGCTTAACTTTTTGAGGAATTGCCAAACTGTTTTCTAAGCAGCTGCACCAGTTTTCATTCCTACCCGCAATGTACGAGGGTTCCAATTTCTCCTAATCCTTGCCAACATTTGTTATTGTCTTTTTTATTATAGCCATCCTAGTGGGTGTCAAGAGGTATCTCATTGTGGTTTTGACTTGTATTTCCCTAATGACTAATAATGTTGGGAATCTTTTCATGTGCAGGGAGGATTTTCATTCCTTTATACAGTAGTCACAATAGAGCCTACTGGAAAGCATTTGTCAGACGGGGAATTACGTTTTGTGCTAAAGGAGTTTCCCAAAATGTTTATAACTACGATTCAATAGTCAGGTGAAGCCTTTTAGTTCTTCTTTTGAGAGGTGCTTAAGATCATCTTTTCATAGCAATGAGAATCAAAGAAGTCTGGGAGAGAAAAAATTGCCATTTTACACAGTGCTACGGGGAGCTGCAGACATTGATTCTGAACTAGGATGTTTCAAGAGTAGGCTTGTGAACATGGTCTTATTCTAGGCATTGACGAACTTCTGCCCTAGACAAAGGCTATTTCTTTACCCTCTGAACATCGATAAAAGTTTTGAAAAATTGAAAAGAACCTAGCATCTGACAGTGATGACCCCAGTGGTCAGAAGATACATGCATGTAAAGCCATCAGCCCAATTAGTGGACATAACCCTCTAGAGGCAAATCAGTCATTGAACCTTTTTTTGTGTGTGTGGCACTGTAGGAAGTGCATCCTTTTCTAGGTAAGTAATATTTACTGGAAAAGAATAAAATGGACGCTTCCAAATACATCCAGAAAATAATCAAAATTTTACCCACTACTACAATTACTTCTTTTGGTAAATGGCAAAGCAAAACCTCCACATTCAATCTGAGTAAATGTTCCTCCTTTGGTTTTCCCAGCGTTAGAGATTCTCCAATTTGTTTGAAACCAGCAAACTCCTTTTCTTGGAATTAAGTCTTACACAGATGTTACACATAAAGGTCTTACATATGACATGTGTAATCCAGTATTTCTCAGTTTATCTTAGTTGTCTAAGTTCAAATGGATACGATATTTACATATTGCAAAGTCAAACATTATGAGCTCAAGATAACTCTGTTAGCCTCTAATGTATTAAAATTGCATATTGATGATAATTATTTACAGCCTATAAACAGATAACACTGTGTTAAGAAATGGAATCTCTTTCAAACAACTGTTTCTCCAACAAGGAATTCAAGAAATACAGGTTATCAACCACTGCTCTAAACCTCTAAACTGGAACTAGTGTAAATTATCACATTGCCCACTGCCTGGGGACCCCCATCTCTCTTTGTCTCTTCTTTTTCACACACACACATGTGCATGCATGCACACACACAAAGAGCTTGATTTCCACTCTCATCAACTTGAGTTTCCTGCTGATTAGATTACTAATAATTAACAACGGTTTTATTATTTATCATGGACCAAGTACCATAATGTGATAGGGACTACAGTGCACACATAACCAGATCATTAGTCCTAATCTCTGCCCAGTAGGGATATAATCTAAGTTAATTGAGATCTCCTAGTCTGAAAAGCAAATTCCCACTAAAAGGTTTAGAACACTATCACCACCAAGCTGCGTTTGCTAACGACAGAAAAAGTCTGAGTGGCTCGCCAGATGGAGGCGGCTGTCCTTAATCCCCTCAAGCAGGTGATTCAGCTCTTTCACTGAGCCAAGGCTCAGAAAAGGTCAGGGATTTATTAGCAATTTCTGTATCCCTATAATCTCCAGCAATAATCTCTCATTAAATATCTACTAGGCTTGCATTAGTCCCTTAATTTGACTTGTGATGAGTTGTCGCAGGACCTGTGTCTCCCAGGGCCAACATCCACCATCCTGCAGTTGAGGCTTCGGCTGGTTTACTTCCCTCCCTCAGCCTCAGGTTCAGCTCTGCTCAGTGTACACACGAGGCAGCCCAAACAGTTGTCTCATCATGAATGCTGGCAGAGCTTGCACCAAATATCCAGGTTGGCCTCCCAGGTTAGAAATGTGCCATCCTCTTAACTTTCATTTCAACTTTTGAAGCCTTGTTGCTTTGTCTCCTTTCAGAGAAAGCAGCATGCTAGGGTAGCAAAGTCGATTTTCTCAAAGTTCTCTAGAGAACACGTGAACACAGGAGAGGTGGGTTTATGCTCAGTAACCTTGAAGAATCTTAGGGAAAACCACAGACGTGGGAAGAGGATGCCTTGGGCTATCATGCCTAGGATATGAACCCCGGGAGGCTGGAGGCAGGTTACATCCAGAGACTAGCTGTCTTACTGCAAAAGGATTAAAAGAACAACTCTAAGGTACAATCAAATGATTTTCTTATCTAAAAGGAGGAGGCTTGAATCGCTTGAACCCAAGAGGCAGAGACTGCAGTAAGCCGAGACTGCACCACTGCACTCCAGCCTGGGCAAGACTGTCTCAAAAAATAAAAATAAATAAAAGGAGGAGGTTGGTGGGCCAGGGAGACAGACATGGATTTTAGCATAACTGCCACTGCTATACAACCATAAGGTCAACGCCATGTCCTGAAGCTTCTGGGACCTCATCTGAGATACTTTTCACTGGCTCCTCCCAGCTATTAAAAAAAAAAAAAAAAGAGGTGTGTAGGTGGTCGGAAAATTATAACAAAATCACAAGTATCACCCTTGGCACCACTTCTTACCTCCCATTCCAAATTATCACCAAGTCCCTCAATTGTCTCTTCTAATGCCTCTCAATTTTGTCCAATTTCTTCATCATCATCATCACCATCCTGGTCCCTACCTCAATCATCTGTTGCCAGGATGACTGCATTAACCTCCTGGCTGGTCTTCTTATTCTTCTTGTTCCTGTCTGCCCTCTGCATTGCAGCCCCTATGGTCTTGACAAAATCAGAGCATATCACCTCCCTGCAGCACCTTGCTGCCCTTGGGAGAATAACCCCAATCCTTACTTGCTCACAAAGCTGTGTGTGACGGGGCCCTGCCTGGCCCTCCAGCTTCTTCAGGGGCCACTGTGCCAGCTCTGAGCACCTAGCCACACTGGCTGTCTTTCAAGAACATTCAACTAACCATGCTTTCTCCCCAGCACAGACTGTGGATTTCGCACGGGAGCCTTTGGCTCCCAACTCACATTACCCTCAAGTGTCCTTTCCTCAAGAAACTCACTCAGACGTTCCCACCTAGGTTAAAGCCCCCATTGTGCACTCAGATACAGGACCATCAACCTTTCTTTCAGACTATGATGCACCACTGCAAGTTTACACTGATATGTGTGATTCTGTGAAAAATGTCTACCAAACTAGAATACTTATTCATGAGGGCAATGGTCCAGGTATATTTACTTCACTGGCTACTACAGCTCTATCTTTCACCATCAACTATAGCAATGGATATGAATTGGAAGTGTGTGCATGCACGTGTCATTTTTCATTTTGGATACGTGAATAGGTAAATTAGTGAATGAATGGTAGAGAGAGTTGCCGAGGGGCAGTGTGTCAAAATGACCTTTCAATTTCAACTGATATAAACCCTCTGAGAGTAGATGAGTTCTTTTAACCTTTTGGTCCTCCACTTTCTCATTTTTTTTGTGATGATATAAAGGTTAAATAAAGAAATGAATAGGCTGATCTAACCACTTCCTTCCTTCCTGTATCAATACAGGCATGCCACCTAGCAGCGAAGCCCAAGAATGGGCCCAAGAAAAAGGAAGAACAAAAGTGGCACAAGCTAAGCCATGAAACATAGGAGACAAAAGCAAATTTAGGTTTTCCTGGACACTTTTAGACCTCCTGCATTTTGTCCATCAAGGCATTATCATCATTGAGCTGCATGTGGTGTGAAGCTGGGGCTGAGAGGAGGGCTTCTCCATATTACACTAACTCGGCCATCTAAATGAGGGTCAAGAGGGGCCTGAGGCCTGAGGGTCAAGAGAGCCCCTGGAAAACACAAGTATTCTCCGCTAGACCATCATGCTACCCGTGAGACCTGATTCCTCAGGCTCAAGAGCCCCTCTTCTGAAAATCACTGACCTGCAGTTGCTCAACTCCAACCTTCAGTATTCAGAAAACCAAGAAATTTGGCAAGAAGTGGCCAAATCGCCCAATTTGAATAGAAGAAAACTTTCCATACTATAAGTTGACTGATGGACACATATATATAGTCTATAAAAACAGCACACTAGGACATGCCCCCAAACGACCCCATGCCTGCATCCCTGGAATTCTAACCAAACCCTGGGGAGGGAAATCCTCATCCAAAGGAGAGGAGCTAATCTACTGAATTAGCCTCAACATGAACTAGAAAGGGTTACTGTCCCTAAAGCTGGTATTCAACAAGTTTTTCCTAGTCTGAATTTTTTCCCCAGGAAATTTAGTCAATTCTCCTTTGATTAAAAAGAAAAAAACAAACCAAACCTTTTTTGTGGGAGAAATGGAATTTGCTGGAAGCACTGTAGGTTATGCATAAAAACAAGAGGATTGAGGTTGAGCACCCTGGCTCTCAACTGTAATCTCAGCACTTTGGGAGGATGAGGCGAGAAGATCGCCTGAAGCCAGGGGTTTGAGACCAACCTGGGCAACATGGTGAAACCTCATCTCTACAAAAAGGTTAAAAAAAAATTTGCTGGGCATGGTGGTGTGAACCTGTGGCCCTAGCTACTCAAGAAGCTGAGGCAGGATGATGGCTTGAGCCCACGAGGTTGAGGTTACAATGGGCTATGATCATGCCACTGCACTGCAGCCTGAGCAACAGAGTGAGAGCCTGCCTCAAAAAAAAAAAAAAAAAAAAAAAAAAAAAACTGAGAAGTAAAGGATTTCTAACATGGATGGATGGATGGATACAGGAAATTGTCGAGTTGCTGTGAGCAGGCCACTTCAGGGGCATGTTCTCACCACAGAAATTTATGCAATTTTCCAATGTGATTTGCTCTTTATAGAGCCTGGTTGGCCTCCCTCATTCTGAATTTAATCAATTTCAACACCCTTAAAAGCCATTGAGAAAACCACCCACATTGAAATGAACATAAATTCCACCTGAAGAATAATTTCCAATTTTCACACACACAGAGGGAAGACTAGAAGGGCTTGCCTGTTTTCCCCTAATCATGTGAAGCCCCAGGGTTGCCAGGGCTCCCTGGGCTGTGGCCCCTGGAAAGCTGTCCTCATGATAGCAGCTCTCAGAAGCTTCAGTGGGGCCCAGGAAAGGTGGCCAACTGGTTCTTAATTATCTGGGTGTGCATTCTCTATTGTGGAGGTTACCCACAGCCAATTTTTAATCCCAGATCAGCACTCCAGGGACCCCCATGCACCATCCCTACACCAGACTATTCTCTGCCCCCTGGCTGGTATGTTCAGGGAATGTGAACTAACTTTAATATTAACTAAAGTCACACAGACAGAATTGTAGGTAGTGGAAACTGAATGAGCTATAAAGCCAGACAGACCTGGATTAGAACCCTGCCTCAGCTACCTCTGGCTGGATATGACCTTAGCTTCACCTTTTTGAGGCTCACCTTCCTCGCTTGTATAATGGGGATAACTCAACAGGATGCTACGAGGGTCAAATGAAATGTATAGCAACTGGGATTTACTTGGTATTCAATACATGATCATGACCAATATTACCTAGTATTACCAATATTAGAATGTTACTATATCCTAATATTTGAATGAAATCTTCCAGTTGATGAAATACTTTTCATATTCAAGTTCATGTTATCTTTATGATAACCCCATAGGGTAAGTCTTGCTACTCTTCTTACTCATAACTACTGTGTTTTCACACTAATGAGTGTAATGAGGGATAATACATTACAGTTTATAAAATAAATTAATAAACTATAGTTTATTTGATTTTCCCAATATCTCTGCTAAGTTTTTATGATGAGGAAAGCCAGACTCACGTTAAGTGGTAACAACAGCAATGATAACCGTGGCTAACACTTACTGAGCACAGACTACATTGCTCTGAGCTACACAGTTAGGTGCATCATTTTCTTATCATCATCATCATCATCATCATCATCCGTATTTTGTAGATAGGAAACCTACGCTCAGTCAGGTTAAGGAATTTCTGTAAGATTATAGCATCAGTGAGTAGTGGAACCAAGATTTTATTTAACTCAGTCTGACTCTTGGGCTCATCCTCTTCTACTCTTTGCTTTCTGCTAGAGACAGTCAGAAAGGAACTGGGGGCTGTGGATCAGGTTCTGTGGATCCTACCATTTCTATTCCAGTAGCGGCTCTCAACTCCAGTGAACAAGAGTGCACTTGTAGAAATGCAGATTCTGGGCCCTCTCCCGGCAATTATGCATCAGTACATGCGAGAACCCCACTTGGAAAAACACTGTACTATATACTAAGCAATTAAGATTATTACCACCAAAAACAAACAAAAATGACTTAATTTAGTCAATTGCCAGTATCTATACCACATTCCCTGCTGGACAACAACTATTTGCCAGTGCTATGCATCTTAATATGGAATGCTGGATTGTTCCACTTTGGCATATGGGATGATTCCAAGAGGTTCACAAACATTTCTCAGTTATACTTTTATTTTAATGAATATTAGAAATCTACTGATTTATCACACATAGCAAAATATATTTCTTTTTTAAATAAACTGAGGTAAAAAATGGATGAATTGGTTTAAAACCAGTAAGCAAATTAATAATAAAAGTAGTATATGTATATATTTAAAAAGTCAGCCAGGTGCAGTGGCTCATACCCAGAATCCCAGCACTTTGGGAGGCCGAGGCAGGTGGATCACTTGAGGTCAGGAATTCGAGACCAACCTGGCCAACATGATGAAATCCTGTCTCTACTAAAAAAAAAAAAAAAGAAAAAAAAATTAGCTAGGCATGGTGGCAGGTGCCTGTAATACCAGCTACTTGGGAGGCTGAGGCACGATAATCACTTGAACCAGGAAGGTAAAGGTAGCAGTGAGCCAAGATTGTACCACTGCATTCTAGCCTGGGTGACAGGGTAAGACTCCATCTCAAAAAAAAAAAAAACACAAAAAATCATGAAGGTGACAGAAATAATAAATTGGGGAGCTCAAGTCCTAATGTGTCCCCAAACATGCACTATGTTCAACCTGGCTGAAAGAATGAGATGGGAGAGGACCATATTCTACCTGTAAGATATTCTGTTCCAGTAACATCATCCTTGATCTTTGCTTTCTCTCACACCCTATATCCAATTCACACACCACATCCAATCCATTAACCAATCCTGTCACTAATAACTTAAAACCGTATCCAGAATCTAACTACTCTTCACCATATCCATTGCTAATACCTTGATCCAAGCTGCCATCATCCTTTGCCTGGACTGCCTGCAGCAGTCTCCCAGCTGCTTCAATTTTGCCCCCACCCCCCACCCCCACCCACCCCACTACGGTTTATTCCCCACCAGCAGCCAGAGTCATCTTTTAAAAACATACATCAGCTCATGTCATGCACCTGATCACAACTCTCCAGTGACTTCTCTTCACACTAAGAATGCAGTCTTATCTCCTGGCCCCACATGGTCTAGCCCCAGCCTACCTGACCACTCACCCCCAGGGCCTCCTCCCATCCGGGCACCACTGTTCTTCCTGATATTCCTAGAACACAAGTAGCTCACGTCACCTCAGGGCCTCTGCACATGTTGGTCACTCCATCAATAACACTCATCTACCCACTCCTGACACGCTTCCCTCCCTCCCTTTGTTCAGATTTCTTCTCAAATGTCACCTCTTTAGAGAGACCTTTCCTGCTCCAGGTATCTAAAATCACTCCCTTCTCCCTTATCCTCTATCCACCAGCCCTTATTTTTGCAGAATACTCATCTCTACCAGAAATTATACCTTTATCTACTTGCTTACTCTTTGTTGTCAATTTCTTTTCATTGTATATGCTCCATGAGAGCAGAGACAATCTGCCCTGTTCATGACTAATCTCAATAAATATGTCCTGAAAGAATAAATACAATCCATGTTTTCACCAGCTGAAAACACAAGGAGCCGACAGGCCAAAAGTCTCCACATTCCAGGAGCCTTGAATAGTGACAGGTGGCTGCATATATTGGTACCTTCTAGAGTTCAGGCCCCTGCAGTGGGAAGCATGAGACAAACAGGTTTGACAGAGATCTCATTCATACCCTGACCTCAAAGCAAGAATACTGCTAGTCAGACTTTTCTTCCCTAGCCTACCAGATACAAAGGCATCTATTTTTTTTTCATTGTTTCTTGAAAACAAACACACAGAAAAATAAGCTGAAAGAGACATAGAGTAAAGTAAAATAGGTAGCAGGAACAGAAACAAAAATCTGCCTGGATGGGAATAAACCTACCAGCTCTCAGCCACAGTCAGGGGAGGTTCTAAAGAGTGTTCCAATTCTTGGCAAAAGACAGGCATCCAGGGTGACAGCACGTAGGTTCTTGCACAGCACAGGCTGAGGACTATACATCTGCCTGGGATGGAAGGAGTGTTTCTTTGTGGGTTTCTACTTCTGCAATCTCCTAGTCCACCTTAAAATTCCAAATCAGAATAGCAGCAAAAGAGCAAGGCTTAATGCACACTGCAGTAACACTGACCAGCTTAATCAGGACCATTTGTCTCCTACATGGGGATCTGGACATTCTGAGAATGAATTACACAGTGGCCTCAATTCCCTTCTGCCTTAAGGCCCGGTGGTTTTGCACTGATTTCTCAACCGAAAGAGATCATCATCAGCTTTCTGAGGGTGGAAGTGTTTCAAACAGAGAACCAACTGCCTCTGCCCATCAAGGTCACTTTCCTGCCTTTACCTATCTGTCTTCTTACCTCGAAATGCTTTAAGAACAATTTGTTGGTCACAACAAACTCTGAGGCAGCGAAGGGCAGGGAAAGAGAGGGCATTCAGAATCAAAGGCCTAAGATTTGAGCCCTGGTGTCTCCACAAACTGCTTGTGTAAGCTGGGCATACTTCACCTCTCTGACCCATTCCCCTCACATATAAGATGCAGGTGTTGTGAAAATCAAATAAGGCAATGCCCGGAGGAACTTTAAAGAGACTGTACAGTGCCACGTTTTTATATAAACGGGCTCTGGCTTTGGATAATGATGACATTATTGGTAATAAGAATAAAGCGCAACATTTAATCATTGCCGATAATACCAGGCACCATTGAGCAAAGGATGTCCATCCTAATCTCATTTATTCTTCCAAAAAAACCAAAGATTTAATTATTAAAACTATTCCCACCTTCAGACAAAGAAACTGAGGCTTGGAGAAATTAATTTCTCAAAATCACACACTCAGTAATTCTTGAGGCTGGGATTTCAAACCACGTGTGGAATACTCCAGAGCTAACACTTCTAAGCACTACTCTACCCTCTGCTCAATCTTACATGCCGATTGTGAGCTGCAGGCTCTGACAACTCTGATCAGTGCAGGGAGTGACCAAGTTTGCCCTCAGAATGAAGTCTCAGTTTTCACATCTGTAAATGGGGTCAATAATAGTATCTAGCTCATAGGGTTCTTAGGAGGATCAAATGACATAACGTATATCAAGCAGTGAACATGTTGCCCACTCCCCAGTATGTACTCAATAAACATTAACCACAATAACTGGAAGCCTGTACTCGGTGGCAGTGGGGGAAATATTTTAGTCTCTGTCTCAATAACCCCTTGCACTGGGCTTTAGGGGTTAAAGATGTAGCCAGGGACCTGCTCACTGTCTCTTGGCTGAAGCCCAAACTGGGATGGCAACGGGTGGCTCACACCTGCTCAGGCTGCAGCCTGCTGTCAGTACAGAGCCCACATCACTGAGGGAAAGGGGAATATTAGGCCATGGCAGAGGCATACACTGGCTGCATCTGCCAGTCTAAAGCTAGCTGAGAGAGAGGGTAGATTTGTCAAGTGTCTTTTAGGACAAGCAGAAAGGCTTCTGATTATCCATGCAAGTCCAAGGAGTACCACCACCAGTCATAGCTTTGGGGGCCAGGGTCTCATCAAACAAAATAGCTGGGAACTCAAATAATAAAATATCTGCAAAAACAAGCTGTTCCTGCCCCTTCTTCTCTCTCCAGCCCCCTGCCCTCCGAGCCAGGGCTATTCTAGAGCTGGGGTATTACAGCTCAACTAAATGTAATTCAAGCTCAATGCACCACAGCAACTGTGTTGCACAGGCAACTCATAATGAAAAGTGAGGTGTAGAAAGTCAGCACCTAGGGAGAGCTAGAATTATACCACCTCGCCTGACTGCGGCTCAGAAGATGAAAGTGGTGGCCACGGAAACTGCATGCACAGGAGAGAGGAGAAAGGGGAAAGAAAAAGGGTGTGGGGAGGAGGGCAGGAAGGAACGCAGGCAAGGGAGGGAGGCAGAGTGTCTGTCCTCTATCAGCTCAGACCTGGCAGGCCTGGAGAGAAAGCTGGAGGGGATGCTGCACTCAGCTGACTGCCTCGTGGGCCAGTGCATAGGCGGCCAGGCCACTGTGCCCATTAATGCCTTCCACCCTTCTCAGGTTTAAAAGGGGAAATGTTCTATTTATAAGCCACCGACCAGCAGAGGCCTGGCAGCCTCTGGATGGTTCTGATCCCAAAAGGATCCTGGTTACCGGTGGCTGCCTCCTCCTGCCTCTCAACTGTGGGTGTTCTAACAGCAAAAGGCCAAAGGTGACTAGAAGCAAAAGAAAAACAAATCCTCTTTTCTGCCCTCTGCTGCTTTCATGAGACGGTGGATTTTTGGTAATGGCTGAAGGCTTTAGATGTCTTTTAAAAATAGTGGCCCAGGCGATCCCATCAAGGCTTTCCCTACAGTTTTCAAGCCTAAATCTCCTTTTCTGTTTTACAGATCAAGGGAGGCTGAGGAACAGAGATGAAGGAAATGTACAGTCAGAGGCACAACAATAGGAAACAGAGCAATGGTAATGATGTCCCTCCCCATCTCCTCTCCTGGTCCTCAATCTTGTCCTCATAAAACAAGGCAAACCTGAATAAAACGCCATCAGGGAGTTTGCTCTGAATGACGGCCTAAAGAAGGATGAGTGGATGTACAGAAACAACATATAAAGCATTATGTTGTGTTGCCAAATCCCTGTGGGAGAGTGGTGGGCCACACTAAGGGTCTGACCCTGGGGAAGCCAGTCAGTGAAATGCGTGACCCTTGTGCACCCAGCACTGTGCACAGGTGTTTGAGGAACCACTGAGGGCTCTAATGAGGTGGTGCACTAAGAAGGAATATGGGATGGCCCCTCAGCCACAAAGAACTAGAGGGGTTAGATGTTGGAGTCTGATGATGAAATTCCTTCCAGCCCCCATGGGTGGACCACATATGAACAGGATGGCAGAATGGATCAAAGATTTCAAGCATATGAAGTGTTGCAGGAAAAAAATGACCCTGGCAATGAGGCAGGCTAGGGTTTGAGTATGAGCTTCACTACTTCTCAACTGTGCTCCCTTGACCTCTTTAAGCCTGTGAGCTCCTTTGGAAACTCAGTTGCTGTGAACAGCATTTGTACAAATGGCAGCCCATCGTGTGACACTTTCATGCTCCCTCTCAAAACCTCATGCCATCCCATTTAGACTAATTTTAAAAACTTAGCCTTGTGTTAAGCCAAGGGTTAATAAACTACAGTCCCTGGGCCAAATTCACCATTGCCTGTTTTGTAAAACAAAGTTTTACTGGAAAACACCCACACCTGCTCATTTCCATATTGTCTGTGACTGCTTTCACACTACCATAGCGGAGTTGAATACTCCTATAAAAATAAAAATATTTACTATCTGGCCCTTTACTAAAAAAAGTGGACCCCTGTGCTAAGCAATAACATTTGTAAAATCAGGGGATTGGCCAGGCGCAGTGGCTCATGCCTGTAATCCCAACACTTTGGGAGGCCGAGGCAGGCGGATCACCTGAGGTCAGGAGTCCGAGACCAGCCTGGCCAACATGGTGAAACCCCATCTCTACTAAAAATAAAAAAAATTAGCCAGGTGTGGTAGCAGGCACCTGTAATCCCAGCTACTAGGGAGGTTGAGGCAGGAGAATCACCTGAGCCCAGGAGGCGGAGGTTGCAGTGAGCCGTGATCACACCACTGCACTCCAGCCTGGGTGACAGGGGTCTCAAAAAAATAAATGAAATAAAACAAAATAAAATCAGGGGATTTCAGAGAACTTATGTTCCCCCACAATACACATCAAAATAAATACAGAAGTCTAGATGGTAATTTAAAATATACTCTCTCAAATGACCTAGTGTACCACCAGTGGTGTGCACACCCCACTTTGAGAAATACAGTAACGAGGATTAAATGAATGAACACTCATAAAGCACCAAGACTGAGAAACAGTAGCAGGTTGTCTTCCTCCCTTCAAGAGCAGTGTTACCAATCCAGCTGGCTTTTCCTTTCCAGTGGGTTTTTCCTTTTGTTGTGGGAGTAACTGGCCTGGCCAGATGATAAGAGTAATAACCAAGAGTAATTAGGCACTTACCAACTAATGTGCAGATACTAATGTGCTGAACTTTCATTCTTACAATGAGTTTATGAAGCAGGGGTATTATTATCCCCATTTTACAGAAGAGGAAATGGAAGCTTAGAGAGGCGCACCACCTGTCCAAAGTTCTACACCCAGGATGCTATTCTACACCAGCCACACATTACTCCTCCATGCAAACCCTCTCTCTAATCCACGTGGCGGAATCTACCCAAAGAGAATGATCTGAGATACGTACAAAGGCTGATGTACAAGGCCAATAACTGATGAAATTAATAACTTTTGAAGCTATTATGAATAACATAGGCCAATGTTATTTGTAATACCAAAAACCTGGAAAGAGCATTAGTCTAACAATGATAAATGATTCAACAAATTAAGATATAGTCCAATGACAGAATATTAAACAACCATGACAGGTGATACTTCTAAACATTTCATGACATCAGAAAATGTCTGTAATTTTTAAAGCAGAATACAACAAGCATATTCAACATAATGCCAGTTAAATTAAAATTCATACTGACATTGACAAAATACATACAAGACATCATTTAAAAAAGGCAAGAAGGAAGTATCTCTGGGAATAATATTACCAATGATTTTTGACTGAATGTTTCAAAATCATTTTGCTGTATTTCTGTAATATTCTACAATGAGTTCATATTTCCTTCTTCAATCACTGCTCTTCTCCCCACCTCCCAGTGTGAATGACAAATTGGCAAACTGCAGTGGGTTCTTCAGCATTTTTATTCAAATATAAAGGATTCTTATAAAAGCACTAGATTAGGCCAGGTGCAGTGGCTCACGCCTGTAATCCCAGCACTTTGGGAGGCCGAGATGGGCGGATCATGAGGTCAGCAGATCGAGACCATCCTGGCTAACACGGTGAAACCCTGTCTCTACTAAAAACTACAAAAAAATTAGCCGGGCGTGAGGGCGGGTGCCTGTAGTCCCAGCTACTTGGGAGGCTGAGGCAGGAGAATGGCGTGAACCCGGGAGGGGGAGCTTGCAGTGAGCGGAGATCATGCCACTGCACTCCAGCCTGGGCAACAGAGCAAGACTCCATCTCAAAAAAAAAAAAAAAAAAAAAAAAGCACTAGAGCACTAGATTAAAAACAAACCACAAGGAAAGAAAGGACTAGGACTTGGATGCAAAGAGGAGGAAGTGTTATATTTTTTCTTCTTCTGGGGAGGAGAGAAGGGAGGAAATTTCCATTTTTCAAGTGTAGCTCACTCTCAAATCCATGAGCTCTGGGCATGTAGTCTGCACCCTGGGTACTTCTGTAGATGGTTTGAATATGACATACACCCACACGATGTAATTGGGCCATCTGTCTATTGTTCCCCTGTGGTCTGAACCTCCACAGCAGATCACATGAGCTTTAAAGGTAGAGACAGATGTGTGTTCTAGTTATGAGTGTCCTTACCTCTCGGTACTCATATATCTCAGTGCCACCTGCCCTTAAGAACTCCCAGAAGGCTGGGCGTGGTGGCTCATGCCTATAATCCCAGCACTTTGGGAGGCCAAGATGGAAGGATCACGTGAGGCCAGGAGTCCAAGAACTTCTAGAGGCATTCACTGAAGGAAGAGCTACAGGAAGCCTGGACTCCTGCAGTTTCATCCGGCACAAGATCCAGGTGGGAGTAACAGGAAAATGTTGAACAAGAGTGAGAAGTGGAGTGAACTACAAAATGGCATTCTGAAAAGCCAGATGGCCAGTGTTAAGCCAGGTCCTGACATGCATGAGAAGGCATGCCTGCAGCAACTTCAGCATATTCCTTTCAACATAACCCGATTAACCTATGGAATCTGAGTTAATACCCACATTGAGGAAAGTGGCACTATAAAGTCAAGATTAGGAGACTGAGCCCTCTCTGCCTCAATCTGTCAGACTTCAGCCTTCAAGCAGCTGGAGAAACAGTGGGAGGGCAGCATTCTTGTAAACAAGCTAATCTTTTTAGAGTTAAGTAGGCAGTGACATTTGTTATTTAAAACATCAAACTTGGAAAAGACCAACTCACACTGTAAGAGCCTGCCCTTCTCTTACTCCCTTGCACTGGACTGGTGTGTTCTCTCTGACAAGTTCTCGGCTTTCTAACCTTCCCTCAGGTGGGACGGCAGGACAATAGCAGCCTGAGCTGAGAACAGGCCTCTCATCCTGCTTCCAACCTGGACTCATTACAAAGAAAAATGAACCAATTCTCATAGTCTTTGGGGAGTAAATTTTATAACTCCCTAAAGATATTCCCTACCTTGTACCCAAAGGTAGGGAACAGCAAAAAGACAAAAAGACATCGAGAGATACAGCAAACGGGGCTGCAGCGGGTGAGATGGGAGAAATGGTTCTTGCCCAGGGAAGTCTTGTTCTTTGTAATAATGAAAGGGACGAATCAATGACAAGTATCAGATAACTAGGTGACTGACACTGGCAGTGACCACTTCCTCAAAAAAAAAAGCTTAAGAAGAAACAATATCATACTTTCTTCTTCTTTATTACCAATACTCCCTTTTTCCCCTTCCCTTCTCTACTAGGTAAGAGTTTGACAAATTAGAGAATCTGGTGTCACTGATATAGATTCCTGACATTCTAGAAGCAAATCCAGGAAGGGTCCCCATGGGTAGCAGGGCTGGCAAAATAAAATATTGGTTTTTAAATTTAGTATTTAGGGATTAACTTGACCAGGAGCACACACGATCTCTAGGCAGAAAAATAAAATCCTAATAAAAAACACTGGTGGTCTGAATAAATGGAAAGACATTCAAAACCCTTGGAAGACATGACTTAATATTACAAAGGTGTCAACTTTCTCCAAATAACCTGTATGATTCAATGCACTCGCAAAGAAAAATTTTATTTTAGGGGAAACTTCTTAAACTTATTATAGAATTTATACAGAAGGATAAAGACTCATAAATACCCAAGTCAAACCTCAAAAGGGAGAATAAATAGAGGAGACTTATATAACTAGATATTAAGAGTTGCCTCAAAGTTATTATTAAAAACAGAGAGGTATTGGGACAAAAACAGCTACACAAAAAACCTGAATAAAGGGCTCAGAGACAGAACTAAAATATGCAAACCTAAAATGCAAGAACACTGGCACTACAAATCAATCGAGGGAAGAATGGATAGCTTAGTAGATGTTGATAGGAAAACTAACTCTTCCCAAGGATAAAAATAAGAATGGATCTTCATGGAACATCTCATACAGTGGTGGAAATCAGCTAGATTAGAAACTTAAATGTGCAAGACACACTCATAAAGCCAATAAAAGAAAACATAGGTACACATCTTTGTGACATGGGTCATAAAGGCCTTCTCCAAAACACAACTTGAAAATCATAAACAAGAAAGCAAAAAAGAGATGATTTGAATATATAAAAGGGCTTTGAAGGATTTATAGTCAAAGAAGGATACCACGTATTAACAGACAGATGACAAGATGAGAACATATTTAAACTGGCTAAATCTAACAAGGGATTAGTATCTAGAATCAGTAGGAACTTTTTACATATCAAAAAGAAAAGATGGTAACTGAAATAGAAAAATGGGCAAAGGACATGAATAGGCAATTAACAGAAGAGGAAACCCAGTAAACTAACAGGCCTATGAATAGATGCTCAAATTCATTAATTACCAGAGAAATGCAAATTAAAACAACAATGAACTATCATTTTACACCTATCAGACTGGCAAAAAATTAGAGAGCTGAATACTGGTGAGAGTTGGCAGGAATGGAGAAATTTGCATGTAGGGTTGGTGGGACTGCGGATCGACCACTCTGGAGAACAATACAAGAGAGTGCTTAAACTAAGTATATGCATAGCCTTTGTCCAGCAATGCTTTGGGTGGGTGTATCCCAGAGGAATTCTCACACAGGAAGATATGTACAAAGATGTCCATTGTGGTGGTGTGAGTACTGATGAGGAGTTGGAGGCATGAGAAGATGGAGTACATCTCTACAAAAACAGATACAAAGTGCTGTGTACCACAAATTATGCAGTAATCAGAAGCCACAGCATAAAAGGACACAGAGGAATACGAATGGCTCCTGACACAATGATGAGGGCACAAAGTAAGAAATAAAACAAGACCCAGAACCATTTATTAACACACACCATTTATCAAGAACACAGGAAGATAAAAGACACACATTTTAGAAAAAAGAACTAAAAGGGAATGGATGAATAAATAAAATGAAACGAAAGAATGAATGAATCAAGAAACCTGTGCTGATAATGTGCCATGAACAGGGGAGTGTGATGAATTCATCTCTCTAAACCTGAGATCCAAACAGAGCATAGAGAAGAGGAGAAGAAAAGGCTCTGCAAAGAAATGTACATATATTTATCAGCTGCCATCCTCTCCCTGGCAACTGGGTCATTTGGAAAATACCAGCAGCTGACAGACATTACTTATGGCCCTGTCTTATACTCCACAGGCACCGTATGCCCTGAGAGAAACTTCGAGATGAAAGCAAACGAATTCAGAAATTCCCTTTTGTTAACTGCTCCTTCAGAACATTCTGGCTCTCTGATAAAATGTTTGCATTGAAATTCCCACCAAAACATTTCCTAGAAAAGAAAATGCCGGACATTTGGAATTTGGACTCTAGACATTTGGAATCTGGTTAAGAAGAGCAGTGTCTCACTCTTAAATTCATATCAGATTGGCTTCATATCTTTAAAAGAGTTTAGATTGTGTCATAAACAGAAGGAGTGTTGCAGAACAATCAAGACCCAGAGCATTAGCGCCACCTGTGGTAGATGAGCCTTATGGGGGGTTTGCATTAAATTGTAAATTACTGCAATCAAGAGATACAGTAAAACAACCCCACCAAGGAGGGGAAGCTAAGAACCTGTACCATGTGGGAAAGGGTCCAAACTCAAAAAAGGGTGAGGAAGCACTAAACCAGACCATCACACTGGTTTGCCAGCTTAGAAATCAATCAATACCCTAAAAAAACAATTCCTATTTAAATGACTCCTGAAAAAGTGGCCAATTTTTTTTTTTTTTTTTTTGAGACAGAGTCTCAGTCTATTGCCCAGGATGGAGTGCAATAGCACGATCTTGGCTCACTGCAACCTCTGCCTCTCAGGTTCAAGCGATTCTCCTGCCTCAGCTTCCTGAGTAGCTGGCATTACAGGCGTGTGCCACCATGCCTGGCTAATTTTTGTATTTTTAGCAGAGACAGGGTTTCACCATGTTGGCCAGGCTGGTCTCTAACTCCTGACCTTGTGATCCGCCCGCCTCGGCCTCCCAAAGTGCTGGGATTACAGGCGTGAGCCACCGTGCTGGCAAAAGTGACCAATTTTTTTAACCCATCTTTTTACCTCCTGTGTGCTAGATGAAAGGGTAATGACTGAAGAATCATTAGACACCCAAGGCAAGCAACTCTCTTTGCTCTGTGAATAATGAGGTGCAAAAAGCAAAATGTCACAACTGCTTATATTTTCCAAAATAAAACTGTTTGTCTTATTCTTTTCTTGAGGGAGGTCAAGTAATGCATGTTATTATGTATGTTGTTCTATAGCCTAATTTTTTTAAAATTTCAATCATTAACAAACTATCAGCACAATTTCTGCAAATAGATCCAGCCCTCTCTGGTTCTTTCTAAAGGCTGTGTATTACTCCTTAATTTATTTAGCCAACTCCCTATTTGGTATTTAGATTGTCTCTCATTCTTTGCTATTATCACCAACGCCCCAACAAATTTATTTGTTGTACAAACTATCTTTGCACTCTAATGATTTCTTTAGGATAAGCCATTGGGGAGTTAGAGGGTGGTCACTTTTTTAAGGATTCCAAAGCATATCCTCGAAATGCCTTAAGAAATGTCAGAACCAGTTGGGATGCCCACCACTAGAACCATGGTTGTCCTTCAAATCTATTGGGATTTATCCCAAGTAGAGAGATGTAGGTTCATAAGGTCACAAGTTAAAAGTAAACTTCTGGCTGGTGTAGGGGGAGGTCTCCATTCACGTGCCTCTCCTCCCCCACCCCACCACTCTTGGGTCCTTTATTATGGAGGCAATGTGTCCCAGGCAGGGCCAGGTGTGAGTATCTGTTAGTGTAGCCTGCTTGGCATCCATCCCCTCTGGTCCTGATGGCTTCCCTGATTTCCCTCTGGGAAACTACTCTGTTCCCATTTTTTGCAGCAGTCTTGAAACTCTCAATCAAAATGTACAGTTTTTCCCTGGGTGGACCCAAATTAGACCAACTTGTTGCCTGGAAATCTCAATGTTCAGAAAGGTGAGGCAAGGACTACAAACAGTTTAGAGCTTTGTCGTATTATCCAGAAGACCCTTTCTCACCGGGTTCCTAGGTCTCCAGAACTCATCTATTCTCAAGCCTAGCTTTTCAGCTCCTCTGACCTTACTATGAGCTACCATACAGCCTTACATATTCCTTCATTATTGTTACTGTTGTTTTTGCCTCAGTTAGTCAGAGTTGACTTCAAGTGTTCTAAAACAATCTTACCTAATTAAGGGTGGGGTAGGGTGGAATTACTTCTTTGTTTCCTTGCATATTTACTTGAAATTTTTCCCTTGCTCATTTTATTTTTTTTGGAGGTGGAGGGGAACATTTTTTTTTCATCTCATAAAGGCCTCTCAACCTACCCACAGCAGGCATTCCAAATTATTTAATATTTCATACAAAACTCCTGGGTAAAAAATTATATTTTGAAGAGAAAGAAAGGGGGGGAAAAATCTCTGTCCTGTAATGGCTTTCACAAAAAAACAACTTCATCCTTTGGTCCACATGGAGAGGCACTGTTCTACTGATTTTCCTAACACAACTGGAATTCACAGTAGGGCAACCTTTAAATTTTTTCTCAAGTGGATTTTACAAAGCAAGGTGACAGGATTTCCTTTGTACTCTTGCAGCAACCTGGAAGGATTTTGTTTTTTCTCCTATACACCAAGGAGATAATCAGCCCAAACATTCTACCAGTTGCAGGTTCATTTTAATCCCATTGCCTTTACAAGGTTACAGGTACCCTTGGAAATCATGATTAACCAGAGTGCTTACAGGCAGCAGCAGGGCAAATGCACTACAGTCTACAGAGGCTGCCCAGGGACACTTCCATTAGAGAGGAATATTACCATAGAATTCATCTCCATTCTTTCCTCCCACAAGAGACCACAAAGAAAACAGTTACTAAGAAATCACCTAACATAGTTATTGCCTCTCCAGTCCTTTGAGCGAGACCGTGCTGGAGGCAACAGCAACTTTGGCTTTCCCACAGGATAAGGCTCTCCAGGAGTTGAGTATTGTTGTATTAAGTAACTTTTAAGTGGTGACGAGCTATAGTCTTAAGACCTACGATTAAAGGAGATAATGTACACGAGAATGCTTTGTAAAGTGTGACCCATTATTTCAATGCAAGGTGTCACTACACTACAGCCTTGCCAGCCAGGCTCACTTACCGTCCCTCTGGAGTCACTGGCGGAAAGTTGGGGTGGAGGCATGTCCCACTGCACTCGGGAACTGGAGCCAACCCAACACGCCCACAGCACCGCCTGGTGGTTCACACCTGGAGTAGCAACTTCTCAAAGCCTACTCCCAACCCTGGCTGTAGAAGGTTACCCAAGCATCGTACTTACTCCCTTCACTCTGGCTGTCTTTGTTCGAGTTGTAGACCTGGAAAATAAAAATAAAAATTCACTTATGTGCATTTTATGCCACCCTATAGGTTCACTGTAGAAAACCATTATCTTCCTCACTTTCCCTAGTTTGCACCATGAAGTGGAAGGTAATTTCTGGCTCCCAAACATGAACCCATTCAATAATTATCTACTTCTCAGTATTTACTTTAGCTGTTCTTAAGTGTGTGTGCATCAGAATCATCTGTGCAACTTTATTGTGTAAAAAAAAATTCCCTCTTTTTAAGAAAGCAAGTAAATGTATATGCGTACATAAATAGAAAAGAGAAAAAAATTAAAATTAGTTACAAATCATTAAGCATGAACTGCGCACCAGGCAATGTGCTAAGCATTTCACATGAATGATCTGAAATCATCAACATGACAATTCTGTTGGGCAGGAGCTGTTATTATCACTGTTTCACAGATGGAGAATATGAAGCCTAGAGGGGTTAACTAATGTCTCACAGCTAGTTAGTGGCAAAGTCAGGACCTTTACATCAAAAACTGTTGACTGTTAATACCGGGGAGTGGGAACTGTTACTTTTTACTCTACATACTTCTAGAAATTTGAATGTTATAAGGAGAATATATATTTTCCATAGAAACCCCTTAAATAATGTAAATCACAAAAAGGGAAAGTACCCCAATAAAGAAAAAGAAAATGCCCAATATAAAAGAGACAATGACATATTGCAAGGGTCAGCAAGTTTTTCCTGCAACGGGTCAGACATTAACATTTTATGCTTTGTGGGCCAAGAGGCAAAATCAATGACATTATGTAGGTACTTCTACAACAAGATAGAAAGTAAATTTTCATACATTTTTTGACAAAATTTAAAAACTAATAATATTTGAGTATGATTTTCTGAAATGCAAGCCTACTAATCAGAAGAATAAGTTTTTTTTAAGAGAGGTTGATATTTAGCTTAATTGGTACTCAAAGTTAGTATTCCTTATAAAGTCAATTATAGATATTTGTTTGTAAATATGATGCTTGGCTTATGGGCTCTACAAAAGAAGGTGGTGGGCTGGATTCAGTCTTTGGATCACAGTTTGCCCATCTCTGATATGCTGTCATAATTAAACAAGATGAAACCTCTACTTTAGAAAAGAAAAAAATCGGCCAGGCACAGTGGCTCATGCCTGGAATCCCAGCACTTTGGGAGGCCCAGGCGGGTGGATCATGAGGTCAGGAGATCGAGACCATCCTGGCTAACATGGTGAAACTCCGTCTCTACTAAAAAACACAAAAAATTAGCCAGGCATGGTGGCGGGCGCCTGTAGTCCCAGCTACTTGGGAGGCTGAGGCAGGAGAATGGCATGAACCCAGGAGGTCGAGCTTGCAGTGAGCCGAGATCACGCCACTGCACTTCAGCCTGGGCAACAGAGCAAGACTCCGTCTTAAATAAATAAATGAAAAAAAATCATAGAACCCAAGCCCTTCTTTGGTCATTAAGGTTCTGTAGGTATAGAAAGGCATAAGGTGAACCTGATCATAATATATATATATATATATATATATGTATGTATGTATATAAATATATCCCTCCAGTGACTCTAATGGCTACTCTCAGTTGAGAACCACTTATTTAACCCCTAAAGAAACCAAGGCAACTACCTCTGAAAAGAACCATTAAATCCAGAAAGGGATTTTTCACTTAAGAAATATGACGGAGAATGGCTGGTCAAGAGGTCCCACTTGGCCCTTCAGCTGCTTTGTGTCACTGGGTCTCTTAGCCTCTCTGGGCATCTATTGCCTCATCCATAAACTGAAGGAGTCGCCCAAGAAGGTCTTTGAATTATCAAGCTCTAAATATAACAAATCATCCCATTTTATTATTAATTTTCTAAAGAAAACTAAAGCTACCAGGCCACTTATTAAAGGTCAGAAAGATGAGTATAAAGAGAACAGGTTTCTGTACTTAAAGAGGATTGTCTAATGAATGAAAAGGCATCAATGCATATACCTAAACGCTCTAGAGATAAGGAGTCAAAAGATTTTGATCCTGGCCTGGGCTTCCCCATTGGTAACTTCATCTTGCTGAACTTTAATTTCTTCATCTATAAAATGTGGGCGATGATAGGTTTTTCTGACTAACTCAGCCAGAGCTGATGTGAACATCAAATGAGACTGTGCCAAAGAAATATACTGAAACAGCACAACACAATGCAAGCGCTTTGGACTCTACTACTGAGAAAAGAAATGCTTAACATTCATGGAATTTGAGGGGAGGGCAAAAGTCACCACGAAGTCTAGGTGGAGGCTGACATAGAGGTTGTGTAATTTCTACTTAAAAGAGGAAACACAGTGGCCCACTCTCCCTCAGCAGCATCTTTATCATCTATATAAATGAACTTGAGCTAGATCATGGTTTCCAAATTGAGCCACACAGCACCTGCACAAACAAAGGGGTTGGAGAGAAGCTAAGACCAAATGACCCCTCCCTTGGCTTTTATCCATTTTACTCATGTGGCTATTGAGGAAGGGCATAGCGGCTTTGAAAAGTTTGAAGACCTCCTAAATAATAATTTCCCATGTTGCTTGCAATTCGTTTACTTATCCATGTATTTAACAAATATTTACTGTGTGCTTATAATGGTCAGGCAACGTTCCAGGTGCTGGGGATACAGATGAACTAGACATCTGTAATCTCTGCTCTCATAAAACTTTCCAATTACTGAAGAAAACAGAAATAAACAGATGCACATTTATGATTACTTCAAATATTGATAAGTACATTGGAGAAAGTAAAAAAAAAAAAAAAAAAAAAGCGGGGGTTTATTGTGGACTTTAGGCGAGGAAATGCCTCTCGGAAGAGATGACGTTTGCGCCAGGCCTGAATGATGAGGGGTACCTCCTTGGGAAGACGTGGGGGCTAGTGCCAACAGAAAGTACAGGTCCTTGGAAGGTGAAAAGTCATTGCATTTGAAGGAAGAAGGCCAGTGTGATTAGCAATCAGTGCAATGCAGAGAGGGGTAGGAGATAAGGATAGGGCAGAGGGGCAGCAATCCGATCCTGCAGAGCCTTGTGACCTGTGAGTGAAATGGGTCACAGTGTAATAGCTAAGACCAGCAATCCATGCTGACCGGCATTCACTAACCTTGGAAAGTTGGGCAAGGGAAGTGCAGAAGAGAAGACCACACTTTGGCAAGTATTTTTCTTCAGCCATCCTTGATCCCTGCATTTCTCCTAGTAAATTCAAACATTCTATCCAAGGGAACCTTGCTTCTATTTATAGCTGGCAAAATCCAGAAGGAATAGTAAAATGCAGGACTTCCAGCCCTCCTTCATTAGGAGATGAATTTGTGCCAAATTACTCTCTTTCAAGGTTTCCTGGGTCTCGGGAGACCCCTTCCTGGAACACCCAAGCATTCCCTGAATTGGAGAAGGATAATCAATGAGTCAAAGGCACCAGAAACATGTACTCACCTGCTCCTCTGAGGCCAGGCTGTTAATCTCTGTCTGGTTTGGGTTAATGAGCCAAAGAGAATGAGTTTTGAAATGAAGCTAACAAATCCTGCTTACCAGGACTTTGTGACTACAGGGCCCAACAAAGAAGGCCCAGGGTGGGGAAGCAACCAGATGGTGGCTCAGTCACAGCACTAAGCAGGAATGGTTTTGTTTACCTAGCACTTACCAAGCACCACACATGGCAACATCTAATCCTTGCAACCACCATATGGATGAGGTCTAGTATTATTCACATTTTAGAGATATGGAACCTGAGACCCAGAGTGGTTACACAGTTTGTCTAAGGACACAGAGCTGGTCAGTGGTGTACTATTCTATCTTGCCTCTAAAAGGATGTTCCAATACCCTTTTACCTTTCTAGGCAGTGGCAAATGTATATCACTACCAAGTCACTCCAGTGGTTGGTATTATGGTTCATAAATACCTTCTATACTGACAGAAGCAAAGAGCATGCAATTCACCCTTTAGAAATGGTCAGTCTGCTCTGGGCTATCCTTCTTCTACAGATCTCACAGTTGCCCACTAGCATCAGACTGAGGTTCAGAGGCAAGAGCAATGTCCTGAAAGATCACTTTGACCATAGCTTTGTCTTATGATTAGCAATCTCAAATTTATATGCTTTCAGGTAAGCCTCTTGAGAGCATCTACCTTAATACAATAGAACTCAACTCTCCAGGAGCAACCCAAGCGGACAAGGGGCACTAAATGCCTGATCTGTGGCTCCTCAGAAGACTGAAACAGTTAATGCACCTTCAACAACCCAACTGAAGCTAAGCTCTATCTGAGTACTCTAAAACTTGGGAACATTATCTCCTTTGGGTTTCTATACTTTGATGTAGGTATAGTCTAGTTTCTACTGACCATTGTATATGAAGATTTGTTAAAGATCCGTGCCAACAAGTATCTATTTTCAAGTATATGCTTCTGAAGAAGAGAAATTACATGTGTTTACTTTATCTTATCACGGTCCATCTAAGAATCATTAAAGAATAATTATGACAGATAGAAATTAATAATGATGATGATGACAAAACCCCTGCCATGTGCCAGACATCATGCCAAGCATTCTGTGTGCATTGTCTTATTCGGTTCTCATACCAGCCTAATTATTCCTTTCACAGAGATGAGAAAACTGAGGCATTAGAGAAGTTAGGTCACATGGCCAAGGTCAGACAGCTGGAAATGGGCAGAGTCCAGACAGGAACTCCCACGGTCTGTCTCCAGAGCCCAAGCACTTAACCACTAACCACATGATCAATAAGTCATTGTGATGACGATGATGACAATGACGACGATGATGATGCTGACGATGATAAAGGTGAGATGTTGTGGGCAGCTGGGCAGGTGAATCACCGGAAGGAAGAACTTGCCCTGAGTCAGAAAGAAAATGAAACTGGGAACAGCCTTCTGATTCTAGCCTGGAGTATTTACCACCAACCCATGCAACCAGCTGGCATCTAGTATAGAAGTAACACTTCATATTCTCTCTGAACCACAGGGTTCGATCCTGACGATAAACACCAGGGGGGGAGAGTAGCTCTTTGATACAAATCACAGGGCACTGCAATTCTGAGTCCTTACCCAGAAGCTGCAATGAAAGTACAATTTAATAAATCAAAGGAGGGCGAGGAAAGCCTTCATATGCTTCCTCTGCACCAAGATGTGATTTTGCAATAAATTCTGTTCACTGCTGAGCCAGTTCAGTTTACATGTCCCTACAGAATTAACAGAGAATACACAGAGTCATCTGGATTCCCAGAATTTTTCTATGAGTACCTTTATTACCATTATCCAAGCCATACTGAGAAAACAGAGAGGCTTGTTTTTCAAATGTAGATATTAAAGACATAAGTAAAGCAAAAATTTGACAAAACAATCTAACTTTTCCCTTTCACACACAGCTGCATTAGAGCTTAGCCATACCACACTTTGGATCAAAATCTGGACAAAATAAAGATGCTGGGGAAATAGGTTCATAAGGAAATTTGTTTAAAACTGATGCTCCTCTCTAAACTGCACCATCTTTACCCAAATGCACATCCAAACTCTATGATCCCCTGAGGTTTTCTCCAAGTCTCCTCCCACCTGGCTGTTCCCCTGATGTACCAATGTGGAGACACACTGAATAAGGCAATGTGTCAACATCTTAAAACAACAGGCTGGTTCTACACCATCGAATATCATCTCATCTCCTCTGCATGACAAAGTGGGTCCACCATCACTAGAATCAAAACAGCTTGCTCTTTTGAATTGTGTCTGTCAGTGGCGACAGATTTGTAGTAATCTACTGCTTAGGTTCAAAGTCCAACTTTACTGTTTATTGGCTAACATGCACATCAGTTATCATCCCTAGACCTCAGTCTTGCCATCTGAAAAAGGGGGATAGTAACACTCTCCACCACTTAGGATTGTTGTAATAATTAAATGGAATCATAGATATACAATATTCAACACAGCACTGAATGTAAATTCTATGGCCTATTGAACATTCTATAAGGATTAACTTTCATCTTCATCACTGTCATTTTCCTCCTTCCTTCTCTTCCCACTTTGTGTTTAAAAAAACAAAACAAAAAGCCTCTTCTGGTGATGGAAATGTATCCCCTATGGGATAAATGGCTAAGGATGGGAAATGTCATTTGAGGGACCCTGTGGCATTGGTCTTGTTGGCAATGTAATATAACCAACTGAAACTAATTAAGAGATGAAGGGAAAGGAAAGGAGACAATCTAAGGTCAACGTTTAAATCAATGGTTCTTAATCTTTTTTAAAACAGCAATCAAACATAAAAATAGCCACCTGCCACCAACCACTTTTTCACTATCAATTATGTGCCAAACACCATACTAAGCGTTTAAACGAATGATTTTATTTCATCCTCAAGCCTATGGGGTACTACACCTGCCTCTATTTCATAGCATCATATGGGTTAATTAACTTTCCAAAGGTTACATACTAGCAAATTACAGAGCCAGGATTCGATTTAGGCAGAGCACAGTAGAGTCTGTACTCAGCCACAACTTCATACAACTTCTCCACCCAGTCCTGCTTTCCAGAGGAAAAACAGCCTGCCAATTAACAAAGAACTCAAAAGAGGCTAAGCAGTAATTAAAATGGCAACAATGCAACCATTATGTAATAACAAAATTTCCACCCAATTTAAGCATAACAGGAATTCTACAAACTTCCAATTAATACAAGTGTGGCAGTAATTAAAAACCACAACCAGCTTGAGACATTTTAGGATGCCCAAAAAACAACCCTCCTAAAACCTATCAGCACATACAGAGAGAACTGGCCAGGGTTGCCAAAGACTCTGTGGCAGATTTCTCAGTTGAACACATTAGAATGCTCGGCAAACACTAATACAGGCTAAATTTAGGAACTTTTTTTTTTTTTTTTTTTTTTCGGAGACAGAGTCTTGCTGTCAACCAGGCTGGAGTGCAGTGGTGCGATCTCGGCTCACTGCAACTTCTGCCTCCTGGGTTCAAGCGATTCACCTGTCTCCTGAGCAGCTGGGACTACAGGCCACACCTGGCTAATTTTTTGTATTTTAGTAGAGATGGGGTTTCACCGAACTCCTGAGCTCAGGCAATCCACCCGCCTCGGCCTCCCAAAGTGCTAGGATTACAGGCATGAGCCACTGTGCCCAGGCTTAGGAACTTTTAATAACACCCCTGAGAAGTTACTGTAAGACACCCTTAGTCTGTGGAATGCCACCCATGAATGGACATGATTTTTCTAGATCAGGACTTCTCTTTTCACCCATGGGCCACAGGCCACACTTGGAAAAGCTTTTGGGAAGGAATTGTTTGAATCTGAAGCATGAATAGCCTGGAGTAAATAAGGATGTGTCTCAACTCAAGGGGTCAGAGCCAGGGAGCCAGCTATTGGTTCTTCCTCCTCCTCCCATCAGAAATGTGACTCTCATCACCATGGTCTGAGTGGTGAAATGTGCTCAGTGGAGCAAAAATAAGATGGCTGTTGCTACTTTTCTGTTTCTCAGCTGACAATACTCTGCCAGGCTTTCCCTTTCCACTGCTACCACTGTTGTACTTGCTGTCTTAGGGAGGCTCCCTCAAATGTGAAACCAATAAAAATATAGTTGATGGCACTTCCCAAAGACCGATTCCTGAACCAATGTCAAGACCTTGCTCTTACCCTGTAGAATTATACATAAAGGGGGTTCAGTAACTAGCACATAGCCAGCCACTCAGAAAGTACTGATTGGATAAATAGAGAGCATAAGAGAGAAACTGCAATTAAAAAAAAAAAAAAAAAAAAAAGAAAAAACACTAAAGGTGGAGTTGGTGAGGACAATGCATTGGCCAGACAGAAAAGGAAAGCTAGATGTGTGCTCAGGTGTCCAGGTGACCGCTTTGTTCTCCCCAACACCTGGCAAATTCTCTATGAATCTTTCTTACAAGGGAGTGGAAACAGACAATTCAGGCCTTCCTAAGAGAAAACAGGATACAGATTTATCTTATTTGGCTTAACTCAAGGCTATCAAAATCCCTCACATAGCCATTTATTTTCTATGTTCCACCCCTGTGTGTTAGCTCTACATCCACCAGGTGACAACGAATGCTTCTAATAGTTTTGAAGCCTATGGTACCACTGGGGAGTTCTGAAATAAGGGCTAAGAAAGGGGTTCTGTACCTGTTGGTGCCGAGTCCCTTCCCCTACACAATCAGAGGCATCTCAAGACTAGGCAGTCTCTTAGAAAATGGCCCAATAAAAAGTGACCAAATGGCTGTGCTCCTACAGCCATCCAAAAGACAGAGTCTTTTAACAGCCCCGGAAGCGTTCTTGCTGGTGAATAAAAACTGCTGCTTGCTGTTCAAAACATGATTACAACAATGATGATGAATAGAAAAATAAACTTTCTTTTCCATTAGTTCAAGCATTGCCTGTTGCTTTGTACCTTGTGGATATAAGCAACTTATCTCTTAGTATTATTCCTCAGTAACATTGGGGGAAAAAAGTGCTCTGGACACCCGTGAATACTACTGTTCAACATCCATGCACCTCTTTTTCCAGGGATACCACCCTCATTTTCCTTGGGGAGCCACCTCCCTGCCAAGGCAAGTTCATATGGTTTGGGTGGGGCTGATCCCAACTCCATCTTCAGGTTTGTTGCATGTGATCCAGACTATGCATCCTACTGCACATATGATTGGCCCAAGCCAAACTCAGCCGATGACACTCACTCATTTTTTATTACAACTATGGGAAATGAGGCCTTGTGTTGCTAGGAAAACAGGATGCATACCTGAAGCTTTTGAGGCCAACTTCGGCTACCACACAGGCAAAGCCTTGAGCAGAAAAGGTCAAACAAAGAAATGCAGGGCCATGAATGAAGGGACATGGGATTCTGATGGTATCATTTGAGCCCTTTTATCTTAACATATCAGAAGCTCATCCCTGCTCTTTCTATAGTATATCAATAACATACTTTTTATTTTTTAGTTGTGTTTCTGTTGCTCACAGACAAGGGTTGTGGTAATTTTTTTTTTAAGTGCATGACAGAAAAGCCTACTTGTGCTTTATAGGGAACTCTAGAGTGAAGGAGAAAAATGTGCAACAAAGTTGAACGAGAAACTGTGCTGTCATCCTTGAATTTCCCATTCCTTCTACCTCACATATCCAATCAGTTCCTAGTTGTATCACTTCTATTACTTTCATATGTCTTGAACCTATTCCTCATCCCCACTTCTTCTTCTATTGCCCAAGGTCAGATTGTTTTTGCCTTCTCACCTAGACCTTGACATTGGCTATATCCTGGTTCTTGTTGGCTCCACCCTCTGGCTCTGCTCACTTGCTCTGCAAGATGTGTTTCCCTAAACCACAGTGTTGGTTGGAGAAGAGAAGGCTTCAAAACATCACAATACCAGTCTTCAGATTCTCAAAGGGCAGTGATGTGACAAAGGGGAAATCTTATTGTGCTGAACAGAGATGAAGGTCAGGGTGGAGTCCCCAGGAAGGCAGATTTCAGCCGAACATAAATGACTGACAGGAGCTCTTCATGGTCCACTAAAGCAGGAGGCTGACCCAGCATCCTCTTACACACAGACCTAAGCCCCCTTCTGTCTAGAAGGCATCCCGGGCATTCCTGGGCTGATTAATTTCGCTGCATTTGGGGTTTAATCATTGTCAGCCTAACCCTTTCACTGGTATAGGCCCTGGACAGATTCCAAAACAGGGAGAAATGGATTTGGATGAAGTTGAGTCAAGTGGTGGATGGAGCATGCTGTGGCTTTGGAAACTTGGCATTAAGGTCTGTGTTAAAGCAAACTAAATATGGCCTGAGAAGGACTCCATGCTCCTATATCTGAGTCCTTGTGGACTAACTGTAACCTAACTTAATAGGTAGACAAGGTTGAAAACCTAACTTAGGAAAATTTACCTATAACAACAGCTGAGTCTTGGCCAATCCCAGCAGCCATACCTCAACCACTTATACACTGATGAGTGTTCAAACTATGTTCAAATAAGGCAAACACCAAGCTGTAACCAATCCAGTTGTTTTTGTACCTTACTTCTGATTTCCGTACGTCACTTTCCTTTTTTTTTTTTTTTTTTTTTGTCTATAAATTTGTTCTGACCACGAGGCATCCCTGGAGTCTCTCTGAATGTGTGGTGATTCTGGGGGCTGCCCAATTCGCAAATTGTTCATAGCTCAATTAAACTCCTTTAAATTTAATCTGGATGAAGTTTTTATTTTGTCACCTGGTTCTACCACTTTTGAACTATGCGCCCTTAGATAATCATTCAACATTTCCGAGTCTGCTTTCTCATTGCAAAGTAGAGCTAAGTAATAATACTTATGAGAGTATTAACAGAATTTAAAATAGTTATCACAGGGACTGGAGGTGCTCAAAAACGTTATTTCCCTTTTCCTTACTCCACAAATATTTCCTAACTTACTTGATGGCTGCAGACAACCTTAATCTCTCGTTTCTTTGATCTCTTACTGCTCCTACAGTCTATATTCTACAGAATTTAATACTTCCAAATAAAATTTTTCATTCTTATCATTTCCAATCTCCAATCAAGGTTAATTTTACATTTCTATGGGGCAGGGTTTAGGGGAAGTGATCTATGCGGCATCTAAATGTTTGCATATATTCAGTGTCCAAGAAATTATTCCTCATTAAAGGACAAGGGGCTTAAGGATGCGCATTCCTTCGTCTGGGTCTTTCTCTGCAGGTCAGAGGCAGGTCATGATGACCTTGATGAGCAAATTATCCTTATGGCAATGCTTTCACATTTTGAGTGTCACTGGCACTTACCGCAGTTCTCTGTGAGAAATTTCAAATTAAGCTGATATAGTTTCAAGAGAAAAGGTGAAACAGCTCCTCCTGGAGCATGTAGGTGGTAGGTCACACCCCAATAACCAGTGAAGGAGTAGGCCATTTATTTTAACTTGTTTTTGGTTCTGGTGAATTAGGCACAGGCTAACTGTTCTGGGATTATTAACACTGATTGTTGTGGGTGCTTCTCCTCCGCTACCCCGTGACTTTGATTTGTGTGTTACATAAACACTGTTGCCATAGTTATAATTCAGGAAGCTTTGTTGTTTGACCTTAAGAAAAATTCAACCTCAAATCAGGATAACACTGACTCTCTAGACCACAATAGACCATCAGAGGGTAGGATCTGCCAAATTTCTTCAAGCTTCTAGAAGGAACTACTGTATTTTGGGTAACAAGCAAGCAACAAGAGGAGGAAATGCTGCAATGTTATGCAATTTCCTTGCATTTCATATTCAGCAATCCTGAAAACCTTTATAAGCAACTTCCCTAGCTTTCAACCGAAGATTGGAGTCACAGCCAACATAAACAAAAACTGGATGCAAAAGAGGAAGAAAGAAATCTAAGTAATGTACAAGTCAGAAAAGTGTTTCAGGAAATTTTTAAAGGCAGCAGAAAGGGCAAAAGCTCATTTGCTATCAAGTGCATGACAGTTAAGTAGATGGCGTGCAAGCTGACATGTATGTAGGATGTGGCCAGGTCACAGTGTGAGGAGTCTTACGGCTCTAGCACTTCCTGGCTTCAGGCTGATGCAACATTAAAAAGTGGATGTGAACCCACTCATCTGTCAGCATGCCGTTTTCATGGTGAGAGGAGAGACCACCTCCCATCCTCCCAAAAGAAACTGAAATACTAAACAGAGAATGTCTTTATGTGCTCCCCTCCCCAACCCCCAACCCCCAACCCCCAACCCAGTGTTTTTGGAAATAGTTATACAGCTCTGTTAGCAGAAGAGAGAACCTTGCTCTTTTGTGCTTTAGAAAACTGCATATGAGAAATTCCTCGGGATGGTATGCAGCACACCAAAGTAGGAGCTCATAAGGCTCTTCTGCTGCCCAAGTGGGTCCCAGCCCAGGAGAAACAACGGGCAGAGAGTGAGTCACAGCACTATGCAGCTCCTTTCAACCTCCAGTCCCTTCTTCCAGGAGGTTCCGGGCAGTGGCATGCATAGCTGTCTTCATTGCAACTCGAGGCTGATGCAGTCAGACAAACTCAAAGCACGTTCATGATCGCCTTCATCCCCACAATGCCCCTTGGAGAGGCAGAAGGTGAATGTTATGTTATCCAACACAGACACAGGGAAAGGTGACTTCTTCCCTTGCCACAAACAGCTGTCAGTTCAGAGGACTGCATTTCTAGATCTATGACTCGAAGCTGAGTTTCCTACCCCAAATCCAAAAATAATCTTGATGCCAACTCGTATGCATGCAACAAGAGATTCTGAGAATATTCACTCTTTTATTCTGTTGCTTTGAGCTGGCAGTAAAGGGTATCCCCAGCACTGTGATCACATGGAGAATCTCAGTATTCTCCCACAACTCCCAAGGAGCAGAATGAGGTTTCTAAAATGGAACTGTAGATTCTAGAATTCTGCACTCTGTGTGGGTCCCCCACCTCCATCACAGGCAGAATCCACTCCACTTCCGACTCCAGGAATAGTGTGACTTAGGCCAGCCAGAACAGCACATTTACTCCCAATCCACATACCCTTATAAAAATTCTCAAACATACAGAAAAGATGAAAGAAGAGACAGTAAACATGCATATACCCATCACCTCCATTCTACAGTTGTTCATATTTTGCTATATTTGCCTTATCACATATCTAGCCATCTTTCTATCATCCATCAGTCCATCTTGCTTTTTAATAAATTTTAAGAGGAGTTGCAGATATCAGCACTTTTAAACATTTCAGAACACATATCATCTAAAGTTCAATATTTGTCCATTTTTAAATGTAAAATGTACATACAATAAAATACATAATTCTTAAGCATGCCAATCATGAATTGTGACAATTTCATATACCCATGTAAGCTAAACCTCTATCAAGATAGAAACATCAGCTCAGATAGTTCCCTCAGACCTCCTTCCATCTTACTCCCACCCCTCACACACCCCATGCACTGGCAACCACTGTTCTGTTTTGCACCCCCAATTAGTTTTGCTTATTCTAGATCACTATACAAACAGACTTACATCATATATATTCTTTTATAGCTACTCTGTTTCACTCAGCATAAATTTTTTTTTTTAAGTTCTGGGATACATGTGCAGAACATGCAGGTTTGTTACATAGGTATACATGTGCCATGTTAGTTTGCTGCACCTATCCACCCATCATCTAGATTTTAAGCCCTGCATGCATTAGGTATTTGTCCTAATGCTCTCCCTCCCCTTGCCTCCCATCCCCCAACAGGCCCTGGTGTGTGATGTTCCCCTCCCTGTGTCCATGTGTTCTCACTGTTCAACTCCCACTTATGAGTGAGAACATGTAGTATTTGGTTTTTTGTTCCTATGTTAGTCTGCTGAGAATGATGGCTTCCAGCTTTATCCATGTCCCTGCAAAGGACATGACCTCATTCTTTTTTATGGCTGCATAGTATTCCATGGTGTATATGTGCCCCATTTTCTTTATCCAGCCTATCATTGATGAGCATTTGAATTGGTTCCAAGTCTTTGCTATTGTAAATAGTGCTGCAATAAACATACGTGTACATGTGTCTTTATAGAATGATTTATATGATTTATAATCCTTTTGGTATATACCCAGTAATGGGATTGCACTCAGCATAAAATTTTTAATATTCATCCATGTTGTGGTGTGAACCAATACCTTTAGTCCTTTTTACTTCTGAGTTGAAATTTAATGTTTGAATATACCATAGTTTTATCAATTCCTCTGTTGATGGACACCTAGGTGGTTCCCTGTCTGTAGCTATCATAAAGCTGGTCCAAAGGTTTTTGTACAAATCTTTTTGAAGACATGTGTTTTCACTTCTCTTAGGTAAATACCTAGGAGTGGAACTGCTGGATTCTACAGTAGAGTTTTTTGTTATTAAACAGAAAACTTCCAAGCCTTTGTCGACAGTAGTTGTGCCATTTTACTTACACCCCCACCAATAATGTATGAGAGTTTGGGTTGCTTCACATCCTCACCAGCACTTGCCAATCTTTTCATTGTGTTGTCAATCTTCTACTTTTAGCTGTTCTAATGGGTATGCGTAGCAGTATCTTATTATAGTCTCAAACTGCATTTTTCTGATGATCCATGATGTATACTTTTTCATGTATGTATTGGGCCATCTTTTGTCCGGCGTTTCTTCAAGTCTTTTTTCTGTCTTTTAGTTAGGTTCTTCTTTTTATTACTGAGTTTTATGGGTTCTCTATACATTCTGGATATGTCCTTTGTCAGATATATGGTTTGCGAATATGTCCTCTTATTCTACAGCTTGCCAGTTGATTTCTTAATGGTGTCTTTTGATAAGCACTAGCTTTTAATTTAAATCAAGTCAATTTTTTTTCATGTTTTTGTAGGGCTATCACTTTCTATGTCCTATTACATAACTTTTGCCAATCCCAGATCGCATAGATTTTGTCCTATGTTTTCTTCTGAAGGCTTTATAGTTTTAGATTTTATGTTTATAACCTACCTTGATATTTTTTTAACCCCCACAGCAGCCAGAAAGAAAAATTCACCTTGAATTAATCCCCCTAGTTAGCCTAGTTTATAAACATTATTTAGAGGTGCTTCTGAGTCATAACCTAGATTTGAAACTCACTGGTTTTAAATACAAATTTAGGAAAAAGTAGCCTTAACCCGCCTCACTCTCCTCTTTCTCCTTCCCCCAAAACAGTTCTCATATTATAAAATTGATTCATATATCCTTTGGGAACCCTCACTATATTAATAAAACTGAGATCTGCCTCCTACCCCCTCAGCTAAAAGGACAAGCAGGTAAGTGTGCTGAGCATTGTAAAGATCTATATGCTCGAGGCTAATTTTCAGGGGACTCACCTAACTACATGGCCATCTATAAGCTATGATTTGAATGGGCAGGGAGCCCTGGGAGCTAACAAGTATAGTGGCCCTAATCAGTCACTGCCTTACTGTGGGACCCGGATCAAACCTCTTCGTCTCTCTGTATCTTAATTTCCTAAGGCATCAAAAGGGGGGCCTGAAACAAACCAGCTTTGAAATGCCATACTCTTAGTCCCTATAATTTTTAATATTTCACCATCATGAATGAACCCCTTTAGGTCCTGAAGGGCTCTCTATGCACTTTAATAATTTCATATATACATTAGGATGGTAACATCTCAAATCTTACCAGCAAACAGCAAAATTGGGATCTGCTGACAGTTGACTAGGAATAAGGTCCTGCAAATGTTGGAGGGAGTAGGAACTGGAAAGGAAAGGGACAGCAGGTTGGAAAGCTGCTGATCAGACTAGCTCACCGTCTCGTGTTGCACAGGCCATATTCTGCCTTCTTGTTTCAGTTCTCATACTGTAAACAAATGTTCTTTTCCTTTTTCTTTTTTTTTGTTCTTTTTTTAGGGGGTGGGGAAACAGGGTCTTGCTCTGTCACCCAGGCTGTAGGGCAGTGGCTCGATCACAGCTCACTGAACAATGCTCACTGAACAATGTGGTTTAAAGTTGACCTGGATGAAACAGGTTGTTAGTATGTTCACATCAAAAGCTCACAGTGCCTAGCCAAGCCTCTCTTGCTTCTTCTTTAGAGAGAACAAAAGCACACCGGACCTGAGCAACCAACATACATTTACAAACACAGCCAGCAGCCAAGGCAACCAAGTGGACTAAGCCCAGTAGGGTCCCCTCCCCAGAGTGGAGGATGGGAGAGATTAGGGCATGTCTGTCTTGAGAGCATGACAGATGAACGCACAAATCCAAAGGCTGCTTCTGGGTCCTTTCCTATCGTGCTTGATATAGCTGACCACCTGTGTCCTTTAAATGTCCACCTCTCCTTGGCCCTACTACTCAGCCCTGCTCCACAGCTCTCCACAGGTTCCTCTGCCCTGTACTAATCTTAACATAAAAGGAATATATAAATATACAAATACAATCATAAATATAAATATGAAATCTATATAAGTGCATATATACACACATACATATAGAGTCAATTTTTGTTATTTGCAGGAGTTACATTTTATAACACAGCAACAAACACTGAGTTAGCAAACACTAAACCATTGCTTCTAGGAGAAACACAGTTAGGTTCCTGCAAGCTTCTGGTTCCATTTTCATCAACCAATCAATATATAATCCTATTTTATGTGTATTTCTGTCCAAAGACATCACCTTATTCAATTTCTGCTGCTGAATTGTTTTCACTGAGCTCATATCCATCTGCATTATAATTTATGCTTGAACAAAGTTCATCTCACAAGTATTTTCATATTATGCCACAAGGCACATCATAAACTTCTTTCACTTAGACACGATATCAGCATTACATCTGGGGACCACTTTAGCAAAATCACCAAAAGAAACCACAAAATGAAAAAAAAAAAAAGTAGCACTAAATGGAGTGTGAAAAGGGCATTTATTGGGCTAGGTGCAGTATCTCCCACCTCTAATCCCAGCACTTCAGGAGGCAAGGCAGGAGGACTGCTTGGGATCAGGAGTTTGAGACCAGCCTGGGCAACATGGTGAGACCTTGTCTCTACTAAAAAAAAAAAAAAAAAAAAATCAGCCAGGCATGGGTGGCATGCACCTGTAGTCCCAGCTACCTGGGAGGCTGAGGCAGGAGGATCACTTGAGCCCAAGGGATCGAGGCTGCAATGAGCTATGATGGAGCCACTGCCCTCCAGCCTGGGTGACAGAGCAAAACCCTGTCCCCACCAACCCCTCAAGAAAAGAAAAAGGAAAATGATATTTGTTTACAGTATGACAGCTGAAACAAGAAGGTAGAGTAGGGCCTGTGCAACACCATCAGTGAACATGCACAGTGGATGATCAAAATGTTTCACCACTCTACCCATGCCTACAAATGATTGTGAAAACTCTGCAAGTATTGACTTTAGGGTTACAAATAAATTTTGGTGAGTAGATGAATTCACAAATATGGAATCCATGAATAATGAGGATATATACGTGTGTGTATATATATATACATGCACATACAATATACATATATGAATATATGTAAATGCATATATATAAAGTTTTTTGGAAAACAGCTATGCTCATTCACTTACTTGTCCATAGCTGTTTTTGTGCTACAATAGAGTTCAGTAGTTTCAACAGTCTGTTGTAGGATATGTATATATTCAACTTTACTAGGTTTTGAATGGTTGTACTAATTAAGACTCCCACCAGCAGTACATTATGAGAGTTCCATAGCCTACTCTAAAAATTCCCTAAGCTCCTCCTTGGACCTCTTTACTCATCTCTCTCTCTCTCTTTCTATAAGCCACAATTAGAAATTTCATCCATTCCCATAGCTGCAACAATGCCTCCATGCAGATGGTGCCCCACCTCTAAATCTGCAACCCCAACCTCCCTCCAGTTTTCTTTGGAGCAGACCTCCATTTCTAACTGTTTGCTGGCCATCTTCATCTAGGAATTTCCCCTAACCTCAAATCTAGCACCTATCCTTCCTACAACCACCAAGAAGGGTTTCTCAAGACAATAGGAGGGGTAACACCTTAAAACCTGTGAACAAGCCACTAAATTAGTACTTGCTTTTAGTTAGGTGACAGCAAGGCCATTGAACAGAAACACATACACACATATGCACACAAAAACCTATTTTCTTCTTTTTTTAATTTTCAAGACAGAGTCTTGCTCTGTCACCCAGGTTGGAGTGCAGTGGCGTGATCTTGGCTCACTGCAACCTCCACCTCCCAGGTTCAAGCAATTCTCCTGCCTCAGCCTCCTAAGTAGCTGGGATTACAGGCACATGCCACCAAACCCAGCTAATTTTTGTGTATTTTTAGTAGAGACAGAGTTTCACCATGTTAATCAGGCTGGTCTCAAACTTCTGACAGGTGATCTGCCCACCTCGGCCTTTCAAAGTGCTGGGATTACAGGTGTGAGCCACTGCACCCAGCCACAAACCTATTTTCATTTTTTATTATACTTTAAGTTCTGGGATACATGTGCAGAAAGTGCAGGTTTGTTACATAGGTATACATGTGCCATGTCGGTTTGCTGCACCCGTCAACCCGTCACCTACATTAGGTATTTCTCCTAATGCTATCCCTCCACTTGCTCCCCACCCCCCAGTAGGCCCCGGTATGTTATGTTCCCTCCCTGTGCCCATGTGTTCTCATTGTTCAGCTCCCACTTATGGGAGTGGGAGTTGTGAGAACACAACTTATAAGTGAGAACATGCAGTGTTTGGTTTTCTGTTCCTGTGTTACTTTGCTGAGAATGATAGTTTCCAGCTTCAACCATGTCCCTACAAAGGACATGAATGCATTCTTTTTTATGGCTGCATAGTATTCCATGGTGTATATGTGCCATATTTTCTTCATCCAGTCTATCATTGATGAGCATTTGGATTGGTTCCAAGTCTTTGTTATTGTGAATAGTGCCTCAATAAACATATGTGTGCATGTGTCTTTATAGTAGAATGATTTGTAATCCTTTGGATATACACCCAGTAATGGGATTGCTGGGTCAAATGGTATTTCTGGTTCTAGATCCTTGAAGAATCACCACACTGTCTTCCACAACGGTTGAACTAATTTACACTCCCACCAACAGTGTAAAAGCGTTCCTATTTCTCCACATCCTTTCCGGCATCTGTTATTTCCTGACTTTTTAATGATTGCCATTCTAACTGGCATGAGATGGTATCTCACTGTGGTTTTGATTTGCATTTCTCTAATGACCAGTGATGATGAGCTTTTTTTATATATGTTTGTTGGCAGCATAAATTTTGTCTTCTTTTGAAAAGTGTCCATATCCTTCATCCACTTTTTGATGGGGTTGTTTTTTTCTTGTAAATTTGTTTAAGTTCCTTGTAGATTCTAGGTATTAGCCCTTTGTCAGATGGATAGATTGCAAACATTTTCTCCCTTTCTGTAGGTTGCCTGTTCACGCTAGTGATAGTTTCTTTTGCTGTGCAGGAGCTCTTTAGTTTAATTAGATCCCATTTGCCAATTTTGCTTTTTGTTGCAATTGTTTTTGGTGTTTTAGTCATGAAGTCTTTGCCCATGCCTATGTCCTGAATGGTGTTGCCTAGGTTTTCTTCTAGGGTTTTTATTGTCTTAGGTCTTACGTTTAAGTCTTTAATCCATCTGGAGTTAATTTTTGTATAAGGTGTAAGTTTCAGTTTTCTCCATATGGCTAGCCAGTTTTCCCAACACCATTTATTAAATAGGGAATCCTTCCCCCATTGTTTGTTTTTGTCAAACCTATTTTCATCTAGCAACTGTTATTTTCTCATTGTGACATTTCTCTGTGCCTCATTACCCCATCTATAAAATGGAGAGCATACCACATAAAGTAGAAGGTAGCAGCAGCAGAGCAGCTGGCACTATGCATGGCACAGAGTAAATGCTCAGTAAACAGCAGCCAATAATCATTATCTTGGTTAATGGCATCACTTTTATCTCAGTGGCTAGACCTAAGATCTGTCCTAAGTCCTGTCTTTTCACTCCCATATCTAATCAGGTGACAATAACTGGATTCTGCTTCCAGCATGATTGTATCTTTCTCTTCAGTCCCAACAGTCCCATCTGGGAGTTCAGCACCTCCTGCTTGGAATGCCTTCACAATGGTTACTCTCTGCCTTCCCAAAAACTGCATACCCTTCATGTGGCCACAGCTCTGAAATCACTTCTGCTCAAATCCTTTATGGTTGCGTCACCCCTTAACAGCATAATGTCCAGATTTCTACATGAGGCCTCTGATAAGCTGGCCCCAACATTTCCTACCTTACTTTTCTACTTTCCCTTCCCAAACCTCATGACCATCTACATGCAACTACTAGCTGTTTCCTCATCTGTCCCATGATTTCTAAGAATCTGTGTTGCCATATTTCTTGCCAAGGAAGCCCTTCTATGCATCTCTGCCCGTGAACATCCTTCAATGCCCTACCTATACGTGCTCCTCTATGAAGCTGCCTTCAACTCCCTCAGTCTAAAATCATCTGTTCTATTTCAATAGCACTATGTTCACACCTCACACTGATGTTTTTCACTCTGAAATGCAAGGTGACAAATTTATCCTGGTAGACCAGAGGGCCTTGCACATAGCAGGCATTTAATAAATACTGGTTGAATGACATGAGGAACCAAGGCCATCTAAAATGTTGTCAATGCACATCTTAGATTCAGTTAACATTAACTTCAAAAAGTGGCTCTTGCCTATAATCCCAGCACTTTGGGAAGTGAGGTGGGAGGATCACATGCGCCCAGGAATTTGAGACTGATCTGGGCAACATAAGGAGTCCTAGCCTCTACTTAAAAAAAGAAAAGAAAAGAAAAGAAAAGAAAAAGAAATTAGCTGGGCATGATGGCATGCACCTGTAGTCCTAGCTACTTAGGAGGAAGGCTGAAGCAGTAGGATAGCTTGACCCCAAGAGGTTGGGGCTGCAATGTGCTGTGATCATGATGCCATGGCACTCCAGTCTGGGTGACAGAGCGAGGCCCTGTCTCAAAAAAAAGAAAAAAAATCAACAATCTAGTTTGTAATTAAAAATGAATTTAGGGCTGGGCATGGTGGCTCACACCTATAATCCCAGCACTTTGGGAAGCCAAGGTAGGTGGATCACCTGAGGTCAGGAATTCGAGACCAGCCTGGCCAACATGGTGAAACCCCATCTTTATTAAAAACACAAAAATTGGGCCGGGCGTGGTGGCTCACACCTGCAATCCCAGCACTTTGGGAGGCCGAGGCAGGTGGATCATGAGGTCAGGAGATCGAGACCATCCTGGCTAACAAGGTGAAACCCCATCTCTACTAAAAATACAAAAAATTAGCCGGGCGCGGTGGCGGGCGCCTGTAGTCCCAGCTACTCGGGAGGCTGAGGCAGGAGAATGGCGTGAACCCGGGAAGCGGAGCTTGCAGTGAGCCGAGATTGCGCCACTGCAGTCCGCAGTCCGGCCTGGGCGACAGAGCGAGACTCCGTCTCAAAAAAAAAAAAAAAAAAAAAACCACACAAAAATTACCCGGGCATGGTGGTGGGCACCTGTAACCCAGCTACTCAGGAAGCTGAGGCAGGAGAATTGCTTGAACCTGGGAGGTGGAGGTTGCAGTGAGCCGAGATCCCGCCACTGCACTCCAGCCTGGGCGAAAGAGTGAGACTCCATCTCAAAAAAAATAAAAATAAAAATAAAGAACTTAGGACTCAGGAAGCTCTTCAAATATGGAAAGAGTAAATTGCCATCTGTCTAGCAGCATTTTAAGTATTAAATTGCTCACTTACAGTTGTGCTCACCCCAAGAAGGTTAAGCAGTCCGCATCAGGCGAGGCACAGAACCCAGCAGTGTCAGCTATGAAAATAACAATGTCTTGGATGACAATTCATATGGTCTCTGTATGGCAGCTGATCTTTGCATACCCTATGTGCTTTAAAAAATCACTACTGGCCAGGCGTGGTGACTCATGCCTGTAATGCTAGCACTTTGGGAGGCGAGGCAGGCGGATCACGAGGTCAGGAGATCGAGACCATCCTGGCTAACATGGTGAAACCCCTTCTCTACTAAATATACAAAAAATTAGCCGGGCATGGTGGCGGGTACCTGTAGTCCCAGCTACTTGGGAGGCTGAGGCGGGAGAATGACGTGAACCCAGGAGGTTGCAGTGAGCAGAGATTACGCCACTGCACTCCAGCCTAGGTGACAGGGCAAGACTCCCTCTCAAAAAAAAAAATAAAAAATAAAATAAAATAAATAAATAAAAAATCACTGCTGCACTTCTTAAATCATCTTGGAGCCTTTCGAATCAGTTGTGAAATAGTTAATTATTCAATAGTGTTAAGATAATAAAAATCATTTGGAGGAATAAAATCAAGGTTGGTCTTCACCTTACATCTTGATGCCAAAACAAATCTCAGGTAAATATTTATCTTATTATGGGAATCCATTCAAACAAAGATAGGATGCATAAAGTATCTCACAGCCTTAATACAGAAAGAGTAATTAACACTCAAAGGTGAATACACCAAAAGAAAAAAAATGTACAAAGGATAAACTAATTGCAAAAGGAGAAAAAGAATTCAATAACCATAGGGAATATTCAAAAACAAAAAAAAGTCCTAATTATAACAATGATAATATGTTTTACTTTTTGAAAAAGTTAAGAATTTTCTTAAACTTTGGTAGCAACTAGTATAGATGTAGGCTCAGGGAAATGGATATTCCCATATGCAACTCATGGAAGTATAAATTGGCACAGTCTTCATGAAGAGCAAGCTTCAAAGATAAATATACAGTCATGCCTCACTTAATGACAGGGATATGTTCTGAGAAATGCGTTGTTAGGCAATTTTGTTGCCCTACAAACATCATAGAGTGCACTTACACAAACCTAGATGGTATAGCCTACTACACAACTAGGCTATATGGTGTAGCCTATTGTTCCTAGGAGATAAACCTATACAGCATGTTACCATACTGAATACTGTAGGCAACTGACACACAATAGTATTTCTGTATCTAAACATATCTAAACATAGAAAACGTACAGTAAAAATATGGTATAAAGATAAAAAGTGGGGGAGGTTCCAAGATGGCCAAATAGGAACAGCTCCAGTCTACAGCTCCCAGTGTGAGTGACGCAGAAGACAGGTGATTTCGGCATTTCCAGCTGAGGTAGTGGGTTCATCTCAGTGGGGCTTGTTGGACAGTGGGTGCAGCCCATGGAGTGTGAGCCTAAGCAGGGCAAGGCATCACCTTACCTGGGAAGTGCAAGGGGACAGGGAATTCCCTTTCCTGGCCAAGGGAAGCTGTGACAGATGGTACCTGGAAAATCGAGACACTCCCACCCTAATACTGCGCTTTTCCAAAGGTCTTAGCAAACGGCACACCAGGAGATTATATCCTGCACATGGCTCAGAGGGTCCCACGCCCACGGAGCCTTGCTCACCACTAGCACAGCAGTCTGAGATCGAACTGCAAGGCGGCAGCAAGGCTGGGGGAGGGGCATCCACCTTTGCTGAGGCTTGAGTAGGTAAACAAAGCGGCCAGGAAGCTCGAACTGGGTGGAGCCCACCGCAGCACAAGGATGCCTGCCTGCCTTTGTAGACTCCACCTCTGGGGGCAGGGAATAGCTGAAAAAAAGGCAGCAGAAACTTCTGCAGACTTAAACATCCCTATCTGACAGCTTTGAAGAGAGTAGTGGTTCTCCCAACACGGAGTTTGAGATCTGAGAATGGACAGACTGCCTCCTCAAGTGGGTCCCTGACCCCCGAGTAGCCTAACTGGGAGACACCACTCAGTAGGGGCCGACTGACAACTGATACAGCCAGATGCCCCTCTGAGATGAAGCTTCCAGAGGAAGGATCAGGAAGCAACATTTGCTGTTCTGCAATATTTGCTGTTCTGCAGCCTCCACTGGTGATACTCAGGCAAACAGGGTCTGGAGTGGACCTCCAGCGAACCCCAACAGACCTGCAGCTGAGAGTCCTAACTGTTAGAAGGAAAACTAACAAACAGAAAGGACATCCACACCAAAACCCCATCTGTACGTCACCATCATCAAAGACCAAAAGTAGATAAAACCACAAAGATGGGGAGAAACCAGAGCAGAAAAGCTGAAAATTCTAAAAATCAGAGCATCTCTTCTCCTCCCAAGGAATGCAGCTCCTCACCAGCAGTGGAACAAAGCTAGACGGAGAATGACTTTGACAAGTTGAGAGAAGAAGGCTTGAGATGATCGGTAAGAATAAACTTCTCTGAGTTAAAGGAGGATGCTCGAACCCATCACAAAGAAGCTAAAAACCTTGAAAAAAGATTAGACAAATAGCTAACTAGAATAAACTGTGTAGAGAAGACCTTAAATGACCGGATGGAGCTGAAAACCACGGCACAAGAACTACATGACGCAATCACAAGCTTCAGTAGCCGATTTGATCAAGTGGAAGAAAGGGTATCAGTGATTGAAGATCAAATGAATGAAATGAAGCGAGAAGAGAAGTTTAGAGAAAAAAGAGTAAAAAGAAACGAACAAATCCTCCAAGAAATGTGGGACTATGTGAAAAGACCAAATCTACATCTGATTGGTGTACCTGAAAGTGATGGGGAGAATGGAACCAAGCTGGAAAACACTCTGCAGGATATTATCCAGGAGAACTTCCCCAACCTAGAAAGGCAGGCCAACATTCAAATTCAGGAAATACAGAGAAAGCCACAAAGATACTGCTCGAGAAAAGCGACTCCAAGACACATAATTGTCAGATTCACCAAAGCTGAAATGAAGGAAAAAATGCTAAGGGCAGCCAGAGAGAAAGGTCGGGTTATCCACAAAGGGAAGCCCGTCAGACTAACAGCGGATCTCTCGGCAGAAACTCTACAAGTCAGAAGAGTGGGGGCCAATATTCAACATTCTTAAAGAAAAGAATTTTCAACCCAGAATTTCATATCCAGCCAAACTAAGCTTCATAAGTGAAGGAGAAATAAAATCTTTTACAGACAAGCAAATGCTGAGAGATTTTGTCACCACCAGGCCTGCCCTACAAGAGCTCCTGAAGGAAGCAACAATACCAGCCACTGCAAAAACATGCCAAATTGTAAAGACCATTGATGCTAGGAAGAAACTGTATCAACTAACGAGCAAAATAACCAGCTAACATCATCATGATAGGATCAAATTCATGCATAACAATATTAACCTTAAATGTAAATGGGCTAAATGCTCCAATTAAAAGACACAGACTTGCAAACTGGATAAAGAGTCAAGACCCATCAGTGTGCTGTATTCAGGAGACCCATCACATAGGCTCAAAATAAAGGGATGGAGGAAGATCTACCAAGCAAATGGAAAACAAAAAAAAGCAGGAGTTGCAATCCTAGTCTCTGATAAAACAGACTTTAAACCAACAAAGATCAAAAGAGACAAAGAAGGCCATTACATAATGGTAAAGGGATCAATTCAACAAGAAGAGCTAATTATCCTAAATATATATGCACCCAATACAGGAGCAACCAGATTCATAAAGCAAGTCCTTAGAGACCTACAAAGAGACTTACACTCCCACACAATAATAATGGGAGAATTTAACACACCACTGTCAACATTAGACAGATCAACGAGGCAGAAAGTTAAAAAGGATATCCAGGAATTGAACTCAGCTCTGCACCAAGCAGACCTAAAAGACATTTACAGAATTCTCCACCCCAAATCAACAGAATATACATTCTTCTCAGCACCAGACGACACTTATTCCAAAATTAACCACATAGTTGGAAGTAAAGCACTCCTCAGCAAATGTAAAAGAACAGAAATGATAACAAACTGTCTCTCAGACCACAATGCAATCAAACTAGAACTCAGGATTAAGAAACTCACTCAAAACCGCTCAACTACAGGGAAACTGAACAACCTGCTCCTGAATGACTACTGGGTACATAACGAAATGAAAGCAGAAATAAAGATGTTCTTTGAAACCAATGAGAACAAAGACACAACATACCAGAATCTCTGGGACACATTTAAAGCTGTGTGTAGAGTGAAACTTATAGCACTAAACGCCCACAAGAGAAAGAAGGAAAGATCTAAAATTGACACCCTAACATCATAATTAAAAGAACTAGAGAAGCAAAAGCAAACACATTCAAAAGCTAGCAGAAGGCAAGAAATAACTAAGATCAGAGCAGAACTGGAGGAGACAGAGACACAAAAAACCCTTCAAAAAATCAATGAATCCAGCAGCTAGTTTTTTGAAAAGATCAAAAAACTTGATAGACCACTAGCAAGACTAATAAAGAAGAAAAGAGAGAAGAATAAACTAGAAACAATAAAAAATGATAAAGGGGATATCACCACCAATCCCACAGAAATACAAACTACCATCAGAGAATACTATAAACACCTCTATGCAAATAAACTAGAAAATCTAGAAGAAATGGATAAATTCCACGACACATACACCCTCCCAAGACTAAACCAGGAAGAAGTTGAATCCCTGAATAGACCAATAACAGGCTCTGAAATTGAGGCAATAATAGCCTACCAACCAAAAAACGTCCAGGATCAGACGGATTCACAGCCAAATTCTACCAGAGGTACAAAGAGGAGGTGGTACCATTCCTTCTGAAACCATTCCAATCAATAGAAAAAGAGGGAATCCTCCCTAACTCATTTTATGAGGCCAGCATCATCCTGATACCAAAGCCTGGCAGAGACACATACAAAAAAGTATTTTAGGCCAATATCCCTGATGAATATCAATGCTAAAATCCTCAATAAAATACTGGCAAACCGAATCCAGCAGCACATCAAAAAGCTTATCTACCACGATCAAGTGGGCTTCATCCCTGGGATGCAAGGCTGGTTCAATACACACAAATCAATAAATGTAATCCAGCATATAAACAGAACCAAAGACAAAAACCACATGATTATCTCAATAGATACAGAAAAGGCCTTTGACAAAATTCAACAGCTCTTCATGCTAAAAACTCTCAATAAACTAGGTATTGATGGGACATATCTCAAAATAATAAGAGCTATTTATGACAAACCCACAGCCAATATCATACTGAATGGGCAAAAACTGGAAGCATTCCCTTTGAAAACTGGCACAAGACAGGGATGCCCTCTCTCACCACTCCTATTCAACATAGTGTTGGAAGTTCTGGCCAGGGCAATCAGGCAGGAGAAAGAAATAAAAGGTATTGAATTAGGAAAAGAGGAAGTCAAATTGTCCCTGTTTGCAGATGACATGATTGTATATTTAGAAAACCCCATCCTCTCAGCCCAAAATCTCCTTAAGCTGATAAGCAACTTCAGCAAAGTCTCAGGATACAAAATCAATGTGCAAAAATCACAAGCATTCCTATACACCAATAACAGGCAAACAGAGAGCCAAATCATGAGTGAACTCCCATTCACAATTGCTTCAAAGAGAATAAAATACCTAGGAATCCAACTTACAAGGGACGTGAAGGACCTCTTCAAGGAGAACTACAAACCACTGCTCAACGAAATAAAAGAGGACACAAACAAATGGAAGAACATTCTATGCTCATGGATAGGAAGAATCAATATCGTGAAAATGGCCATACCGCCCAAGGTAATTTACAGATTCAATGCCATCCCCACCAATGACTTTCTTCACAGAATTGGAAAAAACTACCCTAAAGTTCATATGGAACCAAAAAAGAGCCGCATTGCCAAAACAATCCTAAGCCAAAAGAACAAAGCTTGAGGCATCACACTACCTGATTTCAAACTATACCACAAAGCTACAGTAACCAAACAGCATGGTACTGGTACCAAAACAGAGATACAGACCAATTGAACAGAACAGAGCCCTCAGAAATAATACCACACATCTACAACCATCTGATCTTTGACAAACCTGAGAAAAACAAGCAATGGGGAAAGGATTCCCTATTTAATAAATGGTGCTGGGAAAACTGGCTAGCCATATATAGAAAGCTGAAACTGGATCCCTTCCTTACACCTTATACAAACATTAATTCAAGATGGATTAAAGACTTAAATGTTGGACCTAAATCCATAAAAACCCTAGAAGAAAACCTAGCCAATACCATTCAGGACATAGGCATGGGCAAGGATTTCATGACTAAAACACCAAAAGCAATAGCAACAAAAGCCAAAATTGACAAATGGGATCTAATTAAAGAGCTTCTGCACAGCAAAAGAGAACTATCATAAGAGTGAGCAGGCAACCTACAGAATGGGAGAGAACTTTTACAATCTACCCATCTGACAAAGGGCTAATATCCAGAATCTACAAAGAACTTAAACAAATTTACAAGAAAAAAATCAAACAACCCCATCAAAAAGTGGGCAAAGAATATGAACAGACACTTCTCAAAAGAAGACATTTATGCAGCCAACAGACACATGAAAAAATGCTCATCATCACTGGCCATCAGAGAAATGCAAATCAAAACCACAATGAGATACCATCTCACACCAGTTAGAATGGCGATCATTAAAAAGTCAGGAAACAACAGGTGCTGCAGAGGATGTGGAGAAATAGGAACACTTTTACGCTGTTGGTGGGACTGTAAACTAGTTCAACTATTGTGGAAGACAGTGTGGCAATTCCTCAAGGATCTAGAACTAGAAATACCATTTGACCCAGCCATCCCATTACTGGGTATATACCAAAGGAATTATAAATCATGCTGCTATAAAAACACATACACACGTATGTTTATTGCGGCACTATTCACAATAACAAAGACTTGGAACCAACCCAAATGCCCATCAATGATAGACTGGATTTAAAAAATGTGGCACATATACACCATGGAATACTATGCAGCCATAAAAAAGGATGAGTTGGTGTCCTTTGTAGGGACATGGATGAAGCTGGAAACAATCATTCTCAGCAAACTATCGCAAGGACAGAAAACCAAACACTGCATGTTCTCACTCATAGGTGGGAATTGAACAATGAGAACACTTGGACACAGGGTGAGGAACATCACACACCAGGGCCTGTTGTAGGGTGGGGGGGAGGGGGGAGGGATAGCATTAGGAGATATACCTAATGTAAATGACAAGTTAATGGGTGCAGCACACCAACATGGCACATGTATACATATGTAACAAACCTGCACGTTGTGCACATGTACCCTAGAACTTAAATTAAAAAAAAAAAGATAAAAAGTGGTATTCCTGTATAAAGTGCTTACCATGAATGGAGCTTACAGGACTGGAAGTTGCTCTGGGAGAGTCAATGAGTGATTAGTGGGTGAACATGAAGGCCTAAGATATTACTGCACAATACTGTAGACTTTATAAACACTGTACACTTAGGCTACACTAAAGTTATTTAAAGTGTTCTTCTTCAATAATAAATTAACCTTAGTTTACTGTAACTTTACAACCTTTTTAATTTTTTTTAACTTTTTGATTCTTGTAATAACATTTAGCTTAAAACACAAACACATTGTACAGCTGTACAAAAGTATTTTTTCCTTATTCAACAAGTTTTTTTTGTATTTATTATTATTATTTTCCTTTTTAAGCTATTTTTGTTAAAAAACCAAGACGCAAACACAAACATTAGCCTAGGCCTACACAGGGTCAGGATCATCCACATCACTGTCTTCCACCTCCACATCTTGTCCCACTGTAAGGTCTTCAGGAGCAGTAACACACATAGAGCTGTCGTCTATGATAACAATGCATTCTTCTGGAATACCGCCTGAAGGTCTTGTTTAAGGCTGTCTGACCGCTTTTTTTTTTAATAAGTAGAAGGGGTACACTTTAAAATAACAATAAAAAGCAGACTGTAGTAAATACATAAACTAGTAACACAGTCATTTATTATCAAGTATTGCATGTGCTCTACTTTTGTATGACTGAGAGCATGGTAGGTTTGTTTACACCAGCATCACCACAAACACATGAATGATGTGTTGCAGTAATATGACGGCTACAACAGCACTAAGAGATAGGAATTTTTTAGCTCCATTATAATCTTATGGGACCACAGTGGTATGTGTGGTCTGTCATTGACTGAAACATCTTTATATGGTGTGTGACTGTATATGTTCATCAAGCAAATCTACTTCTATGCATTACGCTAAGAAAAGAATCATGTATAGCAGCCCACTGAGAGATGAATGCACAGATCTGTTTCTTATATACAAAATGTTACAAATTATATACTTCTCTGAGGAAAGTGTTCACAATTTTCTTAATATTATTTCTTCTTTCATCAAAGGAGTTTCTAAGTCACTCAACACTTCTGGTTGTAGAATAGTATTTAGAAACAAGTGTGACAGCTACTGCTAATGGACTGTACAATGTCTGTTTCCTTTTCTTCCTTAATCAGACCCTTGATATGTGGGAGCAAGATTTTACCCAGCTGAAAACACACACTCCTCTTAGGAATATGACACAGTTCTGGTCAATGAGACATAAGTGGATATATACAGGCGATTTCTGGCAAACCTTTGTTTTGCTGACATAGACACCACTCCTTCCTCTTCCTGCCTTCCTTCTCCCTGCCTGAACCACAGATGTGAGGCCAGGAGGTGCAGCAGCCTACAAGGAAGACAAAAGCCTACATCCTAAAGGATCCTCCTCACTCTAAGGAGGAGTAAAAAGACACAATGAAGCTGGGTCTTTAATGGCTTCACAGAGCCACCCTATTTGTCCCATGTGGCCTATCATATATATTAATGCCTAAAACTTACTTTAAGCCATTGTTTGTTGGATTTTCAATTGTTTGCAGCAAAACTCACTGCTAAACTGACAGACATGAGAAAATATAAAAAATTAAATGAAAATCCTACTTAAAGTACAATACCTGGAAAGGGATGCATGTTTTGTTTATATATGAATAGATGTGTGTCTAGATATATATAAACACATAATGATAGAAAAGAGTTGAAAACACAAATATCATAAATTAACCACTGTTTTCTAAGATGAGTGATATTCATTTTCCTCTTCATCTTTTTAGTTATTTTCCACATTTTCTACTGTTTGTTACTCTATGTTATTCTTTCAGTCAAAAAATATAGTTTATTTTTTCGATGTAAAAATGCGTGAAAATCTGCATTCTCTTTTCTGTACCTTTATATCTATGTTCTATAGACTTTGGGATTTTTCCTATTTCTCAGACCATTTTGAAAACAATAGAAACAAAGGACCAGGCTGGTCGTGGAGGCTCACGCCTGTAATCCCAGCACTTTGAGAGGCCGAGGAGGGCAGATCACTTGAGGTCAGGAGTTCAAGACCAGCCTGGCCAACATGGTGTAAACCTGTCTCTACTAGTAATACAAAATTAGCCAGGTGTGGTGGCACATGCCTGTAGTTCCAGATACTCACAAGGCTGAGGCAGGAGGGTCGCTTGAACCCGGGAGGTGGAGGTTGCAATGAGCAGAGATTGCGCCACTGTACTCCAGTCAGGTGACAGAGTGAGACTCCATCTCAAAAAAAAACAACGAACCAGCATAGCATCTTTAGGTCTAATTCACCGTGGGGTAGCAAGGGAAGATAAGGCTCAGAGATCACAGACATACAGGTGTCTCCATTTCAGATGCACTGGAGTAGCCGGCAGTCAGGGGACCTGTCCTCCTCCACACCACCAGCCAACAAAGGGCAACCCCTTGTGGCGGGCTGGGCAAGCACAGCAATCCCAGGCAGCTCTCAGGTCACCTGCACGAAATAACCACCAACCCCAGATGCAAGGCTGCATGTGCTATCAGAGGTGGACAGGCAACTTGGACAGCTGCTTCCTGGTCACATCAGGACAACACACAGGGAAAGTCAGACCTAGAGATGACCATCCTGTAAGCCATACCCATGGCCACCTGGACTGAAGATCCCAGGGCCTCACATCAATTTCTGGTCCATCTTCCTCCCACTCCAGAAAAAACAGGTTCAACAATCCAAGCTTGTGATTTGGAGCTAGTCTGACTAACTGCAGCCACATGGTGCCTCAAAGCTAAGGAATGCATACCATTTCAAAACCTCTCAAGAAGAAAGGTATACAACAAAAGGCTAAGATCAGTCACTGGGCAGATAAAATAGCGAGGCTGGAATTGGCTCACACTGGGTGGTGAGATCCTTCCCTTCCTTTTCAGATTCCTTCCTTCCGCTATTCAGCCAATTCCACAGGACTGCCAGGCTGTACAATGGTATAATTCCTGTTCTGCAGCCCTGCCCGCTCCTTCCTGTTTAGTAAAGTCCAAACAGTAGGACAAGACACCCTCCCACTACAAGACACCCCCTGTCCTGCCCCAGAGGGAAGCCAGCAGCCATGTTTAGGGGATCACAGCCCTGATCTCACTCCACTACTGGGATTCATACAGCTGAACAAAATGATTGTTCTCATTAAAAAATGAGCCCATGTTTCATTGCCAGTGCAGGCATCCCCAAGTGCTCCAAAGCGAGTTTGCCTGGGCTAGCAGCCAGCCATCTGGACTGCTCCAACAACTTATGTAACTTGCTGGGTTTTCCACCTTTGCCTTGGGGGATGGGGAGGTGTGTGTAAGGCAGGAAACGGACTTAGATCAAACCATCAGTCCACTGTCTGAACAGCCTGCTAAACATTTGGTCACAGGGCTTTTCAGCCTTCAAAAGCAGCATAAGGTGAGCTGGATCAGTCTAGCTTACATGCAGCAGCAGCAAAAAAGCAGCTTGAGGTCAAATGGATTGGAGAAAAGACTTCCAAGTGGACTAATGCAATGAAAGCCTGCACGAGGCCTCTTCTATGTCAATAAATTACAGAGTAAAATGCAGACAGAGAAGAGGATAGCAAAATGGAAGCCTTTCACTGAGTCGGGAACTTTTGAGGTTTAAAAAGCAAGGAATGGGTGCTGAATTCATTCTGAGCCAGGCTTTGGGTGTGGTGGTACCACGACACCACTTAGGGACAAAGGCAACTCCAGTTTGGTTTTGGGCTGAGCGTTCTGGAGAAGTGAAGAGGGAGACAGGAAGGAAGACGCAATTAATCCTTTAAAGTAGAAAGTATACAGAAAGGTCATTTGATTGAAGATAATTCTGCTCTGCAGGAAAGGAGCCAAGCTGCTGCTTATAATAATAATGACTATCAAGAGCACACTCATGGCTTCAAAAAACGTTCCAAATACTAACTTGCACCCTAGCTAATAAAGCAGACTTTACAGATTTAGGAAACCAAATCATGAGGGTAGCTCATGGCCTTATCACTTCTGAATATAGGGAGGCAGAGGAAGGTGCCTGCATGGCTCAAGAAAGACCACCAGGGCATTTAGACTACATTTTGTGTTTGTGTGTTGTTAATGCTCTGTTCATGTGGCCCAAGTTGCTTCACAGAGAGGTATTTTAAGGATGCATGTCTCATTGAATCCTCCCAGCACACTGGTGAGATAGACACTGTTATTATCCCCATTTTACGGTTTAGGAAATAAGATTAGAAAGTGAATTAATACCATACTAGTGGGTAGCAAGGTTGGGACTTGAACTCCTGCTGTCGGGCAGCAAAGCCTATGTTCTTTATCACTAACCAGCTGATACTGCTGCCACATGCAGCCTCTCTATCTGCATTTTTCTTTCCATGATGACTTTTGATGTTCATAATCACCTTTATAAAAAGGATACATTTGCAATGAAAACATGGCCAAAAGATGGTACTGGTATTTCTCAAAAGATATCCAAACATCATTACTCACCCAGGAAATGAAAATAAACACCAAGTGTGACACTACAACGACAATGACAACTACTACTACGATACACACATGCCCTAGAATGGTTACAACTAAAAAGATGGATAATTCCAAGCATAGGTGAGGGCATGGAACAATTGAAACCCTCACACATTGCTGGTGGGTATGAAAATGGGTACAACCTCTTTGCAAGACTATGTGGCAATATTTACTAAGGTAAAGATTTGTGTCCCTTATGATCCAACAATCCCACTCCCAGGAATATACTCAAGAGATAAGTACTTATGGCCTCAAAACACCTGTAGAAGAACATTCCAGACAGGGTGAGGTGGCTCACACCTGTAATCCCAGCACTTTGGGAGGCCAAGGCAGGCAGATTGCCTGAGGTCAGGAGTTCGAGACCAGCCTGGCCAACATGGTGAAACCCCATCTTTACTAAAAATGCAAAAATCAGCTGGGTGTGGTGGTGGGCACCTGTAATCCCAGCCACTCAGGAGGCTGAGGTAGGAGAATTGCTTAAACCCAGGAAACGGAGGTTGCAGTGAGCCTAGATCGCACCACCGCACTCCAGCCTGGGCAACTAAGCAAGATTCCATCTCAAAAATAAAATAAAATAAAATAAAATAAAATAAAATAAAATAAAATAAAATAAAGGTTCCTAGAGGCTTTATGCACAATAGCTCAAATTTACAAACAATCCATTGTTCAATCGAAGAATGAATAATTAGTGATATGTTCTGTACAACGAAATGCTTTCTACAACAATCAGAACAAACTACTGCTACATGGAAACATGGATGAGTCTCACAGGTATTATACTGCATAAAAGGAGCCACACACAAAGAGTAGATGGTATATGTTTCCATTTACATGAAGCACCAAGAACAGGGAAACTAATCAATGGCAATATAAGTCAGAAGAGTGGTTACCTGGAGGGAGAAGGGGAGCGAGGAAGGTATTGACTGAGTGCACTAGGGAGCCTTCTGGGATGCTGGAAATGTTCTACATCTTGATCTGGTTGGTGATCACATATTTATAAATTTGGCTTGAAAGTGACAACAAGCATTATCCACTCCAGGTGACATTCCTCTCTGAAGGCCTCACTCCGGAGTTTCCAGCTGCTGGCCAGGGATTTATAGTAGGCAGGAAGTGCTGTCTGCCCACCTCCCATACTCCGCCCTCCCCTCTGGCACGCCCACAACAGTGCCTGCAGAGAATAAACTTCATATGGAATTACCTTCTGGGATTGGGCTCACAGTGAGACACTTTCCCTTAATTCTCACACAAATACTCTCTTTGCCTGGAAGGCAAACAATACAGCCAGAACAGAAGCTGGGGCCTCCACTTCTGCATTTTCCTTTTTCCTTGATTGTGTATGGAAGAAATTTGAAAAATATTTCACAAGCCATCAGCCTGTTCCTGCTGTTTTCTTCTGCAGGGATTGATAATGTGGCCCCATCAGTGGCACTCCTAGCCCTCAAGAGATACGTCTATGTTTGCCAGATCCCAAGTGAAACATTGAGTCAAAAGGAATATGTCCCATAGTCTCTGGATGCACAGGGTTCCCAAGGTGGAAGAATCCACTTTCTGAGCAGACTCACTCCAACTGGACACACAGACTGAGCCAGAAAAAAGCAATTGCAGAGCAAAACTCTGACACCAGCTGGGACCTCAAAATTCAGTAGACTTGGGGGATGATATAGAGAGGAGAGAAACAACGCCCAGATGAAACTGCCAAGGTAACACTGTTATTTATTAAGGAGGCAGAAAGTAGAAACATTAAAAAGACAAACTTCTCTCCTACAAATTCCTATCTTCTTTAAGCTAATAACGTTTTTTTCATCTTCACCATGGTATTATCAAACCTAGCAAAATTAATAATTCCTTGATATCATCTGATAGGCAGCCCACATTGAGATTTCCATAATGGCCTCAAAAAGGTCTTTGTATAATTGCTTTGGTTAAATCAAGTCCCAACCCAAGTCCACACATTGCATTTCATTAGGTGTCTTAAGTCACTTTTGTTTTAAACAGTTTCGCCTCCTTTTTCCTTTACCCTAGCATTGCTTTATCAGAGGATATGAATCAGCAATGCTTTAATTCCTTTTTCAAAAATAAATGTGGTAAAGTGTCAAGATTTGATGAAGCTGACTGGTGAGACATGACTGGCCATTATATCATCCATTATGCTTCTTTATATTTTCCCCCAATTTTTTATCTTGAAAATTTTCAATTTTTACAAAAAAAAAAAAAAAAAAGGCAAACTCCTTTCTTGACATAAAGCTCCAGGATTAAGATAATAATAACATTTATAGGGTGTTCAAGAGGTGGAAAGTATCATGCCAATTGATTTCAATGGATTATCTCATTCAAATGCACTGAGAACTCTATGAAGTCAGTGTTAAAATCATCCCCATTTAACAGGTAAGAATCTGGGGCATAAAATTATTCTAAGTAGTCAGGGATGGGACCTAAATTCAACCCAGGTTGTCTGAAACCAGACCACCCTCTTGGCCACCATTCTATACTGGTGCTTCGGTTTCCAGTTTCAGATTGGTTATGTCAATGATGAGAGCAGCACCAGCCAACCCTGGCTATGTATTTTCTGGATGGGGACACAGGTACATAGACAGAGCCCCTCACTCCAAAGATGGCCAAGGATTTCTCACACATTATCTCATACCTCCTCATCACCCAAGAGAAAGAGAGTCGAAGAAGTGGAGAATGAATTTAGGCCAACACTGCTATTGAGGAAAGAGGACATGCTTTGACCATGACCTACCACTCATGGCCTTTGAGGCCTTGGGCAAACCCTAAGCCCCTCTGAATACAGTTAAGACCCAAGGAGAAGCGATCCGACCCCACGCCAATTAAAGCAGAAAAAAAATTTTTAAGACTGAATGTGCTCATTGTGGGAAGGCCTACAAGAACCTAGGAGTGAAATGGAAAATATTTTCAAGATGTCGGATCACTGAAAATAAGTCAGAGGAGTCAAGAGGAACCAGGTCCTTTTCCCATGGCTTTGCAAGTGATCTGTCAACCATCCCAGCCATGGGCTGATGAAACCTCTCAAGGTGCTGCTCCAGTTTCTTCATGCTGGTGAATGTAGCCAGGAAGGAAAGCAGTAGTGGTACGAACAGAGAAACACAAGATACCAGAGCTCGCTGAACTGTGCTGACAACTTACACCCTGGCGCATCTCTGACTCACTGACTTCCTCCGTGAATTTTTGTGGTCAAGGCAGGATAACAGATCTGTCTTTGGGGAGGCAGTGTGAAATGTTTTTGCTTCCTCTCCCTACCACCTTCCATCTTCTTTCTTAACCAGGAGATGGCTAGCAACTTCTAGAGACAGCTGCTTTGGAAGAAGCTGAGCACACAAAGGTTGCCTCCTCACCCAGGAAACTGCTGAGTTCAACGCAAAGACTGGAGGCAAATGTCCAAAGATCCGTATCCAGCAGGGGGAAAAAAACACCTGGCTGACCTGTGGCAGCCCCAGGACCAACAAAAATCTGTCAACAACCATCTACGTGCTTTTAAAGCAAATCAAGATTTCAAAACAGGATTCTTCCACTGTTGTTTTTTTTTTAATAAGGTTAATTGATGGCCCTCTGTGTGCCAATAAAAGAATGTGGAATATCTGTTTGAAGTTCTCTTTATTGGCCCAGCAATGCCACAAATTGTGAAATAAAAGGAACCATAATCTCAAGGAAGAACCGCGGGTTGAGGTGTTACTTTTATATAATTTTCTTTACCCACACCATCAATAGCCCCTCTGAAACTTGTCTTGTATGAGCCCTTGCAATTGCTCATTATGAGGAACATCTGTTCTTTCTGCCAGCCCAGAATCCATCCCCACTTTCTAACTAAAACTTCTCAATTTTCCTTTAGTGTACTCCTTCCCTCAGCTCTGTCTGTGTGGTTGGGCGGAGCTAACCCCAGGGCTAGCATATGACTCAGGAGTGGCCTCAGTCACAGTGACCACTTTAGGGATGAATACAGAACCTGGCCCAGGCCAATGAAAGAGCCTGCCCTGGGACTTTTGCTGGAACTATTACCACAGAGGTGTACTCTTGCGTGCAAATGGGTAGGGTACAGACCAGGAGCTTCTCCTGGTCTCCAAGGGCCTATCTTTGACACGATGAGGAGAACCTACCTGAGGATGATGGCAAACACAGAAAAGTTTGAACCAGCAGGTTCAAAATCTAAATTCTCTAGTTCACATACTATTTAAGTTGATATGCTCGCTTTTAAGAGTTGAAATTCCACCTACAGGGAACCAGATGTCTCTACAGAACTGTCTTTCCAATCTAGTTTAGTAAAGTCTCAATTTGTATTTTTGGCATGTAAAAAAATATCTTTTCCCAACAGGATATCTTATGAACGTTGCATTTTTCAATACACAGTCTTACTTAGGTGCGCTTTTATTCATTGAATTTATATTGGATGGATACATCTATTATGTATGGATGTTAAAGACTCCATTGAGACTATACAAAAATGTAGTAATAATGATTGGGTCAAATGTCCTAGCATTTCAGAGGCCTTGCTCTTGGGCTACTTTCAGGGTTAGCAAAAGGGCCAAATAGGGATCAAGAGATCTGTCCTTCCTTTAGCCGATAACCCCTGTCCCTCAGAAGCAGTAGATCCTCTACACAGGCTGCTAGCATGACATTAGTTCACTTATTCACTTCATAAACTTAATTTCCTTTAGAGAGGTGCTTTCTAAATGGTTTCATACTCCTATTTCAAACAGATTATTTCAAATGCTTTAAAGGAGTACTTTATGGAAGCATCACCATGTATTAAAAATCTGCAGAATCCTTCATGGGAAAGAGCTTCCAATGAAGTGAAATAGAATATGATGATACCATATCTTTACTTGGGTGTTAGGTTCTACAGCTAACATTTAAGGCAAAATCCAGATAGAGTGAGAATTTCTCGTGAAAAGCCCTTAAGCCGGGCATATGGCATAATATACTTTGCTTTGTTTAAACTGTACTGTACTGCCTGTCACTAAGTTCCACGGAGAGTTTTTCCTCCATACGGTGGTTTATTCAGCTGAGCACCAGACAAAGCAGTTACTGGTGTTCAGAGGCCACATTATATTCTTGTTATTTGCAGAATGCTTATAGTTGAATTCATGTAAGATAAATACATGTATGGTACACCTCAACCAATTTTATTATGTTTTCTTAATACTCTCCAGGCAACCCAGGACACAAAGACTGGAGCTACTTTTATCCTATAAAATCCTTTATTAAGTAATCTCAGGGACGCTGGGTAATAAAGTATACACAAGTATACACACTGCAATCTTAGGTACTGGGAATGATGAAGTTTACTGACTGTCGATTGGGAGATGATACACACAAGAAACATCTAAAGAACAAAGCTAAGACTAAACTTTCAGGGATCATCTTTATAGTTTGCTAAATGATCAAAGCTAAGTTGAATTAAAACTATTTATTAAGTAGCTAACTATGTGTAAGAAACAATAACCACATTCAGGTCATTTAATCTGATGGTTTTAAAACTATTAGTACAGAATATCTTTTATCAAAAATAGACAGACAGATAAAAATTGAATGTGAAACCCCAGTACACCAGCAAGATGAAAGCAGGGCAGCTCTGGAAGAAGCTGGGAGAAAGGTTTCTTTCACCTCAGCAACTGTAGAGTCCCAAAGATTCTTGAAACATAATTTGAAAATCACTACTGTAGACGCAGTTCTCTAGTCCTACCCCTTTTATATTAAAGCTGCAGAACCACAGGCCTAGGAGGGGTGAGCAGCTTTTCCAAGTCCATGCCGTTTAGCAGCACAAGGGAAGCAGATGCTACATCTCCTTGCTCAGTCTACCATCATTTCCATTACAAACCTGCCTCCCCTCCTCGACCACCCCATGTGTAAGACAGAATCTTTCAGAACTGTAGGGGAGGGCCAATGGAGATTTGAAACGATTGAAGTTGGATGTACCACGTCAGACAAGACTTCTGGGAAGAGGGAGGTTTGGTGCTAGATCTTACAGGAAAAGCAAGGCAGGATTAATGGAAAAAGCCATTTCCCACTCTTCAGGTGGAATGAAAAGTATGAGAAGGGAGGTATGGATGTGGAACAAGGGAGGCTAGCAAAATGGAATGGAAGGTCTTGAAAATAACACGGCCTGAGGGACAGAGGGCGAAAGGAACAAAAGGGGAAACTATTCACAATGCTAAATAGTTGAGGAGGAAAAAATCTTTCCAAAAATGTATCACTTTCTAGAAGCTCAGCTTGCCAAATACTTTCAGTATTACTGATGTGAAGACAAGCGAGGATGGAAGGAAAAGCTCAGGCGGGAGCGGAGCCCTGCAGTCAGAAGGCTTGAATGTGGAGGAGGCTCTGCTTCCTCATCCACCCATGATGGGAGCCATGAGAACCACAAACACTTTACATGAGTTAATGTTCAGAAAAAACACGTTGTAAACATTTCATCAGTTTGTAGAGTTACTGCCTCTTAAAATAAAACATTAAGCAATATTTGTATATGAATTCATCTATTCCCATGAAAAGCCCATGTAAAGAGGGCCATTGCCTGTAATTTTCCAACATTTCCAAACATTCGCGCTCCATATTAGGAGCCTGTAGGCATCATCCTGCCAGGGTTTAGCTGTCAGAACAATAATACACCATCGAGAACCAGAGCCCTTCCTGCCTGATGGTTGCTTGTATCATTTCAGCCATCGTAACCAGGTAGGTCGAGAAAAGTTTCACTGGCTATTTGGGTTGGAGACATTGAATTATTCAGATATTTAAAAAAAAAAAAACTGAAATACAAACATAAAAGGGATAAATGGAACAGGATAGCAACGGAATGACCAAAGTCAGATGCACACTAAACTATAGCAGAAGCAAGCAGGATATGAAGCAATAAAGCACTAGATATAAAATTTAAAGGAACTGATCAAATAGACACTAAGAAAATAAACAGACTCTAAAAACATGCTGTAAAAATACAGAAGGCAAAAGCTAAAAATGTTAGGGCACTGCCCAGTCTAAAATAATCTTCAAAATGTATGTGGGAAAAGGGAGGAAAATGGTTAGAAACCAGCAACAAACACAAAAAGGCAGAGGAAGATCAAGGAAGCCAACCTGATGTCCTCTGCTAGCGCCCTCCCACCCACCTCCCCCTAAACCAACGGAGAGTCTTTTTCTGGTTGTGTTGCTGACCTACTTTTAAACATCTATGAAATAAATAACTATAGTTTCATAAAGCCTGGGAGGAGGGAGAGAAAAGAAATGTCCTGGGTCTTAAGGTATGTAACAGACCTAGCTACTAAAACCACACCCATGGATTTATTTTAATTAAGGAACTTAACTGGGTTTTATTACTGAAATTTCTCTTTCATTCATAACCAATAAGTGTTACTTTTAGGACTGTTATTTTAAAAATAAAACTAACACTTGTGCATGGAGTAAAATCAAACTATACAGAAAAGTTTAAAAATGGAAGGTTAAAATTCTCTATTCTCGCTCCCCGAACATTTCAACGATTTTTGAGTATCATCTCTAGAAATTATTTATATACAAGGAAGAGCATGTGCACAGACTTCATAAACATCCTTTTATTTACTCAAATGAGATCACATTATTCAAGAAGTTTTGGATGTCGCTACTGTCACAGTGCTTTTCTTAAAAGGACACACAGACCTGCATCACATAGAAAATACTGCACAGGACTCCACGGTATGGATACACATAATGGAAATTGTCAGTCCCATACTAGTAAGCTATTTTGAGCAATGCCTTTTTAACGATCTCTTCTATCTATCTTAGCTTTTCCACCAATGCTGCAACAAACACCCTTACCTGTAGTTCTGGCATTTGTTCTAGCCCACTCTGAGCTGTCAGGGTCCATTTTCATCCTGCAGTTAACTCTCAGTCAACTGGACTAGGGGGAATTACCAATCTAAAACAACCCCAAATCAATCCTTATTAACAATTAAAATTTAATAAAATATGGTATAAAATGAAATAAAAATTTGTTTAGAGAAACTTATTTCCAATACACAGAAATATTTACCATTTTAAAAACATCACAGAAAAAAATTAAAATAATAACAATATTGCATGATCTCAATTATATGTAAAATCTGAAAAAAAAAAGAATAAAGGTCAAATTTACAGAGATAGAAAACAAAATAGTGATTACCAGGTTTGGGGTAGTGGAAAGGAAATGATGAGGTGTAGAGGTCAAAGGACACAACGTAGCAAATATATAGGATGAGTAAGTCTAAAGATACAACAGGAAGACTACAGTTAATAATGTGTATTGCATTCAGGATTTCTGCTAAATGAGATTACAGCTGTTCTTGGGGGGTAGAGAATGGTTAACTGTGAGATGATCACTATGTTAATCTGTCTCACTATAGTAACTGCTTTACTACATATATGTATCTTACAATCATGTTGTATGCCTTAAACACACAAAATAAAAGTTATTTTTAAAAATAAGGAATACAATACAAAGGTTTGGGATTAATTTAAGCCTGTATTAAAAAAACAAAACAAAAAAAGGCCCCTCAAAGAGGTAACAGTCTTTTAAGGCAGTCCCCTAGTGTTGGCTCCAAGTTCCCTATTCAGATGAACTTCCTTTCACTCAAATATTAGAAGAAAATGTGCAGACAGCAACTGGTTTCTGAGCAAAGAAGCATCTTAAATGGCCTGGCAAGGGAATCAGAAGGAGAGCAGGCCTTCCCATGATGAAAGCCAGATAGCAGTCACCCCTCACTGCTTCTGACTTGCTCTTCCTCATCAAGAAACCTCACAACTGTATCTTTTTTTTTTTTTTTAGATGGAATCTCGCTCTGTCAGCCAGGATGGAGTGCAGTGGCACAATTTCGGCTCACTGCAACCTCCGCCTCGCAGGTTCAAGCAATTCTCCTGCCCCAGCCTCCCGAGTAGCTGGGATAACAGGCGTGTGTCACCACACCCAGCTAATTTTTGTATTTTTAGTAGAGAAGGAGTTTCACCATGTTGGCCAGGCTGGTCTCGGACTCCTGACCTCAACTGATCTGCCCGCCTCGACCTCCCAAAATGCTGGGATTATAGGCGTGAGCCACCGTGCCTGGCCCACAACTGTATCTTAAACTCCGTGTATCACATAGGAAATGAAATCAACCTCATCCTTAATGTCAGCTTCCTCTTGTCTTTCTCTGGGCTCATCAGAGAAGCCTTCAAGCACTCTCAGATTAGCTTGGTGCTAAATTGAAAAAGTTGAGGGTATGGCCTCTTTAAGCTTTTGGTTTCCTGAAATGCAAAACAGGGATAATTGTGTCTACCTTCATAGGATCAAGAAACAATACACGAGACTTTTTTGGCAGAAAGAATGGTATACAGTAAGTACTCAAAAGGTGTCATCAGCCTCCGTTTCTAAAAAAAAATCAGCAGGTACAGAAAAGAGTAGTCTAGCACTACCAGAAGACTTCGCTTAAAGATATGATTAAACTTGCTCAAACTTCCTGCAGCGCTGCTAATTAGTGATACCCTGGGGCCTCCCCAGCTGAGGAGATAGCAGCTAATCCAGGGCTTCAGTGAGACAAGAACACATCTGACCAGAAACCGGGTAGCAGTCTCCTAATGGCTACTGTCAAGTTCTAGGCACCTGGAACCTTCCAAGATATAGATGCTTTCCTTCTCCTGCAATTTCATTCTCTTCAAAAGCATGCTAGTTTTATTTACTTATAACCATGGTTATTCTGCCCCACCAACAAATCAAGGGTTTATAGTACTGTACCAAGCATAGTCCCTTACAAATGATCAGTGATAAGGAGAAACAGTTATAACTTCGGTTATTTTCCTCCTACTTAGAATATGTACCAAATACATAGACCCACCACATTAAGTATCATTATAATGGACATCTCTGAAAAAAAATTATTTTCAAATTTGTATCTCAGTCTTCAAATTTACTTAAACTCAAACCTCCAATGCCACCTAAAAAATTTGTAGAATCTTAAATTTTACCAAAATGGGATTGAAACCAGAATTTAAACTAACACAATCACACTTTAAAAAGTTTCATATGAAAGAATCCTATGTCCTGAAAGATGGCTATTTTAGTCTTTGATTCATTGACTCATTCATTAGAAACTTGGTTAAACATCGCCTTCTCCAGAAAGCCTTTCTAGAGTGACCGTCACATCCTCTTCCTTGTCCACCCACATCTTACAGAAACTTCTATTAGTAGATTACTGCTGTAGTGGTCCTTGTTTCTACTTGCCCCACATCCATTCCCACTTCTGGTAACAACACCTTGATTCTCCCTTGGGGAACCATTCCTCCCCAGATGACAGTCCAGATGGCTCCCCTGTCTGTTACACCCTGGCCAATCAGCATATTCTATCTGCCCTCTTCCTGGCCCCAATGATTGGCTTAGGAATGGGCATGTGACCCAACTCCAAGACTTCTATTGGAACAATAGGGGAAGAAGTATGTCGTCTTGCCAGAACTGCTGACTGTTAAGGGTGATATGAGGTTGGAGCCGCCAGAAGTGGATGGCTGGTGGGTCACACACAAAGATGTAACCTAAGGATGAAGCCAACAGAGAGGAAAACAGAAAGAGTCAAAGGCTACTTCTGGAATTTTCAGATACATGAACCAAAAAATTCTCTTTTTTCCTTGAGCCAGTTTCTGGCCTTTGGAAACAAACCAGGCTCACTAATAAAACTACTCCATTTATTTCATTTCATGACCCTTACCCTCTCCTAGAACATAAGCCCTTAAAGGGCAGAAACTGGGATTTATTATCTTTCTATTCCTGTAATCTAGCAGAAGGCCTGGTTCACGAGTGCTGAATATGTGTGCAGCACTGGGCTCAGTGGGAATTTTCCTACAACCAACTCTCATGTTCAACAAACACTTTATATGCACCCTGTTCATCTGCTTAACATGACTAACAGTATCTACAAAAAGTCCCTGGTGTGGGCTGTTTATACACACTGGCAGAAAATAAAATGCTGTATTCTTCCTTTCTGCCTACCAAGATGCAATCCACTTGTTAATTCTTTACATACATCCCCAACCTCAAAAATATCAAGAACAACAACAACAACAAGCCACCGAAGTTTCCAGAGCAGTGTCACCAAAACACTGTCACAGGAAAAGAGCAAAGAGACTATGCAGGAAGGGAAGGCAAACACAGGCAACAGCTCCCCTAAGTACAGAGGTCCTCAACCCATACTCCTCATCTTCAGGGGCCGTGATACACTGACCACCCATGTGCACTTCTCTAAGCAGAGGACCCACAGCTTAGTCCCAGAGCCATTCTAAAAGGGCTCTGAGATTCCAGAAAGGTTAAGAAGCACTACTCTAAAGGGTACAATAAGCATTTCTAATATTTCATTGCTCTTCCCCTGCTAATTCAGTTAAACGAACATTATTCATGGAAAAGACAAATAATCCAACTGGAGCTCTTCTACCCACCAAAGATAAAGAGTCTCTAAAGAACAGGCCAACATAAAATCAAGCTTTATTTGTTTAAATCTGGCCTCTAATGTAGGAGGAAATAATTTCCCAAGAGTCACTGTCTCCATTGGGACTGATCAACGGCAGCCAGCAAATACCTGGCCAGATGGAGAGAAAACAGCTTCATCTTCATCCTGCCAAGAGCCTGCCAAACTATAAAGGTCTCATCACAAAATGGCCAGCCTTCCTGAAATGAGGAAATGGCATTTTTTATACTAGTGGAGAAGAGGAAACAAACTAAACGTTCAATTAAAAAATGACTACTTGGTCAGGCATGGTGGCTCATACCTGTTATCCCAGCACTTTGGTAGGCTGAGGTGGGCAGATTGCTTGAGCACAGGAGTTCAAGACAAGCCTGGGCCACATGGCAAGCCCCCTTCTCTATAAATAATAATAATAATAATAAAAAGAGCTGAGTATGGTGGTGCACACCTGTGGTCCTAGCTAATTGGGAGGCTGAGGCAGGAGGATCACTTGAGCCTGGGAGGTCAAGGCTACAATGAGCCATGAGTGCGCCACTGCGCTCCAGTCTGGGTGACATAGTAAGACCCTGTCTGAAAATAAGTAAATAAATGAGTAAAATAAAAAATGACTACTTAAACATTGTGGCATAAGATAATGGAATCAACACAATTCATTAAACAAATATTTGTTGAGCATCTATTATGTGCCAGCAGTTTGTCAGGGAAGGGATACACAACGGCAAATCAAAGAGCTCCAGTGATATACACCTAAACTCATTAACATGGCCAGACCTCAGTGACAATGATACAAAGACTACAAAAAGCAAAAGAACATGTGAAGCACAATTCCATCAACACATGTACATCCATATGCACAATACATATGTATGTAAAGATATATGTATAAAATAACAAAAGAAGTGCAATCCTATGCATGTAAATATATACACAACCAGAGAGGACTGAAAAGATAGTCACTAAAAATTACCTGTGGTCATCCCTAGAAGGGAGGAATGAGGGTAATTATTCTCATACTACTTCCATATTATTTGCATTTTGAGAGTGAGCATATCTAATATTTGTATGTTAAAAATTTTTTGAAATATATCATACAAAAACAATCCAGAGATCCTAATATAATTTTTTGAGAAAGGACAGGCTAAGAAGCTATAGGTCTTTATTTTTAATAAGGAAATAATCATTGCTTACCCAGGCGCAACTGTGCAGTGTAACAGTGGAGAAGAGCACTGGCTCTCATACCAGATGCTCTGGGTTCAAATTTTATCTCTGTTTATTAGCTGTGTGAATTTAGGTAAAATACTTAATCTCTCTGTGTCTCAGTTTCCAAAACTGTAAACTGAGGGAAATACGACCTACCTCATAGAGTTGTTATGAGGATTAAATGAGCTAATAATAAAAGGGATGATGATGGTGGTGGTAATGGTGGTGGAGGAATAGGAGGAGGAGGAAGAGGAAGAGGAGGAGAAGCAAGAAGTAAAGCTGCTCCGGATCTGTTACCTATGAGCAAGGAAACTCATCTAAAAACAATTCCGAGTACAAGCCTGATCCAAGGGTTTTCTGGCCCTTCTTTGAACAATGCCTTTAATAGTAGCAAGGACCACCTCTCCAGAAGCTTCAGGAACTTCTAGCAAACTCTTGCTCATCACTGATTTTATCAGTTTACCCACCTCCCAGCTGCCATCATTCATATCCGTGCACCACCCTTTCCTATTTTCATACCCAAGAGAATGCTACTTCCCCAGCTTTGCAGATCCTCTGTTCTCTAACAAACTGGGTTCTTTCCTTCCTTCTATTTACCCAACTAAATGCTTCTGGTTCTAATTAGTGTTTCCCACCTATCTTACCTTATTATTCTATCATCTAAGTGCCTAGATTGGCACATCAATAGAATACTGATGTATTTTTAGTAGAGATGGGGTTTCAACATGTTAGCCAGGATGGTCTCGATCTCCTGACCTCGTGATCCACCTGCCTCGGCCTCCCAAAGTGCTGGGATTACAGGCGTGAGCCACCGCACCCGGCCTCTTAAATTCTAATTTGGATTTATGTTCTTAGAAAACCATCCACTGATTCCATCCATCCGTTAGTGATGACAATAACAAGCCAAGCATTGTGCTAGGTGCTAGGTTAGGTTAGGGTGGGTATCGGAGGCTGGGAGGTCACCACACCATCAGAAGTTAAACTGATGCCACATACACCTTCTAACCGCTTGACACTGAATGGCTCTATTAAGATTTACATATATCTGACTTCTCTATACAACCAGAGTTCACTCTGTCTTACTGGCACTTGTTTTTATACATATGTGGTCAATTTTTATCGTTCTGTTTTCCCTGCCCTGAATCTTACTTCCAATAAAAACATTACAGCACTAAAAGAACATTAAGAATAACACCTTAAAAAAAATTTGCCATCCTAACAGCAGCTGTTTTATTTTCCTGTATCTTCTGTGGGTTTTTGTACGTATGTGTGAGTGTGCGTGTGTGTCTATGTGTGGTATCATATACATATGTACAATATGCACTATATACACACAAAGAGTTATGATAATAATATGCATACATCCTCATATATTTTTCATTTATTGGCTAAGCATTTTTCTGCATTCAGTATTTATGGTTGTAATAGCAGTATAAGCATTCAGAGGGTTGTCATACCATAGTTTACTTATTGCCCTGTTGGCTAAAACACAGATTATTACACTTTTAAAAGATAACTCATTACATGTATACCTATGTAACAAACCTGCACGTTCTGCACATGTATCCCAGAACTTAAAGTAAAATAAAACATTTGAAAAAAGATAACTCATTAATGAACGATTTTCCTGTATAGAATCTTTATCTTTCTTCTTCTCAATTACAGACTTGGAATACATTTTTCCAGCAATGAGATTATTAGACCAAAAGCTATTAAATAAACAACAAAGTCTTTCATGGCTATATGGCTGTTCTGAAGGGTTTTAACAATTAAATGCACCTACAATCAACACTTTATTATTCATACTCATGAAAGGAAACAATGCTGAGCATAACCCAAGTCATTCTGTTTGCAATTAGGAGGCCAAGTATTTACACATACTTTTACAGAATAGTTGTCTTCTTAATTGCACTTCACAGGCCAACAGAAGGCATGTAGAAAAAATGAGATCAGGTATGTCAAAGTACTCTGGAAAATTAAAAAAAATAATACAAAGTTGAACCCTATTGGGGAGCAGGAGGAAATTAGTCACGGAATTCCAAATAGGCCAAAAGTCATCCATACAGATACCTGAGAGCTGTCTGTGTAGGTGTGCATGCCCTCTCCTACAGTACGTTATAAATGCGATTAGGAGAGTTTTCCTATGTGTGACTCCTCAGCTGAGACCTTACAAACAGAAAGAGAAGTGTGTGTGTCAATATTTGACTCTTTTCTGTATTCTTTTCTCTGCCATCCCAACCTTATAGAATCATTCCCATTCTGCATGCTACAAAGCAAACCACTGAAAACAGAAACCAAACTGCCCAAAATGCAAGGGGAAAAGGAGTGGGAGAGAGAAAACAAAAGGCTTATTTAGAACCGGCTATTAAAGATTAAACTAAAAATTTTTACAGGCCCTTTAAAACACAACGCTCCAACTATTTACACTGGATGACTTTCAAAAACTCCCCTCTACTCCCAGTACACGAGACCAACAAAATCACTGTGGCTAGGTCTCGGCAGCATCCTACTGAGCCTGGATTGCCCAAGTATGGCACCTAGGCTACTGTGGGCGGCAAGCCACCCAGGTGCCGAGGCAAGAGACCAAGGACACGAGCTGTTCCAGTATAATAAAATATAAGACAAGAATAGTTATACCAGATGTAGATCTTAGAGATGATTATATATGAATATCATTAATCATTAGTTTGTAGCAATTACTCTTTATTCCAATATTATAATAATCCTCGCTCTATAATCATAACCTAGGAAAAACCAGGCCATACAGAGATAGGAGCTGAGGGGACATAGTGAGGTGTGACCAGAAGACAAGAGTGTGAGCCTTCTGTTATGCCCGGACAGGGCCACCAGAGGGCTCCTTGGTCTAGCGGTGATGCCAGCGTCTGGGAAGACGCCCGTTGCCAGGTGGACCGTGGTCTAGCGGTATCAAAAAGTGTCAAGGAACAATACCCGCTACTTAGCAGACCGGGAAAGGGAGTCTCCTTTTCCCTGGGGGAGTTTAGAGAAGACTCTGCTCCTCCACCTCTTGTGGAGGGCCTGACATCAGTCAGGCTTGCCCACAGTTATCCGGAGGCCTAACCGTCTCCCTGTGATGCTGTGCTTAAGTGGTCATGCCCCTAGTCCGCCTTCATGTTCCATCCTGTACACCTGGCTCTGCCTTCTAGATAGCAGTAGTAAATTAGTGAAAGTACTAAAAGTCTCTGATATGCAGAAATAATGGCATAAGCTGTCTTTCTCTCTGTCTCCTCTCCCTCTCTGCCTTGGCTGCCAGGCAGGGAAGGGCCCCTTGTCCAGTGGACATGTGACCCACATGACCTTACCTATCATTGGAGATGACTCACACTCTTTACCCTGCCCCTTTTGCTTTGTATCCAATAAATAACAGCACAGCCAGACATTCGGGGCCACCACTGGTCTCCGCGCATTGGTGGTAGTGGTCCCCCGGGCCCAGCTGTCTTTTCTTCTATCTCTTAGTCTTGTGTCTTTATTTCTACACTCTCTCGTCGCCGCACACAGGGAGAAGCCCACCGACCCTGTGAGGCTGGCCCCTACAGGCTACCGTGCAAGAGATAATTTCAGGTGATCCAGAAATGCATGTCAGGTTGTGTGTCACGACCTGAGAAAGATACTCCCTTCCTAGTCTTTTTGAAACTTGGTGAGATAGCCTAAAAGAAGTCTCTACTTGATATTGGCATGTCTCCAAGACTTGACAGTTCTTAACATCGGTTTTTTTTGCTGCTGTTGTTGTTTTGTGTGTGTGTGTGTGTGTGTGTGTGTGTTTTAAACAGAGAAAAGCAAGGCATAAGCTCAGTGGCTTTAGGAGCCAAAGTATCTAGCTAGAACTTAACAATATAGTTTTGTTGCCATTTAACTTATTTTTAGGGTTTCCTTATTCAGCAAGTGATACTGATATAGGTAGTAGGATACGCACTTATTTTTTTAAAAGGAAATTTTGTAAATAAAGAAAGTGAATCAAATCAAAGAAAAGAATTTAGTAAATAGAACAAATGTTACAGGTATATGATCAAAACTGAAAGCGGGGTAGGGAGAAAACTAAAGTTTGGGAAACTGCATTAAGCCTACTTACATTTCATGCTTATCTTTTTTATGTCTTCATCTCCTCAACATAACTGTTATATCCTTCAGGGTAAAAGGCTATATTTTAATATCATATGTCTTACTTCAGTTGCCAGGTATCCTATATAGAAACAGACAGTCTAGCATTTCAGTTCTGTCAGTCAAAACAAAACATTTAAAACTAGACACTAAGTCCATCAAAATACCATAATTTCAGCTTTGCTTTATCTTGATTTCCCATTGATCCTTATGTCCATTTAAAAAATCATTATAACTTAACTTTGCTTTCTCGTGAATTCTGGTTACTTTTTAATCTTTAATGACTTGGAACACTTCACCTTTCAGTTTTCCACTCTGTTAAATTTCTGATGATCTATAAAAAATATTGCAGATATTCTAATAAAATAGGCACAGAGATCCTCTAATTCAAAGAATGCCATTCTAAAGGAGGGAGAGGAATTATAAACAAGAAAACATAGTGGGCTGCACAGAAGATAAGCAGGTGATTTGATAGAAGGTTCTAGAGGTTGGGAAGAGGGAAAGTGCTAATTTTATAAAGAAGAGTAATCAGGAGTAATCACCTCTCTGAGAAGGCACAGGTGACATTTAGGCTGAGATCTGAGATTTAGTAATAATTTTGATGTAGTTATTTTAATCCTAATTTGTTTTGTAAGTACGGTGTTTAGATATTAAGAGTTAAGCCTTCCTATATTAAAAAGTAAAAAAATAAGAGATGCTGGTAAGGTTGTGGAGAAAAGAAAATGCTTATATTGTGGGAGTGTAAATTAGTTCAACCACTGTGGAAAGCAGTACGGCAATTCCTCAAACAGCTAAAAACAGAACTACCATTTGATCCAGCAATCCCATTACTGGGTATACACCCAAAAGAATATATATCATTCTACCACAAAGGCACATGCACACATATGTTCACTGCAGCACTATTATCAATAGCAAAGTCACGGAATCAATCTAAATGCCCATCAATGACAGGTTAAAGAAAATGTGGTACACACACACACGCGCACACACACACACACACACACATATATATATATATATATATATATATACATATATACCATGGAATACTACACAGCCATAAAAAAGAATGAGATTATGCCCTTTGTGGGAAGATGGATGGAGCTGGAGGTCGTTATCCTTAGCAAACTAACGCAGAAATAGAAAAACAAATACTGCATGTTTTCACTTACAAGTGGGAGCTAAATGATGAGAACTCATGAACGCAGAGGGGAACAACAGACACTGGAGCCTACTTGAGAGTGGAGGGTGGGAGAAGGGAGAAGATTGGAAAAAAATAACTATTGGGTACTAGGCTTAGTACCTGGGTGACAAAATAATCTGTATAACAAACTCCCATGACATGAGTTTACCTAGGTAACAAACCTGCACATGTACCCCTGAACTTAAAATAAAAGTTAAAAAAACAAACAAGAGTTAAGCTGCCTCTCATTGTGGAAAAAGTTGTGCCCACCCTCTGTTCTACCCACAGTTCACATGGCTCATCTGTTTGGGGGTTCAGGTTACTTACCTCACACTCAAGTAGAAGCAAAGCTTTGTACATAGATAGCTTATCAACCAGACATTTAAAACAAACAAACAAGTAAACAACCAAAAAAAAACCTTTCACCATTCAGGCCTGTTAGTCAAACAAGGAAAATTCTTGTGGATTTCTGGTTGGCAGCCTATAACCTGGGAAAAGATTAAGACTATAAAGATGCCCTGTATCCGTTATCATATTATTATTCAACAATGAAATGATCTAGAAATGGGGCATAAAGGGTGTTGGCTTTTCCTACTCTTTCAGTTCTTGTTATTTTCCCCTATTCTTTCATATTTGTTAAAAACCAAAAGCAGCCCCACCCAAAGAGTACATAGTGAATTGCTGCTTACTCAAGACAGCTCCTGGCTGAGAGTTGAACTGAGGTTAAAGGATGCAAAAAAGGCAAAACAAACAAAAACCTGAAAGCACAATTTCAAATTTGTCAAGGTAAAATTCACATGGAGTTGCCCAAATTAAATAAGCCTCATTTACATTTCAGTAGGGCATGAAATGTCTGGTATAATCTGTAGAAGACAGGCGTAGAGTTTTATTTTGGAAAAAATTCCATCGTCCATTTTTTCGCCACTCGCATTTCTCCTGCTTTGCTTTTGAAGTTTCTCATTAACTCAGTCTCAGTACCAAACACAGCAGTATCTCAAAGGGTCAGTGATATTTTAAACAAACCTGGGAATGCTGAGGGTTAGGAACACCATTCAAAAGATGTGTAATTTCTACCAGGAAATGGATCTGTCGTCATTTTTGTCTAACAGATGCTGAAAATGAAAATAACAAATTTAAAAGAGAATTTGCAAGCAGGAAAAATATGAAGAGTGAGAAGAACTAAAAAACACTTCAAATGGGACATTAAAAGATGATCATTTATTTAATTTTATTTAACAAAGACAAGAATTCTAAAAGTTGAATATTTTCAACATATTTCCTTGTGGGAGAATGGCTGAAAACATCAAGGGCACAGGAGGATAGACTTTATCTCTTACTATGATTAACTGCACAAGGGCTAGTCATTAAGCCATTCTTATCCCAGTTGCCAAATTCATAGCCAGTAATACCCATAGGTCAGGTGACAGGCTGATATTTCCCTTAAACTGAGTGCTACTCCCTATTATGCCATGATTTTCCTTAGTGACAATGGGACATTTAAACTCTCTGGACCCCCCTTTTGTTTTTTTGAGACAGGGTCTTGTTTTGTCACTCAGGCTAGAGTGCAGTGGCCCCATCACAACTCAATGCACCCTCCACCTCCCAACCTCGATCAATCCTCCCACCTCAGCTTCCCACGTAGCTGGAACTGCAGGTGCACACCACCATGCCCGGCTAGTTTTTTGTATTTTTTGTAGAGATGGGGTTTCACCACGTTGCCCAGGCTAGTCTGGAACTCCTGGGCTCAAGCAATCCTCCCACCTCAGCCTCCCAAAGTGCTGAGATTACAGGCATGAGCCACCGTGCCCAGCGTGGATCCATTTTTTAAATCTCCAACAAACAATGGCTTTCTACTGTGTGCCTGGCTCTGATCTAGACATGGAAGAGACAAAGGTGGGTTAGATAAGGTCTAATTCAAGGAATGCCACTCTAAAGGAAAGAAAAATTATAAACAAGAAAACATAGTAGGCTGTACAGAAGATAAGCAGGTGATTTGATAGAAGCTTCTAGAGGTGGGGAAGAGGCAAGTGGTAATTTTATAAAATCAGGTAATCAGGAAAGCCCTCTCTGAGAAGGTGACCTATAAGTTGAGATCTGAAGAAGAAAGAGTGAGCTATGGAAAGAGGCAAGTGAAAAACTGAAGAACACTGAAGACCAGCAGAACAGCATGAGCAAAAGTCCCAAGGTGGGAAATAGCTTGGCATGCTGGGCATAGAAAAATGGCCAGTGGGGCTGCCTTTCTGATCACACCAGAGGTCTGGGATTTATTCAAGGTAATGAGAAGCCACTGGGGTTCCACTAAAGTGAACTACTTTTCTCAATAAATTAAGCTTAGCCTTTTTAGGTACTAAACTTTAAACCATTTTTCAATGGGAGTTTCTTTCACATTACAGTAGTCTCCCCTCATAACAAGAGACACCTCCCAAGACGCCAGTAGATGCCTGAAACCTCAGATAGTACTAAACCCTGTATCTGCTGTTTGATCTGATAACCTAGATGGCTACTAGGTGACTAATGGATAGACAGCACTGGACAAAGGGATGATTCACGCTCTGGGCGATTTCATCATGCTACTCAGAATGATGTGCAATTAAAAACTTATGAATTGTTTATTTCTGGAATTTTTCATTTAATATTTTGGGACTGCAGTGAACTGCAGCTAATTTAATAGGTAACTATGGAAAGTGAATCCATCGATGAGAGAGAACTGCTTATAGATTTTCTGCTCTTAGACTGAGTACATAGAACTTAACTTCTTTTGTCAATTTAGGCTCATGATTACTATTTGGTGCTCTGTCATCAGGGGAAGGACAGAAGTATGTAAACCCAGATCACTGTGCTTTTATAGTATACTTTCTTCTGCTGCTGCTACCAGCAAACACTTCTTGCTGTATCAGGTTGTCCTAGCTGTCTTACTTGGATGAGACAGCTTCAGCTATGGCCATGAGGCCATGACTCTGTCTTTTCTATTCAACCAAGCACATGGGGTTTGTGATAGTCATTGCTGCCTAGAGGCCATTTCTATTACTGGGCCCTTGGAATACAAAAACAGACCAATCCCATATAGTTGCCTTTTCCCACCTTTATTTCCAGGTTCACAACAGTGTCACACATGGTAGGGTTTGTCCAAAGTTTGGCCACCAGACTTGTCAGATGTGGCTGGCAGAATTCTAAAAATAGCTCCCCTGAGGTTTCCCTCCTGTGGTTATTCAATCAAACACTAATCTAGGTACTACTGTGAAGGGGTTTTGCAGATACAATTAAAGTCCCAAGTCAGTAGACCTTAAAATACAGAGATATCCAGATGGGCTTAATTGAATCACATGAGCTCTTTAAAAGCAGGAAGTTTTCTCTGGCTGGTAGCAAAAGAAGTCAGAGTGATGTGAAGCATAGGGTGGATTCAACATGCTGGCCTTGGCTTGAACATGGAGGAGCCTCAAGAGGAGGAACATGGCGCTGCCTCCAGAGGCTGGGAGGGGGTCCTGGCTGACAGCCAGCAAGGATCTGTGGACTCAAGTCCTACAACCACAAGAAACCCAATCTGCCAATCACAGGCATGTGTTTGGAAAAGGGCCCCAAGTCCAGGTGAAAGCACAGCTAACCAACACCTTGATTTCTAGCCTGAGCAGAGGACACACACACAGCATGCCAGATTTCTGAGCTTCAGAACTATGAGCTCATAAATGGAGGTTGTTTTAAGCTAATCATTTTGTGGTGGCTGGTTACACTGACAGAAAACTAATATACTTGGTGAAGTGAGTGTCTAGTAAGTTTGACAAAGAATGATAAAATAAATGAATGTGCTTTTGTTCTATCATCTGTACAAATGTCCACATAATAGCATGACATAATGGAGCATAAAATTAAGGGCCAGCAGCTCTGGGTTCAGACTGTGCTACCAGCCACTTGTGTGACTCACAAAAATGAATTTTCTTTCTCTGGGCCTTTTTTCTATAAATGAGAGAAGTGCTCAAAATGACTATTAAGGTCTTCTCAAGCTCTGATAGTCTCTAAGTTTAATAATTCCTTATTACATTAGAAAACAACTAAAAACAAATATGCACATTTTCCTCTATATATTTTCCTTTCTTTTTTTTTTTCTTTTTTTTTTTTTTTAAGAGACAGCGTCTCACTGTGTCATCCAAGCTGGTCTCAAACTCCTGGCTTCAAGTGATCCTCTGGCCCTGGCCTCCCAAAGCTCTGGGATTATAGGTATGAGCCACTGCACCCGGCCTATGTTGAATTTGCTAATGACACTCATTTTTCCCAGCTAATTAGCATACCTGTATCTCAAGGTCACAATAGTTAAGGAAGGCTGCTGAAAAAGGAATCTACTTATACTGTTTTGTTTTTCAAGACAGGGTCTTGCTCTGTAGCTCAGGCTGGAGTGCAGTGGTGCGATCACAGTTCACTGTAGCCTCAACCTCCTGGGCTCAAGCCATCTCCTGCTTCAGCCTCCCAAGTAGCTAGCACTACAGGCACATGCCACCACAACCAGCTAATTTGTTTTATATTTTGTAAAGACGGGGTCTACTTATGTTGCCCAGGCTGGTCTCAAACTCCAAGACTCAAGCAATCCCCCTGCCTTGGCCTCCCAAAGTGTCAGGATTACAAGCATGAGCCACTATGCCTGGCCAGAATCTGCTTATACTAATCTTAAATATATTCAACATATGATTGGTGCATTTATCTTTAGCTCTGGTTACAATACCACCTCAGAGGCTTTTCGATCTTGAAATTAACTAAATATTTAGGCATTTTACATAGATCATCTTTGCATAAAAGCTGAGTTAACATAATCCTAAAACTTGTTTAAAACACAATCTGGGTGCCAAACCAGGGGGAGGAGAAATGGGGGGAAGGGAAATGGTTTATCTAAACACATGACTTAAAGCCCAAAAAATGCTCCCTGACAAAAATGACCATATAGGTTTGGGGGCCTCTGTTCAAATTTTTCATATCTGTCCTTTCAGTTTTTTCAAATGTTATTTCAAATGTGTTCAAGTTATGTTAAAGTTGCATGCCATTCTTAACTGAAACATTATGAAACAAAAATCTCTCTAGAAAAACTATCTGCAGCATCTCTCAAAGGCTTATGCCCAGTTCAAGTACGTTTGCAGATTGAGAACCTGAGCATGTGCAAAACGCAATGCGTGAAAGTGGGAAGAACTGGAAGGGGTAAGAGAGAAAAAGAGAGAGCGCTGTTTGCAGTGTTTTGATAGGCAGAAGTTTTCCTTGCCATTCAACTGCTAAATTCTCTGTACTTAAGCTGAACTCTGGGTCATGGCAGAGAGTGCAGGAGCACTTTCTATAAAAAGCAGTGTGCACTGCAATGCGAGAAGAGGCTTCCTGGCACACGGTAGCAGAGAATAAAAACAGTGCAGCATGGAAATCTAGATCAAACTACGTAAGAGACTCTCCATAGGGAGGAGGATCTAGAAATCTGTATCAAACCTACTGTCTATTATGCACATGTAGTGTATAGGAAGGAAGGTCTTATTACCAATGGTACAAAGACGAGCCACAAAGTGAATCCCCTAACATGAGGACCAATATCTTATGGTCCAATGATGGTCTTGGAGGGAAGGCAGAGAGCTAAATGGAACTTTATTTTGAAAAATAACATAATAATCAAAATAAGGTAACCTTATATTTACGTAAGATTTATGTTCTTATTTCAACTGTGTACGAAATCACAAAGACTAAGTGCTGATGAGAGATACAATTTTTTCTACAAGATTTTATGATAATGCTGTAAGATAGCCTTTAAGTTTGGCTTTATTACAGCACTATCAAAAAGATTATCATTCTTGCAAAAGCAATTGAGAGCCTCATCAATTTTCCCCAAATCCATCCTCATTCTTTTGATTCAAATCACTCTTTTCAAGTGCCCATCAAGTCATCAACTCCTGTGTTTTCTCTTCATTAAGTGTTCTAATATGCCAGCTCCTCCTTTGTCTATGACAACGTACACAATTCAAGAGGTCTTGATATGGTTTGGCTGTATCTCCACCCAAATCTCAACTTGAATTGTATGTCCCAAAATTCTCACGTGTTGTGGGAGGGACCCAGGGGGAGATAATTGAATCACGAGGGCCGGTATTTCCCATCTTATTCTTATGATAGTAAGTCTCATGAGATCTGATGGGTTTATCAGGGGTTTCTGCGTTTGCTTCCTCCTCATTCTCTCTTGCCACCACCATGTAAGAAGTGCCTTTCACCCTCCGCCATAATTGTGAGGCCTTCCCCAGCCAAGTGGAACTGTAAATCCAATTAAACCTCTTTCTTTTGTAAATTGCCCAGTCTCAACTATGTCTTTATCAGCAGTGTAAAAATGGACTAATACAAGTCTCCAATACCATGTTCATAGACTTCATAAAGTCACAGATGTCTTGAATGATTTACAATTTCTGTTTGCCCTGCTTTTTTATTTTGTTTTGTTTTGTTTGAGACAGGCTCTCTGTCACCCAGGCTGGAATGGAGTGGTGCAATCATAGCTCGCTGCAGCCTCGAACTCCTGGGTTCAAGCAATCCTCCCGCCTCAGCTTCCCGAGTAGCTGGGACTACAGGCATGGACCACCACACTTGGCTAATTTTTAAAATTTTTAGTAGAGACCAGTTCTTGCTGTGTTGTCCAGTCTGGTCTTGAATTTCTGGGCTCAAGTGATCCTCCCATCTCAGCCTCACAAAGTGCTGGGATTACAGGCATGAGCCACTGTGCCTGGCATGCTTCTGATTATTTATCTGTCATTCAGAGACAGACCAGGACACAGACAAGATGTCCTAAAATAAATCAAAGTATCAAGCAGGGAGGGCTATTTGAGCTGTGATTAATTTTATTAGTGATCAGTCATCAGTTAATATTTTTGATTAATCATAACTTCAGGGACTCAGATAATGAAAACATAGATAAACAAGGATGCCTTGGCCCACAATTATGCTTAATACCAATGCCTGGTTTCATTACACAATATGGCTTTGAATATTCTCAGATAATTCCCTGTTGTCTTTAAGAGTCCCAAGTAAAAGAAGCCCTCCAGAGATTGTTCTAAAGAAATACCAGGCTGGCTGGACTCCACTCACTGCTGCAGCCAAGATTCTGGCATTCTGAGGGAGTAAAGCCAAGTAAGCATAAAGCTTCACAAGGATTCACTCTGAGAGTGCAACATGGAGACAGCATGAGATGCATGGAGACAGCATGAGATGCACCCTGGCCAAAGAGGCCACAACAAGACTAACATCTGGAACCGATCATTTGTCTATTTCCATTTTCCCTATTAAAGGCCTAAATAACTTTTTGGTATTAATAATCTAAACAAGGTTCCTGATAGAAAACAGCACAAATTTCTTCCTCAGTCATTTCTTGGAGAGCTTTCCAACAGTGTCAAATAAGGACATGCTCTTCTACAATGATTGAGGCGGGAGGTTTGTGATATGGGTAGATTCAGAGGATCCATAAATCCCCATAAGTGTTGTGCCAAATTTCTTAGAGAGTCCACAGTATTCACTGGATTTTTGAAGGGGTCTCTGATAATACCATTCCTATCAAAAACTTCCTGTGTACATAATTTTCCTATTCAGTCCTCTAGGCCCATCACAGCACATCACCAGGAATTTCTATGTACCATATTTCCTCGTTTCTCAAACACCTCTTTTTCTGCAATCAGAATGCATCTTCTTTGTTTTGTTTTGTGGGGCTTTAAAAAAAAATTTTTTTTTTGAGACAGGGTCTCACTCTGTCGCCCAGTCTGGAGAGCAGTGGTAATGATCATGGCCCCCTGCAGCCTCAACCTCTCGAACTCAAGCAATCCTCCCACCTCAGCCTCTGGAGTAGCTGAGAGTAAGGCACATGCCAACACACCAAACTTGTATGTGTGTGTGTGCAGAGATGGGGGGTGTGTGTGTGTGTGTGTGTGTGTGTGTGTAGACAGGTCTCACTATGTTGAACTGCTGGGCTCAAGTGATCCTCCTGCCTCAGCCTCCCAAACTGTTGGGATTACAGGCGTGAGCCACTGAACCCAGCCCAGAATGCATTTTATAATCCTTCTTTATCTTTAATGAGATGTTTCCCTCTTGCTCCTCAAAAGTGATTATTAAATTGATGATAAACCTTTGAATTAATGACATTTAAGCAGTGCAGGAACTGGCCCTACACCAAATATCTCAGTAAAAGGTATACTGCACATTCCTAAACAAAGAAAAACCCTTAGACAGATACTGCAGTGTCTCCATAAGGACAAAGGGCTAGATCTAGTCAGCTGGGCATCAGAACACCTGAAACACATCTGAGTTGACGTCATATCACCACTGGACACTAGTCAAGTTTCATATGCTTATACAACATGTACTGCATGCTACTGTGTGCCAGATAATATGCCACCTGAAAATGTTACTGATCTGGGTGAGGGAACTGGCAAGATCCCCAGAGGGGAGGGTGTAGAGATGCTGGATGAGAAGCCAGGGAGTGTGGACTAACAAGGAACCTGAGTGTTCTTAAGAGACACAGAAAACAAAGCTGGAGAGAAAACAGGACCAACTGAATGACTCCAGAAGAGTTGAGGTTGCGTGGGAAGTGTAATTCATCAACTTGTTAGAAACCATATTTATTTATAACACAGAGTACAGGTAGCCTTGGGAATTTTCAATTATAAGAATAAAGGGACTCTACGAGAAGCCAAAGGGGTAGATGTAGGCTCAGATAAAATTCTGACCACGGGAGCAGAGAAAGCAAGCATAACCTGATGTGGGCTCTGCATTGAGTGAACATTACAAAAAATTCTCAGGAAAATCCCATATATGGGGCCTAACATTCTTATATTTCATGGAAAGAATGAGATAAACAGATCTTGATGATTGCCTAGTGGTATTTAACAACAGCCCCCAAAGTCTGGGTGCCCCTTCCCAGAGATGGGCTGTGGGGTTAGAACGCATAATATTTGTACAGCTCTCGCTTAAAAACGCCTTTGCTCAGACAGCATACTTGCGTGCCATATATCATGTATTTTAAAATGGGGAAACTTGTCCCTTGGTGGTCCAAAGGAGACAAGAAAATTATGATCAGATACCAACAGAGACCCAAGTCTGAAGAGTGTGGTTCTAGCACCCCACCCCAAATGGACGATGTCAACCAAGGTTCTGTGGGAAGTCCTCTTTAGTGCCAAACTGAGACAGCTCTGTGCCCCTATCTCAGGCAGATGGTGGAGAGACCTACCTTCAGGCAGAGGTAATACCAAGTCACTACATCTAAAAGAAAACAGGGGACACGGTAAAATTCTTTTGGTTGGTCTCTTGTCAGTTGGCACTCCATAAGTTTTACCTCACTAAATTAAAAAAGAATAAAAGGACAGTCTTGTCCATACAGGACAGGCTGCCTTAATTTTGGCAAGTCCCAAAATAGTGAACCAGCGTAACAGGCAGTGTTCTCCAGGGTCAGGACTTGAAGAGCCTATTAGAAAGGAAGAAGGTGGTGAAACAAGCAGGTGCTTGAACTAGACTGTTGAAAGCTACAAACCCAGGAGAAATGGACTCCAGCTACGATGGACCACATCTGTATATATCTAGTGCTCAAAGACTTTTTGCATGAAAGTTTTAAAAATGAAAAGTTTTTCAGTTTAAGATAACTAACCACTGCACCGTACAGGGCTAGAAAAAGGTACACGAGAAGGAAAAAGGGAACTATTTACGGCATAAGTGCAGGTGACCAATCTGTTTGCTTGTTGACTCTCTCAGCACCTATAGAGTGGCTGGTACAGAGTTTATACCCAATAAATATTCACTGAATTAAATTTCAGAGGCTCAAAATTTTGAAGAGCAGCTCACCTTCCCTTGTATGTCAAGAATGAGAGCGGTAGTGGGAATCCAGTGAGGACAATCCTGGTTGGTGTGGGCGTTCATTTTGTCAAGCTAAACCACAGAACAACTTACATGGACTAGCTAGTGCAAGGTGTTATAAGTTATATCCTCTCCATGACATTGTGGCTACAATCATCTTAACACAAAAAAGCACAGTTGGGGCCGGGTGCTGTGACTCATGCCTGTAATCCCAGCACTTTGGGAGGCCAAGGTGGGAGGATCACAAGGTCAGGAGTTCAAGACCATCCTGGCCAAGATGGTGAAACCCCATCTCTACTAAAAATACAAAAAAATTAGCCAGGTGTAGTGGAGGGTGCCTGTAATCCCAGCTACTCAGGAGGCTGAGGCAGAGAATTGCTTGAACCCGGGAGGCGGAGGTTGCAGTGAGCCGAGATGGCACCACTGCACTCCAGCCTGGGTGATAGAGCGAGACTCTGTCAAAAAAGAAAAGATTTTTTAGCTGGGATGCTAAAAAATATATACAGTAACACCCAATTGCCAGTGGTAATGGGATGACTGATCTCCCAAAGAGTAAATATAAGTACCTTTGAATAGCTGAAAAAATGGTCCACAGAACTGTCAGGTCCATTTTTTAAAAATAACTTTGCACTCTTCTATCACCAGTGCCCCAGCACTCCACCCTATCACCTCCACCAAGGTATCAAGGCTTTCCTCTGTTTGCAGACACACTACGGTACATAGGATGTTGAGGGGGAATGAGAAAGTCATCTCTAGGCAAACACCAAAACAGATGAGAGTACCTCTGACTCAGACAACAGAAAAAGAAATAAAACAACACTCCCAGAAGAGAAACCTCCCCAGTTAGAGGCATCTTTCACTGCACTGCCGAATGTTGGCAGCAAAGATGGCATATGACACCCATAAAATGCAGAGACCAAGAAAGAAAAGTCCCTTGCTCTAGTGGGTCGAATGGTGGCCCACAAAAGGACAGGTCCATGTCCTCACCCCCAGAATCTGTGAATGTGACCTTATTTGGAAAAAAAAGTGTAATTAAGGATCTGGAGGTAAGATAATCCTGAATTACCTGAGTGGGCCATAAATCCAATGGCAAATGTCCTTACTAGAGACAGAAGAGCAGCGAAAGAGAAGTGGTCACATGAAGATAGAGGCAGAAACTGAAATGACACAGCCACAAGCCAAGGGATGCATGGAGCAACCAGAAACTGGAAGAGGTGAGGAAGGATTCTTCCCTGGAGGGAACATGGCCCTGCCAACACCTTGGTTCAGGACTTCTGGCCTCCAATACTGAGAGAATACATTTCTGTTATTGTAACCCACCCAGTTGGTGGAAGTTGTGATGGTAACTCTAGGAAACTAATCCACATGCCATACCTCCAACTCAGGTATTCCGCTCGTGGTCTGTTCACCTCCCATCTGGAAGGTGCAGAAAAGCTTTCTGAATGAACAGCCACAGCAGCCTGGGGACTCCCTAAGATAGGGCCCTCCTCTACTCTGAGTGGCCAGGTTGTGGCTGATTATTTAGTCAGAAGATCTGGACTCACATCTCAGAGCTGGAAGGACCCTTAAAGGATGATAAGATCCTCAAGACGGACATACTACCACCCTGACAGTAATCAAGCCCTGAAAGTTAGCTAACTGGCCTAAAGTCTGACTAGATTAGACCCCAGCCCAAATCCCAGACTGATCCTCCTTCTGCTACTCCAAATAATACACAGAGGCACCAGGGCCTAAATAAGCAATAAATATTGGTGCTTCCTCTTTTCTCTTTTTACATTTCCAGCCTTCCTTAAAGGTCCCTAAAACAACTACCATTTTAAGAAAAGGTCTGGCCAGGTATGGTGGCTCATGCCTGTAATCCCAGCACTTTGGGAGGTCGAGGCGGGCGGATCACTTGAGGTCAGAAGTTGGAGATCAGCCTGGCCAACATGGTGAAACCCTATCCCTACTGAAAACACAAAAATTTGCTGGGCGTGGTGGTACATGCCTGTAATCTCAGCTGCTCAGGAGGCTGAAGCAGGAGAATCGCTTGAACCTGGGAGGTGGAGGTTGCAGTGAGCTGAGATCGCACCACTGCACTCCAGCCTGGGCTACAAAGTGAGACTCTGTCTCGGAAAGGGAAGGGGAGGGGGAAGGGGAAGGGGAAGGGAAAGGGAAAGGGAAAGAGAAAGGGAAAGGGAAAGGGAAAGAGAAAGGGAAAGAGGAAGGGAAAGGGAAAGAGGAAGGGAAAGGGAAAGGGAAAGGTCTTATTCTCACTTCTCAAAGATCTACCAACCTAGAATCTACTTCACAGGAAACACACCACAGGAGTAACTTGGTTTGCAAGCAAGATGGGCTCTCTTGACAGATGCTAGCCTTCCATGGGACCCATTCCACATTCCTGAACAGTTTTCTTTATTTCTATAACTCATATAGTCATCTTTGTGTTGTGTATTTACTTGGGAGGGGCCCTCTCTAATCTAAATAGGTATCCATCATAATTCAGCCTAAGATAAGTTTAAAACAAGGGCAGATGCACAGAACTTCTTATGACCTTGAGGTTGACTTTCTGGGTCAATAACTCAAATTGGGTGTCGCTGTAGGAAACATGACATTCTGATAACAATAGTGGAACCAAACAAAAAATAAATGCAGCAAAAAAAGGATCACCTTAAGGATTTCTTGTGTGAACCAGGAATAGAAAAAGAAATGAATAGAGTTGTTTAGGAAAAAGAACATGCAGCATTGATACTACTTCTCTTTCTTGCAAGTACAACTTTTAGAACCTATCCCAAAAACTTAAAAAAAAAAAATCCCACCACTAGTTTAACTGTTAATTGTTGCAGTCACAAAAAGGAAAGTATATACACTAATCAAAATGAAGTAAATATAATCAGTTTTAATCCAACATGGAAACCCCATGATGAGACTGAAGACATCCCTCAAATGCATGTGGGTTCCCTCTCTCTCCGCCTTCAGCTTTCTGCCTGTCCTGCCCCTCCCCATTCACTCCTCCACTACACACACAGACACACACACCCTACCCATACCTAAAAGTTTGTTCTCTCTATAAACTCATCTGTGAAAGAAACAAGGTTGTATTTTATCTCTGGGCAAGATCAAAATGCAGGCAGACATCAGAAAGATGCACTCAGCTGAGACCTTCCAAGGCCCTCTTCAGCTCACAAGTGGGCCCAGGAGAGATAATGTGCCATTACTTTTCTGGATATTAAGAACAAAGCAACCTCCTCCAAATACTTATTCTCATGAAATGACCTGGTCAATAGTTTTCATTTATTGGCAGTAGGCCACAGGGCCCTTTGACAAATTAATAAATGCTATGAACTTTTCTCCTTAGCAAGTCCATATGCCAACACCCTGTATGTCACTGCAGAGGGTTCACAGACATGACCACTATGCCCCTGTCCATATTGATCCATGGATCCTAGAGTGAGAAGCCCTGCTCACCAAATTAGTTGGCTCATTCACATTCCAGCTACCTCCCTCCCACTCTGCCCCTCATACTTGCTCTTTGTGTCTATTTCCTCTGCTTGTACCAATCCTCCTTTGATTCTGATGAATAAATAGACAAAGTCAACTACATGGTAGCTGGAGTTTAGAACATTGTACTGAAAAGTCTTGAGCCAAAGAAAAAATACTGATACCTATCCAAGGAAACAGCCTACCTTCTGGGTAAAATTGATCTGAACTTCCAAACACTGATTCTGATGCATTAATATTGGCCCCAACCAAAGAATAGCAAAAGGACAATACTCATAATGACTGGATTTTAGGGTTAGAGAGATGACGGTGGCAAAAATGAAGGCTTACTGGAACTGGTGAGTGATATGGCTCGGGTCCTGAGCCTGTTCATAGAGAGGAACATATTCATCACTTGGCCTCTGAATCCTTTGCAACAAAAACTGGACGGTAGTGCTCGCTACTATTCTCAACTCTCTCTCTCTCTCTCTCTCTCTCCTCTCTCTCTCCTCTCTCTCTCTCTCTCTCTCTCTCTCTCTCTCTCTCTCTCTCTCTCTCTCTCTCTGGAAATTCAACTATAAAACTTCAGCAGGACATTTCTGTGCTTTCTTCAATTTTTTTTTTTTGAGACGGAGTCTCACTCTTTCACCCAGGCTGGAGTGAAGTGCTGCAGTCTTGGCTCACTGCAACCTCCGCCCCCCAGGTTCAAGCGATTCTCCTGCCTCAGTCTCCCAAGTAGCTAGGATTACAGGCACCCGCCACCATGCCTGGCTAATTTTTGTATTTTTAGTAGAGATGGGATTTCACCATGTTGTCCAGGCTGGTCTCAAACTCCTGACCTCAGGTGATCCATCCGCCTAGGCCTCCCATAGTGCTATGATTATAGGCATGAGTCACCGTACCCGACCTGTTTAATGTACTCTTACCATATGGACACAAAATTAATAAAACTGGCCTGAATTTCAGAATCATGTTTCCCTCCAATTTTAAGTCCTAAGATTTTTAAAGTATTATTATTTTGTTTTCTTGCTTTATATCCCCTTCTAACCTCTGTTTTTAATGTTCTTAAAAAAAAAAAAGAGCTAAGGAAAGTATAGGAATTGTCTCAGGAAATGGAAGGCTGACTAAAATCAATTGTTAACTATCAATAAGTAGCTTCTTCAGCATGGCCACAGGGATGCTGGTGGTCACACTTGCTTTTACAACATGGCAACACAACCACCAGGAACCAGAGCTCTGGGCACAATTATATATTTTTCATAAATTCAAAGAAAGCCAGCAGATGGCAAGAAATTAAAATACATATTATATATATATATATTTAATACACACAAGTACGTATAGTCATATATACTCATATATATATACATATTCACATATGCACACATATTCATATATACACACATGCACACCCATCCTAATTTTACTGCTGGTGCTAGAGACAGTGTTACAAACTTCCCAACCAATTCCTGATCCCTGGGCTCTAATAAGCCTTCTGACCTGAGACTTTCTCTGGTGTGACATTTAGTATATGGTTTCTGCCATATACTAAAAATTACTAAGAAAAGGAAAAGGCATCCTGAATCGCTTGAAAGTGCCACGTCTAAAGTGCCGCATCAAAGCCCGCGTCTGAAAAGGGAAACATGCTCTTGGGTTCTCTTTTTTAAATCCATTCATTCAAAAAAAAATGTTTTGTTTAAGACACAAGGTATGATTATGTTGCCCAGGCTGGAGTGCAGTGGCCATTCACAGGTGCAATCACAGCACACTATAGCCTCAAACTCCTGGGCTCAAGTGATCCACCCGCTTCACACTCCCGAGCAGCTGGGATTCCAGGCGTACACCACTGCACCTAGTTTAATAATAAATATTTATTGAACATGGATTCTCAATCAGTATACTCAACGATCTTGGCCAGGGGCTGTTCTAGGTTCTGGGATTATAGTGAAGAACAAGAAAGTCAAGATCCTCGCCTTCATGGATTTCCATTCAGAGTGGCCCAATAATGAACAAAACCCAAGACATTCAACAAATCAACTTGAGTATAGACTAGTTAACAGAAAACCACTCAATTTATTGCCTCCAAGTTAATTCAGTGAGTAATAGGTGCTTATTATGTTTCACAGCACTCTACTAAGCACCCTAACAAAAATTTTAAGGTTATAACAGACAGGATCAATCCCTGCCCTCAGCAGGTCAACATCTCCCTGGCATGACAACACACAGAGGTAAGAACTAGGCAGAGAAATTGCCAAAGAAGGGTATTGGTATCCATCCAAAATGCCTTGCATAGCCAACAACTACTGTAGGAGAAAGATGACATTCATCTCAGCAAAGTAGTAATAAGAAGAGATTAAGTTAAGAAGTACTCCAGTATATTCAATGCTAGGCAGCAGCACCACCATCCCTCCCTCCCTCCAAATGAACAAACAAAAAGTCCACATCAATTTACCCCAAGAATGTTGATGATTTCCTTAGTTTGGCTGAGATAAAGCTCTCTTTAGATTTATAGTGAAAACTAACTAGCAATGGTTAATTGCAAGAGGACATATTTCTAACCTGAGAGGTCTCTCAGCTCAGTTTCTCCCTCCACCCCATCTCTCTCTCTCTCTTTTTTTTTTTTTTTTTTTTTTTTACTTTTAAAAATAAAGAGGTAGAAAGTGGGGAACCTTGCTTTTCTGGGCATTGGGTCAAGACCACACAGAGCGTGGGAGCAATGGCAGCTGGCTGGGGCTGGCTAAGGCCGCACTCCCTTTGCTCTGCCTTTGGCCATAACCACTAGACCGCACGTTTGCACTATTTTCCAAATAACCAAAAGGGAAGACTTTTAAAACCATACTAGAACATAACTTTGTTTTTAGGATGTGTTTACTTGTTCTGGTAAAGGTCATGGGGCAGGATTTTGGGGAACACAACTAAAAAGAATGCAGTAAAACTGGCATCATAAGCTCTCTCAATTTGACCACATTTGAGCCCAGTTCAGCAAATCCAAAGATACATTTTCAAAAATGCATATCCTGTTTCACACCTCACCACAAAGCAAACAACCTAATTTGCAGACTTTCTAATACTCATAATGCCTCTAGGTCCTCCTGTCAACATGTGTTTTTAAATATCATCTTTGATTTGATCACTAACAAATATTACCACTTTCTGGTTTTTGGAGAATAAGAAAAAGCTGCAGAAATTGACAGAAAAGCCAGCTCCATCATTCTTCAAATGAACAAAGTCTCACTCTTATAAGAACTTTCTTTTGCAAATTGCATTTCCCACAAAGAAAAAAAAAATTGAAGCTAATCCAACCATAATCTCCACTCCCACAAATCACTGCCCAATATCTGAAAGAGGGTCAATGTAACTGGTGCTGTTGCTGGAGGTGAGAGGTCACAGCTCGGAATGTCTAGTAAGATCATATTATGGCCTCAAATGTCTTTAAACCAACAACTACAATACAGATAACAAACTGTATAAGGAAGAATATATGATGTGAGTAGATAGGGTAGAAGATACAATGTTCAAAAGCAATAGATGTATTACAAGGAAATCTACAAAACTGAGATTGAATATATGTCAGAGAGGCTTTAGAAGATGCAGAGAGAGAAACTTAAGTGGTTTGATTATGGAAATGTATGAATTATTACCTAGATGAAGGGAGGATAGTGACAACAGTTCCCAGATACACTGCAAGATGGGAACAGAGATAGGATGCTCTCCTGATGTTCAACTATCTGGACATCAGCTAGTGGTGATGTTCCTTTAAAAAGCCAAGCCTCTAACTGTTCCAGGTTAAATGAGACTGAGGAGATGTGACAACTAATTGCAATATGTGATCTGGGATAAAAGACACTGGACCAGAAAAATATATATATTAGTGAGATAACTGGCAAAATTTAAGACTTGTAAAATAGATAATAATATTGTATCAGTGTTAATTTCCAGGTCTGATCATTGTACTGTGTTATGTAAGACACTAACATTTAGGTTATCTGGGTGGAAAGTATTCTGGAATTCTTTGTAATATTTTTGTAACATTTTTATGTCAGAAATTATTTCAAAATAAAAAGTTTAAAAAAAACTTTTAATGAGCTAATGCAAACACACACACACAACCAAGCCTCTGATAAATTCTTGACTTGCCAAAATATCATCTTCCAGATGGAGGAAACAAAATAGAGAACTCTTAATTTGGCCTTAATTCTGAATCAAATGAGCAACCAGCTGGCGATAGAAACCTTCAACGTTGCAGCCTCCCTCACACCAACCTCCTCAGAGAAGACTGGGCAGTAGTTAACCTAGGCCACAAAAATGGAGGAAGGAACTTCCAGAAAATATAAAATTGTGTGTAGCGTTAACAAAAAGAGAGCAGGCAGAACAGAGACTGCCCTTTAGAATAGAATAGGTATAGTGAGTGGCAGGCATCTTCCATCTCTTCTCTGAGATAGAAGCACAGGTAGAAAGGCTGAAAGAGCACACACGTCAGCCAGGCAGAGACCCATATCCCTCAGGGAGCTTTTCTAAGCTGAGAACTCTTGCATTGGTTAGACATGGTAGCTCCTGTGGCTCCTTGAGATGGGATGGGGTACTTTCTACTCGGGAGTTAGAAAGGACTTGGTAGCACTGGGGGAAATACAACAAGTTACTGGCTGTTGTCAGAGAGATGCAGAGGATCAGTGGGTTCCCTGTCGAATCACACAGCCTGGTGAATGAGGACAGCCCAGGTGAGAGGTAAGGAGTGCACATTTGGCTGCCACACCCTCTGTTGCTCACTGCTCCAAATCTGAGCAATGGGGTTGGGGAGGGGGCGGCGCTGCTAGAAAACAGGATACACCAGCCAGGATAAAGCAGGAGAATTCTAATCAGTTAAGGAAAGAACACAAGCGAAACTTAGGTTTGTACCTTGGGCTTTTAGAAGCAGAACTGAGTAAAACAATGGGTATAATCCCAAGGCCAGAAACTCAAGCAAGGAATACTACTACTTTGCATGGCATGAATCATGTGCCAGACACTGTTCTAAGTATCTTACATACATTTTTGTATAAAAAAGGATAAATAGAAACGGCCAATAAACATGAGAAAAGATTGTCAATCTCATTAGTAATCTGAGAAACACAAATGAAAACAAGATACAATTTTCCACTCTCAGGTTGATACACACACATATAAATACACCTACAGGCTCATCAAATGCAGAAGTGGCAAAGGTGTGGAGAAAATGGGCACCCTCATAAGTGACTGGAAGGAGCACAATTTGGTGCTTTTTTGTGGGGCTATCTATTGGCAATATCTACTGGAATATTAAATATGCATACCATTCAACCTAGTAATTCCACTTGATATGTATCCTAGAAAAATGTTCAAAACAGTAAACAGTGAAGTTCATACAAGGATTTCCAAGCCGTTGTTCATAATGATGTCATCAAAAGCTGAAAACAACCTAAATGTAAAAGACTAAAGGCCTAATAATCTATTACTAAAGCTATTATTATGTCAAAAATGCTACACAACAGAAGGGTTTATTTCTAGATGTGCAGGTATAGGAGTAAACACACAGGAGAAGCTCTGGAGGGAATCACACTACACTTTTAACTCTAGAGAGGGACTTCTCCCTCACATTAGAGCTGAGGATAGGAGGCTCTACAAACCCAGGCATGACTACATAATTGCAACTAATGCCAATGACAAAGAAAAAGTCATTCTTTAGATGGGTAAAGAATAAATGAGACTCACAGGAACCCCCACCAGTAGGATTTTTGTTTAATAACAAAATTAACGTGCATTATGAAAAATTCAAGCAAATTAAGAAGGTTCAAAAAGTCTCACAACTAATCCTATTCCCCAAAGGTTAAGCTAATATAAACAAAAATAATGGCAAAAGATTAAAGAAGTACATGTAATCAAAATTAAAATAAGAGGTGCTCAAGCCTATAAAGGTAGTGGTATGAAGATAAAATCAACAATGATCTGAGGCTTGCAAAAAATGCTAAGGACAATCAAAGGGGCTTTTGTGCTATATTTAGAACTGATAAATTAATAAAGAAGTTAGAATAATGAACAGTGGATTTCTAAATATCCTTAAAGGTAGGTGGGCATTATGGTCTAAATGTGTGTGCCTTCCCCCAAAAAATTTCATGTGTTGCAAACCTAATAATTAATGTGATGATAACAGAAAGTAGGGCCTTATGGGGTGATTACATCATGACAGCAGAGCCCTCATGAATGGGATGGGTGCCCTCATAAAAGAAGCTCCAGAGAGCTGCCCTGCCCTTCTACTGTGTGAGGACAGAGATAAAAGGTGCCATCTATGAATCAGAAAATAGGCCCTAACTAGACACCAAATTTGATGGTGCCTTGATCTTGGATTTCCCAGACTCCAAAAATGTAAGAAATAAATACATATTTCTATACTACCCAGTTTATAGTATTTTGTGATAGCAGCCTGAATGGATTAAGACAGCAGGGAATCTTCAGGAACCAGTCTCAGATAGGAAGTCATGCCAAGCCAACCATACTTTAATATTCCCTAGGTTTATCTAAAGATTTGGCAAATATTTAGTGAACACTTACTCTGTGCCAGATACTATGAGCCAAAGCCACCAAAGACAAACAAAAAAACAACACACGTGTTCCTATCACTTCAAGATCACAATCCAGGACAGGTGCAGTGGCTCACGCCTGTAATCCCAGAACTTTGGGAGGCCAAGGCAGGTGGATCACTTGAGGCCAGGAGTTTGAGACCAGCCTGGCCAACATGTTGAAACCTCGTCTCTCCTAAAAATACAAAAGATTAGCCAGGTGTGGTGGCACGTGCCTGTAATACCAGCTACTCAGAGGCTGAGGCAGGAAAATTGCTTGAACCTGGGAGGCAGAGGTTGTAGTGAGCTGAGATCCTACCACTGCACTCCAGCATGGGCAACAGAGTGAGACTCTGTCTCCAAAACAACAACAACAACAAAAACCCACCACAATCACAATCCAGCAGGCAGACAGACATTAATCAAATAGTCCCACTAATCAATGTATAATTCCTGGCTGAGTTAAGCACTTCATAGGAAAAGTCTCTAAATATATTTGCAAAGAAATGAAGAAGTGAGGTCTAGAGAGAGGATACAGGGAGTCCATGAACTTAGAGAGTGGGAACAAAAAACCTTTTTATTTTCATTAACTTCTAAATTTATTGTTTCCTTCAAATATGAATGCAGGCAACACACCACAGTAGTACTTGTGACTTTGTCACCAGCAGAAATCCATGTAGCATTACTGTATAGGCACACAGCCCAAAATATCACTTACAGAAGTTATCACACCTGCCCAGATATCTTATTTCATGTTTATTGTATCATAAATGTTTTAATACTTTGATAACTATATTTCTATATAATTTTTTCTTTTGTAACCATGTATTTTATTTTATACATGTAAAAGCATTATTCTGAGAAAGTATCTAAAGGCTTTACCTGATTGCCAAATGTATCCATGGCACAAAAAATGTAATCTCTGAGCTAAATTCTGGTACAAGTAAGTAAATATGTGTCAAGATAAACCATAAAATCAAGGAATTCAGGTCTCAGATAACGAAGGCAACTCAATTCCCTAAGAAACAATTTTGGTCATCCTCCACCCTTCCCTTTAGTTTTGACTCTAGTTGTTTAACAAATACTTGCTGAATGCTTACTCTGCCAGCCACTGTGCTGGGCAATGGGGAAAGTACAGCAAAAAAAAAAAGAAATTTCTGTTAATGTGACCGATCCTCATCTTAGTATCTTTACTACCCATCAAAGTGACTGCTGGACAATCTAAATATATTTGCTCAATGTTGAAAGAAGAATGTCTAAGACCTGAGTAAGTGCCACCAACATATATAAGTCATAAAGTTCAAGCAAAAATTCTCTGGCTATCAAAATTTCCATTTCTTAGAAAATTTCATCAACTCTCTAACATAAAACAATTTTAACTGACCTCTTTCTCTTTTCTCCAACCTTGTAACTCAGGTTGGTTAATTAAATATTTCCTAATTTTCATGAGAAATTGTTCTTCTGAATAATCTAACCAAAGAGAACAAGGACATAAGTGAATATTATTAAATGTAAGACTTCAGTGCATTGATGTGATATCATATGCACCTATTATGAAGTCCACCTAAATAAAAGCACTCACATGACACAAAAATGAAGCTTGCAACTGGCTTCTTGATTCAGTTAGAGGAAAAGACACGCAAACAAAATAATATGAAGCATATAATGTAATTTCCTAGCCATCAGGGGTGGGTGAGCATGGGAGACGGGGAAACAGAAACCACACTGGGGATTTCACTTTCAGACTCTTCACCCATTCATAGTATGTGATATTAAAAAGAAAGTTCACAATATCACTGATCACTGGAGAAATACAAATCAAAACTACAATGAGATACCATCTCATACCAGTCAGAATGGCTATTACTAAAAAGTGAAAAAATAACAGATGCTAGTGAGGTTGTGGAGAAAAGAGAACACAATTTACACTGCAGATGGGAGTGTAAATTAGTTCAACCATTGTGGAAAGCAGTAATGCGATTCCTCAAAGAACTTAAAACAGAACTACCATTCGACCTAGCAATCCCATTGGGTATATACCCAATGGAATATAGATTCTTTTTTTTTTTTTTTTTTTTTTTTTTGAGATGGAGTCGCTCTCAGTCGCCCAGGCTGGAGTGCAGTGGCATGATCTCGGCTCACTGCAAGCTCCGCCTCCTGGGTTCATGCCATTCTCCTGCCTCAGCCTCCCGAGTAGCTGGGACTACAGGCACCCGCCACCATGCCCAGCTAATTTTTGTATCTTTAGCAGAGACCAGGTTTCACCGTGTTAGCCAGGATGGTCTCGATCTCCTGACCTCGTTATCTGCCCACCTCGGCTTCCCAAAGTGCTGGGATTACAGGCATGAGCCACCGCACCTGGCCAAATTCTTTAACCATAAAGACATATACATGCATATGTTCACTGCAGCACTATTCACAATAGCAAAGGCATGGAATCAACCTAAATGCCCATCAATAGCAGGCTGGATAAAGAAAATATGGTAAATATACACCACGGAATACTATGCAGCCATAAAAAAAGAATAAGATCATGCCCCTTGGGGGAATGCAGATGGAGTTAGAGGTCATTATCCTTAGCAAACTAACACAGGAACAGAAAACCAGATATCCCATATTCTCACTTATAAGTGGGAGCTAAATGAGAACACATGGACATACTGGAGCCTACTTGACAGTGGAGGGCGGGAGGAGGGAGAGGATCAGGAAAAGTAATTATTGGGTACTAGGCTTAGTACCTGGGTGACAAAATAATCTGTACAACAAAACCCCATGACACAAGTTTACCTACATAACAAACCTGCACATGTACCCCTGAACCTAAAAGTTAAAAAAAATTAAATAAATAAAAAGAAAGCTCAGAAAGGACTGAGGCCTGCATCGTCACACTAGAGCCTAGCAAGCTCACCCCATACCTTCCTAACTATCCATACTCTTTCAATCACTTATTTTAACAAAGAAAGGAAAACGCAAGTGTCAGCCGCAGACTGGTGAGCTGAGGTTAGCATACAGCAGGATTATGAACTGCTAGGCCTGGGATGCATCATAGCAAAGGAGGCTAAAGATTACTTCCTGCTCCTCCAGTCATATCCTGAAAGTTCACACTGACTGCTAAACGAAATCACATTTTCCATACTATTGAAAGCAGTCCCTGCCCTGCACTCTGGTGAACTGGAACAAGGTGACTTGAGCTAAGTGAATCAAGTAATTTAAAAACAGAGCTAGAAATAGAACCCAGGTATCCCAATATCCATCTTCCTCTCCAAAAAGACAATAGTAAGAACTAGCTTTAAATGATCACTTTGCCATGTACAGGCATTTACATATAGGTTGATCCTTACAAAGCACTCTTATGAGGTAGGGGCTATTATTATCACAATTTGCAGGTGAGGAAACCTGCTCAGAGAGACTGTCATTTTCCAATTTGAGACTGCCAATAAGCAGTGGTGTAGGATTTAAACTTGGGCTGTGTGAGTGCACATTCTTAACCACCATAACATTCTGCTTCTAATCCTGAGAGCTCATCTTAACAGTAATCAATCTTACTTTTCCCTTTAAAAACTTTTCACAGCTCACTCTTTCAGATATTAGATGCAGAACATATGCAATGCAATTGCCCATTTATTCCAGGAGTTCTAGAAGGACTAGGGGGTTAGAGCTCGGGCACGGTAGAGAAAGGTGAGAGAAGACACATTTTGTTCAGCCCCAAAGTCCACAAAGACGAAAACAGAAGATATCTTTAAAATGGAGGTGAGCAGAAGGAAGTAACATTGTCTTTTACTAGAGGAGTGGTTTTTCCTTAGCCTCTTCCTTCTTTTCCCTTCATCCACTGCAGTAGCCACAGCAGAGTAACTCTACTTAAAAAGTAAAGGTTGATACCATTCAACTGTGACTTCCTAACAATTCAGCAGCAATTTTTTGTGTGTTGCGCAAAAATAGCACAGAACTGGAAGCTAAGAGACCTGAATCATCTATCCGAGATCAACCAATTACCAGCCTTTTTTAGGCAGTGTTCCCTCTTCCATAAATAAGGGTATGATATTGACTTACGTGTGGGCTTGCTTCTTCCTGCTCCACAGCTATGAATGGAGCCATAAGAAATTGCCAATATCTGGCTATTTTTGACCTACAAGAGTGGTGATTTCCTAATACACAGACTTACACACAATTGTTGATGCTAAAGTATCTGTTTCTTACCTTCTTAATCTAATTCCACCTAATTCTAGCATCTGCCAACCTTCAAAACTTGTGGCTGTCGAAAGAGATTCAAGTACCAGCTCAAAGTGGAGAAATATTTTATTTAACTAAAGAATCCTTGAAATGTGAAGGAGGACTAATACATCTAAAATAAGGAGGCGATATAAGCAGTTGCAGAAAGACACCACTAATCACAGCTAAGGGGATATATGGAAATGCAGTTTTAAGAGGCTACGCAAGCCCTGAAGCTGTGGATCACTCAGTCCCCCTGGCTTCCTGAGCCATCTTTTCCATAGCAGATGGATATTAAATACTTCAAGTTGGGTGTGTATATGTTGGCAATGATGATGGGCTGGTAGAAATTCTATTCTACTTTCTTTTAGCAAACATGCTTACCAGCAATATGCAATGAGAAAAGGAGAGACAACTTTAGTTATTGGAAACTCGCCAAAGAAACTCTGCTGTCTCTAAAATTTTCCTGAGCTGTGGTATTTATGCAGTCTGAACTAAGGTTTCCGTGTCCAATTTAATATGAAAAGTCATCTGTTCCCAAGCCTTAGACAATGGCCACACAAAAGTAAAACAAAAGCTTATGGAGTTGCAACAGTGACCCTATTGTTTGTCAACCCAGATTTAACAGAAAGTGAAAAAATCCAGCAGAATCATTTCAAAGCTTTATCTGACTATCTGAATAGCTAACTTTGTTGTTTTTTAAAGTTATAATTTCATACTATTATAAAAATAGTAGTGTCCTGTGACTCTTTTGCCCTACTTCCCCCCCCATAATCCAATGATACTATCTTTTAAAACTATAACATAGCATCAAAACCAGAAAATTGTCACTAGGACAATATTGTTAACTAGACTATACTCGTTGTTCAAACTCCATCAGTTTTGACATGAGTTCATCTGTGTGTATGTAGGATTGTACAGAAGTATACACATATACTTTGCTGCAGTTTCTCATAACTACTTTAATATGGTTTCATATAACTAACCACCAAGATCAAAACACAGAACTATTCCATCACCACGAAGGACTTGCTTGTGCTACCCCCTTTATAGTTGCTTCCTACTTCCAATGTCCGTATACCCTGGATATCACTATTCCATTCTCCATTTCTAAAACTGTCACTTCAAAAATGTTACAAAATTAAAGTATATTTTTTTTTGAGACTGGCCTTTTTCATTTAGCATAATGCTCCTAAGATGCACCCGGTTGTTGTGTACCAATAGTTCATTTCTTTCCATTGCCAAACAGTATTCTATTGCATGGATGTACCAGTTTGTTTAACCATTCACCCATTAAAGGACATCTGTAGTACTTCCAGTTTCAAGCTATTATGAATAAAGCTGCTATGAGGGAGGTTTATGCATACAGGTTTTTGTGCGAACAGTTTTCATTTCTCTGGATTAAATGCCCCAGAGCAATTGCTGTGTCATAGAGTAACAGCAATATTTAGTTTTAGAAACTGCCAAGTGACTTGCCAGCATGGCTGTTTCATTTTACATTCCCGCTAGCAGTGTACAGAAGATCCAGTTTCTCTGCATCCTTGCCGGCATTCAGTATTTTCACTACTTTTAATTTTAGTCATTCTAGAAGGTGATAGTTCATAGTGGTTTTAGATTGCATTTCCCTAATGGCTAATGATATTGAACATCTTTTCCTGTGCTTATTCGCCATATTCTCTTTGGTAAAATGTCTCCTTGTGTCTTTTGCCCTTTTTCTAATTGGACTGTTTCTCTTTAGCTGTTAAGTTTTGAGAGTTCTTATTTATTTATTTATTTATTTAATCCTAGATCTAAAAAAGAACTAGATGTAAATAAGTCCCTTATCGGATATATGTTTTTGCAAATATTTTCTACCATTCTGTAGACTGCCTTTTCATCCTCTTACCAGGGTCTTTCACACACAAAGCAAAAGCGTTTAATTTTGATGAAGAAAATTTTATCCATTTTTTATTTTATGGGTTGTGTATGCTTTCCGCATTGCATCTAAAAACTCTTCATCTAGTCCTAGATTCCACACATTCTTCTAAAAGTTTTCAAGTGTTACATTTTACATTTAGATCTGTCATCCATTCTGAATTAAATTTTGTATAAGATATGAGGTTTAAGTCAAGGCTTTTTTTTTTTTTCCTATGGATGTTTAGTTCTAAAAAGCACCATTTCTCAAAAAAACTATCCTTCCTCCATTGAACTGCTTTTGCACCTCTGTCAAAAATCAATTGGGCATATTTGTGTGAGTCTATTTCTGGGTTCTTTATTCTGTTCCATTGATCTACGTGTCTATCCCTCTGTCAATACCACAGTCTTGATTACTGTCACTAAAAAGAAAGTCTTAAAATAGGGTAGACAGACTACTTCCAATTCATTCTTCTTTTTTAAAATTGTTTTATCTATTTTGGTTTCTGTGCCTTTATATATAAATTTTAGAACAAGCTTGTCTGTATCTATAAGAAATCTTGCTGTGATTCTAATAGGAATTGCATTAAACCTATAATCACTTTGGGGAGAATTGACATCTTTACTATGTTGATTTTTCCAACCCATTAATGTCTCTCCATTTACTCAGATCCTCTTTAGTTTCTTTCAGCAGCAGTTTGTAATTTCCAACACACAGGCCCTCTACATGCTTAATTAGATTTATACCTAGTCACTTCATTTTTGGGGAGACTGACTATCAATGGTGTTACACTTTTGACTTTGATCACCATATGATTATGGCTAATCTACAGAAATATGATTGATTTTGTGCATATGTCTATCTTGTATCCTGTGACCTTGCTGAACTCACCTACTAATTATAGAAGGGGTGTGTGTGTGTGTGTGTGTGTGTGTGTGTGTGTGTGTTCCTTGGGATTTTCTACATAGACAATTGTGTTATCTGAAAGTGGGGGCAGTTGTATACCTTTCTTTCCACTCTGTATGCCTGTTATATTAATTTCTTGCCCTACTGCACTGACTAGGACTTCCAGTCCTCTGCTGAGTAAGAGTGGTGACAGCAAACACCCTCAACTTGTTCCTAGTCTTAGAGGGAAAGCATTCAGTCTTTTACCCTAATTATGATGTTAGCGGTAAACTTGGCATTTCCCCCCTTGGCCAAGTTTCAAAGAGGAAGTTTTCTGAACATAAAATTTAAAGGAACATACATCTGAGAGTAAGTAGAAACTGTGCTGCTTTTCTTGACTAGTGTCTACCTCCTTCCCTCATACAACAATGCTTTTTCTCTCAGAGGAAGATGACCTTCTGCCATCATTTATACAGCTCCAGTGCAATGGGCACATGAGTAAGTTCTGGTCAATTCATCCATCCTAGCCTCTGGACCAAGTAGTTAGTCCAATAAAATCCAATTAAAGAACTTTCTTGGAATGATTACATAAAAGCTCTCTTTCCACTAGACTTACAGATCAGGGATCAACAAACTATGTATGGCCCATGACCCAAATCAAGCCAGCCATCTGTTTTTGTAAATAATAAAGTTTTACTGAAGCAAGGCTATACCTATTCATTTACATATTGTCCATGGCAGCTTTTTAGCCACAGCAGCAAAGTTAGTAGCTGCAATCGCGACCACATGGCCCACAAAGCCTGAAATACTATCTGGCCCATTACAGAAAAAGGTTACTGACCCATGTTTTTAATAATAAGATGTAAGCTTGGAATGAATAGTAAGGAAGCATCTCACCACTCTGAAAAGAACGTGTTGGAAAATGAAGCCAATACAAAAGAGGAAACCAACTCCAAATATTATGTAAGTTCCCAGATTCGGATGAGCCACAGACTATTAGACTCCAGTATTTTTCAGTTATGTAACCCAATAAATCCAGCTTTTCTTCAAGTTTGAATTGAGTTTCCCACATTTGAATTAAAATAATTCAAATTTACTACGTAGATAAAATCCATAATGCTTATTGTAGGAAGACAATTCTAATTTCTTCCTCCATTATATGTCCATCGACACCATAAAGACATTCAACATTTCTTTAGACTAGGATATGACTGTGTATTAAAAAAGTATGATTTAATGCTAAAACTAAATTTAACATTTAAAAATGAAATGTTGCAAAATCAACTGATTTGGGACTCATTTAGTTTTTCTTTGTTTTTCAACCAACCATCCTAAGGTATTATTGGACAATGAAAGAACAAAAAGAACAGAAACTAAAATTAACCCCCTCCAAAAAAAAAAAAAATCCACCAACACCAAATAATCCATCAAAGAACAACTGAGATAGAAGTATAAAACAGGAAATAGTTGCCACTATAACAGCTCCCTGAAATAAGGCAACGACACTAACACCGACTAGAGAAAGAGCTAACTAGAGAAATCCAAAGCTCCCACGGGGACAGATTTAACTCATTAGGGAGATGGTGATTAAAGCTGGAGCTGCTAATTGTCTACTGGACATATATCTCTAGTAATGTCCCCTAGAGGCTTTCAGCAATGGGAGACAAAATTAAGCCTAGTATTACTGTCAATTACACAGACATCATTTGTCTATATTTATCTCTCTCTTTAGGAAACTAAAAAGCACACAGAAGTGTGGTTTTCAGTGCAAGCTATATGTTCCTGTGAGGAAATAATTTTATATCATGTTTAGAAACAAAATTATTTTGTGTTTAAACTTGTTTTCATTTGTACATTCTGGAGCAAGAAGATGTTTCTTTCAACAGCACACTTTCCATCTGCAGAGGCCAGATGTTAATCTACAGGAAAACTGAAGTGGTTAGTAAGAAGACCAATTATACGCAGACAGAGAACAAATATCTAAGTGGTGGGGAGAGAGGATGGGGAGACTTAAAATGGAATTAATTGGTGAGGCAGTTTTAGAACTCCAGCTTATTGGAGGCAGGGGGAGAGACAGTAGTGGGTTTGGGTTTTTTTGTTGTTGTAATTTGGCTTTTTTTTGCCCATACCAAGAATAGAATCCCATACAGGATTGTTCTTCCTGGGCACTTCCTCCCCTATGAGTTGAAGAATCATTCAAGGGAGTGAGTGAAAGTACTGTAAAAATGAACTGAGAATTTTTCGAAGGCAATTTTAAATTTTATCTCCATTAAAGATGAAAACCAAATATGTCTAGGATTAGACATGGGTCAAATTCTAGCTTTGCCACTAGGATGGAGACTGCCAACTATTCACAGTATCCTTTCTCCTCTTCTTCTTTGAAGTAATAACATGTCCAGGGTCCTGGCAGGGCCCATGACTGCCTATGTACAGCCTAGGTTTCCCAGCCTGCTTTGCAGGTAGATATGGCTGTACCATTATGTTTGAGCCAATGGAAGTGACATGTGCATCTTCTGGGTCCTTCGAAATGCTTTCATCCTCATTTTCTGGCTGGAAAATGGCAATGACTGGAGCAATGTGGGAAGCCATGGGCTGAGGATAGCAGAATGACCCTACTAGGCATGGACTCCTCCCTTCTCGGCTCTAAGAGAGAAATACACTTATCTATCTTACATAAGCCACCGTACTTCAGAGTCTCTCTGTTAATAGCAACCTAGCCTGTACCCTACTAATATAGCCATTTACTATCTGTGCTACTTGGGGCAAGTTACTTAACCTCCCTAAGCTTCAGTTTACTTATCTATAAAATGGAATCACAGCACTTATTTCATTAAGTGCTAAGAGAAATAAACAGGTTAAGAGATGTAATGTGCTCAGTCCTGTGCCTAACATGTAAAAATGTGCTCAACAAATGGTAGATAATGCTAGCAAAAAGAAAGACCTACTTAGGAAGCTTCTTTCAAAGGCCTTTGACATCAAATAGCTATTGTGCCCATAAAGCCTCAAAGGTAGAAATGTGTATCTGGTTTTGAGGGTTCCTATGGGTAACAACGTATACAGAGATAATCAGAGCTATCTTATATTTTAGCCCAGGAGAAGAATTAAGATTAAACAATGCTTAATTATAGTTTAGCAAACTGTGCCTAAATCATCAGTTATTTAAATCTTTAAGAGATCTTGCTCTATATTATTAAATGTCATACAATACTAGCTATTTCTTTATGCCTAGTTGACTACGTCCCATGTTTGTATAAAATATGGCTGAGTAGAAAGGTACATAATCTATGTTGCCAGACCACCTCATCAGGGTAAGCTGAGAAAGACACACACAAATCAGCTGGCATTATCCAGCCTGACGCAAAGAGTTCTATAGTCAATGGAGCCCATGGCCTACTTCTTCCTTGCACACATTTCCTCCCTTTGGACAGTACCTGTGTAAGTATCAATTATTGGCCCTCTGGCATTGTAGATTCTTTTTCTCTTTTGTTGGTGGCACATAGTTAGACTGTACTCTTACAATTTCTGCAACCTTGAGATTTGCTGAACACTGGAGTTGAGATCCTTGGAACTAAGATAAGACGACTACAGTGATTCCAGGGCTCTTATGGATTTTACACGTCACAAGATGCAGAACAACTACAAGATTACATCACCCAGCTGAGGCCAGCATCGCTGAAATGGCAGCAGGGATCATATTACCAGGCTCACCTCCCTCCATCCATCCTGATAATGTCCCGCTGCTTATAAGGGGAGGTAAGTTACTACGGGAGGCTGAACCAGAAGTCAATGATAAAAGATGGGAGTTCTGGTGTAATTCTATGCAGAAGCCATGCCTTAGGACAGAGAGGCCAAAGCTCAAGAACTACATCTATACAGAAGCAATATCAATATCCACAAACATAAACCTAGGAATAAAAAACCACCTCTGGTACACTGGTTTCAAGAACCCAAGGCTTTAGAACAGCAGCAAAAATCACTGCACTAGGGAAGCAACAAACAACTCAGGGCCTTCATTCTTGCTCTACTTCCCTGAATTGTTACTTACAGGTTCCCGGCCATCCATGGCTTCCATCCAGAGCCTCCGGTCCTCTTCCGACAAAGCTTGCATGGTGATAACCCCTGGCCTGCAGAGAAAGGAGGGACATGGATATGAAACCAGTGCCACATGTAGAGAGATTGGTGAAGGCAAATCTTAAACATCCACTCAAAAGAGTCAGTGGCTGCTAAGGTTAACAACACAAAGAGGGGCAAAACACTCGGCTTTACTAAGCCACCTTCTACTCTCAGAAAGGATGGCCCAAATTCCTCTCAGTCAGCCCATCTCCCTCAGAGAGGCAGAAACACAGAAGACATGATCCTATTTTACAGGTAAGGGACGTAGAGGAGTTAAGTGATGCCTTTAGACGTTGTTCAATTCCTTGAAATCTTATTCATTTCTAGACCTCAAAACGCTTAACAGAGTATTTTACTCACGGTAGAAATGCAATAAATGTTTGTGGAAGTGAATGGAATTACTGGACTCAAGATAAAAAAAAGAGGAGAAAATATCCAACCTGGAGGCATGCTTGTCTCCTAATATCTAGTCCACTGCTTCTAAACTGCTTCAGACATGGAGAAGTTTTATGGTGGTCATCATCTTGGTAGTTATGATTAAATGTGCACAGTATTTTTTAAAAATGAATACTTAATCATGTCAGGTGCTAAGTGCTTTACATGCATGAGATCATTTCACTCACTGAAATCTGCTTGCTCTCTAAAACTGAGCACAAGCCCTCCAGAAGACATGCATACAATATCAAATGGGTTTTGTTCAGTTCCCATCACAAATGGTACTCCGCAAGAAAAAGAGACTGCGCCATAAAAACGACCTTGGGAGAAGCGGCTGAAAGCCCTCTATGCCCATTAAAGCAGGAGTTCTTCATTTAGGGTGAAAATAGATCCCAGAGTGTCCCCAAACCACCTCCTCCTCTCCCTCAAATGTATGTGGATTTTTCTGTAGAAACAATTCAAATTGTCTGTCAGATTCTCAAAGAGAACTGCAACCCTCAAAAAGTTAAGAATTGCTAGTTAAAACCATCCTCTTTAAAATTTGAGACAGCCTAAAAAGGAGGAAGAGGTCCACTGAGCAAGAACTAAAGTCCGATTCCTGTCTGAGTACACAAACACTGCTAATGATCATACAACAATATGGTATTAAAACCACACAGGCTGAGCAACACCCTGAGCAGCACAAGCCTGGGCCCCATATGCACCCAAGCCTGGTCATTCTCACCCACCCATCATCTCTGCTTCTGGCTTATAGCTATAGTTCCAATGAATATGCTAAACCTATTTGTGTTTAACATAATTTAAAAGTCACATTTGATTCTTTTCATTAACCATTCCTTGACATCCCCTTAAAAATTTAGAGCCGTGGGCATGTAAATACAGACAGGTTGAGGATACAAGGGGCATGGGGTAGGGGTGTGAATGTGTGAGGGTGTAAATGCGTGTGGGTCGGGAGAGACAGAGGGAAAGCATGCAAACGAGCAAGAGAAGGGAGTGAGAAAACAAGCAAGAGACAGAAAGGGGAGTGGGGTTGTATGTGGGTGGGAGGCGTGGGCAGCTAGATGAGTGGGCGTGTTGATGATGGTGGAACACTGATCCCAAGAGGATGGTCATTCCCATGAAGGTCACACTGGGACTGGCACCACAATACAAAGATGACTCAGAAGATGGAATAACTCTTCTCTCCATGAGCACCTTCCAGGACTCTCCCTCCTCTTCTCAGAAATTCTCATTCTCAGACCCAACCAAGTGCCCACTTCCCACCATCAGCCCATTCAGTGTGCCAGACTCAGTGGATATCTGCAGACTGCTGACAGTGGTGGCTCCACAGAACTGACCCTGTGGCTTAAGGGCACAATGAACTGATTCCACCCTTCCACCTTTCTCTAAAGACCAAGTATGACGTCTTAATAGCTTTGAAACAAAAAGCCTCTGCAGCTACTGTCTATTGCAGAACTCTCAAGTCCCCGGTTTTGGGTCTTTGAGTGTTACTGTAGGTGCTGCTCCTGTACCACCTGCTTCAGAATCAGACATTCCCTTAACATGGAGATTCCAGCCCAACCCCACTCTACTCAATCTGAACTGGGCTGTGCCTGGGAACTTGGATTTTAACCAACTCCCCAGGTGATCTTGATGCAGAGTTAAGTTTGAGGCCCACACCCTGGGCTGTCCACTCCATCCCTACTCTTTTCCTTCCTGTTCCCCCTGCCCTAGAGAGCAAAGTTACCCTCCTTTCTGCAGTGAGGTCAAGGAGCCAACATGTCTCTAGTTCGTTTCCTGCTAGTGGCTCACCAGCAAACAGTGAGATCACAAGAGCTGTCTACATACCAAGGTCTCAGGGGCTCACATATATTACATCAACTTCATGGCACACAGTGTGAGATTTCCACCCCAAGCCACAGAGGAAGTTCGACAACCTCAGAGGCTGTGAAGGGTGGGCCACTTGGCCTTGGTAACCAGGAAAGTCAACAGGATTTGTTTTCATTCCAAGAAGAAATATCAAAATACAAGTTCTTTTCCACATGTGGTCTTGTTCCCTTTTACAGGGGAAGTGGGGTAGGGGACGGATTCACATGTCTTGCATGTGAATTTCCAAGAACCAAGATAAAAAGGGTGAACTATCTTTATTCTGGAGTAAAACAATAACTTTCTTTCCATATTTACCTTCCTTATGTCCCTACTAACAACTATCCCTCAAAACAAAATAAAACAAGCAAAACCCTCAACGACCCTCCACTTTCCATGTCAGTTCCTATACAATAACATACTTTGAGACCTTCTCTTACAGGATGTCAATTTAATTCATGTTTGAAATGCATGTGGTTCTTCATAGCAAAAAATGGGCAGGGCAGGGGAGACAGAGAAGAGAGAGATTAAAAGTAGGAGGATAGGCCGGGCGCAGTGACTAACATCAATCCCAGCACTCTGGGAGGCCGAGGTGGGCGGACCATGAGGTCAAGAGATCCAGACAATCCTGGCCAACATAGTGAAACCCTGTCTCTACTAAAAAATACAAAAATTAGCTGGGCGTGGTAGCACACGCCTGTAGTCCCAGCTACTCGGGAGGCTGACGCAGGAAAATCGCTTGAACCCTGGAGGCGGAGGCTGCAGTGAGCCAAGATCATGCCACTGCACTCCAGCCCGGCGACAGAGCGAGACTCCGTCTCAAAATAAAAAAAGAAGGAGGATAATATGGAATGAGGAAGGGAACATATAAAACAATGAAAGAGAAATTGGAGTAAATATCAGAGCTCTTTTTACCTCTACAAAGAATTGTGAGCCTATTAGACCCTCTACAATAAAAGAACAGTAATAATTATAACCCAGCAGTATATGCCAGTTGCTGTGCTAAGCACTATATATAAATTAATTCACCCACTCTTCACAGCTACATCATGAGAAAAGTATATTCTTATTATTCCCCTTTAGCAGATGAGAAAACCAAGGCTCAGAGAGGTTAAGTATCTTGTCCACAATCACAGAGCTGGCAAGATAATAGAGCCAGGATGTGAACACAGGCATTCCAACCCTTAACTCTTGTGCACAATGCCATGGCAAATGTGATGGCACCGCAGCCCCCAGAGAGCTCACGTTGACCACCCAAGTCCTCTGGTGTCAAAATCAGCCATGCACTTCTGCAAACACCTTAGTGAGCTCCTGCACGGGATTAAATGAGATTGAATGATAAAGAGCTCTGTAAAAACCTAAAGTGCTTCATAAATATGAGGGCTTACAACGCTACTCTAGGCAACGAGCTAATCCAAAACAAGAATTCAATAGCGTCCAGAATAACTGGGGCTTACTTTCTATAGAAGTGGTTCTCCATGTTTTATCTGTCTTAAAATACTCAAGAGATGGAAAAGGCAATGAGTTTTAAAAAAAAAAAAAAAAACACACACACACAAAAAGTCCTAATCATAAAGAAAAAATATTGAAAAATTGGACTTCACCAAAATGAAGAACTTACACTCATCAAAAGATGAATTTAATTACTTAATTACTTTTATTTAAAAAATTAAAAGTCAAACCAGAGTGAGAGAAGATATCTGTAATATCTATCTCCTGCAAGAATCATATCCAGAATATGTAAAGAATGCCTACAAGTGAGTAAGAAAAAATGAACCACCCAATACAATAAATACTTGAATAAGCACTTCATAAAAGAGGACATCCAAATGGCCAATAAGGCTAAGAAATAGAGCCCAAACTGATTACTTATGAGGGAAATGTGATTAAAACCACAATGAGATATAACAAGTACCCTCCTGAATAGAGGGCATTAGAAGGCCACCAATAACCAATACTGGCAAAAAATGTAGAGTAACTGGGACTCTCATACATTGCTGATGGGAGAATAAGTTGATGGAACTACTTTGGCAATATCTGCTAGAACTAAACATAAACCTGCCCTATGACCTAGCAATTCTACCTCTACATATATACTCAAGAGAAATGAGTGCATATGTCCACCAAAAGACGCATTCAGGAATACCTGCAGTTTTATTTAGAATAGCCAAAAATTGCAAAAACAACAACAAATAAATATCCATTGATAAATGGATAAACTGTTGTATATTTGAACAATGGCATACCATACAACAATTTTTTTAAAAAAAGAGTCAACTACTGCTAAATGCAACAACACGAATGAATCTCAGAGACATAATGATGAGGGAAAGAGACCAGACACAAAAGATTATGTGACTGTGTGACTCCACTTCTATGATGTTCAAATACTTGCAAAACTCATCTATGGCAACAGAAGTCAGAAGAGTGATTTTTTTTTTTTTTTTGAAAAGAGATATGGGCAGTGACTGAGAAGGGGCACAAGGGTATCTCCTGGAGTGACAGAAACATTCTATATCTTCATCTGGGTGGTTACACAGTTGTGTGTGTATAACAAGTTATTAAAATACAGACTTTGGAGTCATGCATTTTACTGTGATTACACCTCAGTAAAAATCGTTTTAAATACCCAAGAGCTATGACTTCTCATCAATAACTTAGGCTCACTAGTTATCCTGATTCTAGTGCTTCCTAGATGTATAACCACGGCAGACTAGCAACTGAACTATTCTGTGCTACTCTTATTACCTATGTTTTAAAGAACAGTAGCATAGAGCAGTTCAATTACTTGTCTCCCAGCGTTACCAGGATTACACCTCAGGGCATGCTGGGAAGGTTATATGAGAAGTGTATGCGGCATTTCAAAGTGTCAGGCACACGATGAATGCTCCAAAAATTAGTTGTAATCACAGGGGCAGGTAGAGGTGGGGTGAGCAGGAACAGGATGGTAAGTATGGGGTAAGGTTAAAATTACGGCTGCAGAAGGGCAGGTGTGTATAGTTTCAAAGGGAAAAGAAACAACCCACAGGTGCTAATGACATGTGTGATTCCCACTCCCAACACACTCATACACAGCACTGAAATTCATGCCTCTACCACAAAGCACACAGGGCTGAGGGCTGAAGGGACACACCTGCACTGACATAATGGCCATTTCCTTTCTCCTCCTGAGTAACGCAACAAAGTGGCCTACCACTCCCTTTTAAAATTAACATCTGATAACTAATAAGAACAGAGAAGGGGTCTTTGGCAAATTCTAAAAAATCTGCCAAGGAGCTCCCTCCACCCGCCAGATGAGAGAAGGAGCAAATGACTTAAAAATCCTCTGTAGAGCTCAACCCTAAGAATCCACTTAAAATACAGCACTTCCTTTTCACTCTGAATATGTCCTTAGTGCTATATCTGCTTAAGAATCTGGATCTGCTTAAGAATCTGGATCTGCTTAAGAATCATGAACGAGGATCTGGAATTTTCTCTAAGCTGGCACCTCACCTCTCACACTGCAGGAGCCATGGAGAAAACAGCTCTCCATCTATTACAGGGCAAGTTGCTACCCAACACCATATCTCCTCCAACCCTGGCCCCTAAAAACAGCCCATGGAAAGCAGTATATGGTTTAGCAACACATTCAGGATCCTGGGACCACTGGCTATACCAACTCATAGCCTCCTCACCAGCCAAGAGCAAACAGAATCACAACCAGCCCCAATTCCAGGGTTACTCGACAGCTTTCCTACGCTAATCTTATTCCTGAATCTGAGTCAACAATAGTGATCTCAGTGGTTTGGCAATTTACCCACTTCCTATTGGACAAGGAAAAGCTATTACTAACTCCACCCCACTGAAACAAAAACACTCAGAATTTAACAGTACCGTTCTTTCTAAATCAACCTCCAAAGATCTAGAATTTACTCATTCATAAGACTATAAATCTTCTGTTGGCAAGAGTTCATTCCCCAGCTTCCATCCACACTACTGTATATTTAAGGGTCAAATTCAAAGTAGAAGAGCTGAGGCACCCACAGGAACACACAATCTCAAAGCCTGTGTCTGAAACCTGCCCCTTATGCTTATTTAGGAGACAAAGGGGAATGATAAGGAATGGAGCATCAGCTGCCATCCACTTGCAAGAAGAGTTTTGCAAGTGCCAGGGAAGGGAAGTGGTCCTTTGTTTCTAAAGTGCTACTGGGAAAATGAATTCCTAACAGTTCCTGGACAATGCAATGGTTCGGGTTCAGAAGAGCTTCATTTACACAAAGATATGGCCAAAGCCACATAGAATAATCTTGGAGAATGACACCTTTTCCATGTCTGTTTATGAGATTACAGACCCAAATGTCTACGGAGACTCGGTAAGTAAGAAAAATTAGGGAAACTGGATAAGAAATTCTTTAATCCAAGGAAAATAGACTTGGTCTTATGTTGCTCTTGGTTTTTTCTTTTGCAGTTTTACTTTCAGATAGAAACAAAGAACAAAGAATTATCTCCCCTCTGTGGGAAAAACAACAGTGCAAGTGCAAAGCAAAAAAGCTGTCACTCGTCTTCATGGGGGAGGTGGGCAACAGGGCATGGTGGGGACTGCGGCAGAACAGAGAGCACACACCCCACCTAAAGGAAATATCTGTCATTCAGCTCAACCGGTAGCTGGCATGCGGGAAGGCATGATCAGCAGTTAAAGATTTTTTTCAGTTTTAAACTGTTGCCTCAAACACTATTCAAGCCAAACCAAGCATGTCTGTGGACCACCAGTTTGCAACTTCTGTTGTCTGTGTCTTCCTCTGAATCTATCTGAGCTTCACCCTAGGTCATCATTACATGTTATAAAGTCATCCATCTCATGCATTAAGACCAACAATGAAGGATGCCTGTCTATATTCTTGATTCACCTTACAGTCAAACTCAGGAGAGTATCTCCAGGTCATCCACAAAGGAGGAACTTGGGCTACTTCCCTTTTTCTTCCAATACTCAAGGACACAGTGCCATCACTGGAAGGCAATGGTAATCTACTATTTGGAGACAGAACATATGAATCTGCACTACTATGCGTGCTCTGATGTAATAAACCATTGAGGTCCTTCTGCAAGACCTTTGTGCATGGAAAGAATTAATAATATGCCATGATAATCTGGGTGTGGTACAGGTGAGAGACAGAGGAAGTAAGAAACCAGAAGATGCTGCAACTGGCAGCCCCCAAACCACAGGTAGATTTACTGAGTGTTTATTATGTGCTAACCACTGTGCTAAGGACTTTACTTGTATTATCATTCATTCTTCACAATAACTGTATGAAGTAGACACTACCATTATTTCTTCTTTTAAAAGTGAAAAGACTGAGACTCACATAAATTACTTGCATAATGTCACACCACTAGTAAGTGCCAAAGCCTGCACTTGAACCCAGGTGTGCCTGAATCTAAAGCAAAGCCCATGCTTTAATGACAATGTTGTACTGCCCCCCTGTGCATGTAGCATACATGTCCTGGGATCCAGAAAGACCAGCATCTTAAGGAGAAGAAGAAAGGAAGGAAGGAGGGAGGGAGGGAAGGAGAGTTGGAAAGAGGAGGGAGGGAGGAAGCAAGGGTCAACCCTCTAAGAAGGTTTTGGAAGTAGCTTCTAATCAATTATTTAGAAAGGATCTGATCCTCTCAGCACTTTGGGATGCCGAGGCGGGTGGATCGCGAGGTCAGGAGATCGAGACCATCCTGGCTAACACGGTGAAACCCCGTCTCTACTAAAAATACAAAAAAATTAGCCAGGTGCGGTGGCAGGCGCCTGTAGTCCCAGCTACTTGGGAGGCTGAGGCAGGAGAACGGCACGAACCCGGGGGGCGGAGCTTGCAGTGAGCGGAGATTGCGCCACTGCACTCCAGCCTGGGCGACAGAGCAGGACTCCGTATCAAAAAAAAAAAAAAAAAAAAAAGGATCTGATCCTAATAAATGAATGAATCATAACCTATTAAAGCCTGCAACCTTAGTATTTTTAGAGGAATGTTCCTAAAATAATTAGGATCATAGCAATAATAATAGTCTAAAAAGTAGGTATCACCAACCACATCAGATAAGTTCTTACATTTTTATGAGAGACTGAAGTCGTAAAACATCGGGAAGCCCAAAGACATCTTTGGCATATTAAATTGCATGGCTCTTAAATGCAACAGATATTGACTGAGTTCCTATTATGTGCCAGTCATCATGCTAGGTATCAGGGACATAGAAGCAAGCAAATGTTAACACACTGCACAAGGACAAGGCATTATTCACTGATGGGATGAGTGAGACTCAAGGAGAATGCAAATACCTGTTACTACTATTGATAACAAACTATGAAAATATAGCTTCTGTTTCATGTATTTTTTTTTCATTTTTACTATTCTATCTCACAATCAACAGAAATGTACATAAGTGGAATGTACTGGTTGAACTGTTTCTTCTATCCAGAATTACATAATAGCTCATTTTTGGTTTTGATTTTAAAAAGACAAACTCATTTTATATTTAGAAATTGGTAAATAAACTGGTATATTCAACCAATAAAACTCCATATTTCACCAGGCAGACTAAAGAGTAAAAATAGGGTTGCCTCAATCACCCTCCCAATCAAGTCCATTAACCACCATACCCCATTCTTTGTTAAACCAGAATCAAACAGCAAACAGGCATGCTCTCATTTAATTAAAAGAAAAAAAAAAACTCCATGACAAGTTCAAACTACATGAATTCTAAGACTCCAAGAACTTCTCCACTAACTTATTTTACAGAACAGCCAAAAAGCAATTCAGAAACTATGGTATCGTCTCCCAACTCAAGTCATGGAAGTCAGAGTCATATAACACCCTCTGAGGAAGGAAAACTCCATTTCCTGCCTGAAATGTCATGGCATTGAGACCAGCACTCTAATCCAACCAGCAGGAAGGCAAAATAAAATATTATTTCAAACAAGGGGTGAGAAGGGGAGGGAGGGGAAGTCTGAAACCAGGAAAAATGGATTCATGTGTTGCAAAAGATAAAGGCACGTTGCACCAGGAGGGAAAAGTAGGACTGCCAGGTTCTCAGCACACACAGGACAGTGAAATCACTCATCTTTTCTGCACCATCCTAAATAAGCCATTCCTAAAGCAAAGGGCCTGGCACTTTAGTTCAAAGAGCCAGGTAAAGGGTAATGTTTAAACAGAGGCCCAACTAACTGAGCATGTTTGTTTTTGCAAGAAAGTGGGTATGAATGATTTGTGATGAAAGGGTGGGAGGAAGGAATTTCTAGAGAATGAATGAGTCATTTAGGATACTCTTCTTCCTTTAAGGAATAATACTCTCATGATTATTTTTTTCTACAGAAAACACACACACACACACACACACTCTTCTGTCAATGTATACAAGGTGTATATAGGACAGCTGATTTTCAACTGGACCTTCTAATAGTTACTAATACATACACAAAACTGCCATCTAGAGGTTGAATGTTGAAACAAAGTCTGTTACATAAGATGATCCTTTTTGGAAAACACATAATCTCAGTCACACAATTTCACAAAAACACACAAATGCATACACACACACCTCTTAGCAAGCTAGAAGAAACAATATTATTTTAATTTAAAATTAATACAGTTTCTTCTTGAGGCCATAAATTGGAAAGAGAGGGCATAACACTTTATCTTTATTTGAAGCATGTATCAACAACAGGTTATCACATACACAGTTTGAAAATGGAATCTTACCCTAGCAGGCCCTTTGCACATATAACCCGAATGCACCTGTATTTCCTCTCAGCTTATAGATAACTTGAAAACTCATGACACTACAGGAAAAGGAGCACCATTAAGACAAAAAGCAGGCTCACAGGAATATCCACCAAAGCTAAGGTTCACCATCACAACAATAAAGCCCCAGGTTTTAGGGTATAGAAAAAAATTCAACAGCCATGTTTTCAGACATAGGACTCCATCAGAGGGGAATATTAGTGTGTTCCACCTTCAGAAAAAATCCTGCAATGTAGTGATAATTCACCCCATCTTACAGATGTGGTTAAACCACTTACCCAGAGTCACACAGCTAGTAAGGAACAGATCCCAAATTCAAATTTAGGAATGCTCTTATCTTTTTTACCTGCATCATGCAGCCTGCCATACAAACATATTTGAAATGAGGGTGCTGAGGGTTCCAGTAGATTCTTCAGATCTTTCAAAAATCTTTCTGGCCTCCACTATTCTGACTTTCACCAATCTTCAGTTTTCCTGGGTCTCTTCCCTAACAGTACACAAATGCAGGTTAAGTGAGCACCTGCTAAAAGTTTAGTTTAAATAGCAACTAACTTGATTAAGCTCCTCTAGTCTCTTACACAATAGTTTACCATGGCCTCAAAGAAAATAATTAACCCATGTCAAAATTACGTCACCATAAAAAATAAAATTGAACAGCCATATGCACATATTACTGTATTAAAAGCTGCATAAAATGTTCTTCTGCCTCTGGAAGCAAATCACCTGAGACAGATATTTAGAATTGAACAGAGGTATATAAAACATACCTAATTAAACACCCAACCAACCAATACAAAGAAAAGCTTATTACTGTGCAAATGCAGGTTACCTGGGAAGAAGAAGAATAGAGTTGACAGTGGATGTGAAATGCTAGGTTGGGACTAGATCAGAGGAGAGCTACTGCCCTTTACCTATTCATGGAAAGCTTGCAAAACAAGGACTTTGGAACTGGTATGAAAGAAAATCAGATGAGGTCTGTTAAGAAAGTCCTACAGATTTGTAAACTTTATATCTCCACTGCCAGTAGTCTCTAGCATGTAGTAATGCTCAATAAAATAAGGAAGGAAGGAGGGAGGGAATGAATTCAGCGTATTCCAGTCATGCCATCGTCCCCTGTAAGAATGGAAGGGTAAAGTCCTCTTGTTTGTTACTTTCCCCCCAGTATTCTGGCCCTCCAGGTTTGCTGGAACACTCAACATCCTGGTGTTTATACCTTAGTTGCTTGAGTATATATGAGCATTCCAAACTCAAAGGTAAGCTCCATGAAGATAAGTTTATTCTTGCCTTATCCCTTATTACAACTCCAGCACTAAATATCCTTGCCATCTCTAAGAAGCTATCCTTGCTGCCCACCTCTAGAGAGTACCAATGCTGGGAAAGGGGCACTTAACACACAGCATTTTCAAATGTATGGACATTGGTGAGAGTCAGCTAACCCCAGAAAAAAGTAATCATTTCCCTTCCCCAGTGTAAACACTGCCCCTCAAGAGACTTTATTGATTCAGGGAATCAGAAAAAGTTTTATTATTTTTCACATGGTTTACTAGGCCCTCCTGGAAAACACCTGAGAGAAAATATCCACGTGTCACTTACATCTGTGAGAAATTTCTTGAAAATAAACAAATCCAGGGATGCTGGCAAATGACTAGTACCATGATTCTTTAGCCTAAACAAATATTTTCCCTATATTTGCTCATGAATTTCCTTAAGACACTGCATGACGGAGTGAATTATTCAAAGTGACAGAACACAGACATAAGCAAGTACTACCGATTCACATCCTGCTACCACTAATGGCTGCTTTGAAATCATGTCCCATTTTTTAACCCAGAAATTTTACACTAAATCCTCTCAAAGAGTTGACACATTTTGTAATGATCAATCTAGTCTTTATTCAATTAACCAATATAAATTATAAACCTTCAAATGCTTGGTGCTATGGCAAAGTAATACAAAAGCACCCAAGAATGCTGCTTCATTAAAGAATAAAAAAAGTGATTTTTATTTTATTTTACTGAGATGGAGTCTCCCTCTGTCACCCAGGCTGGAGTGTGGTGGCGCGATCTCAGCTCACTGCAACCTCCATCTCCTGGGTTCAAGCAAATTCTTCTGCCTCAGCCTCCTGAATAGCTGGAATTACAGGTGCCCACCACCATGCTCGGCTAATTTTTTTCTATATTTTTAGTAAAGACAGGGTCTTGCCATGTTGGCCAGGCTGGTCTTGAACTCCTGAGCTCAAATGATCCACTTGCCTCGGCCTCCCAAAATGCTGGGATTACAGGCATGAGTCATCACGCTAGGCCAAAAAAGGGTGATTTTTAAAAAGCTAATGAAAGCTTAGGCTATAATCATGTAAAAAAATAAAAGAAAAGAAAGGAAGAAGGTAATTTATGTGAATGGGCTGCTTTGTGAAGTGGGGTTCCTTGGCAATGGGATTGTTCAAGCAGTAGGTGTTGAGTTATCCATTTAAAGGCTGCTGGGTGCATGAGTGCTGCTTCATTGAGAAAGGCCCTCCCTATTCAAACTGCGTTCATTTCCTGGGGCTGCCGTAACAAAGTGCCACAAACTGGCTGGCTTAATCAACAGAAATTTATTGCTTCACAGGTCTAGAGGCTAAAAGTTCAAGATCAAGGGTTCCTCCTGAGGTCTGTGAGGAAGAATCTGCTCCATGCCTCTCCTCTAGCTTCTGGTGCTCTGCTGCCAACCTTTGGTGTTCATTGGCTTGTAGGTGCATCACCTCGACTTCTGCCTTCATGTTAACACGGTATCTTCTCGTGTACATGTCCATCTCTGGGTCCAAATTTCCCCTTTTTACAAGGACAATGGTAATATCGCATTAAGGCCCACCCTAATGACGTCATTTTAACTTGATTATCTCTATCAAGTAATCTCCAAATAAGGCAACATTTTCAGATACTGGGGATTAGGACTTCAGCATATGATTTTGGCAGGGACACAATTTAATCTATAACTAGTATCTGCTAGGAAATTTTTTAAAATTATCCTTTGGAGCATGTTGTGGCCATACCACACAACTACTACAAGTTACATTTATTTAAAGCCATATCATATTATTAATGCTAGAGTCTTTAAACTGAATTTCAAAAGAAATCAGAAGGAACCTTCAAAGAATCATTATATTGATTGGACTGACATGATACCTTGATCCAAGCAAGTTTTCGGTTTGAGATTGAAGAAATACAAAGAATTTCTACTAACTTTAGCTTTTTGATGTTAGGAACAATGAAATCTTTTTGAGGGAAAGCAGAGATATGAAGAGCTAACATTAGTCTGTGAAACATTTGCTCCATGTAATCCTAGGGTCCTCAGTAGTTCAGGTTTGAACATCCCCCCCACCCCAAAAACTAGTTCTGAAAAAAAGGAAGGCACTAGAGAAAAGAAATTAGAGGAGATGTGACCTCTGAAATCATGTAGAAGCCAATACAAAAGGGTGTGGACACAGAGATGAGAGTATAGGTCTACTTTTTAGATATCAAAGGTAAAACAACTTAGATATATAAGAATTAAAAGTAGATTTCTAGAAATGTATTTGGTTTTAAAAAGGATCCTCGGCCGGGCACGGTGGCTCACACCTGTAATCCCAGCACTTCGGGAGGCCGAGGCAGGCGGATCACCTGAGGTCAGGAGATTGATACCAGCCTGGCCAACATGGTGAAACCCCATCTCTACTACAAATAGAAAAATTAGCCAGACGGGGTGGTGCATGCCTGTGGTCCCAGCTACTCAGGAGGATGAGGTAGGAGAATCGCTTGAACCCGGGAGGCAGATGGTGCAGTGAGCCAAGATCACACCACTGCACTCCAGCCTGGGTGACAGAGCAAGACTCTGTCTCAAAAATAAAATAAATAAAATAAAATAAAATATAAAATAAAATAAAATGGATCCTTGAAACATAAAGTTCAAGAACCATAGATCTAAATCCCATTGGCCTGGATTAACACTTAATTTGATTTTCAGTTCATTCGTTGTTCAAAGAATGACAACAGTTTTCTGTAGGACTTATGTGTCAGGGATTTGAGGATTAACAAACTGACAGCAATGTATTGTGATACAATGAAAACAATTAGCTGACAAGTGATACTACTGCTAGGATATCTCCTACTCATGCTAGCTGTCCTGGATTAAAAAAAAAAAGAGTGTCACCTTAAAAATAAAAGGTGGAGCTAGGGACAGTGACAGTGGTGTACCTATCTTCTCAACTACTCGAGAGCTGAGGTGGGAAGATTGCTTGAGCCCAGGAGTTCAACTCCAGCCTAGGCAACATGAGGAGACCCCACCCACCTCTAAACAAATAAATAAAAGATGGAAGAAAAGGTGTACAGAAACCAAAAAACCATTCATGGAACACCTATTCAGTGCCATGTGCCTGTCACTGTGCTCTATCTGCATTGCTTCTTTTAATTTAGTCACGGGAGGACTTTCTGAAGGTCACAGAGGAGTAGATATAAGAAGAGAGGCAAATTTGCTGCTTCAGTTCATTGTACTTTATATTGTACAGTTTCATTGTAGTTTACAATGCCAAATGCAACTGACAGGGTGCCAATAGCACTTCCCAGATTTCACAGCCTGAAAACTGGACACTGCGGTGTCTCTGAAATGCAACCACCAACAGCTCTGAGCTCATCACTGGAAAATGTTTCTAAAATATCTGAAGTTTAGGCCAGGTGTGGTGGCTCACGCCTGTAATCCCAGCACTTTGAGAGGCCGAGGCAGGTGGATCACCTGAGGTCAGTAGTTCAAGACCAGCCTGGTCAACATGGCGAAACCGCATCTCTACTAAAAATACAAAATTAGCTGGGCATGGTGGTGCATGCCTGTAATCCCAGCTGCTCAGGAGGCTGAGGCAGGAGAATTGCTTGAACCCAGGAGGCAGAGGCTGCAGTGAGCTGAGATCGTGCCACTGCACTCCGGCCTGGGCAACAGAGCAAGACTCCATCTAAAAAAAAAAAAAAAAAAAAATTCCAAAGTCTTGAGGCACCAATGTGCCCTGGAACAGGCTCCTGAGAACCTCAGTTCAAATCCCACCTTAGCCCTGAGTAAACGGCCTCACCACCCTACACTGCAGATTCCTCAGCAGTATGGGAATAATGGAGGACCTACCCCCCTGGGTTGTAGTGAGGATGACACAACACAAGGATGAAAGTGTTCAGCTTATAGGAAATGCTCTGATACTACCAGTTGCCTCACTCCTCCTCCATTTTCACATCCTTTAAAAAGGCAGGGGTTTTATTGTGGTGGTTGTTTTTGCCTTTTGCCTGGTCAAGTAATCTGTCTCAGAGACCAGAAATCACCTTTCCTAGTAGTTACATTCTCCTCCTCCATACAGGTAAGCATTCAGCTCCTTAGTAGAGGAGCCTGAATTTTTTTTTGTTTTGTTTTGCTGTAGTTGCTTGTTGTGATTTTTCAAATTAGGAAAATGTTTTCATGTGTTCTGATGAAACTGTATTGTGAAACACATTGTATTTAACATACCAAGTAGTAGTAAGAATAAAGGACAACTAAAAAGCTTGAAAATATGGATTTCAGGGTCTCAGTCCCAGAAAGTCGAACTGTGTGGGTGTGGGACAAGCACCAGGAATCTGTAACTGAGTGCACGTGGTTTTCACCACAGTAAAATACGTTGATGTACGGTAATCAACTCACAATATTGACCTCCTAGGATATCACCTCCTAAAGGATACAGCTTTTGTTACAAAATAACATGATATATCAGCATTAAGTATAAAGGATAAATGTATTCAATCTTAAAAATCCACAATATCCCATATTCTAAGTCACATACTTCACACTTCAACATGTATTTGTATCTTGATAGAATAAAACATTTCTAGTCACTACATAAATGTTTGTGTATTCTCCAGTTAACATACTCCAGGAGTACCTTAAACCCTTATGCGATTAAATATAACCATCCCCTCTTTCACTTCCACATTTCCTAGGTGCTAAACTTGCATTTTGATCCTCTGCCTCTCTGGTCCAGCAGGTGGAGCTGGGGAACCTGTGGAAGGCAGGACAGCAGGGCATCTAGCAGCAATCACCTCCTCGCTAAAGGACATTGGTGAAAAAGGAAAGTACAGGAGTCTTTGAGAGAAAAGGATTCCGGGCAGAGTTCCCAGGGATGCAGCTACCCAGCGCATGAAAATGCCTTTTCCTTCTCTACCCGGACTCCCTTCTAAATATTGAGGGAAAAAAAACAGAAAGGCACTGGGGTCAAAAAAGGAGAAAGGAGGAAAATCCTGCTGTATTGTAACCTAATCTTTGGGATCTATATAGAAAACTGAGAGGAGGTGTTTCCTAGGACGGTCTACTTACCTCCTGTTCATTAAGAGGAGATTCAGGCCAGGCGTGGCGGCTCATGCCTGTAATCCCAGCACTTTGGGAGGCCAAGGTGGGTGGATCACTTGAGGTCAGGAGTTCAGGACCAGCCTAGCCAACACGGTGAAATTCCGTCTCCACTAAAAATACAAAAAATTAGCCGGACATGGTGGCGAGTGCCTGTAGTCCCAGCTACTCGGTAGGCTGAGGCAAGAGAATCACTTGAACCCGGGAGGCAGAGGTTGCAGTGAGCCGAGATCATGCTACTGCACTCCAGCCTGGGTGACAGAGCAAGACTCCATCTCAAAAAAGAAAAAAAAAAAAAAAAGAGGAGATTCAGCCCCCTCAACTGAACCATGACTGAAATCTCTCCACGCCATGCAGAGGGAACCAGGGACAGAAACTCAGGAGCAATCGACTCGCAAGCCCACTCAGTATGCTGAATGTGACACATTCGCTCTTTGCTTATGATTGGGACATGCACAGCTGTTGTGGGAGTCATAAAGGAGGGAAGGTGCTAGGAAGTGCTGGCAAGGGTGGAAATAAGATGGAGGTGCCACAGTGAGCTTTAATCGCCTAAAAAGCCACTCTCCGCAACTTCTCGGGAAACTTCTGAAGATGAAAACACAAAAATAATTCAGCTTCAGAAAGCAAATTTGGGCTTGTTTCCAATCTGACAGAGAGCTGCAACACAAAGCATGCCCTCTTCAAAGCAGCTCTGCAGCAGACGGTTATCTCTAGGAACTGTGCATTTGATGAGCATCACAGGTGGCTGTACTTCCATGCAAACAGATCTTCTGAACCTCCTTCAAGGATGCCAATAATATGAATTCCCTTCAATCACATGCTTAGAAAAGAGAAGGGAGATGCTTAAAGCACCAAGGTTTAGGTTTTGTTTAAAACCAGTAATAACAAAATTTGGTTTGGGGAAGGCTGTTTGCAATTCCCCTTTGCTACCCCAGTTCAAGCTATCCTCCGACCCCACACCCATGCTATTCTTCTTTACCTTCCCCTCTCACACCTCTACACACAGTAAAGGATATGTACCTCTCTGTGTTTAGAAGTGAAATACCAAGTCTGAGGAGCACGCAGGATAAGCTATTAGCAAAAAAGAGTAACAGCTAATACTTGTTGAGCACTTATTATCTGCCCCTCTGCCAAGCATTTTACATGCATTATTTCCTTGAATCCTTATAACCATCCTGGGAACTTCATTTTCCAGGTGAGAAAATCAAGGTTCCAAAAGATTAAGTAATTTGCTCAAAGTCACATGGCTACTAAGCAGCAAAGTCAAAATTTGAACCCAGGTTGTCTGGCTTGACAGCCAAAGATGTAATGACTAAATTGCTTAAGAGATGCAGTTAGTTTCCACGAATTTCTGATAAAGGCTAAGGGGGCACGCTGTCTCCATGGGAGGCCTAACAGCCTCCAGCAGCCCCAGCAGCCTGCAGTGCAGAGTAGACACCTGCCAGAAGAAGGCAGTGCAACCCCAGGCAGTACTCAGTCTCAGGATGCCATAGAGCCAGGGAAAGGTGGCCACAGATGAACTTCCCAGGGAGGGGTGAGTACTGGCTTGATGAAATGGTATAATGTTTTTTTAATAAAAGGAAGAGATTAAATGGCATTATACGGAGTATCATGCTGAGATTTAAGGATCTTGGTGCTAGCATTCCTGATCTTGAACAGGCAGCTCAAATAAGCTTAACACGTGGGTTTCATTGAAAAAATTAACCTGTTGCCAAGTAAAGTGTCTCAAAGAATTGGAATGTTGTCAAACTAGCTTAACACCACGAAATGGTACAACTTAATGAGAGACTCTATAAATCTCGAGGAATACAACACACGGCTCTCTCTCCAAAAAATTGTGATTTCACGAGTGGTTTGGTGTCTTTCCTGGGCACGCACACACACTGGTAGGTGAAATGTAACTAAAAGCTGTTTTTTTATTTGAGAAAAATTTCTTCCATTTCAATGCCTTTCGAATCATTATACTAACTTTTTCAGTTAAAAAAAATTCAAATAGCTGATACAATCATGCTAAATACTTTTCTTTAAAAGTCTACTACTCAATCTCCTGGAGATATAACACACATTTCTGAGCATGAAAGCACTAATATTAAAGTAAAACAAAACCAAGCCAGTGATTCAGTGCTGAACCCAAAAGATAGGGAGGTTCTAATGATTCTCGCAAATCAGCAATAGCCTGGATCCAGCACCCTGGACATAGATGAATGGATGGAGAAGGAAAGGAAGGAGGCAGGGGGAGAAGGAAAGGAAGGAGGGAGGGGGAGAAGGGGAAAAAAGCAGAAAAGGTTTGACTGGAAAGAAAAAGTAAGATATAGAAATTCAGCTCTATTTGCTCCTGAGAAAAGCATGCTAGCTACTCACCTGTCTACTGCTTCCACATCAAAGCAAAACCTCTTCTCAATGGAGTCTGTTTTCCGCCGTGTGCAGGATTTGAGGATAACTGATTCATCTTCTCCCTAGTGGGAACACACAGACTATCAAGATGAGGCCAGAATGGGAGCTCTACTCCTCCCAGGACATACATGACATGTAAACAGGAGCAATCATTTCATCTTCTCAAATCTGAGTGCTCATGACCATGGGCAGTGGAAGGGTGACTATAAACCTTTCCAGGACAAAGCCTCATGCAGCTTACATTCGTATACCATGTTAGACTTGGACCCAAACATCTTTAGTACGGGTGGATCATGATGGCACCGCATCTGTCCATGGTAGATAAACGAGTGTTGACATTGTTTTAATTTGCAGGTTTGATAAGAGTAGAAGAAGATGGTCTCCTCCTAACTCTGAGCTTCTATGATCTTGGGTTGGTCATCACTTCTCCAAAAAAATCTTCCTGGATCAGAACAAATATCCCCAGAACGTGTTCACAAAGCACCATGTACATCTCCCTCCATCACAGCACTGACCATAGCTGAAACTGCGCATTGATATAGGTGATGAATACAATAATGTCTCTCTCTCCATTAGACCACAGGACCCTGAGAACAGAGACTGGGTCAAATTTTGCTTACTTTTGTCTCCTGGGCCCAACTGGATCCTAGAAAAGAGTAGCTCCTCAATAAATACATTTTAACAACTTTACTGACATATGATTAAGGTATAAGCTGTACATGTTGAACTGTACAACTTATAGATTTTGATGTCATATACATCCATGAAACCAACACCACAACCAAGCCAGCAAACAATTCCATCATCCCCAAAAGTTTCCTTGTATCCCCTGGCAATCCATCCCTCCTCCTAGTACATCCCCAAGCAATCGCTGAATCTGCTTTCTGTAACTATTGATTAGTTTGCATAGTCTATAATTTTATATAAATGGAACTACACAGTATGTGCTCTTTTTGTCTGGCTTTTTTCACTTAACGTAATTGCTTTGCTATTCATCCACATTGTTGTGCATATCAAGGGCTTATTTCTCTTTATTGTTGAGTAGTATTCCATTGTTCAACTGAATGTGACAATTTCATCTCATAGCACTAGTTTATTGCCCAGAAACACAGAAGTTGCTGTCCCTGATTTCTTCTTACTGTCACTTAGGAATTTGTTAGGGTTTCTGTTTCTCCTGCCTCTGTCAATCTTTTTTATCTAAACTAACAGGGGAAATTAGCAAGCTTGCCCAGTTTGTTGAAATAACAGAAAGTGTGGCTACATAAGGTAAAATTTAACCACCCACTAATATCAGAAGAGCAAACAAAACACAGAAGGCCTAGGAGGAGACAGTTTATATTCACAGGCCTTATACCTATTGTCTTCCACTGAATAGCAAAGATTAATTTCTCAGACAGAACTGCTCTTTCTCTAGTCTGTAAAATATCTGAGTGCAAACACCCAAACATAAGAGATTCTGACTTTGCTGATGTCTAACTATAAATCTGATTTAATGGCTATGGACCAGCTTCCACTTTGAAAGATTACATGAGGTGTCCCAGAGAAATGGGAGGGAATAGGGATATATAAAGGATCACCAAATACATGCAGAAAGAGGAGGAAGATTAATATTCTGTTCCAAGGATGACCATACCATATCAGCAAAAATCTATAAAGATGGTCTGTTCAACTATTGATTGCTTTAAAAAGTGGGGGACGTGGATATCACTTAAACAAGTAAATGAAAAGTTATAACCATGAAAAATTCTGTTTTTAAAAAGCCAAAGTTAAGGAGATCTGACCTGGTCAGGAAGGTTAGGAAAAGCTTTCTTGAGCTGAAACTGAAAGAATTCATAGGAAATAAAATAAGGAGGAGGGAATGGAGCAGGTGGACAGGCCCTGGGGTCAGGGTCCACATAGGCTTGGAGAAACAGCAGGGCAGCTGGTGTGGCTAGAAGCCCAGAGTGAGGGAAAGTAGAAAGAAGAAGACTTTGAGGAGTGACAGAGGCAAGACCATGTAGGATTCTCGTTTGTATCCTGAGAGCAGCAGGAAAATAAAGAAGGGTTTCAATCAAAAGAAGGGATAGGATCGGTTTTGGGCTGCTCCAGATCTGCAGAGGTGCCTCAGGTCAGAGTGTAGGATGCAGGGAAATTCTTCCGTCACACACAGGGTCTGGTCTCCAGGAGGATGTGGCAAATCTGCTCACAACTCCAGATCTGAAGCTATGAGAACAGTGGGTACTTTTAAAGGAAAATAATCCAAATGAAAAGGACAGTGAGGGAACCTAACAGGTGGAGAAAGAGCATGTTAGGAAAAGAAAACACCCAATTATCTAGGTTAAAAGATATTTATGTTATCTATTTATCTATGTTCTATCTACCTCTAGCTCCTAGGAGAGCTCTGTTCAAACATGTATGCAGGCCAAGCATAGTAGAAAACACTGGTAATCCCAGTACTTTGGAGGCCAAGGTGACCAGGAGTTTGAGGCCAGCCTGGGCAACATAGTGAGACTCATCTCTATTTCTTCTTTTTTTCTTTTTTTGAGATGGAGTCTCGCACTGTCGCCCAGGCTGGAATGCAATGGCGCCATCTTGGGTCACTGTAACCTCCACCTCCCAGGCTCAAGCGATTCTCCTGCCTCAGCCTCCCAAATAGCTGGGATTACAGGCATGCGCCACTGCACCCGGCTAATTTTTGTATTTTCATTAGAGATGGGGTTTCACCATGTTGCCCAGGCTGGTCTTGAACTCCTGACCTCAGGTGATCCACCTGCCTCAGCCTCCCAAGTGCTGGGATTAACAGGCGTGAGCCACCACATCCGGCCTCGGTCTCTATTTTTAAAAAATATATACAACAACATCACATGATTCCTCTACACAATCGAGAAGACATCACCTCTAGACAGCCAGTCCTCATATTTCCTTCACCCTAAAGCTGAGGAAATAGTGACGTCATGGGAAGTATAATGAGTTCAGAATCAGGAGATTCAGACTGTGGAAAGAGCGTTTGAGCACCAGCTCTGTAACTTGTTAAATGACCTTAGAAATCATACTCTCTCCTAACCTCAATGTCCTCCTTTGTAAAAGGAGGAAAACTGGATCAAACAGGGTAATATAAATAAAAGGTTGCAGAAAAATATAAAACATAATTTAAATGTAAGGAATTACTAGGAAAATTAACTCTTATAATATCAAGGTCCTAATATAGCACCCATTATGTGTCAGGATTTGTTCCAAAAAATTTTTATATACTAATTCACATAAACCTCTTCACTACCCAATGACATGCTTTCTAGTAACTCTCTGAAGTCTCTGGAGAACCAAACATCCACTATAATTGGTTTCTACCCTTCACTTTCAAGTGTGATAAGAAAGGAATAGAGAAAATACAAAAGAGTTCTTCATTAAAAGTCTGAGAAAGCCCAAGATAAAAGGCCCAAAAACAGACTGTGTGAGAGAACAATTTGGTGAAGCTGATTTCTAGAAGGACTAAGAATTGGGAAGGGACTAAGGCTCAATCCAAGGAAAGCAGGCACAACTCTGTTTCCATTTCATGAAAACTAGGGGACACCTAATAATGTAGGTTTTTAATATTCCTCCTAAATGTAATTTCTCTGTTATGACATTTTAATGTCTGTTTTCCTGAGATTATTTATAAATCAATCCTGCCCCTGCCAAGAAACATAAAAAGGGCTTTGTTATTGCTTTGATTCAGGGAAGGAACAGAGATGCTGATAAACTTCTCTATCATGGCTTAAGTAAAAGAAAGCCAGGAAGAAAAACTGGAAGTGGAAGAGAACAAGGAGCACAACATGGCTGAGTACCTAACAGTAATGACAACAGCACCTAACAGCACTGGCCCAGGCAGACTGAGAGCAAAGCCAGCGCTTTTAACCCCTACTCTATAATGCCCACACACACGCAAACTCAACATGTTGCATAAAAATGTACTGCAGAGAGGACCGAAGTGGAATGCTTGTAGAGGACTAGTTTATCGACAGGTTAGACACAAATGAAAAACTATTTAAGCTGAAGACAGAGTAAGAGAAATTATTCAGAATACAGTCCAGAGACTCAAACAGATAAAACATGTAAATATTTGTATTAAAAACATTTAAATATCTCCAGAGGGAGACAATAGAATGGGAAGGAGGCGAAACTCAAAGGGATAATTGGTGAGAATTTTCCAGAGTTATTGGAAGAGACCAAATCTCAAATCCTGGAAAACCAAAACCTCCCAAGCAATAGATTAAAAAAGAAAAAAATCAAAGCTAGGGCTATCATAATGAAATGTAGAATATCAAAGGAAGAAAATAAAGCATAGGAGCAAAGAGAAAAGACAGGTCACCTCCATAGAAATGCATGTGGCCTGCTGTGGGAACACTCAGAGGAGACTCACAAGCAGGCAGGAGGCGAGAGGCAACAGCCAGGAGGAGGGAAGAACTAGGAGCATTCAAGGAGCTGCCCAATGGCGGGGACACCAGGGAGCCATATGTGCCCAACTGTCTCTTCCAAAGATAGCTACATATCACCTTCTATGCCACGTGCTTTTCCTACAATGAGACTTTGATGCCCCTCCCATGGAGAGGCAGGGTCTACCTCCTCCCCCACTGAAACTGAGAGGGCTATTGTGACCATTTTAACCAATAGATAAGGTAAAAGTAAGGCTCTATGACTTCTGAGATTAAGTCATGAAAAGGCAATGCAGTGTCTACTTTAGTTTCTAGAACATTCACTCCTAAAACCTTTTGCTGCCCTGAGGCCACCATGCTGTGAGGAAGCCCAAACTTGCTAATACAGAGAGACCAAATGGCGAGGCCCTGGGAGTATGCAGAGAAAGAGGGAAAAGGGAAGAAAAGGATACAGGAGAGAGGATGACAGCTGTATCTGGCCAGCTTGAGCTGCTTCAGACCCTCCTTGTTCTAGCTCTAGCTACTGTCTGCTTAGTACTTTATGAGAAACCTCAAGCCTGAACCACCCATCCAAATGCCCCCTGAATTCGTGACCCACAGAAACAATGAGAAATACTAAAATGATTGCTGTTGTTTTAAATGTTGCTAAGTTTTGGGGTGACTTGTTACACAGCAATAGGTAACCAGGACATCTATGTTGCCACTGGCAGCTCTCCAGGTATCAAGTGGGAGTGGGACTGAATCAGTTTCACAGGATGAGGTTATTCAATAATTTTCAGCATATAAAAATATTTGATACGCTTGATATTGTATATATGTGAAATACAAAAATATTTCTTAACTGCAGTTCCTAACGTAAGTTAGAGCTAAGAGTAATCATCTTATTTTAGCGATTCTTCAGCCTCTTAGGCTTCCTGAACTACTATATAAAAATTTTTTAAATTATTAATTTTAAATTTATGATGAAACATAAATATAACACTGGAGGTGTTACTTTATACATGCATTATAATCATTATATGTTAGCCAAGCAAATCAAACATCAAATTTTAAAAATGAACTCACCCCTTTTCCTCCTGACTTTTGGTCAAATGGTACCATGGTGATTTGTTTGGAATCCCGTTGATATGTACAGTAGTGCTTCACCCAAGAAGTTCCAAAGTGACCTGAAAGGTAATATTTCCCATAAAATATCTATACATTCCACTGTATGCTATACATCATGAGCTGGAAAAACCACAACCCATAATTCATAATGCTCATCTACCCTACCCTTAAACTATGTTAGAAGTAATATATTCTCCACACTAGCTAGAATGAATAGACAGAAATCTGATCCCACAGGCTCAAATGAAACCAACCCCGGGATTTCCCCCAGGGACCAAAGAAGACTGTTTCCCATTGATGCTACATCCAGTGGGTCTTAAAATACAACGGAAGTAAAGGTTCCCTGGGGAAACTAATCCCCGTTCCCATCATCAAGCCCCAACTGAAGTTTCCACTCTCTTCACTGACAGGAGTAAGATGATTGAGGAGAGAACGCAGAAAGCCTCCTCCAAGCGCTTGTGACCATTCCCATCTGTTGCGATGACATCATGCTTCCCACACAGCTGCTCTGTGACTCTGTGCACAGACATCAGGGGTTCTGACCTACTTCCAAACCCCTAACTTACTTTAGCAGAACTCAAGAAGATCTGAAAAGCAGACAAGGAGAGCTCAGAGACACCAGAGATGCAGAGTGGAAGTGACTGTCAATGCCCACATGTAACCTCTAAGGACTATGTCCCTCAAGATTAGTATGTCACCTCAAGAGGGAGGTGCCATGCAGTCGTATTCTGGCCAAGTCTCTGATTTTACTCAGTGCTTAGCCAATTACTTGAAAACAAAGCACTATTAAAGGAAGAAGGCATTAGTCAGCCTGCAAAGGACTTCAACCAATACTAGTTTTAGGTGCTTATGGAGATCACACAGCAGAAATTGTTAAAAAAAAAAAATTGTTTAAACATAAAGAGAATTAGCAGACGTTTAATAATTATCAATGGTATGGCATGACTGCCAACTGCAAGTGTTAGATGTCATTTAGTAAACTTAAAAAACAAAACAGTAAATGTTTCCACTGGGCCGTCAAGGACAAATGAAAATACAAACCATCTTAGTGTATTCTTACAGACTGGGGAAAAAATTCCAGTAATTGAACAACACAAAGATTCCCAAAGCACTGTATCTTGGACAACTTGAGCATCAAGATAAATAAGGACAGTTATAAATTATAGCCTCCTGAACAAAAGAGGAACCCATAAATCCAAACTGACAATGGAAAGATGGATAACGGACGGACGGATGGATGGATAGACAGTAGGAAGGGAGAGAGGGAGGAAGAAAGAGGAGCAGGACTCTTCCTTACATAAGTACACTGAATGGCAACTATTAAATGTGGAGGGGTTGGTGGAACTGAGAAGTCACCATTTTGCAACCATCATAGTAAAGATCAGCTCAGGCAAGGATTGTCAATGGATGCTAAATCTATGGAGGTAAAGTGTGATAAGGAGAAGGATATTTACATGATCTTAAGGTGTTACCTTCAGATTGCTAATTAGTTACAAGGGGAAAATAGTGACTGTATAGTGGAGAAACCAGACAATACCTTGACTGGGTGATCAAAATTTACATCACCACTGAGGGGCAGGTCGACACCACATGTGTCCAGATGTGGCCCCAGAGAAGAACTCTTATGTAGGATTTGACCAGAGATGCATAATCCAAATCTAATCATGAAGAAACACCAGATAAACCCATGCTGAAGAAAACTGTATAAAGGAACTGGACTGTGTTGTTCAAAAATGTCAATGTCATGAAAGACAAAGAAAAGCTGGAGAACTGTTCCAGATTAAAGGAGACTAAAGTCATGACAACTAAATGCAGTATGAGGTTCTGTACTGGAGAACAACAAAATGCTTTAGAAGGCCATTATTGATACAACTGGCAAAACTGGAATACGGACTGTAGTTCAGATTAAATATTGCACCAATGTTAAATTTGATATTAGGTTGGTGCAAGAGTTCAATTGCGATTTTAGCCATTACTTTTAATGGCAAGAGTTCAATTGCGATTTTAGCTATTACTTTTAATGGCAAAAACCATAATTACTCTTGCACCAACCTAACAGATGTGTTTACATAAAAAGAATATCTTTTATTCTTAGAAAATACTCACTACTGAAGAAGCATGGTATATGCAACCATATTCTCAAATGACTCAGAAAAAAGTGTGTATGTGTGTGTATGCAAGTTGTACTCACGTGAATACTCACACACCCACACAGAGAGAGAAGGAATGATATCATTGTGGCTAAATGTTAAAAATTGATGCACTGGGTAAAGGGTTTATGGTTGTTCCTTACACCATTGTTGCGACTTTTCTGTATGTCTGAAATTATTTCAAAATAACAAGTTACAAAAAATTTAAAATTAAAAAAAAAGTGCTGTATCCCCATCATGTGCTCTGGACTGTGTTAGGGAACAAAAAAGTGTCCTCATGATAATCAACACACTAATGTTGAAAGAGCATGTGAAGTGTCTGAATAAAAGTGTGTGACATGAGAGTGCAAAAAAACAACATTGATTTTATATATGTAAGTGAATGATATATTAACAAATTAAGTATTATAGGTGGACTTTGAACTATATTTTTAGAGTCCTAAAAATTTATATTTTCAAGTAGACCTAAAACCTTTTGCAGGGATCTTCTCACTGGGCAAAGAGGGGATCACTTTGTATTCAGGCATATACAAAACACACAGCTGAAGTAGCTACATTTCTTATAAACCTCAACAGGCTCATCTCTGTAAGAATAAGGAATGTAATCCTCATCACAGCCAATACTCCAACACCACTACTGCCCCAGTTACCAGGAAACTTAAGTCCAAACAAATTTTTGAGTAATTACTAAATAGAATAATTAGTGAAACCAAGTATTTCTATTCTATCCCATCGGAAAGCTATTAGGAGTGAAGACATCTGCCTAACTCTACATGAAGAGCAGGACATGAAAGAACACAAAACCTGCAAAAATCTGAAAAGACCAATGTTCTCTACCAAAGGACTAGGAGAAGAATTACCCACTAAAGAAAAAAACATTCACTTTCTTTCGTTCCTAGCATTGCATACACGAATTAAGTCTGAATGTGCTATCCTAAACGGCACGGCCCCATCACAGAGCCTTTCCCCAGCCATAAGGCATGAACTTGTGAGTCATCACTAAAATGTCCATGTTAGCAGCACCTGGCATTCCTTTCCTAGACATCACTGGCAGAACAATGAGTATTCTTGGCTCTTTTTTTTTTTTCTTTTAAGAGACAGGGTCTTGCTCTGTCACCCAGGCTGGAGTACAGTGGTGGCAATCTCAGCTCACTGCAGCCTCCACCTCCTGAGCTCTTATAAACCTCAACAGGCTCACTCCGGTAAGCAATCCTCCCACCTCAGCCTCCCAAGTAGCTGGGCCCACAGGTGCACACCACCACACCTGGCTACTTTTTGTATTTTTGTAGAGACAGGGTTTCACTATGTTGCCCAGGCTGGTCTTGAACTCCTGAGCTCAAGCAATCCACCGACCTCAGCCTCCAAAAGTGCTGGGATTACAGACGTGAGCCACCGCATGCAGCCTTCTTCTTGGCTCTTGAAGTGAGCCTTTGTTCCTACTTTTCATAAAATTCAAGTGTTGGAATGAAATGAGTTGAGGAGAAGAGGAAAAAGGCCTAAGTCATGATTGTTTGGGCCTTGCTGAAACAATGTCAAATGAAAACAGAATCACCAAGTATTAAGTCTACCAAAGGATACACTGCTGATAGATAACAGGGGCCTAGCATGTAAGACCTTTCCAAGGCTGCTATGCTCAGGGTATGGTACATAAAGCTGGACTAGGGGTACAGGAACCCCAAGAGTAGAGTAACATTAGAGAGAGAAGAGCAACCACAGAGCCTTAAAGAATTGCAGGTTCCCAAAGGAATTCCCATTCATAAAGAAAAACAAAGGTAGACAAGATTCTGTGGACATCATCTTTCTCTTTGGAAAGGTGAACTATAAAATTGTTCTTGTTATCCAAGCATGTATCTACAGTAAGGTAGGCACTGCTGAATACATCCTCCACCTTCTAGGTAAGAGGCCTGAGTACATCCCAAGCTGTTGCTAGTCAAAGCACTCACGTTTCTCCTGCACGTAGAGGTATCCCTCCATGGTGTAGGGACTGATGGTCTTGTGCTCAAGGGGATTCTCCTTCATCTTTTTCATCAGTGATTCCACTTCTGATCTAGTGCCTTCAAAGCGATTTCTTGTCTAGGATGAAAATAATTTTATTCAAATCAAAGAAACAAAGTATCTGTTTTAACAATCCAGATCAACCTAATAGAATCCTTAGATCTAAAATGAGATAAAGGACATTCAACCTTCCAGGAACTGGCCAAATACTCCCTTATGACAAGTATACTTTGGCCTTAAAGTCCTATACCAGAATGACTCTCAAACTCTAGTGACTATCAAAATCACCTAGGGATCTTATAGAAAATGCAAATGCCCAGCCCTCACTCCTACAGATCAATTCAGCACCTCTGGATGCCAAAAAGTGTGTTTTACGATAAGCCTCCCAGGTGATTCTGATTCAGATGCTCTAGGGGCCTGTATGACTTAAGGACCTAGGCGTTCATTTCTCCAGCTGCCATGAATGTTGCTTGCTGATGGCTCACAGATGAGTCCCTCCTTAAAAGGGGAGTTCCTTCACTCAAGGTCAGCCTGCACCCAATGACTAGACAAGGCTAGAGGAAAGGCAGAAGGGGGTTGAAAGCCTGGCCCCCTTGCTTGTATTCAGGGCGACTTTGAAGGATCATCCCAGCTCCAGAGCCTCCCCTGCACTGAGACCTCTGCTGCATCTGCATCACAGCTCTATTTCCCCCTCTGCGAGTCCAGGTGCCCTCACTCTGTCACAGGTGTTTTCACCAGCATTGCCCCCACCTCCAGTAAGCCCACTGCATGTCAATCTCGATTTCAGAGCCTGCATTCTGAGAAACCTGGCCTAAGGGGAAGCCATGCTTTGTGAAACCTTTTCCAAGATTCTGCAACTTCCTGTTCTCTGAGACAACACTGACTACTATGTAACCTCCAGGCTTCTAAAACCCATGCAGTACAACCCACATGGACACAAGATCACCTAGAGACAAAGAAAATAAGAAGAATAACATGGTCCAATCCCACAGTGAAGAAGGGGGCTCAAGCCCCAGTGACTGCTAACCAAAAAGCCCTACGCAGGATTCTGTGCACCAAAAGGTCCTGTGTTTAAACCTTGGGAATGCTGACCACACTGGGAGCGAAGCACGGACTTGGATTTCCTGCCAGCCTTCCTAAGAGTTGGACAAGAGAACATCCTTTGAGCTGGAGGCCAGCATGTGTCCCCAGCCCCCATTCCCAGAACACACACTCCACACGGTCTCATGTAGTCAGGCAGCTAGATGCATAGAATGGAGGCTGGGTTGGGCTGGGATTTCCACCGCCAAAGGAAATCCTGACTCCAATGCTACAGACGCTACAAATTTGAAACATAACCAGCAGCAGCACTTCCGAGAACATAAATAGGGCTTTGAAATAATGGAGAAGAGGATGATGGTCTAACTCAGAACCACCAAGCACTCTAGAAACGCCTGCCCCTAGTTTCCCTCTGAACCCAAGCAAGACCCACCCTCCTCACCTACATTCCAAGCCACCTGGATGGTTTCTAGGGCAATCAGGCCCATATTTTGTTTTTCCTTAACCAGATAAAAGAAGCCTGTCCCTATGCCCACTCACGTTCTGTATGCTAATGGTTAACTGTGTCTTGAAGTCCCCGAAATCCTTGGCCAGTTCGTAACCATGGTGATAGAAAGTGAAGAGTCCTTGCAGGAAGGCCAGCAGCTGTAATGAAGGAAGAAAGGCAAAGGTCACATAACCAGGTTGAAAAGAGGTATTATGTAGCTGTATCTGAGCTCCCAACACTGGCTTGAAAGTCTAAAATAAAGAATAATAATGGCTGACATTTAAAGAGCACCAATTGTGTGCCAGGCACTATGCCCTTCCATGCCCTGGGTGAGTACTCACAACATCCCATGACCTAAGCACTACTGTTATCCCCATTTTAATAATGAGGAAGCAGGTTCAGAGAGGTTAAGAAACTTGCCCCAAAACACACAGTAAGTGGCAGCCAGAACTTGAAACCAGGTCTCCTTGGCATCAACACCCATGCCCTTGCCCTGTGGGCCTCACCACCTGCTGAGAACATCATTTCCTCAGAAACCAAAGACCAGGGTTCTGACTCAGTTTCCCTCTAGTACATTTGTAGTATCAGGTTATTACACAGAAGAGGAAGGCAGAAAAGGAAGTGGGGTGTCCTGAGTCTACAGTCTAACAGGCAAAGTCAAATCAAAGAAAATCATCCAACTGAAGTGTGTTTCCGTGCTTTCCCCAAACTACTCAAAAGTAAACACTATGGATTCCTTTATTAAAATATTTCCATATTCCCACATTTTCACTTATGGTGGTTTCCCTAAATTCTCAATTAAATCCCTCAGGCTAAAAGGTAAGCCCGTTTCATTGTTTAGTCTTGTCTTTAGTGAATGGTAAAAACATCTGTTCACCACAATGCTCACCACACGGCTTCATATACTTAAAAACTATTAATGTCCCCTCCCTGAGCCCCTACCAGCCTTCATTTATCCAAACTAAACAAACAGCATTCCTGTGGTCTTTCCTCTCGGAGCTTACATCCAAACCTCACTGTTGTTATGCTTTCCTGGCCCCTTCTCAAGTTCTACACATCTTCCCTCAGTTCTAAACTTCAACCTGAAGAAAGGATTATAATAAAAGCCCGAACGAGATTTAGGAAAGACCAGTGCCTCACCTCTATCACAAAGCACAGCTCCATGGTATTTGGGGACTATCCCATTAACTTCGGCTTCTGAAGGCTGACCCACATTTTCTGAGGGGTCCACTCTGACCTCCCTGACCTGCCATACCACCTTATTCCAAGACACATTTGCTTTATTTTACATTGTGGTCTTCAGATTTTCAGTCCCTAAATGATTTTTTTTTAACCTGTTAAACATTACTTATTATGTAAAAAAAAAATTTACTTTACTTACTAAACATAATCCCATCCCACTTATTTTCACCTAACTAACTCTCCTTTTCTGAGAGGCAGCTATAATAAGTGACGGTAAAGGAATCTCATCCCGCCCCCCCTCCCCCTACTCTCCCACCTTGTTTGCAGCAGGAATAGTAAGCACAAAAGTATATAGCACTGGACCTAAACTCAGAGGGCAGGCCAGCCCAGTTTAATCAAAGATCTGGGCCCTGTGAAGATAAAACCCAGATTATGACAATATGGCCCTTAACTTCCCATTGCCACTGTCCCCGGCCCATCTATCCCCTTAGATTCTCATGGGTGGTGGGAGAGTAGGCATTGCTGGGTCCTCTGGCTATAAAACTATCCAGTGGCACCATATACAGACCCCTAACATAAATCCGTGAATGAGTGGTAAGCCCCATGGAGTCACTAGAGACTGATAATGAATGTTTTTCTTCAAAGACGGCCGAAGGCTTTGGGCTTATTCTATACAAAATACTTTTCTGAGAGGAAGACCCATACCTTTCCTTTTAGATGGCTCCAATAACAGAGGAGAGGAGGCTCCTCTGCCAAACCGAGTCCCAGCATTCACAGTGAAAACTGTTTTGCCTCTTCTTAACTCTGCTCTCCCTGCTATCTGCAAATGCCCTGCCCCATCGCCTTTCCAAGGCATGACACTACCCCTGACTTGAGAATAACGCAGAAGATAAGCAGTTAATTCCAAGGTCATTCCTCCTATTAACTATGATTTATCCTTCACTCATAGTAAACAGAGCCTCTCTTGCTCGGGGTAATTAAATATTCTCAAACAGCTCACTAAGATGCCACCTGGGCATACCCGCAAGTGCTCCCCAAAGGCAGGGAGTTACTAATATTTATTTTGTTTTTCCTCCTTTAGTCTCATGCCTTGATTGTCCATTTTTTTATGGGAAATGACTCCTTAACATATTGCTATTTTTGGCCCACTTCCCCCTTGCTTCTCTCCTCCCAGCACCTTTTCTCTCCCCCACCCCCAACACTATATGAACCTTTGAAGTATTACAAAGTGGGAAATGAAAGTCCACTCCTCAGGGGGCAGGATGAAGCCCACGGGACTCCAGAGATGGGGGAGCTGTCTGCTTCAAAGAAATGCTTCTACCCAAACACTAGGAGGAAGAGCTTGCTGCAGTCCCACCTGGTTATCAAATAAGAGGGGTCAGCTGTCCACGGGGCAACCACAACATCACAGCCTGACATAGGAAAGATCTTTCCCGCCTCCCTGTGCCTCCTTCTCTATCCTTGTTATCCTAAAAGAATAACCATAAGCAAAACCTATTCCTACTTCCTAGCTGACAACATAATTTATTTTTTTCATTTTAAAAAGCAAAAATCTAATTGCCCAAGTTAATGCTGGCTGCATCACTCTGGATTGTCACCATTCATAGAACAGACCTACTTTACTGGGTTAAATTGTGTCCCCCAAAAAAAGATATGTTGAAGTCCTAATACCTCTGAAGGTGATTTCACTTGGAAATAGGGTCTTTACATGGGTAATCAAGTTAAATGAGGACATTAGGGTGGGCCCTAGTACTTTTACAAAGATGCCATAGCTGGTGTCCTTAGAAAGGTGAAAATGTGGACACACAGACAAGCATGGCCATGTGAGGATGAAGGACTGGAGGGAGGCATCTATAAGCCAAGAAATGCCAAACATGATCACAAGCCACGGGAAGCTAGGAGGAAAGGAAGTCACCTTTCACTGCAGGTTTCAGAGGGATCTTGGTGCCAAAACCTTGACTTCAGACTTCTAGGCTTTAGAACTGTGAGACAACAGATTTCTGTTGTTCTAAGACACCCAATTTGTGGTACTTTGTTACAGCAGCCCTAGCAAACTAATACAGCTACCAAGAATCATCCGCACAGGCAACAAAGAGAAGGGCAGCTAGTAGAGTGATGAAAAGCTGAGGGGGCTAAGCCACATAACTCCCTTTAACTCATCTTTGACAAGAGGATAACAGTGGTTTTTACTATTGCACAGAGTTGCAGTGAAGATTAATTCAGATCATCCATGTAATGGGCTTAGCACAGGAGTGCTGTCAGGAGCTTCTTGGCAAAAGAGAGAGAGAGAGAATCAGACTGACGTGTTAGAAGGTGCATTCTGGTCCAGGCCAGACTGGAGAACGGGGAGGCCCAAGGCAGAATGCAAAGTCCAGAGAAAAGAATGAAGGCCTGCAATGGGACAGAAGCAGAGGGAAAGGAGAGGAAGAGACACTGCACCAAGAAATATTCAGGATGGAAAACTCGGAGGATGCAGGCCTAATGAACATGGAGAATGAGTTCTCTGGGGCACTAGCCAACCTTCAATTACGAAAACTCAGGCAACAGAGGGAATGTGGCTTCACCTTCATGGAGTCAATATGTCATTATCTGCAATCCAAATCTCAAGAACATTTAGTACTGTGACAAGAAAATTAAAGCTTCCAGTGCAAATATATACATACATATACATATATATATGCACATACGTATATATGTATATGTATGTGTGTGTATATATGTGTGTGTGTGTGTGTATGTGTGTGTGTATATATATATACACACATATATATCCCAAAAGATCTGATTTAGATCCCAGAAGTCTGATTTTTCTTCCTTGGGAATACTACAACTGTTTCTTTTTCTGAAGGTCAATAATATCCTGGTACTTGAAGTTACTTTCAAGAAACAAATGAACACGGTCGATTTGCATAGAGGTCCCTTACATGACTGGAAGATTCCCTTGACTGTAACCAACTCAAATATGAATACCCACTCCAGCAATTTAGTTCAATAGACTTCTTGCTGGTTTCTTTCCCACCTGTAAGCAATCAAATGCTATTTCATGGAGATGAAAAGTCAGACCCTTCCAGCTCTGCTATTTACTAGATATGATGTTGGACAGGTAAAGAAACTTATTTGTTTCAATTTCTTCATCTGAAAATTGGGATAAAAACAGTACTTACCCTCAGAGATGTTATAAGGTTTGACTGACATACTGTAGGTAAAGCGCTTAGCACGGTACACGACAGTTTCAGATAATATCATCAATTGTTATTTCATGTTCTTCCTTTGTATAATCTAGGCCAGTGGCTCAAACTGAAATGTGCAGCTGAATCACGGGGAAGGTTTACTAAACTACAGGCTACTGGGCCCCTCCCTTAAATTTCAGGTCTGGAGTGAAGCCTGAGAATGTGCATGTCTAACACTGAGAATCACTGATCTCATCAGTAGCTTTTTCACTGTATGAATACCTTCTCCCCATCCCCAGCTCCTGAAGCCACTGACCTGCCTAGAAGCTGATGTGCAGAGACAATAACTTCTGTAGAAAAGCAAAGGCCAAACATCTGAATCCTATATCCAGCCTCTCAGCATTTAGTTTAACTTTGGGCAAATCCCTATTACTATCTTTGTCCTAACATGAGACTGAAAATTTCTTTTCATTAGCTCTCCAGGTTTCTCACTGTATGAACTGAAAAACATCTGCACACTACGATGGTTATACTTTTAAATCCCTCTGGCACATCTATAGCATCCATCCTGTCCAAGCTGTCACTGAACTGCTTGCTATCTTGACTAGCTCTCTACTACACACATCTTGCTTACCCCAGTGAGGCTGTGAATGCCTCAGCCACAGCACCTGGGTTTTCAGCATTTTCTACGGTATTCAATAAATACATACTTTTAAAGCTACCAAAACTGTTTATATTAAAACAGGTAGGCCCTGTTAATATTGGTACTTCACTCGTTTGCTCATAAATAAAAAATAATAATTGCTAAGTTTTTATTTGGTTCTAATCAGGTTCTGTTCTAAGCACCTCACATGGATAAACACTCAGTCAATCCTCATACAACTTTATAAAGTAGGTGATATTACTATCCCCATTCTGCAGATGGGGAAAGTAAGGCTCAGAGAAATAACTTGCCCAAGAACACACAGCTAGTAAATGGCTAGGCTGGGATTTAAATTCAGGGAGTCTAGCTCTAGAATCCTTAACCATGATGCTACTGCTTCTTAAAGTGAAAACTCCCTAAGACATGGACACACTACAACAGGATGCCAGGAAATGGAATGGTAAATCTTTAGAGATTTCTTTTCTCAAGAAAGAAGGAAGGAAGAGGGGGAGGAGAGACAAAAGAAGGAGAAGAAGGAGGAGGAAAACCCATTTAGATCAGCAAAGCTATCCAGCTGAGCCAAGCCTAAGCTGGCTGAACCTCACAGATGTGTGAGAAGTAAACATCTATTGTTGTATGAGGTTTTGTGGATACCATTCAGCAAAAGCCAACAGATAAAATACCTGACTCACTAGGTACGCCTACTGAGAGATCAAAGTGGATAACAAAACACTCACCTCAAAAAAGTTGGATGGGCCAATTACAAAAAAAACTCATCAAAAGCAAGCAAATTTGGAATAATATTAATCGAAGTATATATAAAGATTATTAGAAATGCACTGTTCTTTTTCTCTAGAAAGTCTGGCAAAAGCAAATAAAAATAATGCTAAAGGCAAATTCTATGTGACAGCATTTGCATTCCTGCCCTGACCACAGGAAGCAAGTCTTCAGTAAACCTTTGCTTGAAAGGCCAGTTTGTGCTTTAAGCAGGAAAATCAATAAGGCTGCTTTATCTGACAGATAGCTGCTCACACCTAACAGACCCTGTGGAAAGATGGGGATTTTTGACTTGGGACCTTGACTGAAACCACACTGCTGGAAGTTAGGTCTAAGGTTTTAATATTCATATATGGAGACTGAAGTAATTGACGACTTTAAGGAATCTGCCAAATGAGGTAGCTGGGAGTGGTATCCAGAAATTATAGTTCTAGCATAGTAAAAGATGTAGACATAAGGTTCCAAAGCCGATTGTAATCTTTTTTTGTTTTTAAGAGATGGAGTCTCACTATGTTGCCCAGTTGCCCAGGCTGATCTCAAACTCTTGGTCTCAAGTGATCTTCCTGCCTCAGCCTCTCAAAGTGCTAGGATTACAGGCATGAGCCACTGTGCCTGGCCACCAATTGGAGTCTTGATGAAACTACCAGCAAGTCTACATGCCTAAAAAAATCCACCCCAAAAGTTTATAAATTAGACATGGGGTACACAATGCTCTTTACTAGAAAGAGTGGCCACTCCTTTCAGTTTCTTACAGTTTTATTCTTATTTGCTTAAGAAAAGTCTCCTTTCTTGGTCGGGCGTGCTGGCTCATGCCTGTAATCCCAGCACTTTGGGAGGCCGAGGCGGGCGGATCACGGGGTCAGGAGATCGAGACCATCCTGGCCAACATGGTGAAACCCCGTCTCTACTAAAAAATACAAAAATTAGCCAGGCGTGGTGGCGTGCACCTGTAGTCCCAGCTACTGAGGAGGCTGAGGCAGGAGAATCGCTTGAACCCAGAAGGCAGAGGCTGCAGTGAGCTGAGATTGCACCATTGCACTCCAGCCTGGGTGACAGAGCGAGAAGCTGTCTCAAAGAAAAAAAAAAGAAAAAAGAAAATTATCCTTTCTTAAATCTAGGTAGAGAATCTTATTTGTACAGAGATGCCATGCTTGAGTCTAAATCAGAGGCTGCATTTTGGCTGGAAAATCCATGGTCTGCGAGAGTTTTAAATTGAGGTCCATATACTATTTTGGTGTTTCCATGAAGTCTTCCTGCTGTGGATTCTCCACACCAGTGCCACACCCAGCAAAGTGGAGTGGCACCATGTCCAAATGAAACCACAACCATGCTGGTGTGGCCTAAACTAAAGTCAGGCTTTTTCCCACAATGCAATCTTCATGTTCACTGGGACAGTGTCCAAGTCCAAATTCCATCATGGTCCACTCAGCAGAGTCTCTATGCTGTTCTGTTTATAACAAATCCATGTGGGAAATCCATGTGAGAAACTTTATATAGCATCTTTTAATACCTGAATGGGGTGAGAAGGGGCTTTGAACCACAGGGTAAAAAGAGAAATGTACTATGTCTTTGGGTGACTACTACATCTGAATTATTTGAGGAAGAGAAGAAGGGTAGGAGAGAGGAGGGAAGTTAAGGTATAATCACTATTTCATGGCAAGATAGAGAACCCCTCCCCTCTGGACTCCCATTTCCACTCTGTCCACCTGAAAATCATATGGCACATCATTGGGTAGCCAGAGGAAGGAATGACTGCTGGACGCTCTATCTCCATTGCTATGTGTTGTACAGGAATGGCTGCTGGGAAGAATCCAAGGCAGCCAGGCTCGCAAAGCACTGATACTTACAGAAGGGACAGTGTCAGGGCTGCTCAACCTCTTCATCAACAACTTAGAGCATTTTGTAATCTACTACTAGTTAGAATGAGGGATGAATATATGGGTACATCATTAAACCCTGAATATCTACTTACAGGCTCCACAAACTCAAACATCTTTCTCTCTTGGACTTCCTGCACCTTGAAGACATATTCCAGGGATACTTCATAGAAATGCTGCCGGACCAGGTCCACTTGGCTGTCTGCCTACAAACAAGATGGAATTTAAGAGAAAAATCAAGTCACTACCCAAGGATAGCATTCCGAAAGCAGGTCAGAAAAAAAAAATCTCGGGAGATAATTTTCAAAAACAAATCAAATAGCATTACACAGAAGAAGAATAACTATAGTAACTATTTCACTATGCAAAAATATACTGAAACATCATATTATACAACTTAAATACATATTTTTTTAAAACAAAAAAAAAGCTTTCTAATGAGATTATTGGTTTAAAAAGGTAAATGTATACAAGGAACTCAACTCAACAGAAAAAAAAAAAACCCACAAATAATACCATTAAAAAGTGGGCAGGAGATCTGAATAGACATTTCTCAAAAGAAGACACACAAATAGCCAAAGGGTATATTAAAAAACGTTCAACATCACTAATTATCAGGGAAATGAAAGTCAAAATCAAAATGAGATATCATCTCAAGCCAGTTACAATGGCTATGATCAAGATTAAAAATAGCAAATGCTGGTAAGGATGGGGAGAAAAGGGAACTGATGGTGGGAATGTAAATTAGTACAACTATTATGGAGAACAGTATGGAGATTTCTCAAAAAGCTAAAAATAGTACTACCATATAATCCAGCAATCCCACTACTTGGTATTTATCCAAAGAAAAGGAAATCACTATATCAAAGGGATACCTGTACCCCCATGTTTATTGCAGCACTACTCACAACAGCCAAGATATGAAGTGAACCTAAGTGTTCAATGGATGAATGGATAAATACACACACACAGACTGCTATTCAGCCATGAAAAAGAATGGAATTCTGTCATCTGCAGCAACATGAATGGAACTGGAGGTCATTATGTCAAGTGAAGGCACAGAAAAACAAATATCACATCTTCTTATTCATATGTAGGTGCTAAAAAAGTGGATCTCAAGGAAGTAAAAAGTAGAATGAGAGTTATCAGAGGCTAAGAAAGGGGTGGGAGTCAGGTGCCGTGGTTCATGCCTATAATCCCAGCACTTTGGGAGGCCGAGGTGGGCGGATCACGAGGTCAAGAGATCGAGACAATCCTGGCCAACATGGTGAAACCCCATCTCTACTAAAAATACAAAAATTAGCTGGGCATGGTAGCACATATGGTAGCTACTCGGGAGGTTGAGGCAGGAGAATCACTTGAACCCAGGAGGCGGAGGTTGCAGTGAGCCAAGATCACACCACTGCACTCCAGCCTGGTGACAGAGCGAGACTCTGTCTCAAAAAAAAAAAAAAGCGGGGGGGTGGGGTGGGGTGGGAAGGATGAAGAGAGGTTGCTTAATGGGTTCAAAAATACAGTGAGATACAAGGAATAAGTTCCAGTATTTCAGAACACAGTAGGATGACTATGGCTAACTGATGTACGGTGTATATTTCATAATATCTAGAAGATATGAAATGTTCCCAACACAAAGAAATGATAAATGTTCGAGGTGACTGATACCCTAAATACCTTGATTTGATCATTACACATTATAGGCATATATCAAAATAGTATACATGCCCCATAAATATGTATGATTATTACATATCAATAAAAAAGGTAAGTGGGTGAGCCAAACAGACGTCATATTAGCCCAAATAGTATGTCACATGTTAAAAGTAATCAACAAACCAAACAGAAATAAGAATAATGATAATGGTTACCTAAGCACTAACTTTGTGCCAGGAATCATGCCCATAGCTGTACATACATTACCTTATTTAATCCTCATTAATTTTAATTATTTAATCTTCACTAAATTCCTAGAAAAGAGATATTATCTGTATCTCTAACATACAGGAAGAAAATATAATCCATTGCCATTAAGGAACTTGACTAAGGTGACACAGCTAGTATACGGCAGAGCTGGGATTTCTGTCCTGGTGGATCTGCCCCCAAGGCCCTTGGATCATCCTGAAACCACCAGTCTCCACTGTCTCCCCATACCCTGGGACAACCTGGGTTCCATGGGAGACAGATTCTTACAGTGAAAAAGAAATTCCTGCAGAGCCATCCTCATCTAGACCTTTCCAATACACAAAACAAGCTGTCAGAGGGCAGGGAATCTCAGAAAAGGCCATGGGCCATGTTCACAGAAGTCCCAAATACTTCCTTTGTGATAAGAACAACAGTTTACTCCAAGCAGGGAAATTTCAACACTCCCTCTCAATTTCACTTCTCCCTCTGTGCAGGTGTGTGTCCAGGACAGGCCCACGAGCGGGTACAATTGAACCACTGATCTGGGATCTGGCACCCAGGGAGAAACTCCACGTATGGAGTTGCAAGATGCTATGCTGGGAAGTACCTCAACTCTCACTATAAAGCTCTAAACCTTTCCATAATGTGTGTCAAATCATTCCTTCAAAGCAGATAATTACACTGAAAGCATATTTCAATGACAAAACACTAAAGTGAATATATATTTTTAATATAAATGAATATCCTGCTAGTAAGAAACAAAACACTGTTTTCCTTAGAAATGACACAGTCAGAAACCGTTCTATAACACCCTTTACTAAGACACAGCTCCCAAAGGCATATTTCTTTCAGTGTTCCTTTGTCAACATTCCTACAGAAGAAACTTGGAACAGACCCCTACTTCCATTATACCAAATACAATATGCTACTTGACATCTTAAGAGCTTAGCAAATCATCCATCCATTCCACCATCATGAGAAAAAGAAACTTCCTTCATAGAACTTACAGCATAGTAAAGAAAACAGACATTAGTCAAATAAGTAAGTTAAGAGAAAACTACAAGCTCTGGTAAAACACATTATGTTATAAAACACCCCGAAAGAATATATTCAAGTCTCTCATGCTAGCAACTTCCTCCCACAGCAATGGACATTCTCATACTCAAAAGCCAGTCTGCTGAGTAACTGCTGGATCAAACCAATCTGAAAGGCTAAGACTGGGGGCATTTTCTAAGACTTCCAATCAGGGAAAGGAGATATCTGAGCACTGATGAATCTTTACTTGGAGACAGGTTTCAGAAGGTCCTGCTTCTCACCACCACCACCCCCTGCATCGTGTGGCTGCTTAGACAACTGGGCTGATACGCCTTCCAACTGGGCTCCTGCGGCTAAGCCCCATGTGTTCCTGTAGCCTTTGATCTTCTTGTAGCGCAAATCCAACACGCTTACACGGAGAGATGCATCTACTCCCAACCACCCCACACACCTCAAAGCTTCTCTCTGCCTGGGCTTGCCAACTGACACTGCAAGTGGAGGGGGAAAACAGGAGAAATCATTCTGAAAATCTGCAAAGGCAGAGAAGAAGGATCCAGAAGGAAATCCCTATAAGGAAAACAGAATTGACTCCCACATCAGAGAGCTGCCCAAGTGCAAGCTCCAATGCTACAATGTCCTAGCTGGTGAGACCTGCTCAAGTCATTGATCTTCTTTAGAAGATGGAGATAATATCAGCCCTTGCTTCTGAGTAGAGTGTTTCCAAGAGAAAATGGGCCAAATGATGTAAACCATTTGAAAACTGGAAAGTGTCCCGTGCATGTCGGTGGTTGCTGTCACCAGGCACTTCAGAACACAGGGGTCTCACTTCCTGCTCTACCCTAAACCAGCCACATCATCTCTGGGCTACTACACTTCTCTCCTAACTGGTCTCTCTGTCTTCATTCTCTCCCTCTGCCCCAATCCACTCTGCACACAGGAGCCAGAATATCTTCCTTAAAATCTAAATCAGATGGTCTCATGGTCCCCTTCAAGGACTTCTCATGGCCTCTACCATGGTCTGCAAGACCCTGTGTAATAATCTGCCCAACCCTCCAGCCTCACCTCCTCCCATCCTAACCCACTGTCACCATGCTCCAGCATGGTGACATGAGTAACTGCTGGATCTCCTTCCTGTCCTCTAACACTCCAAACCGCTTTCTTTCCCACAACCTTTTCACCTGGTGTTCATTCTGCCCAAAAACCTCTTCTCCTAGATAAACACACATTTTAACTTCAACATAGAGTAAGAAATACTTTTTATATTATGACTCAATAAACACACATTTATAATGGTTAAATGCAATGCACTTTCATATATATATATATATATATATATATATATATATATATATATATATTTTTTTTTTTTTTTTAAGACGGAGTTTCGCTCTTGTTACCCAGGCTGGAGTACAATGGCGCGAATTCGGCTCACCGCAACCTCCGCCTCCCAGGTTCAAGATATTCTCCTGCCTCAGCCTTCCCAAGTAGCTGGGATTACAGGCATGCACCACCATGCCCGGCCAATTTTGTATTTTTAATAGAGATGGGGGTTTCTCCACGTTGGTCAGGCTGGTCTCGAACTCCAGACCTCAGGTGATCTGTCCACCTCAGCCTCCCAAAGTGCTGAGATTCCAGGCATGAGCCACCGCGCCAGGCCTTGTATTTTTCATTCTATTTTAGCCTACCCTATTGCATAACCCAAAAACTGTGATTTTGCGACACACTCACAACCTGAAGAAGATTGTCCTGGCCTTTCATTAGCTCATTCCTTCTGGGCTCAGTTTAAATGTTACCTCTTTAGGAGAGGCTTTCATTGACTATGTTATTTTAAATAGGTTACCAGGAAATCTCTGTCTCATCTCCCAATTTAAACTCTTATCTATTCCTTTCTTGAGACAGAGTCTCGCTCTGTTGCCCAGGCTGGAGTGGAGTGGCATGATCTCAGCTCACTGCAAACTCCGCCTCCTGGGTTCAAGTGATTCTCCTGCCTCAGCCTCCCAAGTAGCTGGGATTACAGGCGCGTGCCACCACATCTAGCTAATTTTTTTTTTGCATTTTCACTAGAGACAGGGTTTCGCCTTGTTGGCCAGGCTGGTCTCAAACTCTTGACCTCAAGTGATCCACCCGCCTTGGCCTACCAAAGTGCTGGGATTACAGGCATGAGCCACCGTGCCTGGCCTACTAGACTACTAGAATATAAAGTCCATGAGAACAAAGACCTCGTCTAATTTTTTCATTTTTCTCCTCCAGTGCTCAGAACGGTGTATGGCCCATAATAAACGTTCAACAGATGCATGCAGAATGAATGAATTGATCCCCATGTGGCCATCAGTCAGCACCAAAGGCATGTCCCATCAGTGACCCAGAACTAAGAACAAATGCATAACTCAATGCATTCCCAAAGGAAAAGGAAGAAGAAATCCTAAGCGGAATGTTATGCTTCTCTTGCCAATGCCCCAGAATGGTGTGGGCCACAGAATCCATCACATCCTTGGGCCCCCTGCAATGGAATTATAAGCCAGGATCCCAACCCACCCTGCAGACCGCTCAAGACAGTTTCCCTGCCTGCCACTTGAGAAGCTATAAATCTACCGGCTTGATTAAACCCGTCAACCATTCTGCGTTTCTTGGAAAAGAGACTTCCTCCTAGATTGTAATTTCCATGAAAGAAGATCCTTCATTTCACTTTCTACAAAACACCCAGTGCCTGGACAGACTTTTACAGAAGCGTCCAGTGAGTATTTGTTGAATCAATGACTACTGTTTTTGAGGCGAGCTTTTTTACCATTCAAAAACTATGCATTTGTTTAAATCATCCACTAGATGGCAGTGCCATTCCACATCACTGCCCTGTAGTTTCTACTTCCAGGGATCTAGGGATGGGCTGGAATTTAAAAGCATTCCGTGCAGAACCCTGCAATCAGGGAACAACTCTGGATAATCAGAGTGGAAGGTTTCATCAAAGGTGTACCACGTGCTCAACAATGTTCCTAAAAGTTGAATTTTTAATAAATGTGAAGAAAATGATCAATACATAGCTGAACACCTTGAGCAAAACACCTGACCCCTACGAGAAACTCAGTTCCCTCATAAAACGTAATTCAAGAAAGTTGAAATGGATGATCACTAAGGTCCTTCCCTCTCTCTAATTCTATATCATGACACTGGCACTAAATAACATGGTCAGCAGGCAAGAGAGCCTCAACATCCCTCCCCAGATAGAGACGTAGAAAAGCAAACTGGGTGAAGGGAAAGGGCTGCACAGCCAGTGCTGGAGTTAACTCGCTACCACTAAGCTATTTATCCTATCTGAGCCTCAGTTTCCTCATGTGTAAAACAGAGTAGTAACCACATCTATACCTCTTAGGGTGAGGATTCCAGAAGATTCCATGTAAAGTGCTTAACACCATACCCAGGCCATAAATATGCATTCAACAAATGTTTCCCTATATTATAGTTGCTATTGATGTGGTTAGTGGCAGTAGTAATATCATCACTGTTCTTTTTTTTGTTTGTTTTTTGATGTTTGGTTTTTGGTTTTTTTTGAGAAAGAGTCTCACTCTGTCGCCCAGGCTGGAGTGCAGTGGCGCGACTGTGGCTCACTGCAACCTCCGCCTCCCTGGTTCAAGTAATTCTCCTGCCTCAGCCTCCTGAGTAGCTGGGACTACAGGCACCCACCACCATGCCCAGCTAATTTTTGTATTTTTAGTAGAGACGAGGTCTCACCATGTTGGCCAGGATGGTCTCGATCTCTTTACCTCTTTAGTGTTAGATTTTTATACAGTTTAATTTAGTTCAGTTACAACTAAAAAGCAATGCCTGAGAACTGACCTGAACAGACCAGAACCTGCAAGATCTGGAACCCAATCCTTACACTCAAAGTACTTAGAAAGTGTGACTAGGTCAAAGGCAAGAACATAAAGGACTATAATAAAAGAGCATAATGGAAAACATCCACTGAAATACAGAACTGTCAAAGTCAGGAATAGTGGCATCCAATTTGAGAACAGAAAATGGAGCGGAACAGGCCAATCATAAGGATATTTACACATTTTATATTAAATATACTTCATACTTGAGCAGCAGTTATATTTGCCTTCTCATGTATAACATAAGTAGGACAGATATTTCATGAGTATTTAACAAATAAAGGAAATAAAGCTTAGAGAATCTAAGTAATTTGCCCTAGGTCACAGAGTAAATACACAGCAGAGAAGGTTTTGAGGCAAGGTATCCTCTTTGCCAGCCCAGCGTTCTGGTCCCTACACTGTGGTAATTCAGAAGACATTCACAGCCCTAAAAGAAAATGCTGGACTCATTCCAGACCAAGTCTGCAATATTTGACCACGGAGAGAATGGATCTGGTGGAGAAGCACCTTTGTTCCAGAGAATGCCATGCCTACAGGGTAACTGTGCTGTGGGCCTCCCAGATTCAGTAGGTGCTAGAATAACCACACACCTGCTCAACTCTGAATACTCTGAATATCTGTACTAATGATGCATAGTCATCTAATCCATAATTTATACCTGCTTAGAAACTGGAGAGCTGGGCAGACCTGGTCACTGTGAAGCACAGCCAAAAAGCTTTTCTTTAAATATAAGTTAGTTTCCAAATCCTAAATGCCAAGTGATGCCAGAAGAATAACTAAAAAGTCAGGGCACCAAGACAGATTCTAAATGGAATCCCAAATTTATCATGGATTATCTGTGTCTGTGGGATAGTGCCCATATCCTCATGTCAAGTTGGGATAGCCTTTGTATCTCGTGAAAATAAGATTTTTTTTTTTTATTTTTTAGGTTTTTCAATCACATTTGACAAGATTTACCTGAGTAGCTATGCCACTTCAAGAAGCACTTCCTCCGCTTTTGTTTCTTTTTCCCTACTCAGGCACAAGATCTTCAAGGATAAATTAGTATTTTCTGCTTTGTAAAGCACACACCAAATAGTCAATGCTGTTTATTGGCTGGCCAAGAACTGATCTACAAAGTCCATTATAAACCTTTGTTGCTGCTACAGTTGTCATTGTTGTTGAGTAATGGTCCTTATCACTACTCTAAAAACTGGATTAAATACTTATTTCAAAGCAAAGAGTTCTGAGAACACCACATTCCTATCCCAAGATGTGTAACCAATTGTGGTTGGGAGGGGATTGAACTCCACCATCTCCTGAGTTACTTCAACCTTTCAACCTCTGACTCTACTGTCCTCATATGAACTTTCACCTAACAGAAGTACTGGCATGGTATCTGTTCAAAAAGAATTAAAATTTTAAAAAAAGGGCCGGCCTGGAAGCCACGGTAGCCTCTTTTGGCAAACATATGACAGAGGTCAAGCAAACTGTTGAGTTAAATAAGATGACATTTTTAAAGCCAAATTTGAGGTTCCACTAGGAAACTCCCTATCTCCAAGAAGCATAAACTCCCTTAGCATGCCAATCTTCATGAACTAAATAAAAATGGTCACAGCTCCACGGCTGCGATGGCTCCATCATTTTTCTTTCCAAGTGAACTACTTTTTAAAAGACACCATGCAAACCCAGAAAAACCAAGCGCAAATTTAAGAATGTATTTTCTTGAAACAACATTACCAAAGCACAAAATATATACAGGACAATAAAGCACTGCTTTAAAATAAAAAAAGAAAGAAAACTAATGTCAAGTGCTGGTTGAAATAATGAAAAAATCAATATTAAGGAAGGATAACCAAAGTGTTTGAGATGCTAACATTTCAAATCACTGATAAGAGGCAGGAAGTCAAAAGGTAAAGTAACAGAGGGCAGAATTAAGGCCAAGGGTGAGAGAAACAGGAAAAGAAATGTCAGTATGAAATGAAGACATCTAGCAATCAGGGCAGCCCAACAAGGAGGTGGTCATCTCGGCCAGCAGTGTCTTCCACCTTGACAGGCGGGAAGGCTACAAAGGATGGGGTGGGATGGGAGGACACAAAGGCAGTCCAGGCATCAGGCACTGGATGAGGGATCAGGAGCAATCTCCTGGCTTCCCAGGTCCCTTCTAACCCTAAGATTTTCTAGCAAAGAGCAACCAGCACATATCCACAGCATCATGTACAAATTGAACACTTTATTCAGGATACTAATAAAGTCTCTTACCTCCTGAAGCTGAGATTCTTTCTTTTTGGAAGACAAATTCAAGTGTTTTTCTAAGATGCCACAATACTTTTCTGTCTCTTTGTCATACTTCTTTTTGGCTTCCTGGCAAAAAAAGAGAAGAGAAAAAGAAAAAGAGTAACACGTTGCAGGAATAAAAGCAGCCTCCATCTCTCAAGATCCTTCTGCTCAGAACACAGATGACGACTCAGCTCCTACTTTTCAGGTAATGCCCATTAAATCCTGCAGCCACCCATCAACAGCCCCCTGAGTTTGAGTGTCTAGCAGAGAGGCACCAACCAGGACAAGACCAGAAATGAGGTAAATACGAATATCTAATGGTGGCAAAGCCAAGATTCCCCCTCTAAGAACTTTGTGAAACAGAAATTTCTACTTTCTAACTCACAAGGATATTCAAGGCCAGAAGGCAGCCAGGGGTTGGGGGCTGGGGAGCAGCAGCAGTGGGGGTACCTATGAAGCTAACACCAAGGAAGGAAGATATCCTCACAGCTTGAATGAGACAAGTCTAGACTAAGGCTAGATCCAGCCTTAATACTGTCCCAAAAACACTTCTTGGTATGTAAGCCTAAATATCTCTTGACACTTAATATCACATGCAGGTCTTTAAGCTGAGGAATAATTCAAAACAACAATATTATCTTCACACACATTTGTTTACTACGGCACCATTTATGCTAGCAAAAGAAAAATAAAAGCAGCAGCAGCAACATCACTTCCAAGGATAGCGTTTGGCATAATTAAAGTACGGAACATCCAATAAGCATAACTAGTCATTGGAAAACTAGAGAGAAAAGTAAAACAGCATTATATAAACTTGCTGCATCCTACATAGAGTGTGTCTACCTATGGACAAAGATGAGGTGGGAATTTACTTATAGGCAAATACCTGAGTTATGGTAATGGGGTAACAGTTATTTTTCTCTTCTCTTTAAGAAATTATTAGCCGTATTATTGTCTTCAAAATGAAAAATAATTACCATAATTAATCCCTGCTCCCCACCACTGAATCATTGGGTCACTGTGGTTCTATTTCTATCTCCCATTTGACTGATAAGAAAACTTGGACCCAAAGAGGTGAACTTGTGAAAAGTCACGGAGAGTGACAGAGCTGGGATTGGAGCCTAGGACAATGTGCCTCCAAAGCCCATGTTCTCCACCACAGCTGAGACAGATTGTCACAGGCAGTCTGCCTTCCTTCCACATTCCAACGGGGAGAGCAGGCAAGGAAGCTGGAAGAAGGTTGGCACTTGGCTGATAAACGGGATCAAATTTGCTAATTGGGTACATTATTCCTGCTTTTGACTCATGTGGAGCCTGAACCCATAGGGATGTTTTTCTGCAACTCCAAAGCCTAGAAGAGAAAAAATATTTTCTGGCCAAATAAAGAAGCTCAGACACATCTCTTTATTCCTTTAACAAATTTATAATCAGCAACCACTCTGTGTAAGGCTCTACTTTAGGCACCAGAAATACAAGACAAAAATGGTCCCAACCCTCACGGTAGAAATGTTCTAGTAGGAGAACCATGATTAACCAGTAAACAAATAATCAGCATAATTATAGACTGCTGCAAGTGCTACAAAGGAAATAAACAGGGCGCAGTCACAGAGATTCTGTAGATAGGGCACCCAGGAAAGGCATCATTTGGGGAAGGGAGATGTGAGCTGAGACCTACCTGTGAAATACAGAAGGAGCAGAGTAGAGCCTTCTAGAGCAGAACCATCAAGTGCAAATGCCCTGGGGCAGGACACTCGGAGCCAGAAGCCATCACCCGGAGCCCTAACAAGCTCCGCTATGTCAGAATACCACTCCTCTGGTACATGCTCACAGAGTGGGCAGAATAACCATATATCCATTTTAGCTGACACATACTCATTTCCATGAATCTGAGTTTTGCTTAAAAGACTGTTCACATACAAGAACAATTAAACATTTAGCAGCAAATGAAGAAAAAGCCTGAGGACACATTACTCCTTCAAATTTGAGGAGGGTACAGGCAAGAGACTTGACTCAAGCAATTCTTTTCCATTAGTGAAACCAGCAACTTTGAACTGGGGCTCCAACTCCAAATGCTGCTCACATGTATCCGCTCCCACCAGCCTTATCAGCAACTCCAAAAGGAGAATCCTGGTCCCAGACAGTCCAGCTGGCCAGAGGTGAGAAAAGGCCAGGGAACATGAGTCACTGGCATTCTGGGACATTCTGGCAACTTGTGCCTCCACATTCCATGTTTAAGAGGACACCCAAAGTTAGAGAAAAAAATAAGGAGAAAGGGAAGCCGTTTCTGTCCTGAGAAAACAGCAATAAGACCTCTGCAGCAAAAAAGTACTACAGCTTAGATAATGTTCTTAAGATGGGAGAGTGTGTCCATTACTCAGGACACAAGATGGTTTTCACCTTCCAGAGAGTCTACTGTGGGGTAGTTAAGTCAAGGATTGAGTTAGAATCCTAAAATTTATTCCCAACTCAATATGGACTGGCTAGAAACAAATCACCATCCCTCTCCAGGACTCAATTTCCTCAACTATAAATTGAGGATGATTAGATAATTGCTCGGGTTTCTTCTTTCAGCTCAAGGACCATATAACAAAATAAAAATAAGAACACCCCCTCCTCAAAGGATTTCTAGGGTTAAATGAAATAAACCACATACAGTGCTTGGCAGGGTGCCTACCACATGGAAAGTGCTCAATAAATGTCAGCAATGGTGGTGACAGTGGTGAGCTCATCACCTAAACCTGCCTCCTTCTTATCAAGAACACACCTGCTTTCCATGTCCTGTGTGCCATGAAGGTAACCGTCCCAAGAACCTACTACAATTGGAAATTAGACATTTATTTGTATCTTTTTGTCTGATGTCTTTCACCCCAGCTACTTCATGAGCACAGCAACCACGCCTGCCTTGTTCTCCACCAAATATCAGGGCACAGAACAGTGCTGGCACAGAGCAGGCTCTCACATATTTTTTAAACAAATGAACTGTGTGTATCTAATATAATCACTAACATTGAATGACTACATGACCAACCTTGTTCTCATGTTCAGGTAGCTATACGACAGACACCGTTTTAAGCATTTGATAGGAGTTCACTCACTTCTTCTTCATAATAACTCTACGAGGCAAGTTTTATTATTACCCCCATTTTAGAGATCAGGAAACAGGCATGAAGAGGTTTAGTAACCTCCCCAAGTCTACATGCAAATGGCAGAAGTGAGATTTGGATTCAGACAGTCTAGCTGTAGACCCACTCTCTACGCTACTCTCTTATGTCTGTTATACTTATTCTAGAGTCCAGCATTCCAAATGTACCTCTAATACAGGAAAAAATAATTTCCTCAAACTTGGAAATAGAAACTTAGGGCCATGGTTATGTCAAGCACCAGGGGTCGTGCCCTACTCCAGAGTAGCACATTAGCATAAGAATGCCCAAGAATCTTCCTCCCTGGCAGCCTTCACATGGTGCACTCTCCAACAGGCTGTTATGGCAACCGAAGCAGCACCAGAGAGTGGAGGAGGAGGAAAAAGTAATTTTAGCATGGCACAGACAGAGTTCAGAACCTCCACTTGGCCAATACCCAAACCAGCTGAAGAGCACTTGCTGGCTCTGAGATGTTCTTGAGACTGCTCCCTGGGTCGCCTAGAAGTGGATCTGTTGTTTGCTTGTTTGTTGTCTCTTAAATTTACATAATGTTATGATATAAATGTATGTGTGTGTGGAGTGATGCAAAGGAGGACATGCCAGGAGGAAAAAATGACAAATGGGGAAGGATGAGACATCACCCAAATGTCATCACAATTCTTCTTTAGTGATCATCCAAAAGTTATTTAATAATCAATAATTATTCATGGTTTAATGAATAGGAGAATAGAATATGCATGAGGGGAAACATGCTTTGGTGAGTGACTACTTAAATTCTTTTATTCTAGTATGTCACCATCTATACCACCCCCCAGCCGCCGCCCCGGGGGACAGTAGCTCCTCCTATCATTAAGATCACTGGTATCAAGCCCAAAGGGAGCTCACTCAGACTCTTGCCTCACCTCCTTGGTAACCATGGTAACCCTCAAGCCAGTGAGAGAAGAGGCCAGAGAGAGAGGCATCTGTGCTCAGAAGGAGAAGTAACTACTGAAAAGATGACTCAACAAACAGCTCTGCTCTGCCTCAGTCTCCAAGCTCTGCATAACCCCCGGAAGCCACTGCCAAGCATGTTCAAGAGTGGGGAGGCACAGGCCCCAAGGCCACCAAGAGGAGCCCTGCGGGCAGGGCCTGCACTGCCAGGAACTGAGGGAGCATTCGCTCACGGCTTATTAACTGCCATCACTGGACTGGTTCACAGTCTGTATGAATTCTTAGTGGAATAAGACTTTGTGTAAATTATACATTCCTTAATCTCTGATACAGCACCAGTGAGCTCCCACTTCCTCATAAATGTGTAAACTAAAATTAGTAGAAAATACTCTAAAACTGGGAGAAAGTCTTTGCCACAGTCCCTCTTTCAAACTGTAATCAACCATCCCTCTGAAAGACCCTGACTAAACATCATCTTTTGCAGGCCCTAATCATATCTATTTCCAGAAAGCAGATGCACTCAGGGGTGTGTGTGTTGTAGGGGTGAGGAATACCTCATTTTGCAACTAAGCAAAATCCACACAAAGTAAGAGGGTGGTGTTGCCCAAAAGCCCCTGCAGGTGGCGTAAGAGACCGCAGCTGAATTGACTCACAGTTCCAGAAAAACAGGAAGAAAACGTTGGAAATCTTTTTGCTTTCATTGATTCCAATGAAAACATCTTCTCTGCAGGTAGCCTCTAACACTCTACCGAAGGTCAAACCAGCTAGAGTTTCCTAGTGATTTTTTTTTTTTTGGACATGGAGTCTTGCTCTGTTGCCCAGGCTGCAGTCAGTGGCGCGATCTCGGCTCACTGCAACCTCCACCTCCTGGGTTCAAGCGATTCTCCTGCCTCAGCCTCCCGAGTAGCTGGGAACTACAGGCACCCACCACCATGCCCAGCTAATTTTTCTATTTTAGTAGAGACGGGGTTTCGCCATATTGGCCAGCCTGGTCTCGAACTCCTGACCTCGTGATCTGCCCACCTAGGCCTCCCAAAGTGCTGGGATTACAGGCATGAGCCACTGCGCCCAGCCCTCCTAGTGATTTATTACAGGGCAAAGGAGCCCTGGAGAATCCACCTTTTAAAAAGGAACAGGATTCCCTTTGCAGTCTCTCAAGAACACATTAGAATTAGTCAAGCTTAGGCTACAGTCCCTCCAGGTCAGTGATAACAAACGGTGATCTCCAGGTTGAAGCAGGCCTGCAGATGTCATTTTTTGACCTGCACAATGGGTAATATATATTTTAAAATTATTTGCCAACAAGAAATTTCACATAAAACTGGCTTTTCAGTTTGTCTTGAAACATTTAAAGAATCAGCAAGAGAGGGCCCATTTCCAGACCCAACAAAAATCAGCTAAACCTAAGTACCAGCTGCCTCCTTTTAAAGAAAGTCCCTGTACCCACAGGGCACAAATTTGTAACCCCTGCTTAGGCTGCAAGTCCTGGACCTCCACAAAATACAATTCCACGAAAACAAATGTATTGTTCAATAAAGACAATTGTCTAAGCACACAGCTATCTATTATAATAACACAAATGAGGTGTGGTTTCTACCTTTGGATGATTTATGAACAAGCACAGAACAATGAGGTAACAAAATACCAGAATGGCCCCTCCGGGGTTGACGGCTCAGATGGTCGTACTTCAGTCACCCGTAAAGAACCGATGAGTTGGGCTCTATAGAGTTTTCTGCCTAAGATTTTCTGAAGAAGGTGGGCTTCGATTTTCTGAAGACATTTCTGAAGACTTTGTTTTAAAGAAAGGTGCTATGTTTTCCAGACCTCTCACCCTAAAATCCAGACCAAAGCTTGCAAAATTCTCACCTTGGCAGCCCCGATCTGTTCCTTTCGAAACTTCTCCAAGGGAGTGATGAGCACCTCGCTGGCATTCTCAATCTGGTGAAGAACAACAGAGTAAGGGAAAGAAGACACAAAAGCAGTATCAGTAAAGAATTACAGCAGCTCCAGCATGAGATGCCTCCCCATGTCTTAAAATAAAATTTGGGGAGGCAGTGTTGTACATGTCAACTGTTTACAACCTTCGAACTAATAGCATGTCAAATCAAAACTGTCATCATTTCAAAACATGATAATCTTCCTCCCATGCATGATTAATACTGATTATTTAAAAGTAAAAATGAGGAACTCTAAAACTGTAAGCGATCCTCTGAAGGGGCAGAGGGGAACTGGTAAAAGAGTGGGGTCTAAGTTACAAGCTTCGGTGACATTTTCTTGCAAATATTCATTTACCCAAGTTATGGGTAAAGTAGATCAACACTGAGTCTAGGTTAAAAACAAATAAACAAAGAAACACCTCTGGACATCTGATGGCATAAAAACCTTCCAAGCTTGATTTTGTGTTGCTCTACCAAGACAGGACTGGACTAGAGCCAGGACACCTGTGCCTCCTGACTACTGGCTGCCTCTCAACTTCATCTCACAGGGCTCACCCCTCAGGTCCTGCATTCCAACCTACTGGCACTCCAATGCACCTCAAACGCACCAAACTCGTCCCACCTCAGGGCCGTAGCATTTGGCTATTCTTTCAGACACTGTGTTCCCAAACCCTTACAGGGACAGCTCCTTCATGTAATTAAGATTTCAGCTTAAAGGTCACCTCTTTAGGGAGGCCTTCCCTGACTACCAACATAACTCAACTTCCCTCCCCTACCAAGTGTGTTCTGGTTCACCACTACACACTACACATTTATACACACACACACACATGCGTGCACACACACACACATACACATCAGTATCTTGTAAAGGCTCACTTTGCCACCACTATCCCCAAAACAAAGAAGAGTGCTGAGACAAAGCAGCACTCAAACATATTTGAACGACTAAATGAATGAATGGATTAATTCTTGATTGGCTGCCAACTGTGTGACCATGGGCAAAACATTTAACCTCTCTGGGCTCTAATTTCGTCATCTGCAAAACGAGTGGGCTGAATTGTCCATCGCTAAGATTCTATGGTCTTTTCTAAGGCAGTACAATATTTTACAGTTTTTCCTTTTAAGTCATTCATTTATCACTCTTCGCTCAACTAATTATTCCAGGAATCTCGCTGCAACAAAGCATTATTTTTCCTAAACCACATGCATGTCCACTGCAATGAAACTAACCGGGTAAATGCCAGAAGTCACAGATGGACACAGTAAAGAACTAACTGAACAATGTAAGGGACAGAAAAAGTCAAGTCTCCAAATTTATTCCCATTTGCCTTTTTCTCAATTTGGAGATCACTTATTTCAGAAGAGTGAAATTTAAGACTAGAGTGTTGCGGTGTTAATTTGTTTGATTTTGTGATTTTTATTGTTATTCAATGTTACTTAATTGGTTCACTGAAGTCTTCTCCACAAACCATCTGCAAGTCTCTGAAGCTTACAAAGGTGTGCCAAGCCCCTAAAGTCAATGATTCTCAACCTTAACTACACAGTAGAATCACCTGGAAAGCTTTTAAAATCCCTAAGTTTAGGCTACACTCCAACTAACTCAGAATCCCTGGACTTAGTCCCAGACATCAGTATTTTTCAAACTCCCCAAGTTATTCCAGTGGACATCCATGATTGAGAATGCAGTCATAAGTAGTCGCTTATAAAACGAAAGTGCTCAACTGCTCACCTGGGAATCAGGACCCCCAAGTCCTTCGCCCAGCCATACTACTACTTGCTATCAGCCTTAATAAGACCTGTTTTCTCATCTGTCAAATGAGCAATTGCAGATGGTGAGGAATAAGGTCCCACTTAGTCTAAGATTCTACGACTGTGTAACATCCACTTGGTTCCAACACTGCCTGATGTTGGGGACATGGAAGCCCAGTCTCTGCCCTTGAGGAACTCATATTTACTACAGGGCACAGACAGGTACAATGTTTATCAGGACACAATGTGGTAAACACAGGATCAGAAGCACGAACTGGATGTTAAGAAAATACCAAGGGTAGCCATATAACCCAGGAAGTCAGGAAACGCTTCCCAGAGAAGGTGCGGCTTTGCTTGCTGAGCTTAACTGAACTGATGGAGTTGTCACAGGGCAAGGAGGTAGAGAAGGGGCTTGCTACGGCCAGATACTCAGATGCAGACAGTAGAAACTCAATTCACTGACATTAATAATAAAATTGCAGAGGCAAGCTGAAAAGTATAATCCAGTCATTGTTCCCTTACCACAGGCCATAGCAATCTGCAGGGTATTCATGGTGATTTGCTTGCCACACCCCCACCCCCAAATACTAACTCAGCCAAGAATCAGACTCAAAAGAATCATTTCCCTTTCTTAGGCACCAGCACATGCACAAACACACAAGCTTTCCCTTGCTTCCACCCACCACCAACCCCCACTGCTGCCACCACCACCCTTCTGATTCTGGTTCAGGCACCAGCAGTGAGCAATCAAGAGAAAGTGGTCTTTCCGTAGGGCAAAAGGTAAGAGGTTTCTACTCTGTTTGGAGTTTTAAAGAAATCCTTTTTTTTTTTTTTTTTTTTTTTTTTGACACAGGGTCTTGCTCTGTTGCCCAGGCTGGAGTGCAATGGTTCAATCACAGATCACTGCAGCCTTGACCTCCCTGGCACAAGCGATCCTCCTCCCTCCTCCCAAGTAGCTGGGACTACAAGCATACGTCACAATGCCAGTCTTCTTAAAAAAAAAAATTTGTTGAGATGGGGTCTCACTATGTTGCCTCCAGACTGGTCTTGAACTCCCAGGCTCAAGCGATCCTCTCACCTCGGCATCCCAAGGTGCTGGGATTACAGGCATGAGCCACCACACCTGGCCCCCACATTTTTTAATATTTTTTAATATAATGCAGACTTGGGTTTGAACCCAGACTGTATCACTTATTAACTGTGTGATCTGTGACAAGTTACTTAACCTCTGTAAACCTCAATATCTTCATCTGAAAAATGGCGATAATATAGATACCACTTCCCAGAGTCATCATGGGGGTTAAAATAGAAAATGCATCTTGGTGAATAGTGTTCGAACTACCAACTGTTAGCATGGGAAGAAAAGAAAATGTTGATTGATGCAGTATTTCCTAGGACTTTAGAGCACTGCTGCCTGAAGACACGCCCTCCTAGCAGAAAATCAGTGTACAGGCAGCAGGGGACTTCAAGTCAGCAGGGGACTTCATTCCTCATATCTTAGGGATATGGAGAAAAATGCAAAGGAACTTCCTGTAGATGTGGAATCTCTTATCTGCTAATGCTGAACTATATCAGAATAAATTATAGGCAGGGTTGCTCATGCCTGTAATCCCAGCATTTTGAGAGGCAAGGCAGGAGGATCACTTAAGGTTTGGAGTTCGAGATCAGCCTGGGTAACACAGCAAGACCTCATCTCTACAAAAAACAAAAATAAATTAGCTAGGCACAGTGGTGCACACCTATAGTCCTAGCTACTCAGGAGGCTGAAGCAGGAGGATCGCTTGAGCCCAGGAGTTTGAAGCTGTAGTGAGCTATGATGGTACCACTGCACTCCAGCCTGGGTGACAGAGTGAGACCCTCTCTGTCTTCCAGAACAATAAATTCTAGTACAAAAGATATCTCTTAAGAACCTGGAGATCAGCATTTGACTCTTAAATGTGGACAATGCCTCTCTGAAGAGCTTTTTATAGTTACCTTCATTACAAAGTACCTGTTTACTGGGTCCCTCCTACCTGGCAGGCACTGTGTTGGGTGCTTAAAAATGAAGAGGGAAGTGATCCTGCCCTCAAAGAGCTCTTGATCAGGTTCAATAAGATGGGGGGAGGGGCAGAGTGGGGCACCTTCTTTCCCATTCTGCTGGTAGAGAATCCGACGCCCAAAAAAGTGAAATAATTCAAAAGATCCACCCTTAAGTCATACACCTTATGAAAAGACCTTAAAATGAATCTTCAGAAGGACATCATTTAACTACGTTGTTCTAAAGTTATCCACCAGAGTAATCCTTTAATATTTACAAAAGCCTTCAAACTCTACAAAGATGAGGCTTGCTGAAGAGCTCAAAACATTCAAATGGCAGAGTCTGGATTTGAATCTAGTTCTTCTGATACCCATCCCTTGCTCCCTCAACACGAATATACTATCTGGGACCAAGAGTAGCCCAGCCCTACTCACCATCCGTATCCGTTCATCTTCAAGATTCCTGAGGACAGTGGCAAACTCCTGCAAAGATCTTGCTGGAAAACAGAAAGGGGCCATGAGGTGGAAGGAGTGTCATGGGCCTTGGGGAGCCTTTCCAGCTCTGGCTATTATGTTATGGATTTTAATTCCTTGGCACATACAGATGCCTAAAGTCAATTGCTTCCCAAGGCTCCCTTCATCTTTTTAATCATTAACCATTAAGGATGACCCAGAAATGCAGGTTAATTCCACCTGGCACTCTAGCTAGGGAATGATTTCTTCAAGGAAAAGATCTGCCTGTTCCTGAGAGTATCCAGGACTGGTGAGATGCTGGCAGGCTTCCAGGCCCCGGGCTGGAAGGGGCAGAGTTCCGCTTAGGAGTTGAAGGATTTCCTGTCTGGATTCGACCTCCTCAACCTTTGTCATGGCGTTGCGTCAGAACCCAGCCTTTTCTTTGGCACCAGAGCTAAATAAACAATGCTGCTGGCATTGGAAGCCACATCTCTGGCTTCTCTTTGGGTTCCTCCTGAGTCCTCAAGCCACTCATTAATAGAATGCAGCTCGAAGCATGGTGCTCATACATGAACAGTCGTCTTTGCCAAAATTATTCATAAAAGCAATAAGCATTACGTGCAATGGCCCTGAGGATACTCGAGACCCTTGAGCCATGTTGGGAAAAGCAGCCATACATTCACAAGTTACAAGGATACATTTTCACCATTCTCAGCTGTCTCCCAATTGCCTGTACTCAGCCCCAGATGCTGATGTTCTACATGGCAACAGGAACTCAATAAGCATTTGATGAATTAATTAATCCAATAAAACTTTCTCAATTCTCGCTCATTTAATGGAGTCAACCAAGGTGCCTATAGAAGAATAGTGTGCAATGACAAGGCCCTGGCAAAGAAAGGTGTCTTGACATTGCGAATCCTCCATGCTTACGGCTGCCTACAGACCAAGGCAGGTGATGGTGAAGAGTGAAGCAACACACCGTGGTGATAAACAGTAACCCACCTCAGCCTCTTTTTAAGGAAACAGGAGTGGCGGGGACCTCCCTGTCCACAGCACAGGAGAACCAGATACGGAGCTCCTCTCCCTATCTGAAGGCAGTGGCAGACGCATAGCTCAGCCAACTGCTGCCAGGTCAGAAGAGGGAGCCAGTAGATCAAATTCTCAAACTTTTCAAAGAAGCTGGAAAACTGGAATTTTAGATTATAAATTGAATTTATATGGTAATTCAATTTTAAAAAATGAGAGCCAAAGAAAACTGGGCTGTGTTCTCATCTCAGCCTATTATTTTGCAACCTCTGATCTAAATTTCCCCTCATCTACCTGTGTTCTACATATGCTCTAAGCTCTTAGTACTATGGTTGAAGGGGAAGAATGTCACCAGCCGGAAAAATACTAAAGGGAGGTGGAAAGGAGAGTCCCACTGCAAAACTTCAAGCTTTCTCTCCTGCATGCTGGAGGGTGAGGCAATCCCAAAACTCGAGAAGACCAGAGTAGCCCCAAGCTCCGATCCTCACATATCTCTGGCCCTCCACTTCCACTAAGGACTTCTTTGTTTACTAACCTTAGAGACTTCCTATCTCAGGGAAAAGGCTCTGCTGGGACACTGAAGGCTATGACAAACAATGAACATTTTTATCTTCTGCACAGTTATGACTTACCTATACACATCTCATCATCTGTTTCTGCATCTCCTATGCACTGAAATTTAAATTCATTTAAGGAATCTGCAAACTTCCGCTTCGCTGAAGACAAATCTAGCAAGAAAAAGACAGGAAAAATCAGGAATTACTAAAATTAAACTGGCTTTCTGATTTGCTGCCCTTATTGGTCCTTCTAGGAATATCTTAGGAGGCGGATTTGTTCCTGAGTCCATTTCAAAGCACAAAAGAATATAAATTCAAAATAGTCAACACTTGGTTACAATATGAAGCACTGATTTGTTCTAGAAGTTAATATTTTTGTTATATTGGCTTTAACAATTTAAGTTCTATCTCTACTTTCTAAAGGCAACTTGTCATCTCCGTTTGACATGTGGGAATCCACTTGCCAAAGGAAGTCGGGGAGAAAGCTTGGATCAGAGCCAACATTAGTGTCCACAGCCTGCAGGTCTGCTCTGCCACTGACCCTCCACACAGTCAGTGCAGTTTCCCCCACAAGTCTGACTCAACAGTAATTTCCCCTAGGTCCTACTCACAACACAAACTTTCACTAGGGAGGGAGCCTGGAGAAGGCTGGAAGGAGGGGCTGGGAACTGCCCTGCCCATAGCACCTGGCCTTCCTCTTCTGACTCAAGCACAGGCGAGGCCCAGGTTCTCACAACCCTCTCCACTCTCCTCATGAGCAGAGTGGACCACCAGCCTGACAAAGCTCACCTGAATTTTCCTGGCTGGCCACATCCAACACCACCAGGAGAACAAAGCCCCGGCAACATTTTGTATTAGGGTAAAAACACATGCCACACGCAGTATCCATAAGAAAAACTCTCAAGAGCCCTTATCATTAAAAAGTCATCATCATAAACTTTCACTGAAGATAGTAATGAAAGCCAGTGATCCTTCCGGAGTCTTCAACATCTCTTAAGGGTATGAAACCACCAAGGTACCTTTAAGTGGACTGGCAGATCTGGCTGCTGAGGACAAATGTGCTTAACTTAATTCCATGTGCAGTCTTCCTGCAGATTAGGCTAATCATTCAAATTACCCTCATACATGGTTCCCTCATTGAAGGGGAAATGGCATTATGTCCAAATGCCCAAGGGAGGGAAACATGAGGCAGAACCAGCAACAAGGCCTGGCTTTAATAAGATATGGGTGGTGGGGGGGTGTACTGTGGCTGCACAGATCAACATAAGCTACTAGAATAAAAGCATCCGTGACTCCCAGTACTTTTTCTTAGCTCCCAGATTTGTCCCCTGAGGTTAGGGATCGTGTTTTCCACCTTTCTGTTTGTTTTGGTTTGTTTCCTCTGTGTACCTGGCAGTGCATCCTGCTCAGTGTATGCTGAATAAATGTGGGGGGCGGTGGGAGTGGGGGCACTGGATACAAATCCAATCCCCAGTGCTCCTTCCAAGCAATGGCTGCTAGTGGAAGAGCTGGGCGTGGGCTGTGCTGCTGTTCTCAGGACCAGGGCTCAAGCTACTGCATGGACAGCAGCTGCAGCTCCTGCTCCTGGACTGCCCTCCCACACGCTGTGATGACACGGTCCCGAGATAGCTGCGGTTTGTCCAAAGCGCTCTGCTCTACACCAAAAGAAGGCACTTGGGGTGGAGAAGGGGAACACAGGAGCCAACAGTCTCCGATCTCTCCCTCGTTCAGTCACTTTCACAGAATGGTCCTTACCAAAATGTCAAAAGATGTTGGCAGGGGACTCAGGCATCTGACAAAAATGGCCAGCCCAGGCTGAGGCTATCCCTCAGAACACAAATCACAAAAGGCAAGCCAGGAAGGAAACAGATGCACCCAAAAGCCAGAACACCGTGGGCAGGAAGGCAGGAGGAGGCTACAGGTAGACACAAGAAAAAAGGGAAAGAATAATATTTTAGAGTGGAAGACAATGTTCTGTTAGAGCCTCCAAATGTGTGTGCATCAAATGTGGGTGTGGTTATACACATTCCCATTTTAGTCAGAATGTTCCCTGATGAGAACGCACAAAGTCTGCACTAAGAGTAACACAGGTTTGCCTTTCTACCCACCCGACAATCCTGTGCCTCCCCCATAAGCAAGAGAAACTCAATCATCTCAACAAAGTGGAAACAGGTGAAATGCAAGCCAGGCTCGGGAAAGCTCCCAGCACACACCTGAAAAGCCGCACTGCCAAGGGCAGCTGCCAGGAGGATCAGGGAGTGGCTGGTCATGCACAACGGGGCCTTTGTGAGGCTTCTGCACAGGGGCACCCATTGAACCAGGGCAGGGCCTGTTAGCTTATGACCAGCAGGTGACCTGATTTCCTTGTCCACTGGCACAGAGCACACCCTGCCACAGTGCAAGCCTGAGAAGCAGTGAGGACCCCATGAAGCTGAAGGACAGGCCGATCCCCCGATAGACGATTAGGTAATGACTGCTGGTATGGAGTCAGTATTGGGCTTCAAGCCAATGAGGAAAGCTGGGTAGAGCGAGAATCCTGATGAATGGACCTGAAAAAGGAACTCACCTCAGGCTTGATAGAGGAATTTTTCAGTACAGCTAAAGTGGACACCTGTCCTTTTACTTGTTTGGAATCCATTCCCCAGACTTTGGGACAGCATCTCAAGCTTGTTTTGGAGAACCTCCCTTCTCCACTTGCATTCTATGGGGTGATGGTGACAGGGTGATCAACCCCAACCCCTTGCCCCCACCCCAATCCCACAGCTCCTGGGTTCAAGTTCCAGCTCCAACATAGATCAGATATGTAACCAACCCTGGGTTAGTCATAAAGTCTCAGTTATCTCATCTGACGGAGGCTGTCAGCCCGTGGGTTAGGCAGGGAGGATCCAGTGAGAAACACTGTATAGGCACTCTGCACATCACAAGACTCAGTTCTAGGTATAGCTGGGCTATTCTTTCCTCATATATGAATCCTCCAGTAAGAGGAACCAGGAAAGGTAAGCATGAATAACTGTTTGGAGCTCGGAGAAGTTAAAGGACTGACCTAAGAGTGCAAGGCCACTAAGGAGAGGACCTGTGACTTAAGTCCTGTGAACTGAGATCCTTGTAGTATGTGGGAACACCATACCACTTCACCCCATTAAGGTAAACCCTCTATGTTACTTGAGAGATTGAAAACAACACTAAAAAGAGAACTCTCTACCTAAAAACCATTGCTTCTTGCCAATTTCAATCCAGTAAGATTGGTGGTATCTTATGTAGATTTTCACCTTGGATATGGAGCAGCCCAAAGATTTATTTCAAGAGCTTTCCCTCTGATGCACACAGGAATCTAACACACACATTCCAATAAGAGGAGAGAGAAAAGAGAAGAGGCTGGCACTGGTGCTGGGTGCATGCCAAGCGTCGTGGCACCCTCCTCATATAACCCTGCTGTTTCATGTGCAGGCAGTGCAAGACACAGCAAGGAGCCAAGCAGAGTCAATAATATTTACTTTGCAGAAACATCTGTTGCTAGAAAAGCAGAATGCTGGCCAGAGTGGAGGGAAGTCATAACTGCCGGCATCTGGGGAGGCCAAGTATCTGCTTTCCAGAGTAGGTAGGGCTGTGCTTCTCTGAGTGAGGGGACCAGATGGCTAAGAAATATGGAAGCAGCTAGAAGTTTGGGCCTTGAGAGACTGCTCCCAGAGCCACCTGCTCACTCAGGGACTAGAGGAAGTGCCCTTCTTTTCTTGGAGATGCCAGCAGATATTAATCTGCACCGGATTTAAGAGAATTTAACCCAAATAGATCCAACTTTCACTAACACAGAAGGTTTACCATAATTTTTTAAAAATTAGAATCTACCTTAATTTTATACAAGTTGTACCAGTAATACCACAAGTCAAGCCATTTCCTTTTTCTCCTTGGGTAAAACTTAACATACATGTGCACACACAAACATGGACTCAGGTAACCTTACTACTGTATTTTCAGTGCATCTATTGCCTTTGTGACCTCCAAAGTTACCAAAATTGTGTATTAACTACCCTTGAAATGTTTTGCTGCTCAGTCACATCTTTCCCTTTGGACTTAGAAAGTGATTACAGTTCCGGGAGGCCAAGGCGGGTGGATCATGAGGTCAGGAGTTCGAGACCAGTCTGGCCAACATAGTGAAACCTCATCTCTACTAAAAATACAAAAAAAAATAAAATAAAATAGCCGGGTGTACTGGTGTGCACCTGTAATCCCAGCTACTCAGGGAGGCTGAGGCAGGAGAATCGCGTGAACCCGGGAGGCTGAGGCTGCAGTGAGCCGAGGTTGCACCATTGCACTCCAGCCTAGGCGACAGTGTGAGACGCTGTCTCAAAAAAAAAAAAAAAAGAAAAAAGAAAAAGAAAAAGAAAAGAAAAGAAAGTGATTACAGCTCAGAAAGGCCATCATTGAGGTTAGAACTTGCAACAGGATTGGCCTCATGGCTGCCTAAAGTTCAAGAATACCAAAGTCCCCGGGCCTTGTTAATCTCTTCCTTTCCTGGACGCCAGTTACTCTCTGTGCCTCATCACCTTGTATTTGGAATAATTCTGGAACTAGTCATGAATGGCTTCATGTCACAATGCACAAAGAGTGCCTCGGACAGGGCTGGACACAGTGTCCCTCCAAACCTGTTGTACGATGTGAGCGGGCAAGGAAACACAAGCTGGCTTACAGGTGGAATACCTGAGAGTCTCCAGAGAGGACCCATGACAGACAGCTGAGACATGGATGGACACGAGCCCCAGAGAGACTTCAGGTTTAGCCCACACCCCCATTCCTAGGTCAAACTCAACACACTCAAAACAAAACTCTCTCTACTCAAACACCCTCTGCCACCCTCTCCCCAGAGAGCCAGCCGAGGGCCTCTTCCTGCATCCCCAGTGTAACGAAGGGCACCACCATTCACCCTGCCGCACAAGTCACCAGTACATGTCATCCTCTCACACAGCAGGCTCCCTCATGTGCCATGTCCATTCCCAAGTCTCCTAAGCACATCTCAATTCTGCCCACTCCTTCCCATCACTATCAGCAACCCCTAAACAAAACACCTCCATTTGCCCAGATAACTGCAACTGCTCCTCTCTGGCCTCCCCACATCCACTTTTGTCCGTCAAATCAGTTCTCCACCCAGTTGTGTCAATACCAGCAGTGAGCCCTGTGATGGCTTCCCAGAGCTCTGGAGGTGAAGACGAAAGTCCCTCCCAAGGCCTGAGAGGCCCTGCAGGGTCTGGCCTCCCCACACCCCTCTCTGGGCTCCAGCTGCTCCAGCCTCTGCCAGTTCCCGGGGCATGCCCAACTCCTACCTGCCACCACATGCCACCTCTGCCTGCAGCCCTTGGCCCAAAAGTTCTTTCCTCCAGGAAGCCTTCCCTGACTTCTCTAATCAGGCCAAACCCAACCCTATTTCTCACTCTCTGAGTACTATACTATAGATCTTTTCTTCAGAGCAATTTTATATTTGTTCAGGTAATTCTTCTCTTCAAGTAATGCCTCCCCAACTAGTACATTCTATAAGGATGAGGATCATATCCCTTCATGCTCACCACTCTATCCCCAAAGCCCAACACTCTACTGCTTGACTGAGAGCAGGTATTGCAGAAAGAACAAAGAGAGAGGAAGTTGGGCACTCCATAAGTCCATTAGCCTTCATCAGAGGTGAACCTCCCAACTCAATGTTTGACATGTGAAAAAAAAAGCAGGTAAGTTAGGACAAACTCTCCAACTTATGTAAGTCTGGCTAGAGCCTGATATATATGTGGGAATGTGCTTCCTATTAGCATGTGACCACCTCCCTTCATGTTGTCCATTGAGGAAGAGTCCCACAGAGCTGGAGGGAGAGCTACCACCAGCAGGAGCATAAAATAAAACCTCACCTATACCAAGGAAGCTGGAGAAATGAGCTACATACAACCCAACTGCTGGCCACAACCAACTGTCCTCTCTTAGCCCCAGCACAAGCCCCAGGTTGCAGTTAAAATGGTTTAAGGAAGAGTCCCCAGAGATCGCTCTTTTCTTTCTCCCCGTATCTGGGAAAACTGAGAACATATCCAATCAGAAACTGTGCTTGGAGAGAGGCATTTCCAACGACTCCCCATTTCCCCAAGTCTGTATGTAGCAGTTTAAACCTAGTTCGATGTGCTTCATTATAAGAAAAGCAAGTTACAGTCCCTTGTAAATACCATTCTGCAGCCCAGACTCCTGGCATTGTACTAGCAAAAACAAACAAAACACACACACACACACACACACACACACACACACACACACCCTGTGCAAATCTTAGAATGAAACAAAATTCTCCATAGCATTTTTCTCGTTTCCGTGACACACGGTCTTACCTGTGGCCACTAGGTGGCAATCAACTATATCAGAGAACACCTTGACCAAGCAGCTAATTTAAACAACAGCTAAGACTCAAGGAGAAATGACAGGGCCAGCCTTAAAGGCAGTGCTGAGAACAGATCCTGTCCCACTGAGGAACAAATAACCACCTAGAAATGTCCAGTGGACACTCAGCAACTGAGAGAGGGGCCCTGGCTTCCACATTGGAAGAAGTGCTCTAACACATTCGGAGGGCCTGTGCTCTCATACAGCAAGTCAAGCCTGAGACATGGAGTGGGAGGGGTATAGGGATGAAGTCACCACCACAGTGTCTCTCACATTCTTTCAGATCTGGCTGGAGCAGATTCAGAAAACCTCTTATCTCCCCCAGGCGGATGATGTGCCCACCGACCACATCAGCCACGGTACGTTACATAACATGCATTCTGATCATACATCTGCGTGCTTTTCCTGAGGCCATTTCCCTAAAACAGCATTTCCTAAATGAGGCCATCACCAGCACTGATTCTGGAAAATTTGTTTTTCCAACCAGAGCACTAAGGCTAATGAAATTTTCAGAGTTGATTTTTAAAATGAAATCAAGTAGAATAAAGACGTGCTCCTCTTTCCAAAATGAGGTTTCTAATTCTATTTAGATGAAATACCCCTTAAAAATAATTTGGGCTACCCAAACTCACCTTAATCTACATCCAAATAACTATGAATATATTATATACATTAACTTACTGAATACTGTACCTACCAAGTACTTTAAATCCCTCCATCCTCACAACCATTCTGTTGAGTAGATATTATTACCTCCATTTTGCAGATGGGAAACTGAGGCTCAGAGAGGTTAAATAACGTGCCCAAGATCATGCAGGGAATGAGTGGTAATGTAAGAAACTTGGTCTCTCTGACTCCAAAACTCTTAACTACTACACTATATTGCCTCATTTACTCAAATATTTGAGAATCTGGTATCAATGTATTCAAAGAAATGAAAAGATGGTATGTATACATTCCGTGCCTTAAGGGGAATACAATTTTTAGAAGGGCCTAATCTGTGTGTGCAAAACTACAAAATTAAGGTAGACTGTGCTAGGGCAATCAGAGAGTAGACAAAAATGGCTACAGAAATGCAAGTGGGATATTATTCCGGCTAGGGCCATTGGAGGGGGCTTCCAAAAAAAAAAAAAGAAAAAAGAAAAAGAACAGGGAGTAGCGTTTGAGCTGAACCTTAAAGTTCAGTCCTATTTGGATATGTAGAAAAGGGAAGCGGAAGCAGTCATGGGAAGATGCTATAGAAGTGGAAACATGGAGCAAGGAGATGCGAAATGCAGAACCTACCCAGAAAAAGCAGCAAGTTTAACTAGATGGACAGGAGGTCAGAGTGGGAAGACCGGTTAGAATCAAACCATGGAAGGACCTGTATGCCAAGCTAAGGAATTTGAACTTACTCCCTTAAAGAAATGGGAACTGGATTGTTATACAGAGGAGCAACAAGATCAACTTAAACAACAATTAAGCCTTTTACTAAGGAGCTGGCCCAGAACTTTGTTGGAGACACCTACTGTAACTCCTCCAGCAAGCTTCACTATGAGAATGTGCAACCACAGCCAAGGGGCATTCTCCCTGTAGGTAACTAAATGACAGGCAACACCTCTCAACTTGGACATTTGTGCACAGACCATTGGTCAGCCAGGAGATAAGGAAAGAGTTATAAGGGATTCAAAAAAAAAAAAAAAAAAAAAAACTTCTCCGTGTTGAAAACTCCAAGTTCTGGGCCCACTACGACTTATACATAACTGTATGCAAATAATGTATACAAATACATATGTATTTCCAAAGTGCTGTATTGGCTTTTCCTCATAAGAACATTGAGAGTTAAGTGAAAGCACCTGACCTCTTCTAGATGAAGAAATTAAGGACTGGCTTAATGACAGTGCAAGTCACATAGTAGGTGCTTAATAAACATTTACTGGATCAATGACCGCTGTGTCAAGTGAGTTAGTCAGCATTGGATCTCCGATGAAAACTCAACCCCTAAAGAGCCCAGCCCCAGCTCAGCCCTGGCACAGAGAACTGAGGTACTGTATTTAGAACAACTGCATTCACATGCTGCCCCAAGACATGATAAGACAGCAGAAGGTCACCACAGGAAAAACTCCCTCAAGGAAGACTGTGGACATTTCTTAATGAAAACAAAGAAACCCATTTTGAGAGGGACTAATCAAGTGAGGGAACAAAAAAGAGAGGGTAATTCCAGGCAGCTCAAGTACAAATATCACACACACACGGGGCAAGGGGAAGGTAATTCAGAGGCGTATGACGCGCATTGGCTGCGCAAACATCAGCTTAAATCCCGGTCTCTCACTTCCCAGCTGTGTGGCCTTTGGCAAATTACCCAACCTTTCCAAGCATGTATGTAACTGTGAGGACAGTATGTACCTCACAGGGCTGTTGTGGGAATTCAAAATAGGAAAGACACATGTTCTGGAAGAGAGAGGACAGGGATGCCCCCGGCCCTGCCTTGCTTTCCTTCCCACAGCAGAGGTGGAGTGGAAGTTTACCAGCAGGTTGGAGAAAGGAGAATCAACCAAAGGAGAATCTTAATTACCATAACAATTAAGCAATTTTTGCCTCATTGAGTCACCAGATCAACCCCATTCTTGTGAACTACTAAAAACACACCTGAGTTCCTAAGGGTTTTCTTCAGTGCTCAGAAAACCCCTAATGCTTCTACAAATTTACAATTTCCTTTCACCTCTGGCAGATGAAAGGCAAGGCAAAACCCGGATGGACCATTTTTTAACTAAACCAATTTTTAACTAAACGAACTCAAAGCAGTATGGGTTTCTTTTTGTGAAGTTTATTAAGCTCAAGTCGTGCCTTTTAAATGCACCGGGGAAACAGTGCTATCATCAAATCCTTTCTGTCCACTGCCTGGGGAGGCAGGCCAGCCCCAGATGAAACAGATAAAAGAATGAGTGTGTTAAGACGACATTTAAGACACAAGAGACTGACAGCGTTCACAGGCCTGAAGTACTGGGCTTCCTCAGAAGGTGGAACTTGAGCTTGGCCCCTAAGGTAGACACGTTTCTAGAAAGGGGAGGGGGTGGTGAATTAAGAGGAGACCACACAAGTCAGACCCACTCACTGGGTCAGACTAGGGCTGGAAAAACCGGTAGGGGCTGGTGGGTGGAGATAGAGGGAGATAGAGGTCTAAGAATGGTGGGGAGGGGCAGGTGGAGCAGGGATTCCTCTCTCTCAACACCTCAGCAGTTCTGTTCTGCTCAACACCAAGCAGGTGCGCAGATAGGAGGCAGTGGGGCTGGGAGGGTTGATCCTGGCTTGAGCCTCAAGACTTAGATTTTGTTTCTGGAATGCCTTTTCCTCTGCAGCAGAGACAGCTACTCAAGCTTTAAGGTGCACCCAATCACCTGGGATCTTGTCAAAATTCCCATGTGATCCAGCAGGCCTGGGAGCCCGAGAGTCTACATTTCTAATTCCCAGGTGAAGCCAATGGTGCTGATCCAGGCACCACACCCTCCAAGGCAAGGGTTTGGACTCCCACTCAAGACCCTGACAGAGAAGATCACAGCTTCTTTATTCTCCTAGCACGTGCCTGGAACATACAGGACCTCAATATATATTGGAGGAATGAATGAATAAATTCCTTGAGAGAACTTAAGCTGTTGCAGACAGAATAGAAAAGAACCCAGAAAAAGAACCAGAAATGGCGTGTCTCCTTGTGCAGCCACCAACTATACATGTGAACCTAGGGAGAGTTATGTGACACACTCGGCCTTAAAAGAACTCACTTGAGGCCGGGCGCAGTGGCTCACGCCTGTAATCCCAGCACTCTGGGAGGCCGAGGTGGGCGGATCACGAGGTCAGGAGTTCAAGACCAGCCTGGCCAACACAGTGAAACCCTGTCTCTGGCTAATACAAAAATTAGCTGGGCTTGGTGGTGGGCACCTGTAATCACAGCTACTCGGGAGGCTGAGGCAGGAGAATCGCTTGAACCCAGGAGGCGGGGCTTGCAGTGAGCCGAGATCGTGCCATAGCACTCCAGCCTGTGTGACAGAGCAAGACTCCTTCTCAAAAAGAAAAAAAAAAAAAAAACCTCACTTGAAAACCAAGGAGCCAACCCCTTTCCGTAGCTCTAAGATCCCTCCCAAAGTATCTTTTCTGTGCCTTTTATTTTTAATGGTGAGGTTATATACTGGATATTCCTACAGCAAGGCACACCTCTATGTCATTCTCAAAGAGCAGTTTCCAAAAATCCAATTGAGAGAACACAGACTCTGTTAGTCTCAGCAAATAACCATAGCAACTAATACTCCCCAAATGAAATGATGTCTTCACAATGATGTGCTGGCTCAATTAGATTAAGAGGGTGACGTGTACCATCTGAAAATTTATCGTCGTAAACTTACAGTGAAAGCCAGACCTTCTTGGAAGAGGTTTATAAGTAAAAGAAAGGCCTTGCCAATAAATGGAATTCAGGACAAAGAGCCAGAGAAGTCAAGCAGATGAGGAAATTGGGAAGGACTGCTCTGCCTCTCCAGGTTCACACAGTCAGGGCCCACGCACCCAGACAGAACCCAGAACTTGGTTAAACAGTTAGAAATCTGAGTACCACCACTTCTACCAGGGAGTTATCAAAAGACTGCCATTTTATCCTTGTTCTATGCCTTTCTTCATACATATTACAAAAGGAAAATACTGCTACCTCAGAAAAGTCTGCAGAAATATTTACCAAAATAATTGTAAAACTTTTAAATGAAAAAGAGGACAACTTCAAAATAACAAATTAGGGCTGATAATACATTTCCAGCCAAATTAATTTCTCCACAGGTCATCACAGGATGCAAATCTTTCTGTTACAAGGTTTTCTGACTGGAGTTAGAACTGTGAATGGAAAACTCAACGTCTATAAGTTCTACAACTTACTGTCTTTCCACATCCTTAGGCCTGCCTCTTCCAGGGTCCATGCAATCACATTTGCCCTGAACAAATTTGGGCAAGCAAGAACCTCACTTGAAAAGCAGGAAAAGAGAAGCCAAGGCCTGTCACCTCCCTGTAATCCCTGAGCTTTCTAGCTTTCTCTAGCAAAGAACAAAAAGAAAAAAAGGAACAACAAACAAGCCAACCCATAACCAAGCCCAAAGAATCAGAGTTTCACTGGCATTCAACAGTTGTGAATTCGGAAAGTCACAGACGGCAGAACCTGGAGCCATACACAAGGATCAGAAACCCCTGCACTGTTCCTACCAACAGCTAACGTGAATTTGAGGGCAATCAAGAGAAAAACAAGGTATGGTGGGTAAATCGAGGCCTTCATCCAGCCAAATAAGCTTAGATTTGTGGTTAACAGACTCCCAGCGTTCAAAATCCCATCTCACCCATTTACAAGGTACTCAATTTCCACCTGTGTGAAAAGGCACTAAAGGGAAACCTGCCTCCTGAGGCTCCTGTGAGAAGAGAGATGATGCACTGAAGTGCTTAGCACAGGGCCTGGCCGGCAGCAAACACTCAATAAACCATAGGTATTAGAATCATTTACATATATATTTAATAAATAACATGCCAGGCTGATTTGTTTCTGCGTAAAAATGAAAGGACAATGAAGCCACCCGGCCCCTACCACTTTGACTCCCTCTCGCCCTCCTCACCGTCAGTCCACACAGCATAATTAGGATCAAAACTGAATCCACCTGATCCCTGGACACAGCTCAGACACTCCTTGCCACTAATACCACAGGAAGCAAGGTGGCAACTCCTAAGCATCAGAATAAATTCAGTTAAAAAACAAAAATCCGCTCATCTCCCCCTGGATGAAATTCATGTTTCTGGAAGAAAAAAGAAAAAAAAAAAACGGACCTAGCCATTCTGAACAAAGCCACACCTAATAACATTCCCAGAAATTGGTTTCACTTTCTTTTATCCCCTCTTTAATTAGTCACTTTTCTGCTATACCTCAGGGGAGGCTGTGCTCCAGGGACCAAGAACGGAAGCCTGAGTGGGCAAACACTTACCCTCCTCATAGGTGCCCACGAAATCCCCAGGCTCCCCGCCTCCCCACTCTGCACCGTCTCCTCTCCAGCCTGGATTCCAGTCCAGGCAGGAACTCATGCTCCAGCAAGGAGTACCCCTTGCCACTGCAGACCACCACAGAATGAGAGAGGCCAAAGATAAGTGTTTCTCAAAACGTGTCTGAACACCGCTTGCAATAGGTGTTGCAAGAGCCCTTCCAGGGAGCCCACCCTCAATCAAAATCTCTAGGGCTGAGGCCTAGGAGCCTGGGCTTCCCAGGCAGTTCTTATCCATGCTGAAGTTTGAGAGCTGATACCACCTAACCCTTCAGAACATCTAATACTAAGTACCAGTAATGGAACCCCTCCAGATGACAAAGGTGGAGCTCCACAGAGCAAGCCGGATCTTCTAAATCATGACAGTGGGTTTACAAATGTTCCCAAAGCAGGCAATTAATGCTCGTGGTAGAAGAAAGCTAGGTGACAGCAGGGGTGGGAGGAGGAAACATCCTAATTCAATTTAAAAATCACAAATTCTGAAGCCTGAGTCTTCTTCAAAACATGTTCTCAATCATGTCTCCTTATTCTGAAGCCTACACAACTGACTGGGAACACATCTTTGTTTTGTAGAAACCCAGCTCATGGCACCTGGAGCTGATGAATGGCCCTGGTGCTGACTGCCCAGAAACCAATCCGGAAACCAGGCTTCCCACAGAAGAGGCAGCTGGAGAGCCAAGCACTCTTGGACTACAGTCCTAGGCTGGAGCTGCCAATACAGGCTCTGCCCAGCTAATCTTCTCTGAGCCTGCAAATATTAAACCTGACATACAGACTCAAGTGAATCCAGAAAACAGGCTCACAGGGCAGCTGAAAATTCCAAGTGCCTAAGGTATAGGCAGGGCGGCTTCATGGGCATTCAACCAGTACAGATGCACAGGGTCCCATGCTCAGAAGGGCCTGCTTGGCTTAATGCTCTGCTGTAGCTGTCTTGAAATTTTTAATAATTTTATCTTTGAACTTGTGTTTTGCAAGTGAGATCCAGTGCGACAGTGGAGCATGTGTGCGCAGAGGAGACAGGAACAACAACCGGGATGTCATGCGGGCGCACTGGGGCTCCTTGTGGCCCCAGTGCACAGAATTCTGGTGGACCCACCATGTGTGGGAGCTCAGTGAGACTCAAAGTAAGTGCAAGGTAAGTGTCTTATATCTACGACTGAGTAAGGGGGAACGCTGACAGCCCTGAGGGGTTACACCTACCATTTCAACCAGAACTTGCCAGATGCAAGAAGATGACAATGAGACAATGGCATCCAAAGAAACATGAACGGCCCAGGAACCCTATCATAGCCTTCTTCCTCATGTTATTTCCCTGGATAAGCCAACCACTGACACTGATCATGGTAACCTAGGACAGAGACAGACTGGGCAACCCATAGTTCCTTTCCTTTCAGGCCCTCCTCACACATCGTACGCTGAAGGTGGAGCACACTGGGAAAATGTGCATGCATCAAGAAGAAAAATGAAAACTGATTTTGTGCAACATTTCCACTGTTCTTGGAAGAATGAAATAAATGCATATGAGCTATGAAATATGGATTGTATAATTCTAGTGATTCTGCATATAAGTCAGATGATCTTATTGAAAATTGGCATTGTACAATATAAAGATGAACAGAAGAGTTCATACTAATAATTTAAAATTTTAATTCTTCCTTTTTAGAAGAACATGGGCAGATTAAAAATACCACCACACATCAGGAAAGAAACCAGAAAAGAAAGAAAACAGCTTTCTATTTTAATGCTTTTAACAGTACTTATGTCTGCTTTTTGAAAAGGAGCCCCACAGATTAAGTACCCAGTCCTGGGCACGGGAATACCCTGGGATTGCTTTACAACCTCAATTAGCTCTCCTCTCCTCCAACTGGTACCCTGAGAAAGACTTGGGTCCATGCCACCATCATCTCTGGCCTGGACTCCTAATTGGCCTCCCCGCTTCCCTCCTGATGCTTCCCAGTCCATTTGTCACTCAGCTGCCCAGAACAACCTATTCAAAAGGCAGACCTGATCTTGTTGATGGTCCCTTCCATACCCTCCCTGATTATAACTCTTCCCACCCCACTCAAAATAAATCCAACCAAGGTCTACAAAATCTACCTCGTCTGCACACCCCACTGGCCTTGCCCTCACTCCATACCCAGCCCCACTGGCCAACTTGCAGATAATCAAAGGTGCCGCAATCCATCCGGCCACAAAGCCTAGCACTTGTCCTGTGCCCTCTTTCTGAAACACTCCCCTGTCTCCCCACCTAGTTACTGCCCCTTAGCCCATTAGATTCTCCATGAAGGGTCACTTCCTCAGGGAAGCAGTCTCCTCGCATTCCCTATCCACCCCAGGGGTACACTCTCATAGCTCCCCAGAATTCCCTTTCTTATCCCTTCAATTGGTAATCTCTTTGAGTGTGGTGACTGTTTAATGTGAACAGCTCCGATGACATTATAAACCCCAGGCAGGCAGTAGCCGTGACTGTTTTGTTCATAAAAGGATAGTCATCACAATTCTAGCACGCCAGAAGCCCCCAATAATGTTTCTAAATAAATAAATAAGCAAGCAAATAAGAATGTAACCTTTTTTAAGAGTTCGGTCAGAAGAATGATAAACCCTGCAATCCCCTTTTTCTAAAAAGGGAATGTTAAGTCCCAGAAATGTAGACAAAACAGCCATCCCATTACTCACTCCTTCACGACACACAAAACAATCAGAACACCATTTCCTAGGCTTAGTCTTGAAGCCATAAAACACCCATTTCCATTCCCCACTCACTTTCTTCCTTAGCCAACAAGATGCCTATAATGTTTTCAAGGTACCACTGATATTATTTTAAAACCACTTTGCCACTAGGCAAATGATAAAAGAAGAATTTGCATGTGTGTATCTAAACAGTGTATCTAGGCCAGAATTTTAAATAAACTAGTGACAAACCGTGCCAATTAACATCAGGTAAATACAAAAACCATCCCTTCTAATACATCAGGTATATCACTTGAGGGAAAGCATGCCTGCAACACACACACACACACACTCCCTCTCTCTCTCTCTCTCACACACACACACACACACACACACACACACACAGATTCTCTCTCTCTCTCTCATTCCTTCTCTCTCCCTCTCCCTCTCTCTTTGGAGACGTGTTTCTTGATTTGGCTTTTGAATTTCACCTGAATCCAACTGCCCCAGACTTATGGGATCAGAAATTCTGGAAAATACATCTGAAAGTATGCCTTTTTAAAATAAACTCTCCGGATGATTCCTATGCACAATAAGTTTAAAAACCACTGTTACAGAAAGACACTGCAGGTAATATTTAAATACCAGAGAAATGGAAGAAGCTAATAGCACTAAACCTGAGCAAGCAGAGAAACAAGAAAGAAAAGGAAAGTGATGTCCCGAAGACCCGGAAAGTCCCTGGCAACACACCTCCAAGAAAGCAGCAGGAAACTGTTCCCAGAGGAGAGAAGAACCGTGGAAAAACCCTAAGCCATTGTTTGCTAGGGTCATTAATTATTTTAGCTATTTATTCACAGACACTTCCTCCTATATCAAGGTGCTCCTAGGACAGTGAGAAAGAAACCCTGACATGCTTCCCTTGCTGCAGGAGGGACGAGGTGACCCTGAGCCAGAGGCATGCATGAGCAGGGCCACCTCTCTCAGTCACACAGCTTCTCTTGGGCACCTGAGAAGAACCTTGTACCCAGGAGCCCTCAGCAGAGACAGGAATCCTAGCAGCTGCTGGCCCACCCTCCCCCAAGCAGCCTCACTGTGCCCATCAACCCAGGAATCTTGAAGAATGAAAAGACTTGGAGGAAGCCTCCTAGCACAGGTCCACCCACTTCAATATCCCCTCCTGTAGTGGATAGTACCCTCAAAATTGATGTCTACCCGGAACCTCAGAATGTGACTTTATTTGGAAATGGGGTCTTTGTAGATGTAACTAGTTAAAATGAGGTCATATAGGACTAGGACGGGTCCTAAATCCAATGACTAGTGTCCTTGTAAGAAGAAGTGAGGACACACACACACACCCAGGGAAGAAGGCCCTGTGAAGATGGAGGGAGAAACTGAAGTGACACAGCTACATGCCAAGGAACACCAAGGAAAGCCAGGAAGAGGCCAGGAATGATTCTTCCCTAGAGCCTTCCAAAAGAATATGGCCCTGTTGACACTCTGATTTCAGATTTCTGGCCTCCAGAACTGTGAGAAAACACATTTCTGTTGTTTTATGCCACCCAGTTCATGGTACAGTTGTCCCTCGGGATCCATGGGGACTAGTTCCAGGACTCCCCACAGATAACAAAATCCATGGATGCTCAAGTATCTGATATAAAATGGCATAGTATTTGCATATAACCTACAAACATCCTTCTGTATACTTTAAATCATCTCTAGATTACTTACAATACCTAATACAATGTAAATGCTATGTAAATCGTTGTTATACTGTATTGCTTGAGAGTAGAAAAAAGAAAAAAAAGTCTGTACATGTTCAGTACTGATGCAATAAATATTCTCCATCCGCAGTTGACTGAACTCATGGATGCAGAACCCACAGATATAGAGGCCTGGCTGTAATTTGTGATGTCAGCCTAAAGAGGCTAATACACCTCCCTCCTTAGGGAGCCTGGGCCTTAAAGTCATATTGTTACCAAAACCTAGGGGTTCTGCCACAACGAAAAAAGGAAACCTTGCTCTTTCAACACTGTGGGTGGTCTGTTCAGCCTCACTTCAGAGTCACCCTCCCACTGGCCAAACAGCGATCTTCCAAGATAGGTGTCCTCAGATCAGCACCCTCATACATCCTCCTTGGCCCGAAAGGCCTCTCCCACCCTGACCAACACAACCAACCGACTGCCACCTGGCCCTCCAGGAACCTCTTTCAAGGTGTGGCTTCACGCACATGGCCCAGGCTGGCCCCCACTGTGTGCCCACAGCTCCTGGGTTTCTCCCAACACTTTTCACACTTGCTCAGTATGGGCAGCTCCAAGAAGACAGGGACCAGGTCAGTCTCGTACACCACCCACAGCCCAGTGCTCACTTCAGCTTTGTCCACAGGAGCAAACAGATGGCGAACACAATAACATAAAGAGACGTCCCTCACTCTTCATTACTTGGTCCAGAAATGAGGTCTGTCTGCTGTGTGACTTCTCACAGCCGCGATTATACACCTCTTAAAGGAGTAGACTATGCCATAAAGACCACTCATTTATTGTTATTCATTCAAAAATCTATGTATTGTGGACCTACATTCCTGGTAATAAGTCACTGGAGAGACAACAGTAAGTAAAAAGTAGACAGGCTGTGCCTTCATGGCATTACAAGTGAGAGTATATAAGTCAGTCATTAGTAGCCTCACATCCAAACCAGAAAACAATAAAACAATCTTGCTCATGAGCCTGTCTTCCCAGCTAAATTATTTCCTACTCAGGGTACCCAGGGCCGAGAACAGTGCCTGACACATAATAGGCAACCAATAATGCTGGATGGACAGAAGATGAAGACACTGAGGATGGATAGAAGGAAGGAATAGTGTCTAGTACATAACGGGCAGCCAGCAGGATAGATGGACACACAGATGGTTGGACAGAGAGATGCATGGATATAGGCCTAGTGCATAACAGGCAGTCAATAATGATGGGCAGATGGAAGGGTGGATGGATATCTAGGGAGCAAAGCACCTGGGATGAAATGTGCACAAAGCACAACTCAAAAGTGCAAAAGATACGAGAGCCTCCTTAAGTGGCACCTCTAAAACCTCCACTTCATTTCATCTCAGACCAACCAGCAGCCTCCTAGTATCTGAAAAAAACAATAACCCTAAATGCATCTGGTATTCGACCTCCTCTGTAAACATTTAGTAGAAAAACAGCTTCACAAACACAAATATGCTCTCTGTCTTCCCACCCCTGCCCTTTCTTTCTGTAATGGGGGTTTTAAAAGGCTGTTTTGCCAGTCTTTCTCCACCACTGAGAGCATTTATGTTCTAAAACGGTGACTTCACTCTTGCCAAAATGCAAACCACACACCGCTGCCAGGTTGTATCATTTTTAATTATTATTTTTGTGATTCTTCTTTTATCTAGTGCCTTAAGAGAGACTTTTCTCTGAGGGACCCAGAGCTGACTCTAAACACTTTACTGTCATATATGATGTGGAGGCAAGGGAAGGATACCACAAGCTGAAGGAGAACAAAAGGGACTGGGGGGTCCTTTGAACAGCACATCCAGTTAAAGCCCCTTCCATGGGAGCGTAGAGTAGAGAAACAGTTTGCAATGAAACAAAAATACAAAGTCCCAACATCAACATTTAACCTCCTACAAAGCAGCTGGGTCTCAGAATGACAGCTGTCTCACAATACCCCAACATGCCTCATCTTTGGGTCTGGCTTAAGCCATGTTAGATTCCCTGCATTTCCAGGGTCTACTCGGTCTCATATCAGTAACGAAGTTAAAGTAATTCAGATCCTAGGAGACCTTTCTTCCCTTTCATTTTCCTTTGCTGAAGGTAAGAATAACTTTTAATCTCCAAGAACAAGTCAAGTTTCCTTTGCTTCCAACTCAGGGCCATATATTATAACAGTGTCATATATTTATTCTGGCAATAGGCTCACCCATTCATCCTTTAACTCTTCATTGAGCACCTCCTATTTCAGGGACTGTGGGAGGCATGGAGAATAAGACACTGAACAAAACTGACATAGTCCTTACGTTCCCCAAACCTACAACCTACTGGAGACAGACACTCAACAAATACACACTATAAACACTGAAAATTTCAGTGGCAAGAATGTAAAACTGCAGATGCAAGCTAGAAAAGAATATGGTGGAGAGGAACAAAGCAGATTCCCATTACCTTCCTTATGAGGCAGGGAGCCATATTCAAGGCAAAGGTGGAAGTGGTTTATCAGCAACAGAGAAATAAAACACTTTAGAGACAGGCATTAAGAATTCTCCCAATATTGTGGTGGTGGCTTCATGAATGTATACAGGTAACAGAGTTTATCAAAGTGTGCCATTAAACACATGCAGTTTTTTGTGTGACAAGCTTTTAAAAACATAATAATTTCCCCAATATTTTGCTACTCATTTATGATCTCTCAAGATCTCCAGGATGATGAAGGTTCTTGTAGTCATAAACTAACAAAACTGACTTAGCTACAGGAAACACACCACCCTGCCACATTGTTGTTCTTGGCCTGCTCACAGCTTCATTCGTTCCTTCAACAAGTAATTATTAAACATTTACTAAGGGCTAGTACTGTCCATTAGTGTTTCCCATTACACTACAAACAGAAACACGCATAACCCAACTCTCTGGAAGCTTGTAGCCTCCTGCCAGTGTGGACTCAAGTGGAAAAGGTAAGTGCTGCCTACACACTGAGAAGGACCTACAGCATCTGAGAACGTGGAGTCAAGGCTACTCTGAGGGATTTTCAACATCATGATAGACAACGATTTGTTGAAAGCTTACTCTGTGCTAGCCCCCAAGTGCTTTCAAAGATATTATTCATTCAACTCTCCCCAAATCCCTACAAGGTAGATACTATTGTTTAAATCCCTTTTACAAAAGGGAAAATTGCCAGTAAGTGATAGAACCAAGGTGAAAACCCAGAAGCCTGACTCTAGAACCCTCAATACAAAATCTAAGCTAGGCTGGGCATAGTGGCTCACGTCTATAATCCTAGCACGTTGGGAGGCCAAGGCAGGTGGATCACTTGAGGTCAGGAGTTTGAGACCAGCCCGGCCAACATGGTGAAACCTCATCTCTATTAAAAATACAAAAATTAGCTGGATGTGGTGACACATGCCTGCAGTCCCCGCTACTTGGGAGGCAGAGGTAGGGGTAGGGGGATCACTTGAGCCCAGGAGGCGGAGGTTGCAGTGAGCCAAGATGGTAACAGTGCACTCCAGCCTAGGCGACAAAAGAAGACCCTGTCTCAAAAAATAATAATAAAATTAAAAAATAAAATCTAAGCTACCATAAAGATAAGTTCTCACCAATCACCCCAGAAACCCACTTCAGAGTCTAAGTACTTCTTCTGGGCCAAACTGAGAATCAGCTGACACTGCTCTCTGCTGAGTAGACTCTCTGGCCTCCCCTCATCAGTACTTCCTCCACCTTTGGAGCTCGATAAAGGCAAGCTTGAGAAATGAGGGAGGTCAAAGGTTTCAAAGCAGCAGGCCTCTGCAAAAGAGAGACTCTGATATCTCTGTGCCAAAGGAGAGGCTCAATGTCATGGTGCTTCAACAGGACATGCAGAGACAGCAGCTCGAATCCCTGACTGCAGGCAGAGCGACACACAAGGCTTCTACATGGTAAACTCTGTTTTGTTGGTCTTTTAGAACGTAAGTAAGTCACCAACTTACTGAGTGAGATCATGTTATCATGATGACAGAGTTCCAGGGAAACACAGACCTCCTCTGGATCAAAGAACCTTCCCATTGTCTCCTTCCAAGACACTCGACCAAATCATGGAAAACCAATTCAACTGCTGGCAGTCCACAGGCAGCAAGCAGCCAAAATGCATCAACATGCGAGAATGCATGTGAGATGTGAACAGAAATCCCGACTGTTACAAGCCATAGGCATCCATATTAATAGCACGAATGCTATAATTAGTCATTTAGGGAAAAATAAAATAAATCTGCTCCAAGACAGTCTCCCTGAATTTTGTAAGAGTTAGAAGGATGGTTTTAAGATTGCTGATCCTGCCATGCTGACTTGCTTTCCCAAGAATGCCTTTGACCTTAGCCAGCACTAGTAAAGAACTCAGCAATGCCTGTGAGGAGGGCCAATTCCATGTCCCCAGAGGACAATGAGGTCCCCTCAACAATACTCACTAACATATGTGAGCATCCCACAACACTGCAAAGGCTGAATGACTCCCACCTGAGATCTGTCCCTTCTAAACTACCTCTGACCGCTCAGAGGCCCTGCAGGCCAAACTACCTCTCTGATGCTTTGCCGGCGGCTGCATACCTCACTCTTTCTTTTCTCTTTAACATTCCTCTGCACAGCATTACTTGCCTCTTCACAGAAAACCTATCCAACCCTCTAGAACAAGTGCTTATCATTATTTTATCAAGTTCCGGAAGGAGCGAGACTGTCAGCAAACCCAAACTATTGCTAGAGGACAGCTGAATTTCTGGTCAACATGAATCATCTTTCCAAGACTGGGGAGGGACTGTGTGCCTATGTAGAGTGAACCCTGGAAATAGCCAGACTCCATGAATAACCTGCTATGACCTCAGGCAAGTCTCTGGACCTCTGTATGACAAAGTGTGAAATTAATAGGCAGAAATAAAGTCAACCTGACAAAGATGAGGGAGAAGAGAAGGCCATGCCGAAAGAGCACCAGGTGCACAAGACCATGTGGCTGGAGAAAACACAGCAACTAAAGGCCAGCACGTGGGAGAAAGGGCAGGGGTGGTGAGACCAGTGTAAAACGGGAGGGAGGGGGCGGCCACATAGGGCCTAAAGGATTATAACCAATTCTGCACAGCTGCCAGGGAGACACCAGTTCCATCAGTGATCCATAAATAGTTGGGAGTTACCTTCTGATTATGAGGTAAAACTCAGTTCTTGTGCATGAGCCTATGAGGGGCAAAATGCCAAGCTGTTCATAATAAAACAACTGAACTGAACTACTAAAATTACAATCTCAAGCCTGGATATGGTAGAATAATGTTTGCTAACAAGCTAATGCCTGATGTTATCTTAGCTAATGTCAAAAATGTATTTTCCGGCTGGGCGCAGCGGCTCACGCCTGTAATCCCAGCACTTTGGGAGGCCGAGGCAGGCAGGTTACCTGAGGTCAGGAGTTCAAGACCAGCCTGGCCAACATGGAAAAACCCCGTCTCTACTAAAAATACAAAAATTAGCCGGGCATGGTGGCACACATCTGTAATCCCAACTACTCGGGAGGCTGAGGCAGAAAAATCGCTTTAACTCGTGAGGCAGAGCTTGCAGTGAGCCGAGATCATGCACTGCACTCCAGCCTGGGCAACAGAGTGAGACTCTGTCTCAGGAAAAAAAAAAAAAAAATGTATTTTCCATGGGAACAAAAATACAAAATCCACTCATCTGTGAAACAATTAAATTATTTCATCATTAAATCCATCCTGATTAATCTGTAGTGTAAACTATTCGTGTCTCAGAGGTGATACAAAAATCTTCCTGTGGCCTGGTTGACACTGCATATCGAGCTTATCCACCACTCTAATGCTAGACATTTGCACAGTAGAAGCATTGGCTATACCAGTGATTCTCTTAAAATCCTTTCTCTTTAAAGTCCTTTCAGATCCATTGGCTATCCAGCTAATAGCTATTCCTTATTTGCTACATATGAGGCACAGGGCTCTGCATAATACAAAACTAAAATGTATGCAGACTGAAGAAGTTAGCAGCCTAATGAGAAGGGAGGAGGTAGAAATAGGACTAATAGAGGACCTACTATGTGTCTGACATTGACTTATACCATCTCCTTCAATCCTCCCAAGAGCTCAATCAGGAAGGCATCATTATACCTATTTTACGGAGAGACTGAGGCTCAGAGATATTAAGAAACTTTTCCACCTTATATAGCTAATAACTTCGAAAGTTTGTATGCAAGTATAGGTCTGACTCCTAATTTACTCTTAACAACTCTACCATGCTTCAAAAATACAGAATGTTGTTTTTTTGTGTGTTTTGTTGTTGTTGTTGTTGTTTTTAATGCTGGTTGCAAGAAAAAGAAAAAGCAGTAAGCACCATAGAGAGAGAGAGAGAGCATCTGTAATAAGAATTCAGTCAGAGGAGAAACTGCCCCCACTGAAAGGATGATGTTCCTCTAAGGAAGGAGGAGTTAAACTGGTCACAAAGGAATTGACCAAGGAGAGATGGGGAGAATAACCCCTATGGGAAGAGGGGACAATTTAAACAAAAGCACAGAGGCAGGACACTGGGCTGCACACACGGGAAATAGTAGGGCCAAAAGAAGGGGACAAGCCATAGGCAGAGCAGGAGAGGTAGGCAGAGCTCTGAAGAGGCCTAGGGAACACAATGAGGGCATGAGGCTGCAGGAGGCAGCAGAGCAGAGTCTCTGTCTCCACAGAGGAAGGGAAGGAAAGATCCAAGTGAGGTGGCTCTGGCTGGGGCCTAGTTTAGAGGTAGCCAGGGTCTGAACCAGCAGTGGTTGGCGTGGTGAGAAGAGTGTGTGCAGAAGAACACCCGTGGGGTTTGGGGACTAACTGGGTGAAACAAATCATCACATGTGGGTCCAGAGGTTGTGCCTGGATGACGGGGACAGCAACAGCATTTTTAACAGAAACAGGGAGCATGGGAGGTGAAGCAGACTGGAGGAAAGAGGACAGAAACACGGCAGGATTGAGGCACCAGCAATGCATACAGATTAGAGATGCCAGCAGACATCAAGAAACTAAAGAACTGGAGAGGGGCTGGGGCTGCCAGAGGGAAGTCTAGGAGTCATGTTCATGTGGGTGGTGGCAGAAGCTAGGGACTGGAGAGATTAGTGACAAAGAGAGGCAGACCTTCTGGTTGGGGAGGAGAAGCCCACAAGGAAGGGAACCTTGAGAAGATCCACAGGACAAAGAAGGTGAGCAAGGAAGGGACGTTCAGAAGGGGATGAATGAAGCATGGAGAGCACACTGTCAATGGAGGAGGAGAGAATTTCAACACAGAGAAGGAATGTTAGCAAAATCTCACGGCGGCTGTTTGAAAGTATGCACACCTTCTCAAGCACCATTTGTCTTTTTAAAAGAAAAGCCAAATACAAATGGAAATGCTCTGGGAGGGGAGAGATAAGAGGTGTGCCTCCCCTGCTCTGAAGTCTTGGGTCTTTTTGGTGTGAGAACCTGTCTTACCCAAGAGTGAGAACACAAGAGTCCACACCTACTTCACAATGAAAACCTACTGGAATTGCTTTAGCTAGTGAAAATTATCCTGAGATGGTTTCAATCTTTCAAATCATTTGTCAAAACTGCTGACCTTGACTCCCATCCCTTTATGCCCTTCTAAAGTGTTGTTTGTGGCTCAGAGAAGAGGGTAATAAACACATTTGATAAAAAATCAAGTTAGAGTTGGGCATGGTATCACCATGGAACCAATAAACAACATGGAAGAGACTTCCAGTAAATTTCAGATCATTACCTCTAGTTTAAAACCAATTTAGTGCAAAGATAACCAATTGCTCCTGAGATCTCTAACACACCCATGTTTGTCCTCTGACAGTCATTACTTAGTAGGGCCAAGAAACCAAGTAGGCGGGAAAGAAAGAGCTGCCTGGCCCATAAATCGGATGCCCACTGGTTAATTCCCACAAGCCATGGCTAGGTTACATAGTGAGGGAGCAGGCCCCTGTCTTAAGGAACTTCCAATTTTGTAGACTGCTACAGGAAAACCTAACATATAAAAACCATGCAAAGAATCATATACAGAATTAGGGTACAGATGTTCAAAACTAATGCCATCCTTTGCCTCACTAAGGACTCATTATAAGCAAAATTCTTTCACACTGTGCTCACCTCGGCAGCTTCCACGCCACCTACACAACTATGATGTTCACACAGCCTTACTCTAACACATATGTTAGACAAAGTGAGGAGCGCCTGCACTCAGCTGATGTGCCAAGGCTGGAGAACCACCTATGGTGAGAATCTGACCACAGAAAACAAGGAAGAACTGGAAGGGAGTAAAGGAGGAAAATGGGACTGGGAAAACCACAGGGCCACACACGCTATTCACTTCAAACAAGCTTTTGTTTGGTTCAAGGTTCTGTGGTCTTAAATTTAAAAGACCCCGGGGAGTGATGGCCACCCAGTCCTGTAATCTCCTATTACCATAAGCAATGTTGACCAAACAGCTCAGAGAGTATCAGATTCACTGTCCAGATAAAACCAAAACTAGTGTCTAGAGCAACTTACAGTTTAATACCAGGCGGCTGAGAGAGCTAGCCTTTTGCAATACAAATGAAAGAATTCCACGTCTCACTGTGGGCAGAAATCAACTTCTCCAACTGAAGTTCAAAATTCCTTTCTCCCAGATCACTCCCCTTCACCAACTAAAGCTTGCCACCTTCAGACACTGCCATTCAATTGGATTGAACAACTGTGTGTGGAGCCCCTCCCAGGTGGTAGGCACTCTTCTAGGACAGAACTAACCCAGCCCAGCCCCTGCCCTCATGGGCTTACACAGCCCCACCTCTGCTCTGAATCAGGATGCCTGAGCTCACACACAACCCAATTCTCAACCCTGAGTATCTTCCCTGATGTTCACTCCACCAGCAATGTTGCACTTCCCCACCTCCAGGTGTCCAGATGGGCCAAACCTCCAAATGCCATCTCATCCATGGAGTCCTCCCAGGCCCACGCCAGTCCACCTGCAGCACTGCCCACCACCCATACAACACAGGTGCTGCTTCTCTCCCTTGAGCCTCTTCGTGGCACTCTATTTGTGCCACCTAATGGCAGTTAAGACATCATCATCCTGGCCGGGCACGGTGGCTCACGCCTATAATCCCAGCACTTTGGGAGGCCGAGGTGGGCGGATCACCTGAGGTCCGGAGTTTGAGACCAGCCTGACCAACATGGAGAAACCCCGTCTCTACTAAAAATACAAAATTAGCCAGGCATGGTGGCGCATGCCTGTAATCCCAGCTACTCCGGAGGCTGAAGCAGGAGAATGGCTTGAACCCGGGAGGCAGAGGTTGCTGTGAGCCGAGATCGCGCCATTGCACTCCAGCCCGGGCAACAAGAGCAAAACTCCGTCTCAAAAAAAAAAAAGACATCTCCATCCTTTGCTGTATTCGCTGTGTGACCTAAGCTGAGGCAGCTTCCCCAAGGCTCAGGTTCTGTATATTGAAAACAAGGAGATAACAGTACCTAATAATAGTAATTTTAAAAATAGCCACCTTTTATTGAGATCTTACTGTGTATCAGAGAAATGCTGTGAAATTTACAAACATTGTTTCATTTGACTCTCAAAATCCCATGAGACAGGCACTGTTATCCCCGTTTCACAGATGAGAAAACAGAAGGTGAGAGAGGCACAGTGATTTGCCCAAGGTGCACCGAGAGCAAGCAACAGAGCTGAGATTCTCACTCTGGCAGCCCCACATGGGGCCCTTCATGAATCACCCCCCGCTACCCATTTTTTCACAGACCCCTTCTTAGGTTTCCTACCCACCTCATAAGGTTGTTCTGAGATAAGACGTGAAAAGTCCTTAGCACACCGAGTGGTTCTGGATCTCACTGTCCCCCCATGGTATCCTCCTTTAAGGGAGAGTTATTCACATACATGTATGCTTTAAGCATACTAATCAATACATATTGAATTAATGAATGAAGAAAGAGAAAACAAGACTAAAGGACATCTGCCAAACTACTCAAATAAGATACCAAAGTGTCTTACAAGTGGTTACTCAACATCCTATATATAGATTCTCACAGGACAGCACAAAATGTAAGTCTCTTTTGCTCCCAAATGTCTATGAGATGCAGTCTTCATTCTGGGGTATAAAGGGGAAGTGGCAGGGGTGGTCACAGCAGAGGAGTGAGCAGGAATGACATAGCACATCCTAGAAGCAGCAGGCCCAGTTCTGCAGCCCTTACTAAGATAAAATCCCCACTGAAGGGAAATCCCATCCAAATCCTCTTTGCCAGAGAGGAGAAGAAGGTCAAACAGACTAATCCTCAAAAAGACCTGAAATTCTGGCTCACCTGGGCCACACCAAAAGACATTCCCCTGGGAGCAAGAGACAGGCACGAAAGGTGGCATGCCCCACCCTCCCACCTATGCACTGGTGACTCCTCCTCACCCGACACATATACCTCGGCACCCCTCTGAGCTTGGATACAACTCCAGCCATGTGACCTTGGAAAGGTCTCAGGCCCGTGAGATAATACCAGAACCACCCTCACACAGGTAACTGTGGCCCAACAGGTAATACACAAAGCCAGCGTCTGGCATATAACTCAACATGAGTCAGCTATAAATGTGAGCAGACAATGGTGATACAGAGACCCAAACGCTGCAGTACACTGCCCTCCCTTGAAACTAATGCGTGGCTTTCACACATGGATACCTTAGGTAGCCAGTTTCACTGCGGTGCACAAAATAAACCTCTTTGACCATAACAACAAAAAAATCAAAACGTGATTGGTCTCACAGGGGAAAAAAAGGCATGTGAGTGAAGTGTGGGTGAGGAAACAAGGAGAAAATGCAGGCAGGGAAATGGAAAAAAAGAAAAGGATGCAGCCTGACCAACTGCTGACAAGCCAAGAGCTGAGCTTGGGGAGGAAGTAGAGGCAGGTCTCTGTGGGGACTCAGAGCTTAGTCTATCAAGAAGAGAGATGTGAGGGGTCAGTCATGTCCCTGAAGCCATCATGGTGAGGACCTGCCAGCCAGAAGACAGGGCCGCCAGTTATCTGGACACCAGCCAGAGCTGACACTCAGCTGCTTTAGCTGATTTTAGTACTGAGAAGCTGATATGTGTCTGTACATAAACAGTACACACAGAAGCCTCTTCCTTTTCTAAAAATACACGGGTCTGCAGTTCAGCACTGAGAAGGCCACCTAGAGCACATAACAAAGACAGTAACTGCGGATGTCTGGCCACCAGAAGGAAAAGCATTTCCTTTATCAGCAAAGGGCGTGAAGTCACCCTTTACCCCAGAGGCCTGACTCCATCTAGGGGAACTGCATGGCACAGAAGACCTCCATGATTTCAGAGAGCTGACCTGACTCCCACCTTGGACATTTGCTATTCTTAACTGCTCTGAGACTCAGCTTCCTCATCTGTGAAGCAGGGTGATAACAAATACCCACCCGGAAGCATTCTTCTAAGGATGAGAAATAATGAATGCAAACCACCTAGACACAGTTCCTGGTACAGAACAGACGATCAACACACAGTAGCTTGGTTCTTCCTAAAATCCCAGAGTCTTTGCTGCTCCCTCTCCTCTCATCCCTGAAATAACCCAACTGAGGAAGAGAAAGACTGATTTTCCCTGCTCTCGTAGCAGCCTCCCTCAAGAGCTGCAGCTCCTCAGGATATTCCTGGTGCTTGTTCTGGGCAGCAACACAGGCCAAGAAATCAGGAGTCTGCTCACTAGCGAACGGAGGAGAAGACGAAAAGGAAGTGCATCCCTCCAGTCCTCACAGAGGGCTCCTCCACACGTGCTGGTCTCAGTTAAGTTCAGCAGGCATCAGAGAGCAGGGGAGGAATAGCCTGCAAAACGGGGGCTACCATCCTACAATCAATTAAAAGAGTTCTTTTTTTTTTTTTTTTTGAGACGCAGTCTCACTCTGTTGTCCCAGCTGTAGTGCAGTGGTGTGATCTCGGCTCACTGCAACCTCCACCTCCCAGATTCAAGCGATTCTCTTGCCTCCGCCTCCCAAGTAGCTGGGATTATAGGAGCCCACCACCAGGCCCGGCTAATTTTTATATTGACAGGATGTCATCATGTTGACCAGGCTGGTCTCAAACTGCTGACCTCAGGTGATCCACCGCCTTGGCCTCCCAAACTGCTGGGATTACAGACGTGAGCCACTACGCCCAGCCTAAAAGAGTTCTTATTCTGGAGTTCTCAAAGAGCTCTAGAAGGTCCTGGCCCTGAACCCTCTGAAATTGAAAATGAATTTTGGGTAAAGAGGCTTTTTCTTGGGAAATTGTCCTGAACTTTCATCATATTTCAAAGTCTTTGACACTACCCTCAAAAAGAAAAAAAAAAAAGCTTTAAAACTGCTAACTCATTCATGGAAAACAAGAATGTCTGAGAAAGACTAATATAAAGCACTGGGCACTGTGGCTCACACCTGTAATCCCAGCACTCTGGGAGGCCGAGGCAGGCGGATCACCTGAGGTCAGGAGTTTGAGACCAGCCTGGTCGATATGGCGAAACCCCATCTCTACTAAAAATACAAAAATCAGCCAGGTGTGGTGGTGGGTACCTATAATCCCAGCTACTCAGGAGGCTGAGGCATGAGAATCGCTCAAACCCAGAAGTGGAGGTTGCAGTGAGCCGAGATCGTGCCACTACACTCTAGCCTGGGGAATAGAGCAAGACTCTGTCTCAAAAAAAAAAAAAAAAAACTCACTTTTAGCTCACATGTAATGATACTTGTCAAGTATCTTATTATATATTAACTCACTTAGTCCCCACAACAATGGAAGGAGACAGTTATCATCTCTAGATGAGGAAACCAAGGCTCAGGAGCACACCACTTCCCAAGACCCCATAACTAACAAATGGCAGAGCCAGGACTCAGCCCTAAGAATGCATGAAGCCAAAGCTCAGGCTCTTCATCACCATATCACAGTGTCACCTTCTGCAGATCAAGCCCCAGATTTTATAAACTAAAAGGAAAAGTGGAAGGAAAGAAGGTAGAGGTTATGAGAGATTGGTTAGAACCTGACTTATAATTCAATGCTTTTTCTACTATATCCACCGTGCCCCATGTCTTCATACAACTCATACTGAGAAATGTTTTAATCATCAAAAAAAAACACGCCATAAGGAAGTGTAGTGGTACCATAAAACCCTCAGCTTCCTTGCAGAAAAACAGGGATTATACGTCACTACTCCATAGGTATGTCACTGAGATTAAAAGGAGGCAAAATGTGCAAAGCACGTGGGTTTGCCTGGCATGTCTGGCACGGAGTAAGCACTCAATGAATGGTAGGCATCATTGTAATCATGACAATCTAGTGAAACAGCATGCCTTAGCAATCAAAGGTATCATCTTTATGTGGATGAACCCTACATTAGTTGCTTCAATGAGCCCATGTCCCTGCATCCCTGAACTCCACTCAGTGTCAGAAAGACACAGGCCTCAATTTGGCTCCCAGGAGTGATCACACTCTTTGCCTCAGCTGCATGCTTGGGAAGCAACAGCAGCAGCAGCCAGAGAGACTTGGGAGCATGCCTGGGTCCCAGAGCCAACTATCCAACATCATCTGAGGTGCCAAAAGGTCTTGGAAACCTCCAGTGTGATTACAGGGGGTAGGGAACATTCATGGCAAGCTTTTCCAGACATAGAAAGCAACCCAGAAAATAAGTATAAGAAGTTGCCAAAGGCGGGGTAGGTCCACCTCTGAGCCAGATATGCCAACAGAAGAAAAAGCCAGGGTATGGGGGAACAAAGGTTTGGGGGACCTTTGAATCACGTCCCCTACATCCCTACAAGAAGTCGATCTAACTGATGTGATTCTTCAAGGAGGATAATTTTCATGAGTTTGTCCCACAAGAATATACCATCACTAGTATAATCTCTGAAGTCTCCACACATAAGACAATTATTCACAGTAACAGCTGCCATTCATTTATTAAACAATTACGTTCTAAGCCTATTGCATATATTACCTCCTATAATCCTCCTCCAAATGAAATGTTGAGGGAATTTCCATTCTGATTTTACAAATGGGAAATTGGCCTCAGAAATGTTAAGTGCCTGCCCAAAGACATAGGGCTGATAGGTGACAAGACAGATTTCTAAATCCCATGCTCTACTACTACGCACTTTTAGATCAATTATTGGGTTTCACCTGTGGGACCTCTAGGCATGTTTTTCTCCTAGTCCTTCCCGACACACAGGGATGAACTTATTCTATTCTATCCTACTCCACAAGATTTCTTGTGCTGGGTGCTGAACCTAAGAATAAACTGCACTAACCAGAGGTTCTGCTATGCTTAGAAGCACACAAGACGGGGGCATAAATGACACAAAGTATGGGTGAGGTAGATATTAACAGGTAGAAGGAATGGAAGAAGCGGCCACAAACCTTCTGTCCCACAGACTACATACCCAGATAACTCCACACTCCTCTCTTTTCAAGAACAATTTCAAGAAACATGCCGCTTCAGAACACAAAAAAATTCTTGAAATGTTGGTGGAGGATCTAAAGAATAAGGAAAGGTGACCACAGAAGAATGCAGGGGAAATATCACTTGAAAAAAGCAAACATATAACACCCTGCAAGTGTTCTCCATTAAATTTCCCAAAGCGAATCATGACTTTGGAACCAACCCATTAACACAAATCAAAATAATCTGAACCAAATGTTCCCATTTAAAAGCCCTTTCCCCCTTGAAGGCTTGTACAAGGGAAAATGCACTCTCATATACCAGGCCACCATGCTTCAGTAATTACCACCAGACCTGGAGGTTTGCATGGCTCTTACCAAACAAGCAAAAGTCTATGAACCCCTAAACCAAGAGCAGAGCTCACAAGAGAGGTGGGGAGAGGTAGCCACAATGAACATGTGAAATTCTGCAACAGGACCTCCCTCTGAAAACAAAAATCTCTCTATGGATTTCTGTTCCTAGAAGTCATCCTTCCACACGACTCAGGCACTACTCTACTTTCCTTGTCTCTACCCTCTTCCGCCAGCCATCTACTTTGCTCCAGCCAGAGGGATGCGTTGCTTAGCAACTGCCCTCCAACAAAAGCAGGAGCCAAGATGAAGTCAGGCCTCTGACATCTCCTGCTCCCTTGCACTCATGGGACAAGCTTTCAGCAGAGCCAAGAAATCTACAGTTTCCATCAGACCTGGGGCTCGGAGGCTGAGGAGCTTTGCAGGGTTGCCCGCACTCAGTGTGACTAAACAGTCACCTCCAGCTAGGGTAAAGGATTCTTATTCAATGTGAAGGCTCCAAGGATTCAATACACTGCAGGAACCGCTGCATCCTCAGCTCCCACCCAATCTTTCCTTAATTACACCGTAAACGTAACGGCAATGATGTCCTGGATTTGTCCTAATATATCTTCCAGTCTAGGTGTTGGGCTTAGCACCGTGAGACTTGAAACCTGTGGCCACCTCCTCAGGGACAGATCTTGACACTTCATCTGACATTAGTCTTTCCCTATCACCCAGGATTTGTTTCTTTCCTAGTTGATGACTTACAGTGATTTGTGTCTCATTGCTTTCTTCTTTGTCTGCCTACATGAAGGTAGGAAGCCTGAATGCTGTTTTATCCCCAGACCCCCGAGGCTGATACAAAGAAGCCAGGCAATTAATCTTTATTGTATGGGTGGGGTAAGATGAGGAAAGGAAATCAAGCAGAGGTCCCTGGATATCCTTAAATGGTGAGACATAGATCATAATATTACTAATTTCCCTAAATAACCTGTTATAGATCCAGTTTTCATGAACTTATGAAATCTCCATCTTTTCACACTTTCCATCTCAAGGAAAACACATAAATTCCATGTGTTTACTGTCTGCTGTGTGAAAGTACTACTTCCTTTTATGTTCTTACATTACCGCTACTGAACCTTTCTTTGGAGGAGGAAGGCAAGAAAAAGAACTGGCAGAGTAGATATGGAAGGGTTGCTTAATCTAGCTTTTATTCTAGGATTCTGTGAACAAGTCCATGTTTGTTCCCTGACAATTTCATCTCAGCTTCTGGGTGGAGTACACACACCAGGACCTCAGAGAAGAGGCTAAGTGAAACTCCTCACATGGCTTTTCTGATGCCTCTACTGACCAACTAGGCTCAAATAAGACGATGACAACTACCACTTGCCATGGGCCCTCCCCATTCATTTACCTAGGAACCTTAGAAGCACAACTCTTAAACATTTTCTTGTTTACTGTCTGTCTTTTCCACATGACTTGAAGGTTCATAAGAGTAGAACCTTGGCTGTCTTGTTCACAAACCCCTAAGACATTTTAGGCCCTATTTAACAATAGTCAAAAAACAACAACAACAACAAAAACAGTGATTATGTACTGCCTAAGATTCTGGACAAAGACTAAGGATTTATTTCCTACTAAAAGAAAAAAATAACCAATGTATTATTCCTCCATGATGAGGTAAGGCTTTGCCAGACACTCCCCATCATATATTTACATAGTTCTGAATAAACACAGTTCAGGTTCCACCCAAAAACTGTTTAAGTTTAGCCTTTTTAACAACGGCAAATCCATAAATCACACTGACTATGAGGATAAAGGACCTCAAAAACTACCCAGTCCTTGAATGAACCTATTTAGCAACAGTAGAGTCAAAACGTGTGGCAGATTCTATATCTCAAAGATAGCCACACCCATACATCCCATCCCACATATTCTTCTTAATGACTAATGAGACACAGGCACTCCTCCACCAGGCAGTGGGGTCTATATTCCCTTGAACCTAGCTGGACCACTGCAACTGCCTCAACCAAAAGAACATGGGGAAAATAATACGCATAACTCCAGAGGCTAGCTCAGTCTCTCTCTCCCCTCCCCTCCCCTCCCCTCCCCTCCTCTCTCTCTCTCTGTCGCAACACAAAACTGGACAGCACACAAAATTTCCCCAAGGTCTCCAGTCTCTGAGCTCTTTGGACTTGAAGAAGCTGAGTCAAGCTCTTCGGCCAGCTGCCACTTTCTCCCTTAACCATCCATTTCATTTGCACAGAGAATGAAAATAAAAACTTTCCCTTTCGAACAAATTGTTTTTGCCAGCTTTCTCACTCTCAGGAAAGCCTCATTCCAGAACTTTTTTGGTTTTGAAAACCAGAATAGGGATTATTTTACCTATATGAGGTCTCTCTTTGGTCTACCTCAACAGACTAATATCAACCAAACCCAGAGGGGTATTCTTTTAATGAGAAAAATCCTTTAACTTTCAATATTTATTGAAAAAAATCTACTATCCCACATGGGTTTCAGCATCAGACACACAGAAGTTCAAGTATCGTCTCTGTCAACTGTTAGCTGGATGACCTTGGGCAAGTTATATGACCGCTCTGTACATTAGCTTCCTATATCTGTAAAAGAAATAAAAAAAAAAACCTTCAAAGGATTGTTATAACAATTAAATGGGGTTATTATAACTAACACTTGTAAAGTGCTTGCTATGTGCCAGGCACTCTTTAAGTGTCTGAAGGTGCTCAGATAACTCTGTGAAAATCAAATCTTAATTACAGCATAAGAACAGAGACTCAAACCCAGTAAACTCAAACGACTCATCTCAAACTCACTTTGTAAATGTATTTTGTATTACATCACAAAATAAATGTAAACTTATAAAATACATAAGAATCGTCTGAAATGTTTGTTAAAATGCAGATCCCTGGTTATACTCCAGAGATTTGAGTCATTAATCTAGGACGGAGTCCAGGAAGGTACTTTTTTTAACCACATCAACACTACTACTTCCCAGGTGATTTTAGTAAATCTTGCCCTAGAGATGCTGGTATACATATCTAGACCAAATAAGTCATGATGGCATAAAAAGACCATAAGCTAAGAGTCAGTGGTACGAGTTCTAGTCTCAGCTTTGTCCCTATCCAGTTCTACAGCTTTGACGTGGTCACTTAACTTTTCTGAGTCTGTTTCCTTGTCTGTATAATGAAAATTTCAGACTAGATAATTCCAAAGCTGTCTCTTTTTCCAAAGTTGATCCCACAACATGACTACTAGACACAAGTGCCTCAAACCAGCTTGTTCTGTGCATTTGTAGCAAACAAAATAAGAACAATAATATATAAGCCCCACTATATACAGGACACTCCAAGATGCTTACGAATTCATTTAATTATTTTTAATGGTCACAACCATCTTGAAATGTAGGCATTATTGTCCAAGATGATAAAAGCAAAACTCAGAGAAGTTCAACAACCTGTCTGAGGTGACACAGCCAATAAGCGTGGCTAAACCTAGATTCTATCCCAGGTTTACCTGACCTCATACCTGCATTAGTATATCATTATGCCTTTGGCCATCTCATTATAAAATTAACTTCCTTTGTATTTCTCTGTTCAATCAAAAGGTAAGAACAATGAAAGCTTGGCTATAAGGAGGAAGAAAAATGCAAAACCTATTTCCTTGTTAAGGTACCATACAAACATTACTACAGAATCAATCAATATTTTACCCTTAACTTTTTTTTTTTTTCTTTTAGATGGAGTCTCACTCTCTTGCCCAGGCTGGAGTGCAGTGGTGGGATCTCAGCTCACTGCAACCTTTGCCTCCTGGGTTCAAGCAATTCTCCTGCCTCAGCCTCCTGAGTAGCTGGGATTATAGGTGCCCACCCACTATGCCCAGCTAATTTTCGTATTTTTAGTAGACGGGGTTTCACCATGTTGGCCATGTTGGTCTCGAACCCCTGACCTCAGGTGATCCACCTGCCTCGGCTTCTCAAAGTGCCAGAACTACAGGCATGAGCCACTGCGCCCAGCCTACCCTCAACATGTCATACCTGCAAACACTCAGATTGCTATCTGCCAATATCCCTGCAGGGAAAAATGAAAGATCTGATTACTGTGAAATTATGTACATAAATAACTATTCTTTTCTTCTGCTTTCATCTGAAGCAATGTGAGGGGCAAAACTGTTTTGTATTGTTTGAGTTAGTCCTAAGAAAAGAGAATGAGCTGGAGTATAAATATATAACTATTCTACCAAGGCTGACGATCCAGAATCTCATAAACCATGATGCCCAAAAAGGAACAAGAAGAATCAGGGATCTTACGAAATACTCAATACTGATTTCACATTCAAAAGTATCTTCTACTGCAGGGAAAAGATAGGACTAGCTCACCCTTAAGCTCCGCAGCTGCACAAAGTACCAAAGGGCAAGTACAGGGCACAAGGCAGGAGAAGCAGGCACAACTGGCCACTGCAAGCCTAAAAACCAGGCCTTCTTATCATCGCCAAGTGAAGCTCAAGTGAGACGTGAGAGTAACAAGATACCAAGTTCGAATGACGTGTTCACTACGAGGAACCCAGGGTGGGTGGTAGAAGAGGAAAGCAGAAGTGAACACAAAGCACTAAGGCTGGTCAGAGGGAGAGGGTGAAAAAAAAAAACAGAATTTTGCCAAGATCTTTCTTCCCTTCCTTAATTCCTCTCATGGGAAGAACAGAACTTTCCAATAGAGTATCCTCCACTGAGCTTAGAGATACAATGGGAAACTTTCTCATGACGTCTACCCTTTTGTTTTCTCTTGCCAAGTAACTTAAAAGGAACCTAATCCCAGGCCTTCTTGCCTCCAAACTTCATTACTTCATCCCAAGAACTCAGAGGAAAAAATGGAAAGAGGATAAGGTGAAGAAAGAGTACTGACTACAGAAGTTCCAGATAATGAATTTTAGACAAAAACCGTTTTGGTTTCCAAATGCGTTCTGCGAGAGATTTAAAGGGTGCCTGAAGGACACATCAATGGGGTAAGTCACCCAGGAAAAAACAGGATTTGAAATATGAAAAACCTGAGCTCTGATCTCAGTACCACCTGGGCTACTTCCTCCCTACCTGACCTGAGGCAAGTTACATAATTGTCCTTCAGTTTCCATGTCTGGAAAGTAGGTACGATAATACCAATCTCATAAAACTGTTTTAAAGAATACATGAAATAATACCTGTAAAATGCCTAGTATGGTATCTGATCCAAAGGTTTTCTAAATTGGGAAGGGTGGCAATAACAACATGAACCATAAAGTCTTATTTATATTTGCAATTTCAAACTCCTTTGAACTACTCCATGGGGAGACTAAAACTGGGGTACCCTGCAATTCTATTCCAATCCTTACTCTTCTAAGTAACCCGGAGACAACTTCTGTGAAAACACAGGCCTCGAGATGTCTCAAAATACTCAGTGATGCCAAGGAAAACTATGGAAATTACTTCAGACTGAGTGCATGGGAGACTTCTTCTTACTTGAAGCCTCAAACAGAGAAATGAGAAGAGGTGGTCTAATTAGCATAGGTGGTCTAATTAGCCCAGGTAAAGGGCTTTGAGCTCCTGCCTTACAGAGTATCTTGAATTCTGGCATTGGGAAAAAGGAACATCTCTTTAAAGAGTAAGTTGTAAATGATTTATATGACTGGTTCATCACCGGGGAAAAAAGCTGTCAGGCTTTAAGGAAGCCAGCTCCTCTCTTCAGAGGGGAAGAATGAACCACAGATTAAGTGAAAAGCCAAAACCCCAGAGAGATCATTAACTGAGTGAAGCAGCAACTTGGCATCACCAGTTCAGAGCCCCTGCCCAGGATGCCTGGACCCAGAATTAAACATTAGAGGAGGGAAGTGGGTTGATGATATCTTACTTTTGCTCTCCAAGAATCCAGACACCAAGTCAATGTACGTGAAGATTCCATTCCCAAGAACCAAGAAAGGGTACCAATGCCCTGGATTCAGATGCCCTGGCCTGGGTTTAAATCCTGGCTCTGCCATTTACTAACTCTGTGAATTGCTTCAACTCTGCGTACCTGAATTTCCTAATATATAAAATGGGTGTAATACTAAAACTAATCTTAGAGGGTTTTGTGATGATTTGATTGTACAAGTTAATAACACAAATAGAATCTAATTGAGATCACTGTAAGAGCTAAATTAAATGAAAATTATTATTATCCATCTCTTGGTGTTGGTGGCTAACCACTATTGGGTTTTTATTATGTATCATGTGCTAACCATGGGTTACCTAATTTCATTCCCCACAAACCCTGTGAGACAATGTGTGAAAAGTACTAAGCTCAGGGAACTCCATGAACATAGAAAATGCTCAATAAAAAGGATCCACTCCTTGCTATTATCATTACCAAATCACGAAATCACCAAATCAAATCCAAAACACCATTTCCCTCCATTTTGAAAAGACACCTGGGTAAAAGACAAGTCAAAGAAATTGTGAGACTTAACCACCCTATAAGCATCTATCTGGGTAATATGTCAGTTGGATGTTTTTGATGAATCAGAGACTCTTCTTGTATCAAATAGACTTGATATTACCTTGACTATTTCACTTTGATAAAGATTGCAAGACCCAGGAGTTAAATGAATGGGGCCACCTGAATACTCTCTTACACGGGGTATCTAGAACCAGAAGAAAAAGAAGACATCTCTATACCATAAATTCTATCTCTGATGGGTTAAGGTACAAATGTGCTTTGAAGAACAGCCATTCCAAGTCCAGAAATGTTTTCATGTTGTTAAAGCATTAACTTCAAATCACTTCATGAGATAAACAGAGGCTATTTCAAACAATGAAAGAAACATCAAGAAAAAGAAAATGATTTAGTACAGATCAAACTTGATTTACCAAAGAAAAGCAATCCTTAAAAGCTCTCCTATTTCTGATCTAATCCTCTTCTATCAGATGGAGACAATACATCCCCTACTAGCCCCAGGCATCCTGGCTCTGTCAACTGACAGTGTTCACACGTGAACCAGGTGGAACAGAGTCTCAGTATTATAGAGCTCTGTATTAACAATAAACTTGGTCTACACAGGATCATAGCACTCTTTGGGTGATATGGTAGATTGCTAATGGCCACGCACCTTTAATGCATGTTCCTTTGCAACGTGACTTTGCCATTCCTCCCATTCAGAGTTGGAGGCAGTTTCTCCACTCTCTGGATTCTGTGATACAGTTGGATCCCTTGTGACTTGTTTTGGCCAACAGAATGTGGCAGAAGTGAGGCCATGCAAATTCCAAAGCCTAGGCCTCAAGAGGCCCGGAGCTTCCACCTTTGTCCTTTTGGAAAGCTGCCCTGAAGCTGCCAGAGCATGTAGATGCCCAGGATGAAAGACTACATGGGGAGGGGCCCTGTGGTCCCCGCCCTGAATGTAGCTGCACAAGTGAGCCCAGAAGAGGACAACAGAACCACCCAGTCAATCCACTGAGTCACAAGAAATAAACACTATTGTCATCTTTGGTCTCAAAGGCTTGGGAAGATTTGTTATACCATAATAGATAAAGGATACAGGTAGATTAGCTAGGGCTTTTGAATTTAATTTTTAAAATAAGTTTCCAAAATGATTAAAAACTTTTCTTAAACTCAACAGGAGGCAAAATCCAAGTTGCTGGAACTCAGGAAGAATGGTTGCTCTAGGAGAAGAGGGAAAGGCTAGAGATGAGATGGAGCTTTCCAGGATGCTAATCATTTTTATTGCTTGGCCTGGGTTGCCATTACATAAGTGTATTCACTGTGTGATAATTTATCAAGCTCTGCATTTCTGAGCTGTGTACTTTTCTGGATACATGCTAAGCTTACATTTAAATAGTTTAAAATAAGCCTTTCTTGGCAAATCTCTTTGAGAAATAGGGGTATGTGGCTAAGGAAATAAATTATCATGCTCATAATTTTTTGTCCACTAATCAAAATTTCCTCAAGAAGCACCCCGATATAACATACACAAATCTAGTTTAAAACTGAACATGGCTTATTAAATATGAGTATGTTTCTTTCTTGCCAAAAGCATGACTGTCCCACTTATGAGTCTAAAGATGGCCCCGAAATCCCAGAAAATTTACCAACGCCAAGGTCAAGATATTTCCAAGTGGTAGTTTGAAATTTTTGTGTTGTTTCAGAAAGACGAGGTAAATTACTTACAAAGTAAAAGGTCCTCACAGCTCCCACACTTCTGGGTATGCCTCTCTTGGTAGATTACACAGACTCTGTAGGGGTAGTGGCCACATCTCATTCTCCTCTCACTGTCCCCAGGCCTCCGCCCCTAATGCCAAAGCCAAACATGACCCTTGCTCACACAGAAAGAGCGCAAATATCAGCGGTAGGTAGGATGTCCCCAAAGCCCTTAAAAATGCTTGTGCCCTTTGACCAAGTAATTCCACTTCAAGGAGTCTGTTTGAAGGAAATTAAATGGGGGAAAAAAGTACATACAAAAATGTCCATCATATTCTTTAAAATAGTTTAAAAAAAACTTAAAAAGGAAACACTCTAAATGTTTAAAGTTAAGAGGTAAGAAAATTATCTTATATCCATAAAACAGAAACAGTACACATTTAAAAGTACATGAACATGTTTTTTAAAAAATATTTTTTAAAAAAGGAATAAAAGGGCCAGGCACAGTGGCTCATGCCTGTAATCCTAGCACTTTGGGAGGCTGAGGCAGGCAGATCACCTGAGGCCAGGAGTTTGAGACCAGCCTGGTCAACATGGTGAAATGCCATCTCTACTAAAAAAAAAAAAAAAAAAAATTAGCCGGGTGTGGTGGTGGGTGCCTGTAGTCCCAGCTACTCGGGAGGCTGAGGCAGGAAAATTGCTTGAACCTGGGAGGCAAACTGCAGTGAGCAGAGATCATGCCATTGCATTCCAGCCTGGGCAACAAAAGTGAAACTCCACCTCAAAAACAAAAAAAAAGAAATAAAAGTTCTCTGTGGTAAGATTATGAGTGTATTTCATCCTACTGCTTTACAAATTTTCCATATTATACTTTTCAAATATTCTACAGATACAGGTAGTTTTCACTTCTTTTATAATCAAAAAAAATTTTTAAGTAAAAAACTAGAAAAAAACTGAACTGTGTTGAGCTGAAAGATAATTAATATTATAATCTATTCCTTACATTGCTTGCCTAGCTCATCATTTCAGCTATACCCGTGTCTTAAGCATCTGAGCAGATTCAACTCCCACTGAATCATTTCTCTTTCTTTCCTTCTAAGATATAAGCTCTTCATGATCTTTGTAAACTCAATGCCCAACACAGTGTCTTGCTCTTACATTTTGACCAAAAGCTGCAAGACATCAGGGCAAGGACAGAGGGACTTACCTAAACTGCATAACATCAGGGGGCCACGCTTCCCTAGATGTCCTGTGCCAGGCACACAAAAGACCTGAAATAAGTGTTTGTTATTTGTATTAGTCAGCTTGAGCTGCCATAAGAAAAAGAACTTTATTTTCTCACAGTTCTGGAGGCTGGAAGACAAGATGAGGGTGCCAGCAAGGTCAGGTCCTGCTGCAGGCTCTCCTCCTGGCTTGCCTTCCGGCTCTACACTCACATGACCTCTTCTTTGTGCATGTGTGCAGAGAGAGAGAGAGAGCCTGCTCTCGGTTGTCTCTTTTTATAAGGACACTAATCCTATCATATCAGGGCCTCACCCATATAACCCCATTTAACTGTACTTAATTACCTCTTTATAGGCCCTATCTCCAAGTAGTTATATTGGGAGTTAGGGCTTCAACATACAAATTTTGGCAGGGGACACAATTCAGTCCATAGCATTTATTAGAGGGAAACAGATAACACTTCACTCACCAGGGGACCACTAAGTTGACATCAAAAATAGACTATTATCTGTGACCATCTGAACAACAGCATCCCTTGTGTCCACTGACAGGGTATACCAAAGGACATGTGTACAGTTTTGGTATGTCTTCATAATAGACAACAGGGAGCCAAGGGAAGATTTGGGGGTGGATATGATATGGCCAAACCTGTGCTTTAGGAGGAGTAATGGGGCGGCAGTAAATCTGATGCAAACAGAGACACACAGGAGGTGAGAAGCCATTGCAAGAGTCAGTCAAGCGGCTATGTAGGTAGCTATGTTGCAAGGAGCAGAGAGAGAAAGGAAAAAGCAAATGCAAGAAGGAATCATCAAGGTTGAATCCATGAGAAATTGCTACCCACTGGATAATGGGAGATAGAAAAAGCAGCAAAGTGTTAAGGTAAAGGGAGGAGGTGGTAAGAGAAGGGCTTCACCATCCAAAGACCCAGGGATGGGTGGCAGAGGGTGGGGGCTGCAGGTTGGGAGAGGGAGGAGGAGGAGGAGGGTTTGGAGGAGGAAGAGATACTTTGGAGAAGGGAGGGGAGGGTGGCTTGCGTTTGAGACATGTTGGATCTGAGCTGACATGAAACAACATCAAGGCAGAGGTAATTAGGCATGCAGTTGGAAATGGATGTATGGAACCCTAGAAATCAAGCCAGGGGTGAACATCTGAATTTCATCCACAGACGTAAATCAGACGGCTGATAAAACCTAAATGAACTGAGCACAGAAACTCAGAGATTGTCTTCTGTGGACAACAAGGAGAAAAAAGGAGACCAAAGAGCAAAGGAAAGGAGATGAGGAAAGGCCAGGGGGTGGGAGAAAATCAGAATAACACAGTGCCACAAAACCCAGAGAAGAACTGTTTCCAGGATGGACAGAGTGTTCAGCACCTGAACGAGGCAGAGAGATATCAAATGACTGAGCACAGAGTATTGGGATCTGGCTCCATCGTGATCAGTGGAATCCCTGAGAGAACCAACTCAACAGGGTGGAGACAGCAAATCAGGGAACCACAGAAAGCAAGAAAGAAACAGACACTAACAGGCTGAGGACCTATGTGCATGCCAGGCATTGTGATCGGAATTTCACATGGATTATCATCTTTAGTCCCCACAAACACTCCTACAGGGTAGGTGCTATTATAATTTGTATTCAGAGCATTTTGTGTAAAACTTAATAATGAAAGGAGCTCATCTGCAAGGTCATATTTGCCTGTCTGAAAAAACATACCTCTCATACATATTTTCACGTAGCTATGGAGATTTGAGAGCAGGCATGTAAGTGGAATCAGATATCAAGGAAAATGATACAAACTGAGAGAGGGGGATACGGCGCAGTCTGGCTGAGTGACTAATCACAATGGCCAAAGTATTTACAATGGCAAAGAGATGAACTTGACTCCCAGAGGCTACATATTTTGTGTGTGTATCTGTCTGTCTGTCTCTCCCACAAGAACTGCTTGGGAGAAAAAATACAAAACCATGCTAGTCTGGTCATTTTGCCCCAGTGAAAATTGATACTATCGGTAACATTTTTTGAAGACCGGTATTTTTTATCCACCTGCACAGCTATATTAATTAAAGAGTGCATTGATCAGATCATTAATTTTAAAAGTCAAGTCTTCACTCAGAGGTCATCACAATTATGGAAAAACAGACTGACTGCCATAACGTACTGTCAGAAACATCCCAAACCTGTGGAAATGTAACACAAACGGAAAAATCCTTCACTTCCCCTTCCTACCCTCCACCGCAACTTATTATCACCACAAAATAATTTTTAATCATTGCCATAGTCACTCTCAATTGCACTAATTAGAAGATATATAAATCACCTTACTTTTCTCAGCCAGGTATTTAATCCATACTTGATAGTAATGAGCTATTTTATTAGAACTGTTCAAAAACAAATGCTAGCAATCCTGAGCATGCAAGAAACCTGAATAATAGCACTCCATTTGGATTTACAAACCCACAAATCTGTGGATGCTACTTGACATTTATTGAACATGAATAACATCCCCACGTGCTATGTTCCTGAGGCTTGGCCAACATTCTAGGGAAATGACTTAACTCACACCAATAAACTTGAAAAGGTTCACCCTGGGCCAATATTTCCTCACACCAATTGCCCCTTCCTACTATTCTCATCAGGTCGAAAACATCCACCATTTAGCCCTCCCCAAAGTAATAATGGTATAAAGGCCTGAGCTTAAACCTAACCTCTGCCACTTCCTAGCTGTGGGAAGACAGCAGTGGGAACAATGACCATGCTCTGAATCAGCTCATCCCCTGCATGCTGAGAATGACACCATCCTCAGTGTCATGAGTGGAAAACATTAGGCCAATATGGTGGACAGTAAGGGGCAGTGGAGACAGCCAGACACACCTGGGCACACACTCCTTGTTCACCATTACCTGCTTGACCAGGTGACACTGGGTAAGTTCATTTCCTTTAGCTTTTCTACTCTCTCTAATTACACATATAATTTTAGCCAATTAGCCTTGAAATTCTTGGTTTGTTTTAATCCAGTGCGGCAAGCAGGCCACAGAGATAAATACCAATTATATCACACTGCACCTCACCCTCTCCACAATGGTGATGTGAGGTGCCCTCTGCTCTGCAGATCTCTAGCTTTTTGAAGTTATTAATGGTGAGAATTGTAACAACTATTCACAGAACTGTTCTTTCTTGCTAATTTGGGTGGAAAAGAAGGTGATCTCACTCTTATCATGATCTACTAAGGGGGAAAAGGCCACTGGAAAATGAGGTTCATTCCTATTGACAAAAGTTTCAAAGAGACCTGTGTGACACATACATGGGGTGGCCAGATCCAAACAGACGGTTTCGAGAAAGGGGGCACTGTTAATAATCATGCTGAGATAGCAGGTGTGACCTAGGACATTTGGTCAACCTGGTTGGGTCCTGCACAGAGAATATGATGGTATACAGCATTCTCTCTCCCTTTACCAAGTGTCAACCTCAGAAATCTAGAGGACAGAAAGGTTACAGAAATCTCAAAGCCTCCTCTCCTTATCACCACCAGCCTTTCCCTGACTCAACAGAAGCACATGCCTAACCAGCACTTACTAACCTATTTAATCAAGCTGTGCCTTTCTTTTGAACACAGTGGCTAACTTCCAATAACACACCAGTAGTGAAGATCATGAGCACACAGAAACACTTTAACAGGTGAAACAGATACGCAGGCCTTCTAGCTGCTTTGGACTGAGGACAGGGTCAGGCTGCTGGAGGAAGGCGGGGACCTGGTGTGTGTCAGAATCACCTAGCACACCAAACCCGTCTTGCTAGAGGAGGCAAAAACCAGATTTGGGCCACTCTACAGATGGGCCAGGTGGCAACTCTCCCTGAGCATGCGGAGAGAGTTGCCAACCCCTCAAAATATAGAGACAATCCCCTACATGACAAGCCCTTGCCAAACCAGACTACCCCAGTCACAGCAACCGTCCATCACCAGTACCCTGCACATGGTTGATGCCTCATGGGGGCAAAACCTTTCTTCTTAAATTATTCCAAAGACACACAGTATTTTAGTTACAACTAATTGTCAGGAAAATGAAAGCAACCCCATGTGAAGGCAAAAACCTTAGGGGGAAAAGAATAATGTATGCTTGTTAATTTCCTTCTCCATGTTTTTCTTTTAAATTTCATTTTCCCAACCATTTTAGAATTGACCAGGAAAGATCCTAGTTTACCACCTACATGTTGGGCTTAAAAGAAATAAAAAAAACTTAAGTCATAATGACTCATTTTGTGGTGCATATGCTGTAAACCTACCAAGAAAAGAAGGGAAACTGCACGGGTAAAAGTGGAATCGTACAGAGTGCAGGAATAATCTTTCAGCTACAGTGCACTCAAAATCTTTTCCATAAGAAAGGGTGGAGATGTCAAAGAGGACAACACTCGTAATTTTTAACAGATACTTCATCCCCTGAGTATTGTTGTTATTTCATACAATCTGCCAGCGGCTCCCAGGGAGGTCCAGGTTGAGGGCCTGATAAGGAAACAATTCCTACCTGTAGAGGAAACTTGATCCAGGGAAACTCACAAAGCAAAGCATCCATTCCCTCTGAATAGCGTGCGTAACTATTCCCAGAATGAACCATCTACTAGTCCTACTTCAATACTTGGAAGACCAAGAAAAGCCAAGGGAACAAAGACCAGGAAGAAGTGCTGAAAAGGGCTACAGCATAAACAACAGTATTTAAAAAATAAAAGCAGTATCTACACTTCCCGGATGCCAGGAGAATCATTAGCTAGTAACGGCTGACGTTTATTGAGCATTTACATGTGCCAGACACTGTTTGAAACACTAAGGGTATGTGCATTAAGCTAATTCCCCCAACAATCCTGACAGGTAGGTCCTTTTTTCCTCATTTTGGAGATGAGAAACCTAAAGCAGCTTCTAGACTTGGGTCACCAGAGGGTAAGCAGCAGAGCCAGGAACAGACTCCCACATTAACTCAATAGCCCACGCCATTGACCTCTGTAAGTATCCCTTCATTATCTGTCACCTGGCTGGTGAATGAGGCAGTAAGGACTAAACCCCAGGTCATCCTGGCCCTAAAGCCCATGCTCTTAACCTACACTCTACATAGTTACCTAAACACTCACTGGTCATGTTGCCCCAACCTCAACCTCCACCACCAGCACCACAAATTCTACAACCATTAATAATAAAGGGCATCATTTATGCAGGGCTTTCTGTGCCAAGACAAGAAAACTTTAGCTTGGAGGCATTAAGCTGACTCAGCTCCCAAACTAATATGCAGTGGAGCCAGGACCTGAGCCCACGTTCAGGAGACTCCTGCGCCCAAGCTCTCAATCCCTCCTGCAGATGCCACAGTTGTAGTAAGACCATGACCACAGGACACAGGGCCATGCCACAACCAACCATGGAGGCCAGCCAACACCAGAGGTGGCTTTAACAGTCACTGACTCATTCCTCAGGTCTCACCAAGCAACTTCCGGCTTTTCATTAGAAAAAAAATAGGGTAGAAAAAAAATAGGATTTAAAAAAAAAAACAGAAGCTCAGTTTCCCCATTCACAGGAGATGAAAAACAGCCAACCCAAAGGAAATGAGAGGCACTTAGTGACAATCTCAGTGGCCACAGGTGAGGTGACAAGTGACACAAAGAAAGAAAATGAAAACCTGAAAGTACAGACTCAAAATTATATCAATGAAGCACATAATGACAGGTCTGAGTCACCCAGAAAAATGTTGGCTTTTGCTCAAGCTTCCTCTGTTTTTAAAAGCAGGGAAATGCCTAACTTGGAGGCCAGGTTTTTATCAAGTATTTAAAAGTTTTCAAGTCTTGGCATTTGAAATAGTAGCAGGTGGGAGGGCTTGGTGGAGATAGGCACAGAGGACAGCAGACTGACCTGGGCTTTAAGGCTGAAAACTAGATCGCACCTGGTGATGGGGCCAGGGACACAGGGAATCACCCCACCTCATGGGTCTCAAGAAGGCCCTGTACCTCCCACCACTAAAATCCTGTGAGAGAGAACATGGTGTGGCGACAAGTCACCTGCCAGACATCCCTGGGAAGAATCCTAACTCCCCTACGGACAACCCAAGCCTGGTCCACTCACCGTGGTGATAATAATCCTCGTGCTAGCACGTAGTTGAAATTCAATAAATGGCTATCCAATAATTGAATGAACCGGGCAACTTATTTACCCCTCTTTAAACTTATTTACCCCTCTTTAAACTTCAATTTCCTGCTCTGCAAAATGGGTAGTATGACAATTCCTAACATGATGGGATTGTGGTAGGGGTTAAATGAGTTAACTGTGTACAGCGCCTCCTCCACCCCGGATGTGAGTCTTACTCTACCATGACAAGTGTATGGACAATCTCCAGTTATCTGGAAATCTGACCTAGGAAGCAGCCTCCGTTCCCTGATAATAATGGACAGACGAAGCATCAGTTCATTAGTCTGTTAAATATATAAAAGACAATTTGATCACATATCATATCCCCCTCCTTGAAAAATAATTCCCAGATTCAACACTGTCTGACTGGTCATTAACACTCTCGTGAGACAGAAAGATGTTCTAATTCTATCAATGAAGCACAGAGTAATTTTCCCTGGGTTAACCAGCAAATCGATAAGAAAATCTAGGTCTTCTATCTTTGCTTCCTCATCATCTCTCCTCGGCCACCAGAAACTAAATACCCAGATGCATCATGTGCAGAATTCCACAATTCCCAAGCCAGCACACAGCACGGGAAAGGCAACATTGTTACAGGCAGATTCGAGAACTGTGTTCTGAGGGATTCCGCCAAGGACACCTATAAATGATACTTTCTGGCTCAGGAAAAGTTTCCTGCTCTCTGATCTGGAGTCTCTACTGGACAGAAAAGCCTTTTTAGAATACCTTGCTTCGGAATATCGGCTCTTAACTACTTGCCTTTTCCTTGAGTCAGTGTTGCCAATTTAGCTTTCCAAAAAAAGTCCTGCAGGTCCCAGAAGGAATGTATCGTCCCGCTAAGGAATTACAATAGAAAAATAATAACCCTTTGAACTTCAGGTGGCTTGTGGGCAGGAAACAAATTAAATCAAGGAGCCTGTGCTGCTCAGGGTGACGACACTCAGGCAGTCCCCAAGGAGAGGCTGCTGACATAGGTCCCCTGCTGGGCTGGACAACGGGAAGGAGACCAGCCTTCAGGCTCCTCCTTCTCATCTCCATAACCTCAGCCCCATGTGCACCTCGAGCAGGAAGGGCACCAAGAACTCCAGCCCCTCCAACAGTGGATGGAAGGGGGCCTCTGTCCCTCATGGCCACCTCCTGAGTGGGCTCCCAACTACCCTCTTCCTCCACAAGGACCCCTGCTTACTCAATAAGGATGGCAGTAGTAGCAATAACAAGTTACTGTTACTAACATAGAGCATGTACTGTGTGCTAGGTACTGTTGTAAGCACTTTCAATACATAACCTGGTTTAAATCCTTACAACTATCCTGTAAAGGAGGCACTGTTATTATGCCCAAGATCGCACAGCAAGAGAACAGTATGCTCCACAGCTGCCTCTACTACTTATCCCAGCCCACTTTCCAAGCTTGAAGGAGAGGGGAGGGGTCCTCTTGTTCTTACATATAGGAGACACTGAATAATTATAATGAATGAAAAGAGTTGCTGATCCATTTTCATTGGTTGCCCCAATAAGAGTTAAGAGCCCATTTTCTCCCTTCTCTGCCTGTAGTAGCAGAGGACAGATGATCCTCAATATATATTTAACATTTGCCAGATTCTCCCCCACTCCTGAAACATAGTTCCTGCACATTTTGCTGAAAGCCTAGCCCCTTCCGTGGCACTCTTGGTGCCCTGCCCATTAATAAGGCTTCCTAGGAAATCCTATCATTGTCAATGCATTGTGTTTGGATCTCTCATTCCCTATATGTTCTTAAGTCCCACAGAGACACAGCTGCAGGGACCATTTTCTGTGGGTGTCTCAAGAGTTAAGCACAGTAGCAGCTGGCAGTCTCACCTCCTACCTTTGCTGGCTGTGTAATCAACCTCCTTTTAATCCTGCCGAGCTCCATGCTGCCTGGCACCAGGGGCAAGAAGCTACACACAGGTAATAATTTAACAAATCACCTGTCTGGCTCTCTTGCCGGGACACCCACTCTGGAGCTTATACAGCTGCTGATGCTAGGGCTGCAGCCTTGCCTGTGGGATGTCAGCTAAACCAGTAAGTACTGAGCCTTGGGGACCACACACTTCCAGCTCTGTCCTGTCTTAGAGAACCAGGGTGTGGTGTTTGATAGGGACGACCCTCAGGAACTATGCTTCCTACTCCATGCTTAGCTCTTGGGGATTTTTTAATATTCCGATTTTGCCCAATGCAAGAGCAACTAGCAGAGCTCCACTCAGCAAGCAACAACACATCCTCAAGAACCTGGATTGCAAGAACATCCCAGGACACAGCTGTTAAGACACAGAGCATGGGAACGCGAACTGCAGCAAATGTACACACACACACACATACACACAACATACTGAAACTCATACAGTGTTCCACAAACAAAAAATTATGGTGTGAAACCCATTGTGGAGCTGGTCCCCAAATGTGCATGAGTCACATCCAGCCCTGGAACACACAAAAATAAGTGAAGTCGTCCCCAAACTTTTACAGTACTCATCCATTGCTTTGTTATTTGTCTATAAACCACTGAAAGAAAAGATCTTTTCAGTTTTACAAATAAGACGACCACTTTTAAAAAGTGAAAATTCTGTCACGACAGGCCTTATGAGAGAACAAATCATTTTACCCAAAGCAGTGGTAGACAGAAGTAGCCTAAGGAAAGACTGCCTTTAAATAACCATCAGCAAGCTATAATCTGTCAAAAGCAATTATTGCCATCAAATACTTGTTAACACACACACCGTGACATTCATATTTCAGTAAGACAGCAGGACACTGATTTTTAGCAAAATCTAAAAAATAAAAATACTTTTCAAACCAGACCCTTGGTCCTACACCTTGAGGAAGGAAACAGGATTTTTTTTTTCTTATAGTACTTGCTTATGATCAGTGCTTTGAGATTAGTTTGCCATAACACCAGCAAACGGCAGAGTAACAGAGTTTGTTCCAAAAACAAAAAGAGTGGTGTATAACGTCACACAGTCCCAAGAGCCAGGCTTTAGGGTGGACAATGGGAGAAGTGGGAACACATTCAGATGTCTGTGGCTTTATTTCTGCAGGGAAGAAGAGAAAGAAAAAAAAACACAGAAGGGAGGGGCACACTGAATGAAGGGAGGAGCACCAGGCACTGGGGTAGCCAACATTTGTAATCTGCATATACTGATCATGTTACAGGAGCCATGCAGAAGCCATGGCTTGCTGCTTCCTATCCCTTTCTACAGGTCAGTGTCCTTACCTGAAGAGAATTAAATGCTCATGTGTTTAGCACGAGCTTCCATGCCAGAGGCCCAAGGGTCCAATCCTCAGCTCCACCCTCAGCTCCACCTTCACCAGCTGAATGACACTGACCAAGTTACTTTATAAGAAACTCAGCTGTAAAATGGGAATAGTGATGCCCCTTGCCCTATAAGGTTATTGAATTATACAATGAAATGTATTTAAAGTGCCTATTTGATGGTAAGCATACAATAAATGATAGCTGCTATTATCAACATCATTCATATTTCAATAAATAAGGGCTCACTGGTAAACCAGCACAGTTATTGATCCCTAGATGGTTCATCCATCACTCAGCAACTATTTACTGACTGGTCTCCCACGTGCCTGGCACCAGGCTAGAGGTTAGGGATATAAAGGGAATAATATGGGGTTTAGCCTTCAACAACTCCTCCACTGGAGAGACTGTCATATAACCAATATAATGTCCAAGGTTCCAGATGAAGACCAGTAAGAAGCACACACAATCCAACCATTCGAATGCTTTACTGTAATTTAGAATGGACTTTAATTGTGACATGAATATACATATATGTATGGTGTGTGTGCATACACACACATGGTGAGATATATGTGTATATATATTATACATATACATATATATCAGCTATATATATATATGGTATCTGATAAATATGTACACAAACACCATGTGTGTGTATTTGTGTATGTATCTCCAGTACCACATTATACTTGTTTCCTATTTAGGAATTATACCGAGATTTAACCCTGCAGATCTCTTGCCAACACACTCACAGAGAGTTAATGTTCAACAGTGAGCTAAAGTTCAGCATTAACTGGAGGAGCTGCCAGATCAAAGCATGCCAAAATGAAGATAGCCTTCCCCTTTCGAGATTAACAGAGCCCAGCATGTATGTCACCAGAAAACATATAATCACAAAACTAAAGATGCTGCATTTATTAACTGTGAGTCTGAGTCATCAGGCAGCACTCTGAGCAAATTAAGACTAAACTGCCCTACTGTTGATGATTCATCAAACAGTTAGTGTGATAGAAAGATGGAGAGTGAGTCAATTCTAGGCAAAAGGCAAGAAGAGGAAGAAGAGAGACCAGTAAAGACTGTTCCAAGGTAATCATGACAAGTTGAGAAGCCAGTGCAATCATTTCCTTAAACCCACCAATGAACTCTTAGAAGAACAGCTTTATGGGGGATTGGAGTATGTTTAACAGGTTAATAGTTTGTCATCTCTAACTTTTTATTTCCCTCAAAGGGCTGGGTCAGCCCTTTATGGCCAACCTAACAGCTCATGTCAATTAATCTATGTAGGACAAAAATTCCTTTATCTAGATCTGACTCAATTTATAAGCAGCTGAGCACCAATACGTAAGGGGCAAAGATGAGAACTATTACACTTACCAGAGGCACCCTACTTTCTAAACAAAGCTGTAAGGAAAGATGGCTTTTCTTAATAAAAATTCCTCCTACACAGAGTTGGCACTGGAAATTGTCACCAAATGGGAAGGGTTACTCAGTCCAAGTGTTTCTCAAATTTTAATGTGTAGATAAATCACCTGGGTATCTTGTTAAAATGCCAGTTCCAATTCTGCAGCTACCAGATGGGGCCCAAGATTCTGAATTTCTAACAAATTCCCAGACGATGTTGATGGTGCTGGTCCAGGAATGATAATTCCCAGCCATGGCCCAGCAATAAAACATTCCCCTTGCTGTAAGGTATCTTTTCAGGGTTACAGATGACTCTGAGACTATAATGGAAGTCAAGGACTCTACCACCTAGAAAAATGTAAGAGTGCACTTGCAGGTATGGGAATACACACACAAAATTTCCAAACTCTACTATGGGCCATCAAAAGAACCTCCCACCTCTGTAAGGCAGTCCTTGAAATGCCAAGTTTAAAAAAAAAAAAAAAAAAAAAAAAAAACCACTCTACCTTAGGAAGCCTGCCAACTGCTGCCAACACCAAACTAGCTTGGGGTGGAATAGAGAGATGCACTCCTTTGATCACTTTGGCCCATGTGTGAGTAATTCACCCGCTCTTCTCTTGGTCCACAGAAACATAGTTAAGATGCCTTAAAGATAGGGGATAATAAAAGGAAAATAAAAACAGAATACCAAGAAGCTCTGTAATATAGCTCTAAGATATAGTTTACTCATCTTCCACTTGAGTTCCACCTCAAGGAGTCCTCATTCCTGGCATCCTGTCTGCTCTAAGCAGAGCAAAAGCTACTTAATCCCACCACTACCTGGCATTGCCTTCCCGGGTAATTTGATTTCTAGCGGAGGTGGAGGGACAGAAGGCTAGTCATCTTGGCTGTCCTACCTAGTTACCCTTGAAGTCTGAGTTTCCTTGTCTATGAAATGCAATCAAGAATAGACTCCACTTCATAATGTTCCGGGAAAAATAAGAAAATGCATACGTGATGTGCCTGACACATTGCAATTGCTTAAAAATGTTTCATTCTTATGTTTTATTATTATGGCCTTTATGAACATGCAAAGATCAAGATCCATTCAAAAGAAAAGGCTTTTGTTTTCTAAATGGAAGAGTGTAACTGCTGCTCTGCATGTCTAGGGCAAGGTCCAGCTCTGCCCATCCCACTGCTGCACAGATACACCCCTGCTGTTTGAGAACCATGCTGGAGGCCATCGTAGCCGCTCACAAACACTTGTGATTGTCTCTCTCTAACACTGAATTGAAGTTATTCTACCGCCTTCAGCTCCAGGATGGCAATGTTCAATATGAGCCTTAGGTGGGTTTTTTTTGTTTGTTTTTTTGTTTTTTTAAGCATCTTGGACTAAAAAGATCAAACCCAACCACAAAATGACTGATCAGGGAAAAGAAAGCCACCTTACTATGAAACCCTTACTAATTTGTGATATAAATTTATCCAGAAACCTTTCGTCCAAAGATCTCAAAAACTCTTAACAAGAAAGTTTTAACCACCGCACAACAATCCTAAGAAGTTGGGATGGCTCAGAACTGAATTCTCAACGTTGGGGTCTCCTGAAACTCTTGATAAGCAGTGTTCCTCAATGTGAGGTCTGAGAACCACCTGCACTCCTCATCTAAATGCATGTGAAATGCACATTCGTGGATTCCATTTCCACTGCTACATCAAAATCTCTGGGGAAGGAAATTGGAACCTTTAATAAATAACCCCCAGAAAGTTCCAACACTAAATTTCTAAACCAAGCGATGACTCACTCTCCCTCCTCCACAAACAACGGCAGACCGGTAAGTAAATCCAAAATGTTGTCTACAACTTCAAGGGCTTCACAGGCCTCCTGAAGTCTTCCCACAGGTTCACAGGTAAGAACCCTGGTGTATGCAACACCAGTCAGGGCTTCTTAACTTTCATCATTCAATTATCCCACCTTCACTTTAAAAAAAAAATCAAGTCCATACTATGTAAATTTTTATAAGAAACTCATTATTACTTACATCTATAATGAAAGTAAATTTTCTATGTAATGATTGTGAAATTGTGGGTTTGATCCTTAGTTATAAGTTTTCCAAATACAGCATATAATTATCAGTATAAAACATTGTGTCACTGTACACCTAAAATCATCTCCCCTATCACCTATATATGACTACTCTTCCTGTTCAGGTAACATCAGTTTGTGTAATCCAGAGATCTGGAACCATGTGAGGATTTTATGAGGCATGCATGGCCTGTGATGCAGAAGGCTGTCTATTCTGGCAAACTCCAGAAGACCTAACAGCCTCAGTCTGCACATGCCTGGCAGAGCAGGCTATGGGAGGAGAGGGCTTTCCCTCCTGCCAGAAGGCCAGAAAATTATGTCACCTGTGGGTGTGACTGACTTGTCCAGGTGTCCTTTTTGTGACCTGTCTACCCCATCAGTGAGATGAAACATGCCCACCCACCCACAGCCCAGACTCCCCACTGCAAGGACCATGGTTGACCTCTGACCTACTGGGGCCAATCTGCTTTTCTTCAGGGGAATTTGTAATTAGGGCACAGAGGAACTTGTTAATTGACGTTAGACAAGCAAACTGAGGAATGTTTTCGACTTGGACTAGGGTGACCTCCTGAGGCAGAAAACCAGTCCATAGAGGCAAGTAAGAGGAGACACCAGCTGCCCTAGAGAAAAAGTAGGCACAGGGACATCCCAGTAACCTAGCAATAAACTTCTCTTTAGCTGGTCTGAGCAGGCAGTTTCTCCTTGCAACCAAATCACCCCTAAGACTCACTGTGCTGCACAGCTCTGGCTCCAATGTCCAGGTGGAGTTGAAGGAAGGCTAGAAGCTGGGTGAGCACCCTTCCCAGATATACCCCAAAAGAGGGTAGGGCTTGAACCTTATCATAGGGTCAGGGAAGGGGCATTCTAATGTGGGTCCCCTCCACATTACTCCAGGTGAGAGGTGCCACAAGAAGGAGCAAACAGGAGGGTACCTGGAGCTCTTCCCTCCTGCTGATAGTGGGGAAACAATGACGACAAACACAGCTTACAGTTACTGTGTATGTTAGCATGTGAATCGGGCTCTTTACAATTGTTACCTCATTTTGTTTTTCTTGAGAGCCCCATGAAGGTGGTAATGTCATTTTCCTCATTTTATACATGAGGAAATGAAGACTCAGAAATATTAAGTGATCTCCAAGGTGATATAGCTAATAAATAAAGGATCCAAACTCCAGAGTCTGAGCCATCTCACTACCTTGCTTTTTTAAATGATATTAAAGGACAGGACAGAGACCCCAAGTAGACCTACTGTCAGAGTGACAGCAGACGGTGCAGCCACCAAAAGGTCCTCCCTCCAGCAGCCCTGTCTCCTGTGCCGTCAGTCCCTGACCCCAGCCAGCAATGCCACACCTATGGGCACAGCACCAAGAAACAAGGGTGTGCAGAGGTAAGAGGCTGGGGGAGAGGCTGTGCCACCTGACCGGGGCATGGCTTGGCTGGCCAGAACAAGGCCCAGTGGAGCCTGGCTTGGTCCCAGATCACAGAGGGTTAAACCAGAGTGACTTTTTTTTTTTTTTTACAATAATTGGTACATGGCATTCTCCTTTGTGGTCCCACATGGCACGGTGGAAGGAAAGATACACTTCCAGGCCAGGCAGAACCAAGGAAGCCTGCCAATACCCAAGCTGTCCCAACTCCTAACAAATACTGGAACAGAAACTACATTCCTGGTGTTAGGACTGGATGACATGCTAAGAAAGAGAAAGCAGAACCTTAAATACAAGCCCAGAACCTGTTCTGACACCCTATAACTCATATCTCATTTCCAAAACCTAAAGCTCAGAGAAGACAACAAAGCTGTCAAAGTTCACAAATGAATCACAACTAAAACTCTGATTCCCCAAACTCCAAGTAGATTTCAGGTTCTGTCCAGGAATTTTAAGTAAGTCTCCTGAGCTTTTCAACATTAGTATGGCTGGTCCTATAAAAATAATGCTGATACAACCACTCTCCACCATCACTGCAGCAGGGGCAAACAGTGCAATTTGGCGAGCACAGATGTAATGACTGCTCCTGGCAAGTCACTGAGGCCAGCACTGAAGTTGAGCTGATGTGTCCACACCACCTCATGAGAGGTGGGCACTTACTACATGGCCACCCAGGGATGGGGATTAGGTCTGTGGTCAGGGAACGTGAGTAACAAAGATGGCAGGCTGAAATCGAGGCCCGACCCCAGACCCAATCCCACCCACAGGCCACCAACAGCCCTCTTATCCTTCACCTCTACAGCAGGAAGACCTGTCTTATGAACCCGGGACTGCAAGGCACCATCCTCTCAGTGCCTTTCCCCTTTATCTCTGACTGTTCTGCACTTGCCTCTCACTTTTCCTCCTCTTACCCTGAAAGGGGAATGGTTCCCTGGTTCTACCCAAGCCTCTTCTCTCTCCCTTGTTTTCAACAATGACTCTGTGAAGGTGGCACTCGCCACTGTCCCTTGCCAACTCTGCTCCTGCTCTTTCCAGCCAGCTGCTGGGTCTCATCACCTGAATACAGTGCCAGCACCTCCACCTTCCCCCTCCCCTCCCATCTGCTTCTCTGCCTGAGTTCCTGATTTCTGGCACTGGGGAGAGAACTAACATTTACTGAACTTCCCACACTTCCAGGACCATGCTGAGTGTTTTCCAGTTCCTTAATTTAAAAGAATCATTAAAGTCTCAGAAGCCCAAGATGCAAAATCCCATCACCCTCTCTGTCCCCTCCCTCTGCCCTGGCTCCTGCATCTAGTCAGTGATCAAGCCCCATCCACGTGCTCTCTCTCCTCACTACACAGCCCACTTGTAGGTTTCTCCGTAAGCCCTCTTCTTCCCACACTCTGTCTCCTACCTGCTCCCCCTCCCGCTGCTCCTGCCTCCACACTCCATGCAAACCACACTGGACACTATCTTCTTGAGCACAGTGCTGATCACACTAACCCTCTGCTCAAGGACTGATCACACCTTCCCCCTATCTTTTCCTCCGAACCAACCCCAAATGACTTGCCTGGCACTGAAGGCCTGCCACAATGTGGCTGTGACATACATTCCAACTTACCACCCACTGCTTCCCTGCAAGGCAGCTGGGCTCCAGCCAAACCATGTGACTCCCATTCCCTGAAGCCACACTGCACTTCACAAGCCTTTGCTCACACAGTTCTTTCCATCTCATGTGTCTCTTCTTCCTATTTCTTCTGACTCAACTCCTCTTTCTCCAAGGCCCAGGGCGCACATGGCATCTCCTACAAGATGCCTTTGCTTCTCCACTAATGGAGAGTGACTATCCTCCTGTGAATTGTGGCTTCACTCATGTACTCCTCCTATGGCACTATTTAATTGTGTTCTCTATGATACCAGATGCTCCTTAGGGGAAGAGATTGAGCAGGCTTTATCGCTGCAGCCTTCACTGTACCTAACACTCTTTACATCAAAATGATATCCATTCACTCATCAACACATATTTATCCAGTGTCGATCATGCACCAAGTTGCTCTCAGCTGCTCAGTATATGATGGTAAACAAAAAAAGACATGGTTCCTACCCTCATGGGCTTTCCATCTAATGATGAGCCAAACTTCAATCAAATTGTACCCAAATGAGTGTACAGTTAGCAATATCTCTATGCTGTAGAAGGGAAAGAATCAGAGTCCTACAGAAGCACAGAGGGGCTGGACACCATGGTTCACACCTGTAATCCCAATACACTGGAAGGCCCAGGCGGGTGGACGGCTTCAGCCCAGGAGTTTGAGACAGCCTAGGCAACATATCGGGACCTCATCTCTACAAAAATTAAAAAAAAAAAAACAATAAGCATGGTGGTGCATGTCTGTGGTCCCAGCTACTCAGGAGACTAAGGTGGGAGAATCACTTGAGCCCAGGAGGTTGAGGCTGCAGTGAGCCATGATTGTACCACTGTACTCCAACCTGGGTGATAGAGTGAGACCTGGTCTCAAAAAAATAAGAAGAAAAGAGCAGCAGTAGCACAGATGGACCAGGAAGGCTAGCCGGGGAAAGTGAGGCTCGAATGAGTCTGAAAGTGGTGAGAAGGGGAAGTGGCAAAAGTGCTCCAGGTCCTGGGGACAGCCTGTGCAAAGGCCCTGTGGTGGACCAGGGCTGACAGCCAGTGTGGTTGGAGACTGCAAAGGAAGCAGGGGAAGGTGCTAGAAGGTGGCAGGGACATCTCAATAAATGTGTGCAGTGAATAAGAATCCATGACCCTCATCACTTAGCAAACTTTTTTAACCAATAAAACTAACCAACCTTAGATTTATAACAAAACACAAAATATAACTTAAAAAATACTCTTTTCCATTTAAAAGAAATGTCCTCCTTCAGTGTAACTGCTGTTCTCTAAAAAAGACTAAAGTGAGTTCTCATAGCTAAAATAGAAATAGAAAAGCAAGCATAAAAATTATGTAATTCTGGCCAGGCATGGTGGTTCACACCGGTAATCCCAGCACTTTGGAAGGCCGAGGCATGCAGATCACCTAAGGTCAGGAGTTTGAGACCAGCCTGGCCAACATGGTGAAACCATATCTCTACTAAAAATACACTGGCCAACATGGTGAAACCATATCTCTACTAAAAATACAAAAATTAGCCAGGTGTAGCAGCGCTGGTCTGTAATCCCAGCTACTTGGGAGGCTGAGGCAGGGGAATCCCTTGAACCCGGGAGGCAGAGGTTGCAGTGAGCCGAGATCATGCCACCCCACTCCAGCCTGGGTGACAGAGCAAGACTCTGTCTCTAAAAGATAAAAATCATGTAATTCCGTAAGTAATATGATGTTGCTCTATCCCTGAGTCAGGAGCCAGCCAACTGACTAGGGAAACAGCCTCTCAATCATCCTACATTGATAACAAGAGCAGAGGCTAATAACTGGCTAATAACTATTGAGCATTGTCTACAGGCACTAACGCATTATCTCATCTGATTGTCACAACAACCAGTGTGGTAAGTACCAACATCATTACCATCTTACAGATAGGGAAACTGAAGCCCAGAGAGGTTAAATAATTGGCTCAAGGTCACACAGGTGATGAGCAGTAGAGCTAGGTTCTGAATGCGGGTTAGTGGGACTCCGGAGCCTGTACACTTAGTCACCATACTACACTGCCTCACAAGCTAGCTACCATGTCAGTACTTCCAGAATCTTATTTACTTGTTTATCTCACCTTGTTGTACTGAAGATTTAAGCCACTGAGCACCGGCAACACAAAAAAGATAAAAATCATCTCTGAAGCAATGCAGTGGAACTTCTCATGTCAGCTCCCTTCCTGTTCCAGGTCTCTTTCAAAACACTCCAACTCTTCCTCCAATTTTAATAAAGAAAAATTTTCCAGTTCATGGCAATACTTAATATCCTGAGAGAACAGGAATTGGAAACCGATGAATCTCCTTAGGCTACATCCCAGCCAAAGTCAACAGATTCCAAACCTCTCTTGTAGGCAGTCGCTGTTTACAGCACATCTAACAGGAAGAACAGGGAAGTTGCAGATTACCGGAAGGCTCTAGCCATGGTGTTCCCAACTCTTGACAAAGTTCTGAGTCTTGTCTGAAGGACAATATCACACTTTTACTATCAACAAATTCTTCCCCAAACTATTCCTACTCCTCTTTCTCAACTCCTGTCTGAAAGTAGCCAAGACACAAGGGTTAATAAGCAAAGCTTACCTACTTGTGGATAACACTGTCCACCTACTTCAGGCCTGGCCAACCCTCCTGAGGAACAGCCAACTTGCCTAAGCCACCAGTAAGATCTTATTAAACTAGTAATGGTGGCCACCAAGTCCACACCCAAGCCTAAAGCTGGCTGACCTTGTCTTCCCTGCTGGCCCTCAGAGGCCCACCTGAGGAACTCAAGGCTTAGGTAACATGAGTGTATTTTGGAACTGCATTCCTGAACCACACTGTCAAGGGCTGAATTGAGGCCCCTAAAATTCCTATGTTGAAGTCCTCATTCACAGTACCTCAGAATGGGACTGTATTTGGAAATAGAGTCTTTAAAGAGGTAATTAAGGCAAATGAGGTCATTAGGGCAGGCCCTAATACAATATGGTGACCTTATAAGAAAAGAAGATTAGGACACAGGCACAGCAGAGAAAAGACCGTGTGAAGATACTGGGAGAAGACAAGCCAAAAAGAGAGACCTGGGAAGAAAACAGCCCTGCCAAAACCTTGATCTGACTTCTAGCCTCCAGAATTATGAGAACACCAAGTTTTGTTATTGAAACTGCCCTGTCTGTGGGACCTTGTTATGGTAGCCCTAGAAGATTAATACACACACTGTCCAAGTCACCCCTGTCACCCAGTTCCCTCCCACTCTTTGAAGGGCAGAGCAGTCTGGTTTCCTTCTGAAACAGTCAGCCATGTGGCACGGCCGAGCACAAAAGTCCTATCAGGCCACTGAGTGCTGAAGTCAATGGAGACTGACCTGGTATTGCCTTTCAGAGGCTGGGAACCCAGGACAAAATCTTATGTCAATTACACAGAGAGGATAGGTAGAATTTTTCTTTTTAGAAATTATATAGAATTTGGTGGCTCACGCCTGTAATCCCCGCACTCTGGGAGGCCAAGGCGGGTGGATCACGAGGTCAGGAGATCAAGACCATCCTGGTTAACACGGTGAAACCCCATCTCTACTAAAAAACTACAAAAAAAGTTAGCCGGGCATGGTAGCCGGCACCTACAGTCCCAGCTACTCAGGAGGCTAAGGCAGGAGAATGGCGTGAACCCAGGAGGCGGAGCTTGCAGTGAGCCGAGATCGCGCCACTGCACTCCAGCCTGGGCAACAGAGTGAGACTCCTTCTCAAAAAAAAAAAAAAGAAAGAAAAAAAAAGAAAAAGAAATTATATAGAATTAACATGCAGTCAAGCCCTCCCACAGATAATTGATTGCTAAGGCCCAGCATCAATACCCCTGTTTTAGGAGCCAGACACGGTGGCTTATGCCCTCAACTCCAAAGACTCAGGAGGCTGAGGCAGGAGGACTGCTTGAGCCCAGGAGTTTAAGACCAACATGGGCAACATAGCAAGACCCCATCGCTAAAAAAATTTTTTTTAATTAGCTGGACATGATAGCATGTGCCTATAGTCCCAGATACTTGGGAGGCAGAAGAGGGAGGATTGAAGCTGCGCGTGGTGGCTCATGCCCATAATTCCAGGACTTTGGGAGGCCGAGGCAGGAGGATCACTTGAGGCTAGGAGTTCGAGACCAGCCTGGCCAACATGGCAAAACCCCACCTCTACTAAAAATACAAAAATTAGCCGGGCATGGTGGCGCACACCTGTAATCCCAGCTACTCGGGTGGCTGAGGCACGAGAATTGCTTGAACCCAAGGAGGCAGAGGTTGCACTGAGCCAAGATTACGCCACTACACTCCTCTGTCAAAAAAAAAAAAGAGGAAGATTGCTTGAGCCTAGAAGTTTAAGGATGCAGTGAGCCATGACTGCACCACTACACTCTAGCCTGGGCAAAAGAGTGAGACCCCAGCTCTAAAAATATGAAAAAATACCTCTGTATTAGACCAACCATGCTACAGTGAGTTTTCCTGTAAAGAACTGGGTTAAAAAGATCCTTACAGCAACTGCAAGGTCAGGATGTCTGCCCGAACAACCCTCATACTACAGGAAGCGAAGAGGAAGCACTGGGGGGAAAAGGCAGTAGACGGGGTGGGGAGGGGGAGCCTTTCACAAAAGATCCTTTCCAAAAAACGTCATCCAGGAGATGAGAATGCCAACTCATCACAGCAGCTAGGTGATGAGTAAGCTTATTTCAGGAGGTGACCAGGAGTTCTTCGAGTGCTATGATTAGGTGAGGAGGCTGCAAGCCATAAGAGGTTCCTAGAGCTGGGAGGTTTCAAGAATTACTTAGAGGCCAAGAAATAAGGAGAGAATATTTCAGTTGGGTGCTACTGAAGCCAGAGCAGGAACGGAATGATGAAAATGGGTTCTAAGCCTGGTGCAAGGCTGCGCACAAGAGTATCATAAGTGAAAAGCTAGCATTTATTAAGTAATAGCTGCACGCCAGGCATTGTGCTAATAAGCAGGCTCTGTATGCATTGGCTCACTTAAACTTAACAATAACCCCAGGAGGTAAGTCTATTATTACTTCCATTTAAGAGACTAAAATAAGGCCAGAATATAAGCTCCGCAAAGGCATGATTCTGTCCCTCAGATTGTTCACTAGCAAATCCTTAGAGCCTAGAACAGTGGCTGGCCCACAGCAGGCACACAGTGTTTTTTTGTTGAATACATGAAAAAGATAAGGTACTTACCAACTACACGTGACGGACAGGCCAGGATTGGAAGCCATGCTGTCGGCGTCCAGAGCCCACACTCTCAGCTTCTACTCTATGCCACCCAGGATGGAGAGAGCTTGCTGAAGAGATGGGAAATAAATCTCCTGGCATGTGGACAGCTTGGTTGACCACAGCACATTTCACAGTGTCTGCATCTTCTGCTTCAGCGCTGGCAATATTACTGTATACCCAGCATACAGAGTGAAGTTATTCAAGGGGCCAGTGCCTATAGATGATCAGGAAAAGTGGAAGGCCAGGCATTGTGCTAATAAGCAAAGTCCGTATGCACTGGCTCACTGAAACTTAACAATAACCCCAGGAGGTAGGTCTATTTTTACTTCCATTGGCAGGGCACAGAGTAGCCACAAATCCTCCTTTCCCTCAGTCCTGGAACACTCCCTGGGGCCTCTCTCCAACTTGTGTCATGCCCCACAATTCACTTTAGTGTGGGAGAGGGAGATGGGAGGAAAGGACTGGAAGCGGGTAGATTTATTCATCTGACTCTCCAAGAATATGGTGAATACAGCTGGTACAATCTACAACAGAACTTCCCAAAATGTGGTATGTATATGTCCTTGCATACCACAAATCGCTTTATGTAGGACACAAACACTAGAGTTTACATATCAACGCTTATGGTTACTTACTATTTTGGGCGAATTATACTTGTTCTTTATTAAACGAAGAGTGTCCCTTCAAAAAGAACAAGCACTCCCACTTAAAGAACAATATTAGGTCAACAATGAAATAGGTATTACATCAATGTAGCAAAAAATCAAAACAGAATTGACTACAGTTTCAGAAATACTGGTTTCCTGGAACTTCCTAAGTTCTCTGTGTCAAATGTCCCCATCCCTGCAACTTGCCTGTCCACTCAGGTATGCCATAGTTCAAAAGGAAGAGTTTACAGAGATTAAGTTTTAAATTTTCTATCAAAATCCCTTAATAAATGACTACACACACAAAAAAGAAAGAGATGGGGGAGAGGGGAGAGGAACAGACACAAAAAGGCATGTTCATTAAAATATTATGAAGTTAACAACAGGACTTGACCTGGGGCTGAAGTCATGCCCTCTGCCTGAAGACAGCTGTAACACAGAGCTCTCTTTGATACTACCCTAAATTCCACACTATTCTTTCGACTATTATTGTATACATGGTAGCTTAGCTCAGCCCTGTCCAAAGAATTGTACTGAGGTCTCTGGGACCTGTTCCAACAACAACACACAATGAGGCCTTCTTTCTCTGATAAAGCCAAGAACCCCTCCCTCTGTGATCTGTTCCCCTGCCCCTCCCAGACAAAACTAAAGTATCATTTTGAGAAGAATTCATCAGCCAAATACTGCCTTCTCTTCACCTTCCCTGTTGGAGATGATCAGGTTGCAGGGCAGCTAAGGGTGAGTTGTGCTCTAGGACAGAGCCTAGGGGTCTAGTCTGCTCCAGGGAGAGATAAACACTTTTACTCGCAAATTCATGGCATCTTATCCACAGCTGTAGAAAGGTAAGGCTGAAAGGGAAGCAATGATACTAAAACCTGCACCAGTCCAATGTAAGATCCATGAGAGAAGGGCCTTATCTTATTCATGCTGTATTCCCAGAACCAAATGCAACAGTGTTTAGTGCTCAGCAGGTACACAGTAAATTGGTATTGAATGGATGAATGAAGTGAGCCACTAAGTGGATGAATGAATGAATGAGTGATTGGATGGATGGATGGATGGACAGATGAATGAAGGAGTGGATGGCTCCAGCAGGACTGGCAGAAGTTAAGAGGAGGGAAAGCATGACTGTAAGATTATTTTCTCTCTATCTGCTTGAAAGCTAGCAACTGTATAAATAATGGGACTCCAAAGGAGGACTATTTTTCTCTTTTCACAGCCATCCCTTGCAGGTGGTGGATTAACTGCAGGACTTTTGGCCCCTGAACCACCGGGACTCACTGCCTGGGGCAGCAAACCAAAAGCCATCTTGACTTTCTCCAGGACATATTCAGACACCCCAACTTCTGTCTTGATTGCTAGTGTCCAAAACAGGAAGAACAGAGTGCTGCTGGGAATGCAGAATTGCACCAGCTGATCTGACCCCTTCTTCTAAGAAGCTCAAAGTCCTTCACATCCTGGCTTCTCTCTTGGGGAACTTTTATTTACAGTAGACCTATATTTTTTTCTTTTCTTTTCCTCTCTCTCTTTGCTTATCTGTATTTTCTAATCATTCTACAATGAACAGATTACTTGAGTAATAAAAATGTCTAAGACTGATAAAACACACAAATAAAACCATTCAAAAAAGACACTGAAAACGCACATTTTATAGAGTTCCATTTCAACATTTCTACAGTATAAAATTTAACACTACCATTTCATGCAGTTGCACTCAACTAAGTCCTTTGAAAACCAAGCTGTAAATTTCTGATAAAAGTCAAAGCTCATGACTTAAAATCAGAACAGCCAGCCATACAGGCACTTATCTTATAAAAAGGGGCAGCCATCTGATGGGCAAGGTGCCAGAGTATTAGAAAGGACAAGGACACAAGCTTAATAAGTAAGGTGCCATATATGGATGAAACATATGTTCTCAGTTCAGCTGTGGTAAGAAAAGATGCTCTGCATCTCTCTTCTGGTGGCAAAAACTTCCAGAGCGGCTGACAGGAGCTATGGTACACTCCGCGGTGATAGAAGGGGTTTCTTTCTTGGTGGGGTTGATTGGTCCATCTTGGAGCTCAACCCTAGTCCCAAACAGATGGACCATGCTCTAGGCAGCTCGACCACCAGCTGGGAGGGGTCTCCCATTCCACTCAGTCTCAGAACTCATTGTCAATGTCCAGCCTGCTCCACAAAGTGATAACAAGGAAAGCAGCTGGGCTAGCAATCAAAAGATTGTATTTCTGGCCAGACCCTGCATACCCCACTTAGTTATTCTGTACCTTGGTGACTCCGTGTTACCAAAAGTGAGTGACACTAGCCGTATCTCACAGGTTGCTAAGCATAAACTATGGCAAATGTTAAACTGATGAGAAAAAAAAAAGAGGAGAGGAGGAAAGGAAAGAAAAGGGAATGCAGAAATTACTACTAAACAAAATTTGACACCAATTAGATGATTGGGATTTCCCCACCTCAAACTATGCTGAGTTTAACAAGCAGAAAAGACATGCAAATCACCTTTCGGATCAATGTTCTCCTAAAATACAACATTTTTTTTTTTTTTTTTTTTTTTTTTTTTTTTTTTTTTTTCCGAGACAATGTCTCACTCTGTTGCCCAGGCTGGAGTGCAGTGGTGTGATCTCAGCTCGCTGCAAGCTCTGCCTCCCGGGTTCATGCCATTCTCCCGCCTCAGCCTCCCGAGTAGCTGGGACTACAGGCACCCACTACCACGCCTGGCTAATTTTTTGTATTTTTAGTAGAAACGGGGTTTCACCGTATTAGCCAGGATGGTTTCGATCTCCTGACCTCGTGATCCGCCCGCCTCGGCCTCCCAAAGTGCTGGGATTACAGGCGTGAGCCACCACACCCTGCCAAAATACAACATTCTTAAAAATAAAAGAGAAATGAATAGAAGCTTCCAGTTTATCCTTTTCAACCCATCTTTCTAAGAGATGACACAGCATTAAAATATGGCCTGTAAGAACTGCATAAAGACAGCGGGTAAAGTCCCCAGTTCCCAAGGACAGGCAAGGGGGAAGCCAGCAGCACGCAGCTCAGCACAAATCTCTGTCCCGCTGATACCCATGAGCACCAGGGCAGGCACTCACATCCTGTCCTCAGGCTTAGGAGCCAGGGTTGCAACATGGGTGTGAACTTGAACATTCTGGGAATGTATCAACAAAAAGGGTGAAGAGGGCAGGGGGCAAAGACTTCCCAAGGCTGAATCAATAGAGCCGTCTGTAGACAGAGGGGCAGCAATAAAGTGTGCTGGATACACCAGAGCCGTGGGCTGCCTCAGGGAGGTTTTGCTAAGCATGGCCTGCAGAATCCATTCCCAGTTCCCTTTTCACACACAAGACCTCAGCAGCACAGCTGAACTGAAGCGCTGGGCCTCTGGGAATACAATCTGGTGTAGAAACTGCTGATCTGAGAGGCTCATGGTTTTAAAAGAACAGGTTAGGTTTGAACCCTGGCTTGGCCCCTTCTGGCAATGGGCTCTACATCTCTCATTCAGTCAGTGGCAAGGTAAGTGTGCAATTTACCAAACACTACTGCCCCTAAGTTGCTTCTCACAAAAAAGGAATAACCATACCTGTCTAACACAACTGTTGCTAGGATCAAATTGCATCATGCCTGAAAGCATTTAGCATGATGTTGGCTCAATGCATTCACTGTTATTAATTTCATGCCTTAATTTCACTGTGATTAATTTCAACCATTATCACGGTTGTCATTATTAACTGGAGAATGTGGCTATGTGTACTGTAGGATCATGTTACAGAAAAATCCCTCTCCCTAGCCCCAACCTTGAGGACGGGCACAGTATAGCAAGCCTGAGGGCTCCCTTCACACTTTGGATCCAGTGCTGCTGTTCTATATCAAAGCCCTCACCACATACAGTTGGTGCAGAGCCTCCAACCTCAGCAGAATATCCATAGAAAACAACTGCTTATCCTGAAATGAGTCAACTGCTGGTTAGTTCCAAATATGCGTAAGAAATCCAAACTAAACTTAGTTCTGGCTTCTTTGTACTACCAAAAGGATTTAAGATGACATGTGCCCATCAACTGCATATATTAACACAGAGTTAGATGTCTAAGTAGTGGGGGGGTACATAACTGGGATTGTCTTTTCTTCGTTGCACTAATCTTTCACTGTGATGTCGTCCAGGCATCACTCTAGATGCCCACACTACACAATAATGTAAGAAAATACGGAAGAAGGCAAAATACAAAGATGTTAACTAATGCCTTCCCAAAACTTTCTTTGGAGAAGTAGTCCCCAGATTTGGGAATTTCAACAACCAACTTAAACTAAACACACACACACACACACACACACACACACACACATTTCATTGCCTATAACTTATTATGCCATGTACAACCGTTAAAAAACATATATTAACATCACTGAATTAAAAAGTTGTCATGGCCAGCACAATGGCTCAGGCCTGTAATCCCAGCACTGTAATCCCAGGCAGGAGGATTGCTTGAGCCCAAAAGTTCAAGACCAGCCTGAGCAACATAGTGAGATTCCGTTTCTACAAAAAATAAAAATAAAAAAATACATGGGCCTGGTGGCACATGCCCGTGGTCCCAGCTCCTTGGGAGGCTGAAGCAGGAGGATCACTTGAGCTCAGAAGGTCAAGGCTCCAGTGAGCCGTCTTTGTGCCTTGCATTCCAGCCTGGGCAAAACAGCAAGACTCTGTCTCCGACAACAACAACAAAAAGTCTTCATTATTCCAAAACAGTAAGAAAGATACACTCCAAGAATAAGACACACACCTTTGCATTATATAAATTTAGGCTTATGAATAACCCATTATATTACACTGTCCACATTTTTCTCAGAGAAAACTGTGGGACTGGATTTCCACATTAGGGAATTGATGCTCTAGAAGGGGGAGCATTGCTACTTCCGGGTTAAGGACTATTGCCACTGGAAGGTTAAAAAATGACATTCCTGGTCCAAAATCAGCAACAGAAAGAGGAGCCTTTTACCCACCCTACCAAATATGCAAAGAAAGGAACACTGGCTTCATAGAGAAGGAGAGGCAGCAGGATCACTGGCTAACTCCAGAGCACCTTTAACCTTCCTACTAAAATCTGTCCAGCTCATCTTTCTGGGTTCTGGTACTTCATTCCAGGTTACAGCTGCCTCATTAGCTATTCCAAACCTCAGTCACACTTTTGGGCCTTCATATAAACTCATTTTTCGCTCTCCCTCCTCAAAAACCTGCTAAAAGTAAAATACAAACTTACCACATGACCTAGCAATTCCACTCCTAGTTACCTACCCAAGAGAAATGATACATCCACACAAAAACTTGTACAAAAATTTCATAGTAGCAACATACATAATAGCCAAAAAGTAAAAATGATCCAAATGTCTATGAACTGGAGAATAGAAAAACTAAATGTGGGCCAGGCGTGGTGGGTCACACCTGTAATCCCAGCACTTTGGGAGGCAAAGACGGGTGGTTCACCTGCGGTCAGGACTTCGAGAACAGCCTGACCAACATGGCAAAACCGCACATCTACCAAAAATACAAAATTAGCCAGGTGTGGTGGCACATGCTTGTAATCCCAGCTACTTGGGAGGCTGAAGCAGGAGAACTGCTTGAACCCGAGAGGCGGAGGTTGCAGTGAGCCGAGATTGCGCCACTGCACTCCAGCCTGGCGAAAAGGGTGAAACTCCATCTCAAAAAAAAAAAAAAGAAAAGAAAGGAAAAAAAGAAAAAGAAAAAGAAAATGTGGTATAGCCACATGATGGACTACTATTCAGCAATAAAAAGGAATAAGCTCGTGACACATGCTTCAACATGAATGGACCCGAAAAACATTATGCTAAGTGAAAGAAGCAAGACACAAACAATCATACGTTGAATGATTCCATTCATACAAGATGGCCAGAAATGGCCCACATACAAAACACAGATTAGTGGTTGCATGATGGTGAGAGCAGAATTCACTACAAATGAGCAGGAAGGAAATTTTTCTGAATAAAAAGTTTAAAAAAAAAAATCTGTTCAGCCCGGGCATGGTGGCTCATGCCTGTAATCCCAGAACTTCGGGAAGCCAAGGCAGGTGGATCACCTGAGGTCAGGAGTTTGAGACCAGCCTAGGCAACATGGTGAAACCCCGTCTCTACTAAAAATACAAAAATTAGCTGGGTGTGGTGGCACATGCCTGTATTCCCAGCTACTCGGGAGGCTGAGGCACGAGAATTGCTTGAACCCAGGAGGCAGAGGTTGCAGTGGGCCGAGATCACACCATTGCACTCCAGCCTGGGCAACACAGTGAGACTCGGTCTCAAAAAAATAAAAATAAAAAATAAAATCTGTTCAAACCTATGCTTAATAATATGCTTGGAAGAATTCAGTAAGTTTCCATTCAGTGAGTGAGCCAATGAGTGAGTGGGTGAGTGAATGAATGAAAACTAGCTTCCCAGAAGCATCCCTGGTTAGACCAAAACTAGGTCCACATATTTCATTCACCCTAGTCAGCCTCGGCAAGTTATGTGTAATAGTTACGGAATAGCAAGTTATTTGTAATATATATATGTGTGTGTATATAATATTGGGTCTCGTTCTTTGGATGAAGTTGAACCATATAAAACTGTCGTTTTTTGTAGGTCAAAATTGTTACATACTGGCAATTTCATATGATTCAACCTATACTTGCAATATTTGATAAGGAGTAGAGACAGAACAGGAACTTTTAGGTCAGGCTGACTTTACGGCTGCAGGCTCCATCCCACAGCCTAAGCTTCAGTCTCCTCATGTGGAAAATGGGAATAATAACAGGATCTTGTTCACAGGGCTGCTGTTAAGGATTACTATGACAGTGCGTGGAAAGCACCTACCAGTGCTGATACAAAGTCACAAAGGAAGTGTTGTGTAAATACCTGCTGGTCCTATCCCTCTCTGGAACTATACACTCCTCAGTGATCAAGGACCAGGCCTTTGACTTCTTTTGTTTTTGTATGTTGCCTATTTGTGCGTTCCCTTGGCATGCAGAATGGGATGTTCACTGCTGGACTCCTCCACAGATAAGGCTTCCTACCTGCTATTAAAGCCCAAGAACACATCCCCAGATGCCACCAGAGTCCCTGCCTGCTGACCTCTAACTGCTCCAGGGTGAACTGCTGACGTGCTGCAGGAGGATTCTTATGATTCCATTCCCAACATCCTCCTTGTCGCATGTTCGGCAATAGCGTGAGGTTGAAGGAAGTGTCATCACAGAGATTTCCGTCCGGCTTATTTCTCAACAAAAATGTTTGGCTGCTATGCAACCAGTGTTTTAATAGATGACGGGACCTTTCGTGAAAGGCCAGGTTTCTATTAGCAACAACAAAGGACAGGAGCTATGGGGCAGATGCAAATAAAATCATACCTCTGCATCCTATTTGAAATTCCTCAACTCATTTTCAGCTATCATAAAGGCAGCCAAAAGATTCCAAATGGGGAAACAATGAGACAAAATTAGAGGTGCCAGACTTCACCAATAAAAATGCAGAACAACTAGTTAAATTTAAGGTAAACTACAATTATATTGGGACATATTTATTCTGAAAATTTTTCATTATTTATCTGAAGTTCAAATTTTACTGGGTGTCCCATATTTTATCTGGCAACACTAGATTTAATTGGCATCTCAGATCACTATTTTATTTCCCAAACACAAGACACAATGTACTTTCAGTTCAATTAACCATTCTTTCACCAGAAGAAACTATGCAGACCAGAAAGATAAGGTTCCCATACTTTATGACAGTCTGCGCATGAGGCTGGATTAAGGGGTATCTCCCCGCCACTACACACTGGAACTTCAGTTGGCCCTGCATGGCCCCAAAACACTTAATATGGACTAGAGGCTTACTGAATCCTTGAATGAGCCCTATGGGGTAGGCCCAAGTATTATTTTCTCTACTTTACAGGTGAGGAAACTGAGGTTTGGAGAGGATGAAATCTAACTCAGGTTTGGGCCTCCTAATTTAAACAAACAAATAATGTCAATGGGCCTCTCATCAGAGTCCCAGACTTGGTCTACTGTCTACTCTAGTGTCCCTGAGCTAATTCTAAATTTCCAGTGCCCTAGTATGTGCATTGTATTTCAATACAGCTGTTAAAAAAAAAAATTTGCCAATGCCTACTTTTTCATCAATAAAACTTCAATCCCAAAAACACTCCAGAGCCACTTCAACTGACGATTACAATTACATGGAATCCCCGCTTAACATCGTCGATAGGTTCTTGGAAACTGCAACTTTAAGTAAAACAACACATAACAAAACCAATTTTTTTGTCCTCAACATTACAATAAAAACTACGTTGAACAAAATGACATTATTCAAGAATCCATTTTACTTAAAGCCACAGTTTCCAAGAACCTACCGACAATGTTAAGTGAGGACTTACTGTACTTTTTCTTTCCTCCATCTACTGGCAGATCTCAGCAAATTGACTTCGCATGGACCTCTCCACTAAAATTAAGGACCAGAAAAATAAAAGGAGACCAAACTTTAAACAAGGTAAATCCTGCTAACTGGGTACAGCTCTGTTAAAGAATGCTCAGAATAAAATGAAAACGAAATCTGAAAAACATCAACTTCCACACATCTGTTTATAGCCTTCATCACCAATGATAACAGGATGGGGCAAAATTGTAGCCATTACTGTAAAAAGAAAATTATCTGGATATTGTTGTAAACAAATACCTCATTCATATAAAAGGTACCACAGAATAGTTTCTCTCATCTCAACTCTCACGGCCTCTGGAGCTTCCAGGGATTTAAGAGGGAACAGATCCCCTCTGATGTTCTTCTTTCAATCTAGTTTTTATCCTCTCTCCACGAGGTTACGGAATCTGACCCGCACCCACTCCAGTCTCACCAGACAGAAGGCAACTCTGCACACAGATCCCAGACCAATGACTGGCATTAGACATAAGTATCAACAGCACGGATTTAAAGTCATTTTTTAAAAATGCAATGTTTCCCTAAGGGCTGTGGGCTTCTCTAACCACAAAAGTTTAAGACAAGGTACTTTCGTCCCTATTCCTTGCAAGGAAAACAGTTGGGTACAGTGACATTCTTTGAACACAAGAGCAGCCAAAGGCGGGGGCTGGGGGAGGGGTGGGAATTCTTCATCATCATATTTGCCTTTGGAAGGCAATCCATCTCCTTGGTAACAGTTAAAAAAAAAAAAAACCCTCTACTAAATCTTACACCTTAGCAGGCAGCCTTGAAAATATGCCAGGGATTCAGACAAGGTACCCACTCTTTTTCTCAAAAAGATGATTGGGGTTTTTATGTTTGTCCGTATTTACCAAAAAGGGGCATCCAGTGTCTTTCCCATGGATCTCATGTCTTTCCTCATCTAAAAAAAAAAGAGATGGTGGCACAACAGTGACACTATACATTATAAAGTTCTGATGACTGAATGACAGTACATACAAGATTTTAAGGTCTGGCACATAGGGCGTCATCAATTTCTATTCGCTATGACTATAACTCTTATTATCCCACAGTGCAGCACTAGAATAGCACAGATGTGAACTTCAAGATGACAGGAGGGAGAACTAGATGTGTAAAACACAATGCAAAAAGCTCCTACAGCAATTCCACAGCTCAAACCCAGAGGAAAGAGTCAAAGCTATGCCCAGAAAAAATGTTAAAAAGAAAGAAAAAGCAATCAGACCTGTGCTCCAACCAACTAAAACCACATAGCCACCATCATGCAGTTAAAGATGCCTCAAGAACAGGAAACGGCACCTGCAGTAAGCTGATGACTGAATTGTACAGGCAAACACACACACTCTTGCCCAGAGCCCCATCTGTGACCTGATGTTCCCCATCAGGGAGGAACAGGAGTCATACAATGTGGAGGTTTAGATACCTTCTTAGACTGGAACAAAAAATGAACCTGGCATCATTTTGATCTCTCTCTGCCACGGCCTCCGCTTTCCTCCCACCCTGATTCTAAGACCTTCCAGTTTGCAGGCACCTTCTAGCTATGGGGATCAAATCACACGTGAGCACAAGAGAACGTGCTGCCAGGTTCACGAGAATAGTTGTGGAAAGCCGGGAAACTACTGAACTGACACCATAAGCAGGTCTATTAACAAAGCACAAATAATGGAATTAGATAAAAGACCTTGAGGCTGAGCACAGTGGCTCACGCCTGTAATCCCAGCACTTTGGGAGGCTGAGTGGGTGGATCACCTGAGGTCAGGAGTTAGAGACCAGCCTGACCAACATGGTGAAACCCCGACTCTGCTAAAAATACAAAAATTAGCTGAGCGTGGTGGCAGGTGCCTGTAATCCCAGCTACTCGGGAGGCTGAGGCAGGAGAATTGTTTGAACCCGGAGGTTGCAGTAAGCCGAGATCACGCTATTGCACTCCATCCTGGGTGACAACAGTGAAACTCCATCTCAGAAAAAAAAAAAAAAAGACAAAGAAAAAGACCTCAGCCTTCTGATGGCAGTTTGAGAGAGAGAGACAGAGACAGACAGAGACAGAGAGAGGGGGAGGAAGGACTCCAATGAGTCACTAAAGAACAGAAGCGAATAAGCTGCATGTCTCTAGAGCCCTCCCTAGTTCCCCTTTAAAGGCTCAATCTTTAAGCCTTTCAGGTAGTGCAAATTTTATTCATCATTAGAAACTTAGTCTGGATTTTTTATAGTTACTTATTACGCAGGTATTTCTTTCTAGATCATTGTGCCAGACAATGGGAAGTATGGCTCTCTCAGAGCCTGCATTCAAGGATAAGAAGGTACCAACTTAAATTTGTACCAATGAGTCAAAAGTGTTCGTTTAACACTGTGTGTCCCACTACATCAGGCCAGTGACTCAAGCATGTGAATAAGCAGCTGTGAAGTCAATTACATTTTGCTACAGTTTTAATGTCCCTTCCAAAACTCATGTTTGAAATGTAGTTGCCACTCTAACAGTACAAAGAGGTGGGGACCTTTAAGAGGTGATGAGGCCATGGGGGCTCCGCCCTCATGAATGAATCAATGCTGTAATCATGGGAGTGAGTTTATTATCACAGGAATGGGTTCCTTATAAACAGATGGGTTTGCTCCCTTTTGCCTCTCTCATCCTCTCTTTGCCCTTCCAACATGGGATGACACAGAAAGCAGACCCCTCCTCACCAGATGCTGGGCCCTCAATCTTGGACTTCCCAGCCTCCAGAATTTTGAGCCAATAAATTTCTGTTGGTTATAAGTTACCCAATCTGTGGTATTCTGTTAGAGCAGCACAAAACGAACTAAGGTACATGTCATTCCTACAGCTCAAGGAATAAATCCTGCTGAGGAATTCACAGGTACAAATACTCTCAGCCTCAAAGCATCCACTCTTGGGACTGTTGAAAGATGGAGGGTAAACTTCTCACCATATTACAAATTAAGACATTCGTCTTGACAAGCATTTGTAGAATGGCTACTGTGTGCCAGGCACCACGCAAACTACTCAGGATATAGCCATGAACCCTATCCTTCTGGAGCTTAGCATCTAAGGGGATCTTATAGTCTGAGTTGTAACGAATGTAAGAAAGAACCAAAATGCAGAAACACATATCTCTAAAGAAAATAAAGATACATTACAATATGCCTCCAAAAAAAAAACCCACCACAGTTGTTACTCCTAATACCATTCACCGCTATAAGAGTGAATACCTGCAGCATTACTTTACTCTTACAGTAAGAGTAAAAGCAGAAAAGGTGACCAAATTAGCGATGTCTGTTAGGTTTAATGTGGAACACATTATCTCTTCGAGGTATACCAGATTGGGAAGGAACAGCATCACCTAAACAGGGCTGTTTCCATGCCCAGGAAAGCTGCCAGGCAGCTACTGGGCCTTCAAGGTTACCACTCAAATGCCAGACCAGCTTGGCCTGGTGGATGAAGGGGCTCCATGCTGCAATGAGAGCTGCATTCTTTTCTCAGGTCAGCCATATATCCCACAGCCCTGAACTAGTCAATTCCTTCCCTGAGGGTATATAGTTCCTGCATTTATAAAATGACAAGACCAGTAGAAAAAGGAGAAGCATGGGGAAGAGGGGAGGGATATATAACTGTTCACCAAGTGCATACATAGACACAAACCCAGCTTTAGATGGCATGATAGGTCCTGGGCGGAAACTCTTTGCTCTTCCTCTTCTCGCTACATACCACAAAGTGTACTTGCACCATCACCACCCTTCCAGGCAGAGTGGCTTTTGAAAGACAGCTCTTAGGCAATCTACAACTTCCTAAAATGCTACACAATACTCCATTTGAGAGCACAGTCAGAGCACAATATCCCACCATGCCCCAACCAAGCCTGTTTCTCTGATGCTGGTCCCAGCTATACACCAAAGAAGCCTACCAATGACAGAAGGTCACTAGACTGGGAAACCAGGTGGCTTCCAGAGGCAGTGGCATTTGAGCTGAGACATAAAAGGAGGAAGAGGTGAAGGGAAGCGGAGGAATGCTGCATCAGAGGGCACTGCATGTACCACAGCCTTGTGATAGAGGAGGCACATGAGCATCAAAGGGAGCAGAAAAAGGGTCCTGTTGCCGGAAGATGCAGAGATGGTGTAAGATGAGAGTGGAGAGGCAAAGGAAGACAGACCACAATAAGGGGGTCATTTTAAGAGCAATGGGAGACAACTAAAGGGTTTTAAGCACTGAAGTGGCATATGTGATCAGATTTTCATTTTGAAAAGACCACCCTGGCTATAGTGGTAGCCGCAAGCTAATCAATGAGTCCACCTGGCAAATGCTAGTAGCCCCTAAATGGGGACCACTGTCCAAGACATCAAGAAAGAGAAAGGCTGGGACATAGCGGAAAAGAAGAAGGGTCAGGTAAAGGGAAACTTGGTCTAGCACAGGCAACTCAGCAGCATGAACATCAACTGGAGCTTGTAAGAAATGCAGAATGTCAAGCCCCACCTCAGAACCTGCATTTTAACAAGGTCCCCAGGCAATCTGGATGCACATTAAAGTTTGAAAAGCACTCCCCCAACAGAGTGGCAACTGGTCTTTGGAGATTATCAATCATACCACCAAAGACTTGCCTTTTCAAACTCAGCTTTAAACAGTTTGTCAATGAAGCTGCAAAACCGAAATACCTGCCTTAAGGTTTAAATAGAATGGAATCACAGACGAGGGTTGCTGTGAGAGAACTCTCAATTCCTAAACTAGCCAGAAGGGGAAATCAGCATCCACCTGTTCTTTGATCTTGCCAAGTCAACACAACAAAAGCAACCACGTAGGGTGAGCACAGACAGCTATGATACAAAAAATCACCCTGTGACCACCCCCAAAAGCATCACTTATCTCCTAAGCAGAATCCAAGTCTCTGCCAAAGCTTCCTGACAAATCCTTGAGTCAGTCACCTTTGAGGGACAGCTTCTCAACACTCAAATATTCATCTTGTTGCCCACTTGAAAAATGAACAAAACTACTTGCAACATTCATCAATCCCACAGATCACAATTCTATCTAATTATAAAAACACTGGCTCAATCAACTGCTTTCCTATGATGCTGAAAATCAGTCCTTTAATCATTAAGTGTCCTAGCTTTTCCCCATTTACAAAACAGGAACCCTAGCATTTATCTCCCAAAGGATGTTTTAGGGATCAGAGAAATGATACAATGCTCTTAGAGGTATATCCGGGCTATTTAGTTCACAAAGCTTTGATTATGTCACTATGCTACTCAAAAAACTTACAGTGACTTCCCAGTGTCCACTGAACAAAGACTCTTCACTGTGTCACCTAAACCTTCTGCAATCTAATTCCAACAACTTTTGGATTCTTATTGCACAGATGATATAGCCAACCAGGCTAGTCAGTTTCTGACACCACGCTATAGCTAGTGAGCTTCCCAGTGGAAACGGAACCCCATTGGCAATCCCTCCCTAAGTCCACACCCTCTGTGTGTTGAGACCTAAACAACCAGTAGGCACTGGCCAAACAAAGGAGGACAGGGATGGTACCAGAGACACCAGGCAGAAGGAACAGAAATATTCAGTGGACTGATGCTGGGAAACCCATTATCCATTAGAAAAAATCAAAACAGATTCAGGACTGGAGCAGAGAGCTTATACACATAGGCAATGTGAGGCTGGAGGAGCTGGCAGGGGCCAGAGTCCACAGGGCTCAGAAAGCCCTATCAAGACGTCTGAACTTTATCCTAAAAGGGCTAGCAGAAACGTTCTTGAAAGCAACTACACTGTAATACTTGAGAACTGTTTTAGTGAAAGCAGAAGGTGCCTCCAAAGACTTTTTTCTGAAACTCTTGATTCACTTTGCCCACCAATGAAATTCAAACTGTTTTTAGGAAATATATGTGGGAATTTTAATAGCAGTACATCATCTCTTTTAACCAGCGATTATAATCACAGAACTACAGAACTAGTAGGAACTTTAGCAATCATTTACTCTAACCCCTTATTTTAAAGATAAGAGAACTACGGTCCTAAGAGATTAAATAATTTGCTCAAAGACAGAGGCAATTTGTGGCAGAGTCAATATTTAAACCCAAGTCTTATGTCTTCTTTGGCCAGAGAGAATAGGATGTAGCAAACATTCCAATATAAGAATCAAAGCATTCATTCATTAATTCCACAAATATTTGTCCATACAGCAGATGCCATCCTAAGCACTGGTTATACAGAAATGAACAATGGCAAACATCTTTGCCCTTGTGGAGTTTTCATTCTAGTAGGAGAGACGTAACACACACACACACACACACACACACACACACACACAGAAAAACACCTTAGTAAACAAAGTAAATTATACAGCATGTTAAAACAAGATAAGTACTATAGAAAAAAGTAGAGCAGAGAAGTGGGATGGGGGAGGCTGTCAGGGTAGAATTTGCTGAGATGACATTTGAGAAAGTCTTAAAGAGGGCAGATACTTTCAGGATCCTGGGGATTTGAGAGGTCACATGATTTCTATCCATTCCATCATAACTTACCTGTACAAAGTGGTAGGTAATAGGGCTGAGATTCTGGGGATAAATTCAGCCCCTTTTCCAAACCTGGTGACATCCATCTACCAAGTTCAACAAACAAAACTCCACAATTCTAACATTCTCTCTTTTCAAACTGGAAAAAATTATCCTCCTGGCTTTAATAAGAGGCCTTGATAGGCGATAAATTGTAATGTAATGAAAAAGTGGATACGGAGGGAATTTGGGGCTGGAAGCAAAACAAGTACATATTCTACACTTGGATAATGAACCAAGCCAATTTATTTTGGTTACTGTCAAATATGGATTAAAATGTGGGTCACTTCCTGAACACACCAGAAATGAAACTGAGATTGGCACCAAGTTCCCAAAACCTGATGAAGAGTTGCCCAGAACAGAGAAAAAGGAGGCACCAAAAGAGGAAGAACAACTGAGATTACAAAGACCATTAGAGCTTGGCCTCTTCTTCCCTAGAGCATGCTGTGCGGTGGTAAAGAGTCAACAATATCATTCCAAAGAGCCAACACTTTCTGAGCAATCCTCACAATAACCCTACGAGGTGGTCACTTTCATCAGCCTCACTTTACAGATGAGAAAACTGAGGCAACTGAGTTTCTGAGAGATTAAAATGCCCATACAGTCAATGGGCAACAACCAGGACTGGAACCCAGGTCTATCTGACTCCAAAACCCATTCTGGGGGTAGGCAAAATGTGGCTGTTGCCTTGTGTTTGTATGACCTGTGAGTTAGGAATGGTTTTTACATTATTAAAGGGCTATAAATTTTTTTAAAAAAAAAGAAGAAGAAGATATGACAGAGACACTATGTGGCGCACAAAGCCTAAAAAATTTACTAACTGGCCCTTTACAGAAAAAGCTTGCCCACCTTTGTAGTCTAATCCATTATACGAGACATCAACAGATTCACAACAAGCTCTATTAGTTATAGTTTATTTCCCAAAATGTAAATATCATAAAGAGAAAGAGACTCTGGAAGATAAAGAACTAGCTCTCGTACTGGCTGGGCTACAGGGCAGTCAATCATTGGCCGGGGTATTACAGAACTCTGTGGCATTACTTAATAGTTCTCATACATCATTTTGTTTTCATTTCTTATCATCTGTCCCAACAGGGGCAGTCCCCTCTCTCCCTCCTATCTGCCTGACATCCCTGTTCCCTACTCTCTAGGCACTTAACTCCCAAACACTATTCTTAGGCTGCTCACAGTCTGCCCAATCCTGGTGGTGCCTAATACTAAAATACTAAAAGTATCTCATTTTTCCCCCTACAAATTTGAATGTCCAGGGTTACTTTATTAAACCACAGCCTGATCGCCCAAAGTAATTTTCAAATGTGGGTAACAACCATGCTATATCTGGAAGGCAGGGCCCTTTCTCTTCCACAGATGACCGTGCTCAATTTACTTATGCCAGTGTGGAGTAACTGCGTTGCCTTGGCCTCTGTCCCCCCTCCTTCTGTATTTATAGCACCCCAGTATTCCTCTGGGAAATCATCCCTCCCTGACTTTCAGAACACTTATTTTACCCACTGTCAACTCTACTCTGGGGCTGGGTCAGGTCGGCTTCAGGGATTATCTCAAGGATGAGCACAGGCTTCAACAAAGAGCCAATGAGAACCATGCTGAGGGCTTCCCTTCAAAATCTTGGCCAAGTCATCCCACCAATGTGAAGGAAAAGACTGCCTGAGAATGGCGCCAGCCTAGAGAAGAGTGGAGTTGAGAGATGCAGAGACCAGGGCCTGCTGATATCCTTTGGAGTCACGAGAGTCTGGCAGGTCTTCAGTTAGAACATCACTGGGCTTTCCAGAGATGTACCACAACAAATTCCCTTTCTGTTTAAGCCGCTTGGATTGGTTCTTCTCTCCCTCACCATGGAAAATACCGTTTGGTGTGGCCAGAAGAAAGCACCGCCTCTACAAATGTAACTTATTAAAACCAACTGAGGCTGGGCATGGTGGCTCATGCCTGTAATCCCAACACTGAGAGGTCGAAGCAGGCAGATCGCTTGAGGCCAGGAGTTCAAGACCAGCCTGGCCAACATGGAGAAACCCCGTATCTACTTAAAATACAAAAATTAGCTAGGCATGGTGGCGCACATCTGTAATCCCAGCTACTCGAGAAGCTGAGGCACAAGAATCACTTAAACTCGGGAGGTGGAGGTTGCAGTGAGCCGAGATCATGCCACTGCACTCCAGCTTGGGTGACAGAGTGAGACTCTGTCTCGAAAAAAAGAAAAAGAAAAAATAAATAAATAAAACCAACTGAGAGAATGGTGATAACTAGCACTGCCTTCACTGTCAGCAAAGCTCCTCACCAATACTCCATGTCCATACTGAGACCTGAAGGGGTTCAACTCTCTTTTCCCCATCTATTCCATCTCTCTGGGGCTCTCAGAGAGACATTAAGGCCTCCTAATTTAACACCAAGTGATCAGATTAGAGCTGGGACCAGTGAGACTAAAACACTAAGACTCACCATCAGTATTTCAAACTAGCATGCTTCATCACCTCCTACCAAAGCTACGACCCCTCAAGCCTCTAAAGAAAGATAGATTAAAAAAAAAAAAAAAAAAAAAAGCAAAGGGATATAACAATCAGTGGGCAAATTCTCCTGCTTCTTTTAGGTCCAGGGTTGCTTGGCGACCAGCCTCAGCCTGGTCATTCCAGTGGACAGGCAGAGGAACGAATGTCAGGCCTCCAGGTCATGCACCATGTACTGTTTGCGGTCCCACTACTCGAGGGCAGGAGTGGATTCATGCTGTTCTACAAAGCTGGCAGAATGCAGCTGACAAAGCCCCTGATGCCTAGGGGGAATACCCATGGGTTTCTGTCTGCCCCACACTGGCCAAAGTTCCTCCAACCTTTCTGCCTTCGATGAACATCAGTTATCAGTGTTGCTCAAAATAGATGAAATAGGCTTTCAAAAACAGTTTGATAGGAAAACAAGGAAAAGGTTTTGAACACAGAAAGAACTTTAATGTTACTATTTATTAAGATAGTAGAAATCAGCACAATAAAAGGCATAGGGCACATCAGGGAAACACAGGCCAGCTTACGTTTCAGGTCCAGGATTTTTTCAAATCCTCCAACGCTGCTCATTCCACAGCTACATCCAAGGACTCCTGCTCTGAAAGCACAGCCGGGGTGCTCTCAGTCTCTAGGTCATGAACTAATTTCCAACTGAGAAGTCAATGGGGATAGAGATTTCTACATTTGGCAACACATTTTAGAAGTAACTGTGGTACTAGATCCCTGCACGGTCAGTACCCTGGAGGAGAAGGAGGAAAAAAAATGTGGGTCAATAAGTCTCTAGTGCTTAGATGTCGCCAAACAGGGCATCTGTGTGAGCAAAAATAGAGAAGAGGTGATGCTGTTCCTTCTCTCTCCCTACCCACTCTACCTAAGAATGGTAGTGTTCCACAAAAAACACAGAAACGGAGCCCAAGAGAAAGACAGAGACAGTCTCTTCTGCTTAAATTTTACTTAGCAAGCCTAAAAAATAAGAAGGTGTATGGGAGGCACTATCTTTTGTTTGCTAAATTCCTGTTAAGGCCCATTTATGCATGTGGAACTATCCAAATGAACTGATATTAAATCCTGCAAAAGGTCACTAAAGATTTCAGATAAATTTTGTGCAGAAACTATGCCCTGAGGGTATCTACTGGAAGAACAAGAGATGTGGTTCCAACACAGAAACGCTGTCAGCAAACAATGTATGAGAGGCCTGAAATATGGACAAAGAGAAACTTCTTTTTAATTTTAAAGGAAAGTGAAAAATGACTCTTTTGTAATTGATTAGGAGGCTTATAAAGTATACCTTCCCATTTGTGCTACTATAACTAAACTGATTTGTCAAAACTTAACACCTTTTTTTTTTTTTTTTTTTTTGAGACGGGTTTTGCTCTTGTTGTGATCTCGGCTCACTGCAACCTCCGCCTCCCGGGTTCAAGCGATTCTCGTCCCTCAGCCTCCCAGATAGCTGGAACTACAGGCGCGTGCCACCATGCCTGGCTAATTTTTGTGTTTTTAGTAGAGACGGGGTTTCACCATGTTGGTCAGGCTGGTTACAAACTCCTGACCTCAGGTGATCCACCCGCCTTGGCCTCCCAAAGTGCTGGGATTACAGGTATGAGCTACCATGCCCAGCCAACTTAACACCTTTTAAATGCGAGGGGTAGGGAGGAGAATATATACTCTAATATTCAAAATCTCTCTTTTTAAAGCAGTTTCATATACACAAACAAACGGCTTTGTCAATTTAAGAGTCAGCCATCAGTCCATTTCTTCTAGGTGTGAAGATTAGGAAACACATCAATTCACCGAAAGTCAACTGGCCCAGCCAAGCAGACCTGGCCTTCCTGCATAGTGCTACTTATGAAAGATATTTAGAAACATTCAATTTCTCTCCCCTTTCCCCTACCTGATAAAAGTAAAGCAATAGAGACCTAAGAGAGAAACAGAATGAGCACACTGGCAAAAGAATGGGAGAGGAGATGGAGGCTGGTGACAGCATTAATCTACACTTAGTTCTGATTCTTGCTTCTTTTAACTCATCATTTCTTGGGCTACCCCAAAGGAAGCCAGATGCCACCCTATCAGAGCAGTTACACCTGGTTTATCCAAGACAAAAGGCTGAGGCAGGAGAATCGCTTGAACCTGGGAGGTGGAGGTTGCAGTAAGCCGAGATCGTGCCACTACACTCCAGCCTGGCAACAGAGCGAGACTCTGTCTCAAAAAAAAAAAAAAACTTTAAAGCAAAATAAACCCTAAGGAGAACCAAGAGATGCTTGATGCTTGAGGCCATCAACACTTAGAGTTGCTTCTAGAAAAAAGTCAAGTGGTTGAGAAGGGCCCTTTAAAGGAACATTCGACATCATTTATTCAACATGCAGCGGGGAGTTTAGAGGGTGAGAAGTACCATAAAGACTACTAAACGGGGTAATGAGATAGAAGGGGAAGGATGGGACAGCTACCTGAGACTTTAGGTCAGGTGGTCAGAGGAGGACTCTCTGAGAGGACCTTTGGCTGAGACTTGAAGGATGAAAGGCTGATGACATAAAAACCTGTAGCAAAGGCATTCCAGAGGAACAGTAAGAGAAGGTGGCGGGAAAGTGCTCAGAGCATCAGAGGAATCTGAGGTCAGCCAAGCTTAAACACAGTGAGGTAGAAAGAGGAAGGTCAGAGAGGCATTAGGCAAGGTAGGCAGACGCCTGATCATACAAGGCCGCATGAACCATGGTAAGGTGTCCGAACTGTATGACGAATGGCATGGGAAGCCACTGGGAAATTCTGGATGAGAAAGAGTGGAATAAGGTTTATGACTTCTAAAATATTGGTCTGCCTGCCATGTAAGAAATGGATTCTATCTTACCAAGATCACTAAGGTTCCAGGTGGTCATGATTCCAATGAGTAAGAATATCATTCTGCCTACAAAAACAGGAGAAATACGATGGGAAAAAATACTATCCAGCAGAGTCTTTCCTTTAATAAAGGGATGCCTTACAATTTTCAACACTGTGGTCACCAACTATAGGCCCAGAATGGAAGGTCATTCAGCCCCTCAGAGAAGTGTTCTCGGACTACATAATCTAAAGTTGCCTCTACCCTCTACCATCCATCACTCAGTGTTATCTCATTTCCATCATGGTACTTTACACTATCCACTAGCATCCTGCTCACTTGTTTACTTGTTTGTCTGCCCACAAAAACAAAAGCTCCATAAGGCTGGAATTTAATCTTGTTCAAAGCTAACCCCTCAACACTACAACAATGCCTACCATACAGCTAGAGTACAATAAACATTTGTTGACTGGATTAATAAAGACCTTATCTTGATTTGTATTCAAAAAAAATTCTACCAGTCCCCAGTTCTAGATTCCTTTCTAGGGCAATCGGCTTCTTATGTGGGTTGTTATAACTAAAATGACTTCAGAAATACAGCAGAGATTAAGAAAGAGTGCCCTGGTCCTGGATACATAAGGAAAGAAGGGTTCCCTTGTCCTAGATCCCATCATAACCCAGTCTAGATATGTTTTGGAGTGTCTTGTGCTGTTGTTTACCCCAGAACCGCCCAAGTGTTCGAGTCTGCTAAGTGGCAGGAGTGTGTATGGGTGGGGGTGCAAGGAAATGTAAACTTCTAGTGCTGAGAACGGAAATAATTCATGACCAGCGAATGGAGATCAGTCCTTAACACAAACAATTATATAAATAAGGCAACTTTTTGTTAAGTACTACAACAGATACTTACATTAGACTCAAAGAAGTACTCTTAAGTAATCACCTCTGGGTAGTGAGATGGGTTGGGATGGGAGGGGCTCTCATGTGATGTTGTTGCTTTTATAATGATTTTTGATAACTCAGCCTCCCAAACAGTCCAGAAAAGATTGCAGAATCTTGTGACTAGATAGATTAAAACGAAGACATCTGGATTAAATTCAATATAATACTGGCCAGAGTACAAGGTCTACTCTAATTTCCAGAGATAATTATGAAGATTTATCTCCACTGAGCAAGCCAGAGATTCAGATGTAGAGACAGCAGAGAGACAATTTGTTTAAATGTCTATACTATTACTATCTCACAAAAGGTGAAAATAATGAGTGATTAGAGTAGCAATAGCTGCTACATTTTTGTGTCTGCTGCTTTGCACGTGCTACCCCATTTAACTCTTCCAATGCTCCCAAGTAAGCACTTGTGTCTCCATTTTGTAAATGAGAAAACAGAAGATTTAAGGGCTGGGCTAACAATTTATAGTCAGCAGTATAACAATAGTTCCACGCAAAAGGGTTGGCATTAGATCAAGGTTCAAATTCTGACAACAGCACTTTTTAGTTGTCTAAGACACTTAATCTCTCTATGCTTCCGTTGCTAGTCTATAAATGAATAGAGCAGTACATACCTCATTAAGACTGTTGTGAAGGTTCAATGAAATAAACTTTATAAAACACTTAACAAAAGCATCTGACTCACAGAAAACACTTAAATGGTGGAGATATTCTACTGCAGTTGTCCCTTAGTATCTGTGGGGCATTGGTTCCAGGACTCCCAACAGATACCAATATCTATGGATGCTCAAGTCCCTGATATGAAATGGCATAGTATTTGCATATAACCTAAGCACATCCTCCCACATATTTTAAATCATCTCAAGATTACTTATAATACCTAATACAAGGTAATAGCTCTGTAACAGTTGTTGTACTGTATTGTTAAGGGAATAATGGCAAGGAAAAAACATCTGAACATGTTCAGTAATGATGCTCTTTTCCCAACCCAATATTCTTGATCTGTGGTTGGTTGAATCCCCAGATGAGGAACCCACAGATACAGATGGTCAACTGTACTATTAGTATGGTTCAAATAAATTTAAATCATGCTTTCAACATATGAAATTTGTTATTCTGTGACACTCTGGTAATGTATCTTCTCTTTGTCCCCAAGGTTCTGCTAAACCAGCAACAAAAAAATGGGGTGGGAGTCGGGAAGCAAGCAGAGAAATGGGAGCTGGTTTTAAAAGAACTGATTAATTGGCCGGGCGCGGTGTCTCGTGCCTGTAATCCCAGCACTTTGGGAGGCCAAGGTGGGTGGATCACTTGAGGTCAGGAGTCCGAGACCAGCCTGGCCAACATGGTGAAACCCCATCTCTACTAAAAATACAAAAATAAGCTGGGCATGGTGGCACGTGCCTGTAATCCTAGCTACTGGGGAGGCTGAGGCACGAGAATCACTTCAACCTGGAAGGCAGAGGTTGCAGTGAGCCGAGATCATGCCACATGCCACTGTACTCCAGCCTGGGCAATAGAGTAAGACTCCATCTTAAAAAAAAAAAAAAAAGAATTGGTTAATAATCATGGACAAAAGAGAGAGAGATACAACCTAACCATCCAAAAATAGGTCACCAGTTCAAAAAGTCTTCACACAATATACTTGGAGTATTATGTAGCCACCAAAAACCATCTTAGAGAGTAGTTAATGATACATAGGGATGATCATGAACTGTTGAAAAGACTATAAAACCAAAATGACAATCTCTAATCAGTACTATAGGCATAATTTGCATTTTATTTTATCCATCTGTAATTTCTAAATTTTCTCTAATGAACATGTATTGTCTATATAATCATGTTATCTAAGAAAAAATACAGGTTTTTGGATTGCTTTTTTTCCTTTTAATGACTAACCTATGTAGACAGAAAGTCAGGAGAAGGCAGAAGGGTCAGCCTGCTCCTTTGGTGTTGCTGGCTTTGTCAGTGGCTTTGTCAGCTGTGGGCTTGGCTGTCCAAGGGAGGGAGATGTAAGCCATCCATCTTATCCACGTCTCATTGTTTATGTCCAAAATACATTCTCCCTGGAGATTCTAGATCGAGCACCTGCAAAGACTCAGATCTCATACCCAGTTTCCTGACCTCCCCAAATAGGTTTCTAGGTCCCTAATAGGCATTAAAAATACGTAATTATTTCTGGAGCTGTTCAACTAACCCAAATAACATGCTCTCATTCCATGTCCCCAAATTTCCCTTCTTGAAATATAAATTATTGACCTACTTTGTTAAAGACCATTTTAATGGCACTCTCCCACCCCAATGATAAAAATGAGACACTTGACACTGTCATCAGGTCCCATTAGAGAGGTAGAAAATAAGCCACTAAATGTTACCCATCAGAACGGCTAAGCAGTGAGCCAGAAGTTCTGTGCCCACCCTGGTTCTGAGCACATCCTCTCACTCTGAAATGTAACACAGGAAGTATAACAGGAAAGGGAGCCCTAGACAGTGCTGTTCACCTAGATGAGACCACTCACAGTCCGACTAAGAGTTCTCTAGAACCAGAATGTCTTAGTCACCTCAAAGCTGAGAGTCATTTTAGCTATAATTATAGAAATCCAAGCCGGACGCAGTGGCTCATGCCTGTAATCTCAGCACTTTGGGAGGCCAAGGCGGGCAGATCACGAGGTCAGGAGTTCAAGACCAGCCTGGCCAACATGGTGAAACCCCGTCTCTACTAAAAATACAAAAATTAGCCGGCTGTGGTAGCATGTGCCTATAATCCCAGCTACTCGGGAGGCTGAGGCAGGAGAATTGCTTCAGCCCGGGAGGCGGAGGTTGCAGTGAGCCAAGATCATGCCACTGCATAGAGCAAGACTCCATCTCAAAAAAAAAAAAAAAAAAAAAAAAATTCTAGAACTCCAGAAATCTGTTTCACGTCATTTCCATTTACCAAAGGCTTTGTTTTCTCCATAACTGAGATATCAGGGATGAATCCCAGCTACTCAGGAGGCTAAGGTGGGAAGATCATTTGAGGCCAGGAATTTGAGACCAGCCTGAGCAACACAGCAAGATCCTATCTCTAAAAACACTTTTTTAAACTTAGCTGAGCATGGTAGCATGCTCCTCTAGTCCCAGCTACTCAGGAAAATGAGGTGGGAGGAACACTTGAGTCCAGGAGTCCGAGGCTGCAGTGAGCTATGATCACACCACTGCATTCCAGCCTGGGTGATAAAGGAAGACCCCAACTCTTAAAGAAATTAACTTTTTAAAAAATGTATTAGGGCCAAACACCATGGCTTACACCTGTAATCCCAGCACTTTGGGAGGCCAAGGCAGGAGGATCACTTGAGGCCAGGAGTTCTAGACCAGCTGGGCAACACACTGAGACCCCCATCGCTACAAAAAAAAAAAAAAATGTTTTTTAATTAGCCAGGCATAGTGGCAAAAGCCAGTAGTTCTGGCTACTTGGGAGGCTGAGGTGGGAGGATTGCTTGTGCCCAGAAGTCTGAGGGTACAGTGAGCTATGACTGTACTACCACACTGGGTGACAAGACAAGACTCTGTCTATTTAAAAAAAAAAAAAAATACCAGGGATCAGTCACCTCCCTGGTCCTTTGGCAAGGCAAGAGAGAGATGGTAGAAGGCCAGACACAGTGAACAAATGATGGGGGTGTGTGGGGAAAGGTGAAGGGAAAGAAAAAGAAGGGAGGAAAGCAAATGAGAGAAAGAGAAAACATACAGATGGTAGAAAACACGCTTTCTACATTTGGACTGGAATTTCCTAGAACAATGCAAGGTTGCTAGTGAAGAAGAAGGGCTTTCCTGTTAAGACCACTGACACCCCCAAACATCACCATTTCAGCATATAAAAAGTTTACTTTTGTCAATAGTCCCTAAAATGGTTAAAGCTGAAACCCTGAAGTGCAACCAGCCAAATCAGGATAGTACTGGCAATTTTTTTCCTCTGTAGAAATGAAGGAATGCATCTACCTACTGGATTTGGGGTACCCATTCTCAAGCAGAAATAACACGCTCTCGTTCCAATTACTCTCTCTAAAGCAAGATCAACACCAAGGGACAGACAAGACAAAAGAAGTGTGAAACCAGAGGCCTAAAGGCCCCCTCGGCAGTGAGTGTGCATTAGTCAGGTTGCACTAGTAAATCTGTCAGAGGACAAGAATGTGTGAAGAGCAAGAACAGTGCCAGGTCGGAACATCCTGGTGTTGGAACTGCAGCATTCTGAGGAGCTGCAAATTGTTTGGATGCACTGAAGGAAAAGGGTATGTGGCTTCACAAGATCAAGAGACGAAGCAGATAGGAGAGTGCCACACTTGGAGACATGAGTTAAAAATCCTAAGGAATCCCGGCACTTTGGGAGGCCGAGGTGGGCGGATCACGAGATCAGGAGATCGACACCATCCTGGCTAACACAGTGAAACCCTGTCTCTACTAAAAATACAAAAAATTAGCCGGGCATGGTGGTGGGCGCCTGTAGACCCAGCTACTTGGGAGGCTGAGGCAAGAGAATGGCATGAACTCAGGAGGGAGGCGGAGCTTGCAGTGAGCCGAGATCGCGCCACTGCACTCCAGCCTGGACAACAGAGCAAGACTCCATCTCAAAAAAAAAAAAAAAAAAAAATCCTAAGGAAGTGGTTGCCTAGGGATGAGAGGTAGGGATGGAAAGAATGGCAGATATTAGCTAAGGACTACAGGATTGCTTTGGGGGAATGATGAAAATATGCTAATATTAATCGTGAAGATGAATGCAAAATCCTGTGCATATACTAAAAGCCATTGAATTGTATGCTGCAAATGGGTAAATTGTGTCGTGTGAATTGTATCTCAAAAAAGCTGTTTTTAAAAAACATCGTCCATGGTCTCTGCCTACCATCGCCTACCCCCATGCTGCCCATTTGGGGAGCTCAGTAATATGGCTGATTGAGACGGCACATTAAGAGATATGAGTCATCCTTCTCCAGTTTGACATTTTACAAGTTTCTTGCTTAACCATCAAAAAACAAATTGTCTTTCTTAAAGAGACTCAGTTTAGGGGCAGTAAGGATTAGACTCCTTAGGAAAACAAGCAAAATTTAAGTTATCTTCAACTGGTGATCATCTTCATGTACAAATTACGTACGGTTTCAAGCACAAAATCCCAAGCAAGCCCCACTGGGCTGTGTCTTTTCCTTGCAGTATGGTATGAAGTTAAGCTGGCCAGGAGAGGTGGGGGAGATGAGAAGCAAGCCAAAGTTATATCCCAAAAGACACAGAGGCCAAAAGCTATCAGTTCCACTCCAATTTCCTATGCAATGGAGCAGAGCTTCCCTGCTGGGGAACCGATTACAAGCATGCTGGCTACGTAAGAGGAAACAGGCTTTCTTTCCAGAGAGAAACCCATCTTGCTGCTCTAAACAGAGCTGGCAGCATGGTAGTCTGCTGACCTTGCACACTGAGCTCTGGGCAGCTTCGGTCAGAAGGCCGGCAGATTGTGGCAAGTCCTGGCCAGCAGACACAGATGCAGCAGGAGCATCTGGATGCCGAAGCCTACGGATGCTGAGGCACTCGCCTCCAGTGCCTGCCCTGGCCTCCACAATGACATATTGTCCACAGCAGGGGTGGTGTGGCTGATGATCTGCTGGGTAAGTCGCCCACGGTAAAGTCTGTGTCAAACATTTCAGTGCACTAGTCAGATACAAATGCAAGAAAACCTTATTTTTGGAAGAGCAACCCACAGATTTTCTTAAGAAGCAAATAGCAGAGTGAAAGCAGCACTAATTTCCTGGTGGTGACACCCTGGGATCACACCAGCAGCAGCTGTGGTCTGCCCAGTCATCCAGCCCTGCTTTAAAAGGGTGAGAACCAGCTGAGATCAGAACAGAGACAGCAGTATTTGCCAGAAATGAGTTGCCCAGGGGCACCTCCAGGTAGAAGGGGGAGATCAGCTCTCTCTGGGTTTAAGGCATCTCAGCTCCAGAGCCATCACCCAGTCTCTCTCCTCCTCTCCCCAGATCCTGAGTTCCCCTTGCTGTGCAACAGCTCAACCAGCTCATTATGCTTCCTGAATGTTTTTAAAGAAAAAAAAAATGTGAAACATAATTACAGGCTCTGACCCCAAATGACTTTAACCCTGACAAGAGCACCCAAGACTCACTGTGGGAATACAGTTTCCCTGTGATTGCCCAGGAGCAAAAGTTTCCTTTCAGGAGCTCCCCCACATCCGCTGGCAATGCTGCTGAAGGGTTCCCGCTCACAGGCCAAGCTCACGGAACAACTGGATCCCAGGCGTGGAGCCACACTGGCTGACATGTTCTCAAGCTGCTAGAACTTTTACGCTTCTGAAACCCTCCTGCATCATTCCTAGGCCTGCAGTAATGCAAACACCCTCCAGATATCTGAGATGTGCCCACGAGGCTGGAGAGCACAGCTGTGCACATTAAGGAAGAACAGGATTTGGGGACCAGATTTATGCAGAATCTCTGCTGACCTATTTAGACCTAATGTGTGGTCCAAGGACTCCCACCATGCAAATCACTTGGGGTGAGATGGAAGGGAGTGGGGGCGGGGGTATAGGAAATTCGGGTTTCCAGACCTGCCTAGAGCTCATGCATCAGCATTTCCTTGGGTAAAGCCAGAGAATCTGCAGTTAGGGGAATTCTTGTACACCTTCACTTTTAAGAACCACTATCTTACAAGGACACTCTAAAGGCAGATTCCAATAACAGGTCACTTACCACAGGCCTGCTTACACTGCTAAGCATAATATCTACAATTATCTCAGCTGCTCCTCACAATAATATTGTAAGGTATAATAGATATTTATTATCCTCCCTTGCACTTATGCTGTTTTCTCCAGTTTCATCTCCAAAGGTCAAATCCAAAGGCCTCCAAACAGTCCTCACCTAAACTGGCCAGGATGAAACATCAAGTCATCAAAGCCTCTCCAACTCTCTGCTACCCACCTGCTAAATGTGGATGCTCCCTATGGTTTCAGCTTCCACTCTCTTCTCTCACTCCATGCCAGGCGTTCTTCACCCTTGCTGCACATTAGAATCACCTGGGGAGTTTTTAAAATGTCCCATGCCCAGACTGCAACCCAGCCAAATTATATCAGAATCTCTGAAGGTGAGTCCTGAGCTCCTCAGGTGATTTCAATGGACAGCAGAGGCTAAGGACCCCTGCGTGGGTCTCACTCTTATAGATTCAGTCACTCCCAGGGCCTCAAATACCACCTGGAGAGAGCCAAACCTATACCTGTAGCCCTCATCTTCCTCCAGAGTTCCAGACTTGTGCTTCCCACAGCCTTGTGGGTGTCTCCACCTGCATGCCCTGCAGGAACTCAGCAAGGACAAACCTTACTTCACTCTGTATCCCCCATCACACACCACGATTCCTCTCCTGTATGCAGTTCAGCCATCCTCCCAAGGCCTAAGAAGGAAACTCTGGAGATGCCCCTAACTCCTCTGTCATCCCTTCCTCAGGCACTATGCTGCTGACTATGTGTTCTCTTCATCCACACCTGATCATCTACTCTCAAAAACACCATGAATCGGCCAGGCGCAGTGGCTCATGCCTGTAATCCCAGCACTCTGGGAGGCCAAGGCGGGCAGATCACGAAGTCAGGAGATTGAGACCATCCTGAGTAACACGGTGAAACCCCATCTCTACTAAAAAAAAATACAAAAAATTAGCCGGGCATGGTGGCACGCACCTGTAGTCCCAGCTACTCAGGAGGCTGAGGCAGGAGAATCACTTGAACCCGGGAGGCGGAGGTTGCAGTGAGCCAAGATAATACCACTGCACTCCAGCCTGGGCAACAGAGAGAGACTCCATCTCAAAAAAAAGCCATGAATTCTGCATTCCACTCTATAACTTATCAGTGTTTATTTGAATATTCAAATTGTGATCCCACTGAGTAAAACAGATTTTCAGCAGACTGTATTCCCTGGCACACAGCCTCCTGCCCCAGACACCTGCACCCAAGCCTAAGGAGTGCATTGCTCCCCTCCCTTTTCCCCCAGGTGTGATGGGCAGATGGTGTCCATTCTCTCACATACTTCTGCCTTGGGACAGTGTTAAGAAGAGAATGACTCTCATAACACTGGTGAAATATGGGATTATTTTAGGCAATACAATGACAAATACTTTTCAATGTAATGATTATGATTTAATAATTATTTGAAGATATTTAGAAAAAAAAAGTTAACCATATCAAACTTGCAATTTCTGAATGCAGGTTCAAAAGCTCCTTTTTGAAATAAATGTATTTTGTAATGAGTAGACTTTTTTCAAAGTAAATAAAGGGTGGTGAGGTGGGGCAAAAATAACAGAGGTACCCTTCACATGACTGATCATTAGTGACCACACTGCCCCCTTGGGCTCGATAAGCCTTCAGTTGCCTTTCCCACAGGCCTCTGCTCCCTCCCCCAGAGGCCCTTTTAAACTGCTAGCAATCTCCCCTTTGTGCTGTGGGCTGCCTGTTTCCCTGCCTCCTCTCAAAACAGTGAGCATCTAGGAGACAAGGACTGTGCCTGCTTCATGCCAGGAACCTGGCCAATGTAGCCTTCTACATCAACAGGAGCTGGAACAGAGATGGCAGAGGACATGTGGCATGATCCTGTCCTCTATCAGGGAAAAGTGCTAAGCTCTGCAGGAGAAGCTGCCAGAGAGAGATGTCATGCAAAACTCCCGACTCCCTCACCAGCTCCCAGGAATTCCAGTGCCCACCGGGAAGCTTCTATGATAGGCAACGTGTCCCCTAGACCAGAGTCACGGTCTCCGGTCACAGAAGGCAGAAGACTGCCCTCCTTCAACAAACCTGCCGAATCTCCTGAATGTTACACGCACCGCACAAAGATAAAAACTCAACAGCACCATCACTAGGAACACAAACAAGGTCTCTGGGATCCTACATTCAACTGATTTCTAGGTACAGCTGTCTCAGTTTAGGGAATGATTTTTGCTGTGGCTTTTAATCCCAGAATTAACAATACACACAAACTGGAAAGGGGAAAATGGAGAAAATTCTAAGTATTGTTTTATTTACAGAGACCATTCTGTAATAAACTGTCTAAAATGGTGAGTTTCCTTCCTACTCTAAAATCATGGTTTATCAAATTCAGTTCACTTAGAACTTTTCAGAAACACTGTTATGAAATACTTATTAAAATGAAAAATGTACATACCCTTTGGTCCAGCAGTTTCATTTCTAGGAATTTGTCACTCATGTGCCTCATGCCAGAGGTGCCAGGATGTTCACAACAACATTACTTGCAATGGTGAAAGGTTGGAAATAATCTAAATGTTTATTATTAGGGGAATGGTTACATACACTATATTTAATTCATACAATAGAATACAATGCAATCTAACAATGAGTGAGCTCTCTATGTACCAATGTAGAATAATATCTAATATATTAAAAGCAAAGGGTAAAACAGCACATATGGCACAATGTGTATGTGTATTTGTTGGCACATGCATAAATTACATCTGAAAAATACCAAAGAAACCAATAAAATGCCTCCAGAGGAAGAAGTGGGGATCAGGAGACAGGAAGCATTGGAGGGATATTCACATTCTCTTTTGTCTCTTTTGAATTATGAACAACTTATAGGTATTACCTATTTAGGCAACCCTTTTAAAAAGAAACATAGCTATGAGTTAAAGTAAAAATGCCTTATTTTATTTGTTCGACTAATATTCATTGTCTACCCCTGACCCACAAGTGTGATAACGAGATACGCAGTCAGGAATTTGCTAAGGCTTTGGTCCTATCTGTTTGACAGTCTCCTTGGCACAGAAACAGCCAAAGTTCAACTCAGTCAGCTTGGAGATCTATCTGAAGTCTCAGAGGAGGAGGCAGTTCATATTTTCAAAGTGTTCAAATTAGCCTGCAGTAAACTTAAAAGCAGATGTGACAGCAAGATCAGATGAGTTTTGAAACTTACCAGCGGTATCTTTTCAAACCATATAAAATAGGAGTTTTTTGAGCTTTTGCTGTGTGGCAGCAGCAAGAGTCAAAGAGTAGCTACTGGCTTGGCCCAGAGAAACCAGCTAGTTAACAGTTTGGTGTGGAATTCACAAACCCCTCAAACCTTTGTCTATCTGGCAAAGAAAACACACACACACACACACACACCACCCTAACCCCAGGAATCTCCTCTTTCTAAATATAGCAGGAAACTGCCCAGTCTCCAGCTTACCCAGGGCAGCATTCTGTGCCTTCCAATCAAGGTGAAATGAGCCAGACACAAACATGCCATGACAGCTCGTGGCCCACACTGCCAAGCTGTTTTCCTTACCATTTCCTCTCTCTCCATTCTGAGGTGCTACAAAAATGTGTAAACCCCAGTCACTATAATTTGTAAAAATTCCTCTGGCTGCTAATGCTGTTGTTCTCACCCTAAATAAACATGATTTCCTTCCTAGTCCCTGAGCCTGGAGGTTAGAATAGACTCTTAGATATGGGCAAAGCCCCATCCCATCTCCCATCTGACCTATAAGAACATGCCACTCAGAAAGCATATCAAGCAGTTCCAGGGCTAATAGGGACACATCCAATTAATTGTCATCTCTCTTTCCCTGGCACACATACACACACACTAAGTTTTTTTTTTTTTTCTATCCCTTGGTTGTTTTAAAATCAGTGTCAGTGTCTAACAGAAGGGTCTGTTAAGGATGCTTCTGATTTAACCAAAAGATTAAGCTTCAGAAACAATCTAACATACTCAAAGGAGCACCAAATTATCAACCGGCTACAAGGATGCAAAGGACCTAAACAACAGATGTCAAAGGGCTTGTAAAAACTGGAGCCAGCAACCATTCCACTTGAAGGAATCCATCTCAGGGAAATGCTGGAATCCACACACAAAAGCAGGTGTGCAAATAATCACTGCAGCACGCCTTCTAATAGTGAACAACAGAGACAATCCAAATATCCTTCAACAGGAAACTGAGTAAATACCAACTATGGCATATCCACATAAAGCTCTCTGCAGTCATTAAAAAGAATGCACTACATGCATGTACTGACATGGAAGGTCTTCAAGACAAATGATCAACTCGAAAAGCAAAACACAAAATAATCCTTATAGTATAATCCCATTTATGAAAAAAACACGCAGAAAAAGGACAAGAAAAAATGCATACCAAACTGCTAACAATGATTGTTAGCTAGGAAAAGGGGGTGCTTTTACACTGTATACGTCTATACTCTTTGATGCTTGCATGAGAATGTATTCAGGAACTATCCATGTCATAATATTTTGTCTTTGCATTATAAGATTAGGTCATTCATTCATATTGTTAATTTTACCCCTAAACCTAATCCTTCCCAAGCAAACTATTTTAGCAAATAGTACCATCATTCACATAACTGCTCAGGCCAAAAATATCTGAATCATTCTAGACTTCTTTCTTTTCTCTCATAGCCCATATGCTGTGCAGCAAATCCTGTGGGCTCTACTTCCAAAAATACCCAGCCTCTGACCACCATCTGTGATGCTGTCACCCTAGCCCACGGTGCCATCATCTCTCACCTCAACTATTACAACAGCTTCCTTACTGGTCATCTTGCCTCCATTGTTGCTCCACTACGCTTGGTCTCTACACAGCTGCCTACATAATCTTTTTAAAGTATGAGTACGATCATGGCACAGCCTTCCATGGCTGCCCATCACACTTAGAATAAAACTCTAAGTCCTTTCTAGAATTCAAGATCCCTATGACCTTGCCCTGGCCTATCTCTTTGTGCATTCGCCTTCACTCTGCTACAGTCACAACTGGCCGCGCCACTGGCCCCCAAACATCCCACTCAATCTCCCCGCTAATGACTCCTACATTGGTTACCTCCATCCAAAAAGCCATTACTCTAGTCTAGGGCTCTGGAGGACATGGTAAAGGCAGAGCAGGGTCTCCGTATTTCCTGAACGAAACTCTTCTTCTGATGGCAAAAAATATATAATTTGAAACAGAAGGGGTTATAATTTTAAAAGGTAAAACGAGGCTCACTCAGAAACTTAAATCTAGAAAAACTACTTTGACTGCTAGGTTAGTATTCCTCCACTGGCTAATTTTTAGAAATGCAATGACCTTGACAGGATAACAAAGTCCCCTTTACAACTTGCTTTCCCCAGTAGCTCAATGGTGATAACAGTTCTTCCTTGGCCGGTTCTCATTTTGTCCATTGAGAGGGCTTGGATCATTAGCTTATGCAGGCCAGAATTAGGAAGTCCAGCCTGTGTGGCATCTGCCCAGAGCGATGCCCACTGGCCTAACAAGAGCAGAAATCTGAACCACAGCCTCATAAGAACCACTTCCTAATTCCTGAGATCCTGAAACTGATCAGTTAAATACATCTAAGGTTGAAGCACATGGAAACAAATAGTCCCCAAAAGAGGGCAAATGGAGAAAATATACTAAGTGCTGTTCACTTAATCATCAAAAGTTTTATGAGACAAAGTAAAGGAAAAAAAAGATCTGAATAGACATTTCAGCAAAGATGACGCACCAATGGCCAACAAACACATGAAAAGGTGCTCATCCTCATTGGTCACCAGGATAATGCAAATTAAAACCACAACGAGATACCACTTCACACCCACTAGAGTGGCTACAATCAAAAAGAAAGACAACAACAAGTATTGGCGAGGATGTGGAGAAATCAGAATCCTCATACATTGTTGGTGGGAATGTGAAACGGTGCTTCTGTTATGGAAAACAGTATGGTAGGTTTTTTTAAATAAACACAAGTTTAAATTAAACTTAAACATAAATTTACCATACAACCCAGCAAAATTCTACTCCTAGGTAAAAAATGAAATTAGAAGTGAAAACATATATACACATGAAGACACGTATGCAAACATTCATAGCAGCATTATTCATAAGAGCAAAAAACTGGAAATGACCCAAATCATCAGCTGGTGAATGGATAAACAACTTATGGTTTACAAAATGGAATATTTTCTAGCAATAAAAAGGAACAAACTACTGATACATGCTACAACACGATGAGCCTCAAACACAGCATGCTTAGTGAAAGAAGCCAGATGCATAAGACTACATATTATATGATTCCATTTAGCTTAATTTTTCAGGGAAGAGAAATCTATAGAGACAGAAAGTAGTAGATCAGTGGTTGTATGAGGCTTCAGGCAAAAATGCAGTGCCTGCAAATGAGCATGAGAAAGCTTTTCGGGGTGCTAAAAATGTTCTAAAACAGGACTAGGATGATGGTTGCATAACTCTGTAACTACAAACCACTGAATTATACACTTAAGAAAAGTGAGTGGCTAGGAGCCGTGGTTCATGCCTGTAATCGCAGCACTTTGGGAGGCCAAGACGGGAGGATCACCTGAGACCAGGAGTTCGAGACCAGCCTGGGCAACAACAAAGTGAGACCCCCATCTCCACAAATAATAAAAACAATAAAAAATAAAATCTTAAAAGGTGAATTTTATGGAATGTAAATTATAATTCAATTAACCTTTTATGAAAAATTCCCCCAAAAACATGCTGACCTGAAGCAAGTAACTGCTTTGAAAGGAATAAATATAAATATAGTGTTCTTGTGAGAGACAACCATGATCAATTGGTATGTCAATTCCAAGTGTTAGTGATCATACTGAAGGGAAACGAAATGGAAAGAAAAAAATACATTTTTATGACTTTAAAAGAGAAAGAATAGTCTTTCCTAATGACAGCTGTTGATAATTAAAACTCAACAATAAGATATTTAGCCATGAAGAGAAATGAAATCCTAACACATGCTATTAACATGGATGAACCTTGAAAATATTTTGCTAAGTGAAATAAGCCAGATATTTATGACAAATATTGTATAATTCCACTCATAAGAAGTACACAGAATAGGTAAATTCATACAGACAGCAGAATAGAGGTTACTAGGGTTGGGGGAGGGGAAAGTGGGGAGTTATTGTTTAATGGGAACAGAGTTCCAGTTTGAGATTATGAAAATGTTCTCGAAAGAGATAGTAATTATACAACATGGTGAACATGCTGAAAACCACTGCATTATATACTTAAAAATGACTAAAGTGGTAACCGTTGTGTTATGTATATTTTACAACAAACAAACCTCGACAAAGAGAAATAACCCAAATAAAAATGGGCAAAAGATCTGAAGACCCCTCACCAAAGAAGATATGCAGATGGCAAGAAAGCAATATGAAAAGATGCCAAACATCATATGTCATAAGGAAATAGCTAAATTTTTTAAAATGAGATACCACTACACACCTAGTAGGATGGTCAAAATCCAAAACACAGACAAAACCAAGTGCTGAGCAGAATGTAGAGCAACAGGAACTCTCATTCATTGCTGGTGAGAATGCAAAACAGTATAATCAGTTTGAAAGCCGGTTTGACAGTTCTTAAAAAAAACTACACGTACTATTTTATTTTATATATATATACATTACTATATAATCTAACAATTATACTCCTTGGTATTTACCCAAATGAGTTAAAAACTTATTTCCACATATAAACTGCACGCAAATGTTTATATCGGCTCTATTCATAATTGATAAAACTTGGAAACGACCAAAATGTCCTTCAATAGATGAAAGGATAAACTATGGCACATCTAGATAACAGAATATTATTCAGCAATAAAAAGAAATGAGCTACCCAGCCATAAGAGGACATGAAAGAACCTTCAGTACACATTGCTAAGTGAAAAAAAGCCAATCTGCAAAGGCCACATACTGTTTAATTCCAACTACATGACATTCTGGAAAAGGTAAAACTAGAGAGACAGTAAAAAGATTAGTGGTTGCCCGGGGTTAGTGGGGAGGGAGGGATGAATAGGTGGAGCACATAGGATTTTTAGGGTAGTGAAAGTATTCTGTATGTTACTATGATGGTGTTTATATGTCATTATACATTTGTCAAAATCCACAGAATGTACAACACAAAGAGTGAGCCCTAATGTAAATTATGGACTTTAGTTAATAATGTTATATTGATATTGGTTCATCAACTATAACAACTGTACTATGCTAATGCAGGATGTTAGAAATAGGGGCAACTGGAAGGGACAGGTATGAGGCGCTATGTGGGAACTTTCTACACTTCCCACTCAATTTTTCTGTGAATCTAAAACTGCTCTTAAAAAAAAAAAAAAGTCCATTAATGATTTAAGTGCAGGGAAGGAGGGTTTAAGCCAAAGTCAATGAATTGAGAACTACAGACTGGATGCAAATTTTTTCAGTCCAACTAAGAACACAGAATGGAGTAAAATGAAGGGATGTTTTTCAGCCAATGTTATATAAAAACTATAAAAATTTGTTTGAATTTAATTTGCTGTCATTTATGTTTGTATGAGTAATATTCAAAATGTCAATTACTACCATTTACAAATAATTAGGAAATGCCTTTGATTTTCTTTATTCACAAGGTACTGAAGCAAAGCAAAGGATCTGGGGAAAATATTTTGCTACCCAACTCCACATCCATTTGTTCCATTAGGATTTTCTGAGTAACATAATTACTCCTAAACAAAGCAGGTTGGCATCGAACATCCTTTGAGAGTTTATGCCATTCAAGAAGCGCTTATGTATTGCAAAATGCCCACGTTTAATTCTAACAAGTACAAAAGGGTGACAGGCTTTAAAGCATGTAACTCAGTGCTGACCTTTTTACTCTTGCTTTGAAAGGCAAAGAGGATGAACCACTTACTTACCTTACTGAATCACACCAAGAACAGGTTTTTGGCCTCTCTGTTCAATGCTATATTACTCAGTGAAAAGACAATCACTGATAATCATTCAGTGCTACCCCCAAAAGAAACTCTGCTGCTTTACAAAGCCAAGACATATTCAGCCACTCTCATCTGTCCCTCTAGCCTTCAAAGCCCGTGATGGAGAAAGAACTCCAAAACTTCAGAGGATAATACAAAATCTTAGCTGGTCTTTGCTACCCAGGGCTCGGAGTCTAAAAAACAACTGGCAATGTTTTCACTTAATCAAGCACCTGCTGCATGTTTCTCCTTTACGGGATCTAGATCTATAAAGAATTTGCATCTCCATTGCCAGCATCTCATTCATAAAGTGGAAGTAATAGTAACAATGATCTACCTGAACTTTGGCAATCCCTAGAGGACAGTTTTATTGCCTATGATTAACACTCAAAACCAAGTTAAATCCAAAGAGCTAGAAATACTAGTTATAAAATAACTGTAAAATAAAATAAAATATGGCTATAAAATAAAGCCACAAAAGTTTAGAGCTATAAGAGAACATAGATTATCTAAACCCAGTGTTTATATAATTATGTATTTATGTTTAAGTTGTACTGGGAAAACACTTCTGTTTATAGATATAATAAACATGACTGAAGAAAAATAATACACAAACATTAATATAGTAGTATACCACGCAGCAAGCATCTCATGATATCGGAATGTCTGAAATCCAGGACACAATGGTTGACTCCACCCTCTATTTTTAGAGGTCACCTGACCTGATCAAGTAGTAGTTAGTAGTGGTAGAATACATTAGCAGAGCTGGACGTAGAGAGAACAGAACACCGAGATCCCCATCAGTCTTTCCTCCAGATTACAGGGCTGATCCATTCCATTAGACAGCTTAAATAACACTTCAACTCTATCACTGCAATGTTTCTTCCTACCAAAGAATTCTTGCCCCCAAAAACTAGTGGTAGGAAAACTGCCAGTCACCCAAACGCACCCTCCTCAGATTCAATGCCAAAATAGAAAACACAAGTCCAAATTCTAGGGCTTGGTGCAAGAGGTTCCATTCCGGGCAAGTGAGATGGGGCAGAAGTCAAGAGCTCTGCACTGGCAGGGACTCCATCTCTGGCTCAAACCAGGTGGATTCAAAAGCTCTGGTCCTGCTGCTAGAGCTGTGTGACTCAGAGGTAATGCTTCCCCCAGTCTCTGTTTTCTCATTTGCAGAATGAATCTAAGCACATGAGATAATTATATGTGAAGCAGTGCCTGGAATGAAGTACACCTCTGTAAGCACAGGAGCAGCAAAATATTCACTCCTACACCCTTAGTGCCCAGTGCAGTACCCAGTACACCACAATCACACCAAAAGTTTGCTGAGTGAAGCAGAGAACTCACTAAAGCCAGCCTGAGGTTCAATCAAAATTCCTGGGCCCAACCTGTAAGTGGGCCCCTAACTTACTCCAAACCAGGGACCCCCATCCCCTAAACCAAGAATGGCCTTGATTATTGACAAAGGAAGGGTCTGTTCATATGTTTCAGGTAAGGCACAGCCTAAGAATCTGCCTCTAAGAAGCCTCATCACATCACAGTCCTGTGTTCATTTCATCCCAAAAGATTGGCACTTTGGGCTGCCCTGGCATTCCATTGTCTCTCTCTTCATTTTTAGAAGCAACAAGCTGACAAAATGACATCTCAGGCACCTGACTTTTGTAAGTGCCCTTTAAAGAGGCCTGGGAACAATTCCCACAGCTACGACTCTACTCTGCTAAGGCAAGATTTCTTAGCTGAAAGGTATCACCTACTAAGAAATCCATCACAGAAACAGATACAGTAACAGAGTCAGAGACAATTCCACTATCTGCCTTCATGTGGTTCCTGATTCTTAAAACTAAAAGATGGACTGAGCTATTTTTAAATGGGGAGACTGAAAAGGCACCAAAAACGTTCTCACAATCCAAAGCACTCATCCCTAGAGCACGCTTATTTGGCCAGAAAAAGAAACTCTCTGGCTCTGCAAAAGTGAAGCAGAATGCAAAATTGCATCTCTCCCCTTGTACCAAAAGGAAAAAACGCAAAAATGGTTTTACAAAAGGTCCAAGAATCTTTGAAATACGTTTGAACTTCTTTCTGAGAATTATGGATATTCCTTCTCAGACCTTTACAAGGATAACGGAAGAGGTAAAAAGGAGAGCTTGGGAGCAGGAGAGGGAGAGAGTTGGGATATGTACATTCTATTTTTAAACCCTCGCCCACAGTTTAGAGTAAAGGAACACTCTGATTCTCTACTCCCACCCCTATCACCTTCTGCTAAACACAAGAATCAGAACCTGCGCACGTACTGATTCCAGATTTAGAGATTACTGGCTGCCAATACTCCAAGGAATCGCAAGCTAACCAAGCATTCCACCCAGGGAACCCGGCGGCCTGACTAGGCTGGAGCTGCGTACAGGGAGCGAAGCAGTCACAACCCACCTTTTCCCAAGGGGAGGCAGCGCCCCCTCGGCAGGGCACGCTCCATTCTCACGGTTGGGCACTCAAGGCTGAGCAACTCTGCCCCTAAGGGAGCTGGAGCTGTGGACACGATGGGATCTGCCCGCTGGCTGCGGCGCGCTCGGCACTCTGGCCCCACTGCTGGGACACCTGCGTGCCGCGCACGCCCACGCCCACCCGCGCTGCCCCAGAGCACCACCCGCGCTGGGTCACCTCCCGACCATCCCTGAACGCAAAAGGCGGAGCGACGGGTCTCTCTCTTCATCTGATGGTTGCTGGTTCGCCCGCTTTACGTATCCTTCCTGCCTCGGAGGCGTCGACACCCGTCCCCCAGTGTACCGGGAGCAGAAACCCGGCAGACGCGCGGGCAACCCGGGCTAAGCGCCACCTCCCAGTTCCTCCCGCCCCGGAGCCGCGTCCCCGAGGGGCTCGGGACACTCACTCTTGAGCGCGCTTATGAGTGACTTCCCGTCCTTGATGAGCTCCTTGATGAATTTGTTGGTCTTGTCCAGCTCTGCTTCGTGCGACTTGAGCGTCTCTCGGAAGTGCGGACTATCGAGGCAGCAGTCGCTGAACTCGAGCGCTGGGAGCCCCATGGTGCGCGCGGCGCCCAGCCGGGGGGCGCGCCTCCGCCGGGGCCCGGGCCGCCCGCCGCCCAGAGCACTCACGCGGCGGGACCCCGGCCGGCTCCCCCGACGGCCGCCGGCTCCACAGGTGTGGCGCTGGCTCACTCCGCGCGCGGTGTCCGCCGGCGCGCAAGACTCCCGAACCGAGCTCGGACCCGGCCGAGGTGCTGCTGTTCCGGGCGCGGGCAACGGAGCGGATCGCGAGCAGGAAACGCAGCGCGGACCCGCAGCGGCGCCGGGAAGCGAGCGAGCGGGCGAGCGAGTGCAGACGCCGCCTCCCCGCCTCCTTCGCTAGCTAGCTCTCGGCAGCCTCGAGCGCCCTCTCACAGCAGCCTCGGCCGCCCCGCCGGTGTCTGGGCCGCTCGAACCTGCTAGCGATGACTTAATCCCCGCCGGGCCAATCAGCGCACCCTCCCCTGCCCGACCCTCAGGCCGCCCGAGGACGCCCGGCCCTTCCGCGGTCTTGATCCAATCAAAGGGGCCTGGAGGCAGGGTCTGCGGCTGGGGGCGTGGCCCTCGCCAACGCCTAGGTCCGCAGCGCAAACTCCGCCTCCTCTTGCCCTCCCAGCGTTGCAGACCCCGAAACCTAGGGGTGAGCGTTGCTGTGCACCCGCCCCCGCTACCTTGCCCGCCTGCTCCAGCCCGAATCCGAGCCACGCATGGCGAGTCTGCTGGTCCTGGGGGCCGAAGAGCCTCGATGTGCCAAGCATGAAAAACCTGGGGACTAGGGCTGCAGTTCACCACCGCCTGCCCTGCACTGCGGGGCAACCGATTTTACACTCAAAATACAGCCCCCTGCTCCGGGAGAATCCCGAGCGACCAAACGCTCCTCTTCCAGTCAGGCAGAAAAATGTTATTTGCATCTTAAAATTACCAGCTCTTGCCTGCAGTCTTCCCGCCCCCTACGGTCCGTCCCCCTCACGGCCACTCCTGCTCAGAACCCGCCCACGGTTCCCCTCAGCCGAAGGAGCTCACATCATTACTAGAATTTCAGCCGCCTGTTATTTTCCTGCTCTGCATCTAGCACAATTTTACATAATAAGATGACAGTCTACTGCCTGTCATCCTTCGCTACACGGTAAGCCCCACGAGGGCAAGTGCCCCTGCAATTTTCTTGTCCGCTGTTGCATCCTGGCACCTAGCACAGTGGCTGGCATTTAATAACAGATATTGAGCACTTACTATGTGCTGTGTGTGCTACGGTGATTGATAAATGTAGAATAAATGAATGGATCCTTTCCCAGAGCCATCTCCACCTCCCACGCCCAGTGCGTTGCCCTGTAGTCCCTCTGTTCGACCGCAGGACTCAATTCTGGCATCTCACTCGTTGCACTTGTCAGGCTGGGTCCCACAGGGTGTCTAGTGCTGAATTGTTAACTCCTGGAGGATAGGGACTGTCCTTGAATAAATTATCTCTATGTCTAGGAACCAGCAGCCCTCCTTCAGCTACGTGGGGGCTTCATGTTTGTTTGGGTTGGTTTGTTTTTTAAATAGGTCTGCTATGTGCAGGCACTAGCCTAGATGGTAAGAATACAAAGATGAATAACAGAATGAATTTAGCTGCTGGTGGTATTAGGTGAGATGGAAGCAAACAAGCGATAACCATGCCTTGTGATAGGATAGAAGGCCTGGGTGCTTGGGAACATGGATTTTTCACTCAGGAGGGGTCAGAGGTGTCCCATCTATATTAAGAAAGCAATTAATGTATTAAATTCATAAATGGAGCATGGTGGCTCACACCTGTAATCCATAACTTTTGGAGGCCAGGTGAGAGGATTGCTTGGGGTCAAGAGTTCAAGACCATCTTGGGCAACACAGCGAGACCCCCCCCATCTCTACAAAAAATTGTAAAATAAATAAGTAAATGTATAAATAAGTGAATGTGATCTCTTTGATAGGTGTATCTACAAATTTAGACTTGATAGCAGGTCCAGACAGCTATCTGATAGATAATTACAACCCAAAAACAATTGTTCTTCACTTGCCAAAGATGAGAAAGATCTAGAATGGAAACCCTATGAAAGTAAATCTGTTTAATGCTTTATCTTGAGCACCTAAAGGTAGGTGTTCTGGTTATCTATTAATACAGAATAAATGATACCAAAAGTTAATGGTTTAAGACAACAGCAATCATTTTATTTTCTCTCACAATCTCTGTGGGTTAGAAATTTAGGGAAGCCAAAGGCTTGAGGTCTCTCATGTGATTGCAGTTGGATGGTGACAGGAGCTGGAGGAGTGGATGGTTAGCTGGGCATCCCACTTTTCAGGTAGACTCAGGGCTTCTCCATATGGCCTTTCTCTGTGGCCCAGTTTAGGCTTCCTCCCAGTATGGCAGCCTTAAGGCTCCAGTGTGAACATATACAGCTCACAAGGAGAAAGGTGCATCACCTTTTATGACCTAGCCTTGTGAGGTGAGAGGCCTGCAGGACTTGTTTTCCAATCACAACCCCACTGATCAAACCAGGATTCATTCCAAACGGGATTCAGTGAAGCAGCCAGCAGAAACCAGCAGGCAAGGAAAAAAGACACTTTTAGTTGCCCTCACTGCTCATTAGCATAGAGACACTCCCACCATTGCCATGACAGTTTACAAATGCCATTGCAACAGGCCATGGCAATGGCCTGGAAGTTACCTTATATGGTTCTGGAAACTCCCTGCCTCCTTTCCAGAAAGTTCTAAATAACCCACCTCTTAATTAGCATATAATTAAAGGTAGGTATAGGTACAGCTGCCAACAGCCCTGTACACTGCCCATCCTGAGCACACTCCCTATGGGATAGCCCTGTTCCACAAGGAGCAGCACTGATTCAATGAAAGTTGCTTTCTCTTACCACTGGCTTGCCCTTGAATTCTTTTCTGGGCAAAGCCAAGAAGCCTCCTGGGCTAAGCTGCAATTTTGGGCCTTGCCTGCCCTGAATCACTTGGAAGCCACATACTTCTACCACCTTCATTGGCTACAAGCAACTCATAAGCCCACCCAGCTTCAAAGGAAGGAGATTAGACTGTACCTCTTGATGGGGGAATGACAAGAATGGGAGATATTATAGTAGCTATTTCTGAAAAACATAATCTGCCACAGTGGGCCCAGCATAAATGGTAACATTCAATACATGCTAAATGAATGAAATAAAATGTGATCCACAATTATTTGTTTTATCCCATTGAGGAATAGTAGGCAAATGTGTGTAAAATAATATATATGTATTAATAATAACAACAATAATATATCAGCTATCATTTGTTAAGCTCTCAGTTTATGCCAGGCACTATGGTAAATTATTTACATGCATTTATAGCTGGCATAGTGGCACACGCCTTTAATCCCAGCTACTCAGGAAGCTGAGACACAAGAATTGCTTGAGCCCAGGAGGCAGAGTTTGCAGTGAGCTGAGGTCGTGCCACTGCACTCCAGCCTGGGTGACGGAGAGAGACTCTGTCTCAAAAAACAAACAAAAAAATTATTTACATGCATATAATCCCTACAGGGTGAGACTGGTACTATGATAGTTCCCATTTTTTCAGATAAGAAATTGAGGCCCAGAGTTGTAACTTGAACCAGCTTACCGAGATAATATTAATAATTCTATGTGGCACAAACATATAACTTAATATGCCCATTCACAGACAAATATGTAAATATGTGAATAATGTGTAAATTTCTCATAAATTTAATATGGAATTTCCACAAAAAACCTCCCACACTTTCAGCAGTATTACTAGAAAGAGAGAATCAGAATGCAGCAGTACAGGCTGGGTGTGGTGGCCCAAGCCTGTAATCCCAGCACTTTGGGAGGCCTAGGCAGGCAGATTACTTGAGGTCAGGAGTTCGAGACCAGGCTGCCCAACATGGTGAAACCCCGTCTCTACTAAAAGTAAAAAAATTAGCCGGGTGTGGTGGTGAATGCCTGTAGTCCCAGCTACTTGGGAGGCTGAGACTGGAGAATCGCTTGAACTTGGGAGGCAGAGGTTGCAGTGAGCCGAGATCGCACCACTGCACTCCAGCCTGGGTGACAGAGTGAGACTGTCTCAAAAAAAAAGAAGAATGCAGCAGTACAGAAACTGGCGCATGGAGGGTGCAGTTGTCTTTCTCTTCCCAGAAAATCTGCTCATAAGGGTAGAGATTTTGTATTATTCAATGCAGCAACCCCAGCTTAGAACAGCAATTGGAACTTCAAAGGTGCTGAACATCAATGAGCCGGACACATGTTTAATAAGAAAGAAACAGGACTCATGTGACAACATCAGTTATGGCCATGCACATAAATAGAAGAGAACAGTTAAGCCGCAGAAATCACTTTCATATGAAATAGAGAAACAATTTAGGCAACATTTGGCCTAAATCCTTTGGATGAATGTCTGAATTCCTTAAAATTAGCAATTAGTTCAAACAGTTCTGCTTTCAGTATCAGTATATTTTAAATCTACATTTTTTCTGGCCTCAATGGTCCAAATAACTTTACACCTGCCATGCAATTACCTCCCATTTGTAGAAACTTTACCACTGGCAAAGCACTCCCATGTACATTGTCTCTGAGTCCATATAATCAGAAGTGGGCATGGACCAGTCACACATTGGTTCCTGAACACCAGCTTGTGAACAGATCTGATCCGTGATGAAGCATTCATGGGTCCTTATGTAACTGAGAAGTTCAGGGGTAGATCCAGCTTCAAGGCAGCCTCTGGGGATCTAGAAGATGATAACAGCACAGGTTTCTCTCTCCATCCCCAAGCTGACCTTTGTCTGTGGTGGCTTCAGTCTCAGTGACTCTCTCAGCTTCTCCAAATTACGCCCAGCAATATTAGCAGGAAGAGAGTTTTCTAAGAATTCCAATAGAAATGACAAGACTGGAGTCAAGGATAAAACAGCCCCACTCCAAAAACGTAAAGTACTGGGGTGAAGTTGTTCCACTAAAGGACAAGCACAGCGCATTTAACAGGGAAAACGGGGATCACTGCTGCACAGGCAGAAGCAATAATGTATAGTGCATTTGACCTGTCCCCAACTCCCTCACAATGAATGCGCCTCCTGCCACATTCTCATGGCCCCATAATTCTAGTTAGCACTTATTCATGCTTTTTTATGGTTGATGCCATATTTTGTGCTGCACAGTGACTTCTCCTTTTTATTATTACTAGACAAGATACCAGTTTTCCTATTTTAAAATAACAATTTAAGGTTGATGTAAATGTTCTATATCTCAGTTAGGGTGGTAGTTACACAGGCATTGCATTTGTCAAAACTCATGGGTGCGTTTTATTGTGTGTAAACCTCATTAAAGGTTGATTTTAAAAAATAATGATGATGGGCCTGGCGCGGTGGCTCATGCTTGTAATCCCAGCACTGTGGGAGGCCAAGGAGGGTGGATCACGAGGTCAGGAGATCGAGACTATCCTGGCTAACATGGTGAAAACCCGTCTCTACTAAAAATACAAAAAATTGTCTGGGCGTAGTGGCACGCGTCTGTAATCCCAGCTACTCGGAAGGCTGAGGCAGGAGAATCGCTTGAACCTGGGAGGCAGAGGTTGCAGTGAGCCAATATCGCACCACTGCACTCCAGCCTGGGCAACAAAATGAGACTCTGTCTCAAAAATAATAATAATAATAAAATAATGATGATGGCAGTGATGCTGATATTTATTAAGCTTTTGCTATGTAACGGGATCTGTGCTAAGCACTCTATTACATTTCTTTATTTAATGTTTACTACAATCCTGAGAATTAGATGCTGCTACCATCCCCATTTTACAGGTAAGGAAACTAAAGCTTAGAGAAGTAAGATGCCTAATGTAGTTACTGATAGAGCTAGACTTAGAATTCAAATCTATCTGGCTTAAATAACTACATCCATATAAAATATCTATAGAAATACATTTTATATGTCTAAAAACATTGTTAAATAATAATAGCCTAACACCTAAAACTTGAATGAGATCACATATGAATGACAGAGGAGCGATTTCATTATCGCTCCTTATGAGCTGTATGTGGTTTTCCAGGGCTTGTTGCTGGTATGTCCCAAATATGTCAATAATTATACAAGCCTCTAATTTGCTTTAGCTTTAAATCACAGGCCCTACAATTTATGTAGAAGCAGTTGATTGAAACAGACATAAAATTCTCAGTTTCCTTAAAGAAAAAAGAATAATCTATCCTCATAAAGCCACTGGCTCATAGTTCTTTAAGGGAGGTAGCAGCACCTATTTAACATTCTTTGGCTCAAGAAATTAGTGAAACTCATAGCATTTGTTCTACACAAGTTTTACATGTTAGCAATACTTTTATTTTCAGTTTTCATGATTTATTTCATGCTTGCCACTTTTCTACCTAATATTCACTCTTTACCTTACTCATTTATTGAAAGTGCTTATATAACATTTACTGTATACCAGATACAGTTCTAAACACTTTAAAAATATTAACTCAATTAATACTTAGCAACCCTATTATTATCTTATCTCCCTTTACAGGGGAGGCAAGTGAAATGAATCACCTAAAATCATATAACTAATGAGTGGCAGAGCTGAGATTCTCAAAAGGTAGTCTAGCTCCAGACTTAGGTTACGTTTCTAGCAGAACCCCAATGTGCCCAACTAAAGAATTTAATTTCTTAGGTTTTCACACAGCTGGTGGTGGCCATGTGCCACTTTTCTGACCACTGAGATACACTTGGAAGTGTATTGGCTGGGGCTTTGGAAAGGTTTGTGTGTTTTTTTGTTCTTGTTGTTTTTTTAATAAAGAGACAACTGCTGACACACACCTTCTGCTTACTTCATTTCCCTATTCTTTTTGTCTTGAATGTGGATGCAATGCATGGAGCAGCAGCAGCCATCTTGCAGTCATGAAGATGAATATCACATGCTAAGGATGGCTGGATGGGAAAACAGAGGGAGCCAGGTAGCTTGGTGACACCCACGAGCCACAATACCCATCTCCAGAGTACCCACCTCCCAACTACTCATCACATAAAGAGGGAAAAAACAACCTATTTGTTTAAGCTACATTAATGGGGTTTCCTGTTACTCAAAGTCAAAACTACTCTAGTTGATATAATGCATTAATTATAAAACCTATTGTTTCACCTCCTCTTGGATTTTCAGCAGCTGCATTAATCCATGGTTCTTAGGCAGTTTTCACATTAGAAAATCATAGTTTTAAGGATGATTTCTTAAACATTAAAAGATGATATCTGCATTTACAGGGCAGGAATATGTATTAAATGAGGAAAAGTATTTAAGCAAAAGGACACTCTATTGATAAAAATAAACTGTTCAAAAGCTGATATGAAACCAGAAAACTATCAAAGACAATTTCAACAGAGACCCAGAATTATCTGGGTCAATAAAAATAATTGGCCTATTCTTCTATAATTGTTGGTGCTAAAATGACCAAATAAATTAGTTCACTTCAGTAACCTAAACTCAAGCATTCCTATGTGCCTTGCTCTCTTTCTTGCCTCTGAATCTTATACATGAGTATATGCTTTAAATGGACAATAGCATATTATAGATCCTGAGAAATCCTGTGTTAAGTAATCCTTGAGATTTTGCTTAACCAAGTATTTCTCGTAGTTCTTTGAGCACAGAATCCTGTTTTTCCCCCAAACATTACATCCTATGCATAGTGTTCTATAAAATGCATTTAGGAGGGTGTGGTGGCTCACGCCTGTAATCCCAGCACTTTGGGAGGCTGAGGCAGGTGGATTACTTGAGATCGGGAGTTTGAGATCAGCCTGGCTAAGATAGTGAAATCCCCTCTCTATTAAAAATACAAAATTAGCTGGGCGTGGTGGCGCATGCCTGTAATCCCAGCTACTCAGGAGGCTGAGGCAGGAGAATTGCTTGAACTTGGGAGGCGGAGGTTGCAATGAGCCGGAATCACGCCACTGCACTCCAGCCTGGGTGACAGAGTGAGACTCCGCCTCAAAAAAAAAAAAAAAAAAATGCATTTAGGACATAAACACTAACATAGACTGCAGGAATAAGGACATATAAGATAAAGCGATAATTTCTAGTCTTCTGTCATTTTAGTTATTGCAAAATAGGAAGTCTGTCATGAAGCATTAGCAAACTTTCTAAAGCAAGTGGGAAACTATCACTTCCCAACTTCGAATCCTTATTGATGGATGGGCTTTTCATCCATGGGAATTCACATTTCTTTTGATGGCTCCGGTTTTGAGATGATGCTGTGGTTTTTAGTGAGTGCATGTGTTTGTTGAAGGTGGCTTAGTGGCAGTGAAGAGGGCAATATTTCAATAGATAAAGTATTCTGATCTTCTTTTCATCTATGGAGAAGCCAGGATGAAAAATCAATGCTAAAATGGATTATCCTCCATCTAAACACAGGGCGAATGGGATACAATGTCTGTTAGGGGAGAGTGAATATTGGCAGATTTCTTTACTTCCCCATTTTCCTTTGTATTTCTTTTCTGGAATTTCCCATCACTATATTTCTATTTTTGACTTTAAAAAGTTAGTAGCTGTTGGCCGGGCGCAGTGGCTCACACCCGTAATCCCAACACTTTGGGAGGCTGAAGCAGGTGGATCACGAGGTCAGGAGATCGAGACCATCCTGGCTAACATGGTAAAACCCCATCTCTACTAAAAATACAAAAAATTAGCCGGGCGTGGTGGTGGGCGCCTGTAGTCCCAGCTACTTGGGAGACTGAGGCAGGAGAATAGCGTGAACCCGGGAGGCTGAAGTTGCAGTGAGCCGAGATCGCGCCACTGCACTCCAGCTTGGGATACAGAGCGAGACTCCATCTCAAAAAAAAAAAAAAAAAAAAAAGCTACTAGCAGTTAAATTCTCAAACTAAAGCATTCTATCACTATAAAGACTAAACATTTTTAAAGATTGTTTTGCCTGAAAAGTAACAATGTGAACTACTCCTGTGCTTCCCAAAGCTGGTCTGATGATATAGGCCAGTCTAGAAAGTTTACTTTGATCCATAATGAAATGAGAAAAACAATGACCATGTAAAGTTTTTCATGAAGCTTAATATATTCCATTTGAAAGAGTGCTTTTTGAGATTATGTTCTTCCTACAAATTTGGCATTAATATACTTTTTTGTATTAACATACTCCTTTTTTAAATAAAATGATGAGTGAAAATAGTAGCTGTGTTTTTAAGAAATACCCACTGGGGCTCACGCCCAGGAGCTGGGCGAATCACCTGAGGTCGGGAGTTCGAGACCAGACCCGTCTCTGCTAAAAATACAAAAAAATTAGCCAAGCGTGGTGGCGGGTGCCTGTAATCCCAGCTACTCTGGAAGCTGAGACAAGAAAATTGCTCGAACCCAGGAAGCAGAGGTTGCAGTGAGCCGAGATCGCGCCATTGCACTCCAGCCTGGGTGACAGAGCAAGACTCCATCTCAAACAAAAAAACAAACAAACCCCACTGGCAAAATTAATATTTGGAAGTTTTATGTCCCTCCAACTTTGTTTGTTGTTTGTTTTGTTTTTTATTCAAAAGTTTAGAAACCTCTTCTTAAGCCCAAGGCAGTCATGTGTCTAGTTTGCTGTGTTCCCTGTGACTTGCAGAGTGCCTAGCAATACTAAGCAACCAATAGAGTTGGTCAGCAAACTTTTCTATAACAAACTTTTAGGCTTTGTAGGCCATACAGTCTTGGTTGCACCTACTCAACTCTGCTGTTGAGGCAGAAAACCAGCCAAAAACAGTGCATAAAAGAATGAGTGTGGTAACTATATTCCAACAAAATTTATAGACACTGAAATTTGGATTTCATATAATTTTTATGTCACAAAATAGTCTTTTTTTCCCACCATTTTAAAATGTGATAACCATTCTTAGTTCATGGACCATACAAAAACAGATGGTAGGCTGGAATTGGCCTGTAGGCTGTAGTTTGCCCACCATAGGGCCAAATGAAAGAAAAGAGTGACTAAGTACAGAGTAAGACCAGAAATCCAGAAATTTCAAATGCGTAGGTACCAACTCCTCTTGGCACTGAGTGCCCGTGACCTCAGGAAAGTCAATTTAAGATACCAGCGTAGCCTAGTTTTCCAGCTATAAATTAGGGAAAGCAATTCAAATCTATTTCTTCAGGCTATTGTTGATGAGAGGTATTATAAATTGACAGCAAGGAAACATGTTGCAACTAAGAAGGACCAAATAATATAACCATGACTATAAAAGAAAAAAACTAGTAGATGTATTTACTAAACTAATTTAAAAGTTTCAATTTTCTGTTTCAAAAAAAAAAAAGATGGGAAAAACAGGAGTCCCACTGATTACTGTAGAATTATTTTTGAAATGGGCTATTGGTGGAATTACAGAACCAAGGAGCTTTAGGGCTAAGAGAGATCGTGAAAAACTTCCAGTTTGATCACATTGTTTTAAAGGCAGGGGAAAATACCAGGGAAAAAGATAGTTGCCCAAGGTCACTTATTTAGAGAACGAGAATAATCTAATAAGACAATATATCTTCTGAAGACTGAATAGGAAATAAGGTCATATAATAAAAAGAGCATGGGGTTTTGAACACTGGGTTCAAATACTGCCTTCCACAGTTAACGTTTTTGAATTTCAAGCAAGTTACTTAACTGAGTCTCAATATCTTCATCTATAAATCAAGGACAATAATATTTTGTAGAGTTATAGTTAAGAACAAGTGAAGTAATGTACACAGTAAATTGTTGGGCATATAATTTAAATGCTCAATAAATGAGGATTTATATTATATGAAATTTCAAATCTCAAAATTTACCACAGCTGCTAAAAAAAATTGAAATTACAGTTTCTAAACTGAGCTAAGAAATGAAACCCACATATTTGATGTTCTAACAAAACTAATTTTATCTGTATTCATTGAAATACTTCTTGAATTTCTATTTATATATTTCTGGAAGACAATACAGTGCTGTTTTTAAACTTGAAACCACAAACTAACACACTTTCATTGTAGGATGGAATTTGATCGCGTTAAAGCCAATTTGTCACTGAAATACCCCAAAGTTCATTCATTATGGAGGAATCCTAGACCCTGTAAACTTTTATTTCGGTTTCTTATCTGACAATAATTTGGTAAATAAAAGAAATGTAGTACTTAAAATACATAGTTTCTGCAGATCATATTGGGGCAAAAAAAATACATAAAATGCCCTCATATTGTCATTTCAAAGTAATGCTAACAGCAAAATCTTAAACATCAGACAGACATAGGTTTTAACCACAGCTCTGCCACTTCATGGCTGTGTGACCTTGGACAATTTACTTAGTCTCTCTAAGCCTCAGTTTTTTTGAATGTGAAATGTGGTTAATAATAATAGTATCTACCTCACAGGGCTGTGTGATGATGACATGATAGGATGCACATAAAATGCTTTACTTAGACCATTGTCTGCAATATAGTAAGTGTTCAAAAAAAAATGTTAGCAAAATTAAATATCATATTGTTGGGAGAGGAACTTTGACAAATTCCATTTTCATAATCTTCTGTTTCTTCTGGTGGGTGTTAGATAAAACTTGAAAAGAACTGATTTTCAGAGTAATATTGTAAACTGTAAACAGTTGCTCATGTGAAGATAGAACTGGAGGTAGATTTCTTCCACTGGTCTATTAAGCGAGGAGGAAACCAATAACCTTGAGGGTTTCTAGGAACTGGGAACACAGGCTCAATTCAGGATTCTAAAAAGGAACAGATGAATTGGTTACTTTGGAGACAGCAGAATCTAGCCCTTCAGAGATACTTCCCTGCCCTCCCGATTGAAAGTAATTCCCTCTTAGTTCACTAGAATGTCAGTTCCCTGTTGGCAGATCTCATGTTGGGTCTATCTGCTTCATGGCTATATCATCAGCTTCTAGAACAGTGCCTGCACATTGCAAATTCCCAGTAACTACACAGCAAATGAATAAATGAGTGATTTTATGAATGGACAACCCTGGCATATGCTCAGTGCTTCAAATTCTCCTTAGAACTGTAAACAAAAGGTGAACTGATCTTATAGCTGTTATAAGAGGAAAAGAGAAGTATGAGCTCATAACCACACAGGCCCAGTACTGAAGTCTTGGACCACATAGACTCAGAGTTTCCAGGGGAAGGAACAAAGGGAATACATGGCAGTTGGGTAACCCCAGGCCAAAAAGAATAAAGAAAAAACATTTTTACACACATATAGATGTGGAAGTACACCATCCGCTGAGACCTGGGGTAAACGGGAACTTGGCGGGTTGTTTCTTACTTCAGGCCTAACAATCTTTCTTCACTTGGCCTCTGGGTCTCCACCCACTCACTTTCTCTTGGATCTGCTTCTAGCTCACTGATCCCTCTTTCTCAGTTTCCTTTTCTGATTCTTCCTTATTTTCCCAATCTCTAGACATTAGAATACTCCAGGCCAGTTCTCAAATCTCTATCCAAACACACCTCCTAGGTGACCCCAACTTTGAATACTCCGTAGCTTTTAACACCGTCAGCACACTAACAACTTCCAACATCTAGCCCAGATTTGACCTCGCTCCTGAACTCATACAGGTGTACACAATTGATTGCTCAACATTCTACTTGTATATCTGAATAGGCATCTCAAATTTAAAGAGAGACCAGAATTAAAATCTCTCCCTCTCACCTCCGAAATCTTGATTTTTCTCCCCAAACCCCACTAAACCCATCCTTGTAGTTGCTCAAGACAAAATCTTAGAGCCACCATTTTCCCCCCTCACAATTCATACCCAGTCATCAGCAAATCTTTTTGACTGAGCCTCCAACAGATACCTATTGTCTGACTACTTTTCCACCTATTCTGCTACCACCCTGGTTCAAGCCACCAAACATTCTTTACCTGGATTATTGCAACAGCCTCCATCTTTTACCTGGATAATTGCAACTGGTCTTTTGCTTTCTGCCTCTGCCACTCCCTGTGGTCAATCCCAGGCGACTGGCTGTGATCCTTTAGAGTGAACATAGAAGATAGCATGTCACACCTCTGATCACAACCTTCCAGTGGTTTCCATCTTACCAGAGTAAAAACGAAACCACGATCTGACCCACAGATACTCTTCTCAGCTCGTGTCCTGCCCTTCTCCCTCTGCCCACTCTGTCCCAGCTACCTGGCCTTCTTGACATTCTTCAAACAAGGCATACCTACTCTCTTCCCTCAAGGCCTTTACACTTGCTGTTTTCTCTGCCTATAATTCTTTTTTCATAGATATCAACATGACATTATTTTTCTTCCTTCAAGTCTCTATTCCAATATCATCTTTTCAGATAGGCTTCCCCTACCTTCCCCATCCAAAATAACACACACACACACACACACACACACACACACACTCACCCTGTTTTATTTTTCGCCACAATCCTTATCGTGGTTGTTGGTGATGTATACTTTTTGCATGATTTATTGTTATTTTCTTCACAATAGAATGAAAACCCCATGACAGCAGGGTAAGAGAGTGGGAGTGTGCTCTTTTAGACAGAAAAGTCCTTTTTTCAGTGCTATATCCCCTGGGCCTAGAACAGTGCCTCACACATAACAAGTACTCAAAAAATTTATTGAATGAATTAATGAATAATAGTGTTTTGGTGAAATATTCTGTATATTTCAATAGGAAAATGTAAAGTCAATAACCATTTGCTGAATGCCTTCTGCAGGGTGAATACTGTGCTTGTTCATTTTATACTCAGAATGCAGTACAAAGACTAGTTGACTTTCCATATGGATTTAAAATTAATTTAGAAAATATTAGTTTGACAATTCCAGATAAGGCTTAGAAAAACTGACTATAAGTAAATAAATGGTTTAAACTAGAGAAATAGGATCTTATTTTTTTGTTAGTCACTCTTCTAATCCATTGTATCAAACTAGTATGTATTTTAGGTTCTGTAGCATTCGTTTTGGCCTCTAGAATTAATCCTTTGGCCCAGAAAATGCAAATTAGATTACCTCCAAGTTTCCGCTGGCAACCTTCCATCTCAAGCTTAGATAACAATCTCCTTTAGCTTTTAGTATTTTAGGAAGTTTCTTTGTCACATGAAGAGAGCTGTGAAGACCAAGAGGAGACACAGACCTATAATTATAAGAAGAATCATAAGCACTTAAGAAGAAACATAGATCTACAATGATAACTGTTATTTTACTCACCAGACATTTATTGAAATCTTACTATGCTTCGGGTGCTGGACTAGGCACTGGGGAGCCAAGGATGAACGAGACATGCCCACACCTTCAAGGAACTCACAAGGGAGTCTGAGTGACAGCCAGAGGACCTGAACTTCACAGTGCAATGAGAGAAGGATGCCCAGTGTGCTATGGGAGCCAATGCAAGGGCACTCAGCTCAGCCTGAAGAGTGCCAACAAGGCACTCTAGAGGAACTGTACCTCAATTAACTCTTGGGGTGAGATATATTCCAGACAGAGGGTAGAGCATGCACAAAGCCACAGTGGCATGAATCTGTGTAAGGTGTGCAGAAAACTACAGACATTTAAGGCAGGTCACTCTAGAGGTAAAGCTGGAAGCGGAGCAGAGGGCAGGATACAGAGAACTTTATTTAGCATATTAAAGAGTGTAATAGGCAATAGAGAGCCACTGAAGCAGGGGAATGTGATTGATACATGGATACGCTTGGAGGGAGGGAGACCAGCATTTAAATAAAAGGTGATACAGGTCTGAATTAGGGAAGGAGGAGTGAAGATGGGGGATAAGAGGCCAGATTTAGAAATACTGAGTCAAAAATCAGTGGGACTTTATGTTAGGGAGACTAGAGGGAGGAGGCAAGGACAATCCTGAAGTTTCAATCCTAGAGGGTATTACCAAGTATTAATACAAATACTGATAGAATCAGGAAGGAAGAGGATTTCATTTTTAGGTACACTAAACTTGAATCACTAAGGGAGAAGCATTCTATTTGTCCATTCAAAAACTACCTATAAAGGAACTCTATATGAATTTCCAAGTGTGAATTTGGAGGGAGAGTCTAGACTTTAGAGAGTTGGGTATCATTGGCACACGGATATTCAGGAGTTAACCTATGAGGATGGTTGGCCCAGTACCTGGGACAAAGGAGGCTCTCAGTGGGTGCCTGTTGAAAAGAGTAAAGGAAGAGTTACTCTGCAAGAGCATATAAAAAGAGAAGAGCTGGAAACCAAAGATGAACCTCCAGAAACACAATGCTTCAGGGGTGGGTAAAGGAGGCAGAAAGGGAGTGGTCAGAAAGGTGGTGTCATGGGGATAAAGTGAGATAGGCATAGGAGCCAAGGACACCACCACACTTCATCAGGTATCATAAGGGCTTGTAAAATCTGAGCATTCTCCCATGTTAACATTTCTTCATGAATTAATCCTAAATTGAAAATGAAGGCCGGGTGTGGTAGCTCATGCCTGTAATCCCAGCACTTTGGAGGGCCAGGGCAGGCAGATTACTTAAGCCCAGGAGTTTGAGACCACCCTGGGCAACATGGTGAAGCCCTGTCTCTACAAAAAATACAAAAATTAGCCAGGCATGGTGGAACATGCCTGTAGTCCCAGCTACTCAGGAGACTGAGGTGGGAGGATCACCTGAGCCTAGGGAGGTCAAGGCTGCAGTGAGCCATGATTGCATTACTGCACTCCAGCCTGGGCAACACAGTGAGGCCCTATCTCAAAATAAAAATAAAAAATAAAAAAAGAGGCCAGACGCAGTGGCTCACGCCTGTAATCCCAGCACTTTGGGAAGCCGAGGCGGGTGGATCATGAGGTCAGGAGTTTCAGACCAGCCTGGCCAATATGGTGAAACCCCATCTCTACTAAAAGTACAAAAATTAGCTGGGCGTGGTGGTGCACACCTGTAGTCCCAGCTGCTTGGGAGGCTGAGGCAGGAGAATCGCTTGAATCCAGGAGGCAGAGGTTACAGTGAGCCGAGATCATGCCACTGCACTCCAGCCTGGGTGACAAAGCAAGACTCTGCCATAAATAAATAAATAAATAAGAGTTAAGTAGGTCTCTAGATGGAAAATATAAACATTTCTTTTTTCTAGAGCTTTCTAATCTTCTAATTCAAGGGTTATTTGAGCAATAGGTAGTTGCATTTCTAGTTACCAATTTTAATTCCAAGTTTATGCTATTGTGCATTTTTGTTTTAAATAATTGCGGATACTTTTTTCCTCATTTATGATGATTATTTTCTATTCTTGGTATTAACTCCCTGAAGCTAATTTAAACCAGAGCATGCAGTTTGTCAGTATAAAAACAACTGAAAGTCTAAGATTGGGTTATAACATTTAGAATTATATTCATGTACTGATGAGAGAGATTGTGGCTTCTGGTCAATTCTATGTGAGTGTGATGATTACTGGTTGCAAACATCTATTTTTCATTTGTTTTAATTTGATTTGTTTTTGCCTATCCAGCATCCATACCCAATTCTGGTATAAATAGTACCAAGTTTTTCTTGAAGAACCACTTCTCTCTGATTCCTAGTCCAAGTGATTTTCGTAAAGCTGAGTCCACTGGGCTTCAGGCGAGGGCATGCAGCCCAGAGATGACCAATGAAACACTGCAAACCCATGGGCCCAGTGACTGGCTCAGGAACGAGCTTATGACCCAGTCAGAGGCAATGAGATAGAATTCTTGGACTTGTTAGAACAACCAGGCCAAAAGTAATCTTAGCTGAACTTGAAGCTGGATGGATATACACCTAGAGCTGATGTGGACCACTGCTGCCATAGCACACTGGGCATCATGGGGAAAGACTCAGAATGAAGCAAACACAGAGGAAAGATGAGCTGAGAGATGAAGAAAGAGAGAGAGACCAAGGACTGAAGACAGTCTTCGAGATCCTGTCTCTGACCATCCCTAAAGCTAGCATATTGCCATACTCCTCAAATATGTGAGCCTATAAGTGCCCTTTTTAAGATTTGGTCAATTTTTTTTTTTTAGCTTTTCCACTGCTTGCAACCAGTAAGTCCAGGTTATAGACATCATTTGATCTCTATTTTCTCTGCCTCATCTACCAACAGGGACTCAAGTGTCCAAGTTCATGCTTCTTCCCAGCTAGCCTATTGTGCCTTCCACACTGTGCTCAACATTTTCAGGTCAGCCCCTTGTTACCTTCTATATCAGGCCCACTCTCCACTACTTTGTGATTTGTGTCAGTGCTCGGTTCCTAAGCTGAATTCACTGAACTCACAGCCTAAGCTATGGACCTCACTGTTTCCCATGGACACTTCCTGTTTATTATATTCACCTAGAACAGTCTCTTTCTCCTTTGCCAATCTGTTTGTTTTAGTAAGTAGAGGCAGGACTGGATGGAAGCCACTTCTGTCCCCAGGCTTAGAAAGCCCAATGCTAAATTGTTGGGCCTGGCTGCCACCCAACAGCACCGGTACATTCTGTTCAAGCTCAAGCTCTCTGTCCCAAATGTTGTACTTGCTGCTGCTTTTCCTCCCTGCCTCCCAGGACAGGTTTAGCCTGATATTATTCCCAATTCTGTCATCTCTATTGTTGCCATGCCACCCAGGACCTTTGTTATTTCCCCTGCAGGGATCTTGGGAATTTCTGTGAAATCATACCTTAGTGGTCTAGAGCAATCTAGCTTCCAAACACGATTTCACAACCACTGCAGTGATATCCTCCCTTCTCAAATAAGATTGTTTCTCCTTTCCCTGACTCTGGACAGGCACGATAAGTCATTCATATCTGCCAAGAGAGAAAAATAGCTATCTTCAAAATTATATAAGAGGAGAAGAATTTTTCCTTCAGCTTTCCCTGAAACACACAGAAATAACAGAGGGACAAAAGCTTCTCTGAGTAAAGGTGATGACTTGATCTCCTTCCTCTGCTTTTATTATCTTTCTCTCATTCAATCAGTATAAATGGAGTAGCCTTTTATGTTCTTCTCAAGCTCTAGTGAATTGAATTGTAACCATTATTGATTCAACCAATATTTACTTGAGCATCTATTACATGCCAGGCACCGTGCTAGATAATGTGTTCACAGAAGTAGATAAGACAGACATGATCCCTGCTTCATTCAGATTAGAATCTAGTGAGGGTGGAGAAAAAGCAGCAAATATGTAAATAAATAAACGAGCAAAATTTCTGACAGTTAGACATGCTATCAAGAAAATACAAGGAGAGGCCGGGCACAGTGCCTCATGCCTGTAATCCCAGCACTTTGGGAGGCTGAGGCGGGTGGATGACCTGAGGTCAGGAGTTCAAGACCAGCCTGGCCAACATGGTGAAACCCCATCTCTACTAAAAATACAAAAATTAGCCAGGCATAATGGCAGGTGCCTGTAATCCCAGCTAGTCAGGAGGCTGAGGCAGGAGAATCACTTGAACCCGGGAGGCGGAGGTTGCAGTGAGCTGTGATTGTGTCTCTGCACTCCAGCCTGGAAAACAGGGTGAGACTCTGTCTCAAAAAAAAGGAAAAGAAAAGAAAATACAAGGAGATAATGTGTTTCAGAGTAAGCGTACTATTTTAGATAGAGTGATCAGAGAAGACTATCCTGAAGCGGTAATATTTGAGATAAAACCCAATGAAGAGAATGTACAAACCACATGGAGACCCACCCAGAACAGCATTCCAGGAGGCAGCACATGCAAAGTCCTGAGCCTGAAGCTGGCTTGATATATTAGAGTAGGGGTTGGTAAAATACAGCCCAAGAAATAACAGAGGGACCTGGCCTGCATTTTTTTTTTTTTTTGGACAGCCCACAGCTAAGAATGATTTTTACATTTCTAAATGGATGAAAAACAAAACAATTTGTGACATGTGAAAATTACGTGAAATTCAAATTTCAGTGACCATAAAGAAAATTTTTATTGGAACGTAACCATACTCATTCATTTATTTATTTTCCATGGCTGTTTTTCATGCCTCATTGGCAGAGTTGAGTGGTTTCAAAAGAGACCAAGTGGCCTGTAAAGCCTGAAATATTTACTATGTAGCCCTTTGCAGAAAAAGTGTACAGACTTCTGTTTTAGGGGAACAGGAAGAAATATCTTCCCAAGCTTGAGAGAACCTTGAGTTCCTTGAATTCCTCAGGAATTCTTGAATTCTTTAGCCTATAAATAACAGAAAATCAGTGTCCAATTGACTTAAATAATGTGAAGCATTAAAATAGCCATAAAGTGATAATTTTCCCATCAAGAGGTAAACTATGTCCTCTCCCCTTGCATCTCAATGGAATTTGTGACTGCTCTGACCCACAGAATATGACAGACGTGATGCTGTGCCAGTCCAGGCTCTGGCCTTAAGAGACTGAAGGCTTCTACTTCCTGTCTCTTGGAATACTCTCTCTGGAAGCCCTTCACCCTGGGGAAGAAGTCTGAGTACCTTGAGATGGCCATGTTGAAGAGGTCATGTATGTGTGTTCTGGTTAAATGTCCCAGCTGAGCCTGCACTTCCAGCCAGCATTGCCAAGGTGCCAAATATGTGGACTCTAAAGACCAGTCCATCAGCCAGCTGAATATCACTAAGGGACCTCAGTCAATGGTACATGGAATAGAAGAATTACCTAAGTAAGTCCTTCCTGGCTTCCTGGCCTACAAAATTATGAAATTTAATAACATGGATGCTATTTTAAGCCACTCCATGTTGTGGTAACTGTTTTATAGCAATAGACAACTAGAAGAAACAATACAGAAACCCTATTATCTCACATAATAAGAAGCTCAGGGTACAGCAAGGGCCATCTAGAATACTGCTTTTATTTATGCATATTGCTACCGCTTTTATGCAATTTCCTTGGCGCTACTTTTCGCTTTGGTTGGTTTAATTGTTAGACCGATAGCAAGATGACTTTAGCAGTCCTGGGAGTCAGATTCAAACCTGACAACGTCCAGAGAGAGAAGACTATTTTTAAGAAAAAGAAAATGTAGGCTAATCAGGATCTACCTTGGAATTGGGAATTGGGTCACCTCCCCTGAGTCACTGGGGAAGGGATGGACACCTGATCATAATTAAGTTCTATTAGAAAGGAAGTAGGTGAGCGGATATTGGGTCAACAATGCACTTGTCCAAAGTATCTTTCTTCCTTCCATCATTCATTCATTCATCTATTCATTCATCCAGAATAGTTTAGGTTTAATCATATGAATATGCTTTTTTGTAAATCAAAAGTAGTCAAATAACCATAATTTGAAAAGGTTAAGCAACGTTTATCAAGCCTGTATGACAGTGGGAGGCATGGAGCTAGATGTTAGGACTATTAACACCTAAATTAATAGCAATTAAAGGTGCTAAGTTCAAGAAAGGGAAAGAACAGGACCAGCTATATAATCTGCAGAACCCAGTGAAAAATGAAAATGGAGGACCCCTGGTTCAAAAAGTATTAAGAACTTCAGGATGGTGACAGCAGAGCATTAAACCAAGCATGGAGTCCTTCTAAGTGCAGAATGACTGTACATATTGCATGTCCATGAATCTGGCTCTGGGAAAGACCAGATGACCACAGAAAGAACAGCAAGGACCCTAGTTTAGATTGAGCTGGGGGAAGAGGGTGTTAGGAAGGCCTCTCTGAGGAGGTAATATTTAAACAAGGACCTGAAGGGTGGATAGGAGTACCCAGGTAAAGAGTTGAGGAATGCAGCTTCCTAGAAGAAGAATAGCACTCTCCCATCTTCTCCATCCTCCAGGTTGGTTAAGAGACTTAGCATTAGCCTGTCTTCATCAGCTGTGAGGAAACAAGATAAAGGTAACAGATCTTTTCCTGTTTGTGCCAGCTCAGGCCTATTTCCCAACCCTTTTTTGTATTCTAGATCTTGGCACTTGGGTACACTACCCGTATAATCTGATCCTCCCCCTTTAATACTGTAGATAGTCAGGACTACCCAAGAGGGGTCCCAGCCTTGCTCCTTGCTCAATGCTTAATATGCTCAATGCTTAGTATGCTCAACGGTAGATGCTTTCTAGGAAACAGCCTAACCTGCCTGATCCACTTGGTGCAGGCTTGTCACAAATAGGGAAAGACCTCTCCCTGTCCTCACATTCCCTCAAACCTCAAACCATGAAATCAGCTAACACAAATTGGACCTCAAAAAATGTTGTCAACAAACCCAAACCTTTCCCCTAAAATTACTAAATTCATCCATTTTGCATTGCTATAAAGGAATACCCAAGACTGGGTACTTTATAAAGAAAAGTATATTTGGCTCATGGTTCTGCAGGCTGTACAAAAAGCATGGCACCAGCATTTGTTTCTGGTCAGGACTTTAGGAAGCTTTTACTCATGGAGGAAGGTGAAAGGAGAGAAGATGAGTCATATGGTGAGAGAGGAAGCAGGCGAGATGGAGGAGAGGCGCCAGGCTTTTTAAACAACCAGCTCTCGCATGAACTAATAGAGTAAGAACTCACTCATTATGGCAAGGAGGGCACCAAGCCATTCATGAGAGATTTGCCTCTGTGACCCAAACACTTCCCACTAGGCCCTACTTCCAACATTGGGGGATCACATTTCAACATGAGATTTGGTGGGGACAAATATTCAAACTGTATCATACCTTATCCCATTTTTATTTCTGCAATGTTCTTTTCCTATATCAGATCCTATGGAAATTTGATGATGTAGTGGGCCTCCAAGTTGGTTGTAAGCAGAATCACACAAGAAGCTTATTAAAAATACAGATGCCCCAGCCCTATGCCAAACCTAGCTTCTCTATTTTTAGCAAGCTCCACAGGTAATTCTGATGCACTGCCAAGTCTCTGAACCACTGCTTTAGCCAACTGGATGGAATAAGGGAAATTCCCATTTGGCTGGTAGGAGTCAGAACATTTCCTTTCTGCCACTACCTGTGGCTCCTGGGCAAACTACTTTAATTCAGTTCCTCAGTTGTCCCTTTAAGTAAAGTGATGATTCCTCCATGATATCTCTGCCCTAGAAGCTTGCGTAGTATGAAAGTATTGATATCTTCCCATGATCTAGTCCCACTTTGGGTGGCCAAGCCTCAGTTTCCTCAAGGAACTACCTGCCCCTCACTGACTGGAGGAAGGCTTTGTAGGACTGTCAATCAAGGTGCTCTGCTGCCCTCTGGCTGCCCCCTGGGCCCAAGACCCAAGTTTGGCCAACCAGATTTTCTCTCCCAGGAAATTAAATACTGAGAGAGCTGAAGCAGAGACAAAATAAATGAAGTTGATTCATCTGGTACGGGTGACCCCAAAAATCTGTTAGTTTCTGCTTCCTAAGCTGTTGCCCTGGTTCTTGTGCTCTCAGAAACCTGGTTTTTCAGCCTTTCCCTCAGATCTGTAAGCAACCCTGATAGCCTTGGAATAAATTGTTTCTTTTGCCTAAGTGAGCCAGAGTTAGTTCTGTTGCTTGCCACCAAAGAATTCTAACTGATTCTCACAATCAAGATCTTTGATAGAGTGTTGTATATAATAATGATGTCATAGCTTCCATTCTTATAAAGCCATTGTGAATGATTCTCTTGTAGCTAAAGTGACCGTTCTATAGAAGGTCAAAAGTTTGTTTTAATAATGACATCTTTGTTCCAGTAATTCCAGACAGTGAAAATTTCTCAATAGTGTAAGAGGTTATTCACTGTCCTGCTGAAATATCTTAAGTGGAAACAGGCCTTGGGTAAATACTCTTCCTCTAAACAAAGCTTATTGTTCTGGACCCAGGGAAGGAAAGGACAAGAGAAAAAAGAAAAAGGAAAAAAGTTTGGGCTCAGTTTAAACCAGCTCCCATTCAGCTATATCTGCCCTTTACATACAAATTTAATAAAAAGTTGACTCTTTATGTATTTTTTTAAAGGCTGGAAATTGCATCCGAATACACATTTTAAGGGGTGACTTGCAGAGAAAATAGCTTCAGTGATTGAACCCTTTTCTCTCATCAGCCTATATTTTATTTCTACCCCCATCTCATTGTTACAGTTTTTACTCTTTCTTATTGTTACTGACATCCTCACTATTTCTCACCTTTATTGGCTGTGTTAACAGTTATGAGCACTTGCTGTGAACCAGGCACGATGATAGATGTTTGACACGTATTACCTCATTTAATCCTTACAGTGCCCTTCAAAGCCAGTATTATTATTCCCATTTTACAGAGGGGAAACTTGAAGCTCAGTGAGGTTAAGTAATAGGGCTAATGTGCAACATGACCAATCACTTACCTGTGTGTCCCTATCTGTCCCCAAGTCTTCCTTACACTGTGACCCATTGCCTTAAATTGAAAGTACCTGCTTAGTCCAAGGCATCACTGGAAAGAATATTAAATGTGGCATTGTAGCTCAAAAAAAAAAAGACAACTGAACTCATTGCCCATGTCATGTTCTATATTCCTGACTAGACTATAAGCTCCTTAAGGGCAAACACTATGTTCTGTCTACCACAATATTACCAGCACATGCCTAGCACAGAGGAGGTTCTCAAAAAATGCTTATAGAATCAGTGAATATCCTATAGGGTCCTCAGAATAAGGGACCATCACAAGGTTAGGAGAAAATGTCAAGAAATCCCTTTCTGGGAAACAGAAATTCCAGGTTACCCCTAGTGAATTCAACCAACTTTGAAGTTTGGCCAAGCCTTTAAATAGCATTGCATGATTTCAAATTTGGAATCCTGGGCAGCAATTTCCCTTCCTGAAGAGCTGTTGCATGTTCTATGCATAGTCATGCTTTGGCTTGAGTTTATGAGGAACAGAAGTTTCAAAAAATCTGACTGAGAAGTATAAGCTAAAAGGCTCAAGTACCAGTTATACTTTTCCCAGGGCCAGTAAGCTCTCAAAGAGCTCAAATCCAGGGATCAAGCTCTCCATCAAGGACTTGGAACATAATGTTATTTTATCACTTTCAGAAATAATAACTAGAGATAATTTCTGGTTGACATAAGACTCACAACTTATCCTTGAGTGAACTCTTTTCGTGTCTCAGTTCCTCGAATGGAAAACAGTCAAATAAGCACATATACAGTCAAAATCTTCCTCCAAATCTGTGAGGTTCCCTCAGTGGAGTCAGTCTCATTAAGTCACTGCTATTCAGTTCAATAGCAGTGAATTAATCCAATTTGACCTTTGGATTCAGATAAACCTGAGATTAGGCTTTGGCTTTGACATGTATCAGCCACGTGACCTTGAACAGAACATGGTAGCTCTCAAAGCCTTAGCAGCCTTGTCTCTTGCTGGGAAGATGGTAAATGATAATGTGTTTAATGTGCTTAAACCAGTGTCAGGCACATGCGAGGCAGTCAGTAAATAGTGACTTACAGTGATATTTCTGCTGGCTTCACTTGCACATTTCATTCAAAACAGTTGAAAAGTCCAGTGTGTTCATGGTGTTTTAACTGGCAGTTGTGATCTGAAGTCAACCTTCAACTAAGTGGATTAGTTTATCAACTTCCAAATTATAAGCAAAATTAATCTGAACTAAGGCAATGAAGTGATACAGGCATACAAATGAAACATCTGTCCTGATCTCTGCCTTGGAAAAATTCAAAACACTGTAATTCTATTATTCTTACAAAGATTATTTTAACCATTTATTTTAAAAATCAGCATTGCTATTGCATCTTGACTGTTCTATTGTCCAAACTTTCTGTATCTATTTTAAGACTTAAATATAAAGCATGAAACAGGTTTAATTTTGAACATAGTGAGCAGATGAAATATCACTCTTTTCTTAAAAGAGATTCTTAGCAGGCATTTTAAAATCCCCATCCTGTCTTGTTTTCACTAGATCACTGGTCAGTACTCGACAGCTTCAAGCCAGATAATTTCAAAGGTTCAAGATGTCAGTTAGATCCCACTGACCACAGGTAGATCCATTTGAATTAGAAAAATTCTAACACTGACGAGAGAACTCTTTCCTAATGTTAGGTGTGGCTAAGGATCTGTTTGAGCTATTGGAATATGGGCAGTAGTTTATAAGTATCAGAATACAACTTTCTGTGTCCCCCTTCTCTTTGCCAGGGGCAGCTCGTATTGATCTGGACATGCAGCGTAAGCAAAATAACTTTATGTCATTTAAGCCACTGAGATTTTAGGGCTATTCGTTTCTGCAGCATAGCCTAGCCTTTCCTAACAAGATATAGAATATATATAAATGCAGTTGATATGTGTAACAGACATACTCACGGAGCCACACACGGAGTCCTCCCATCTTGGTCTACAAGTAATTTCCAGAAGTTAGTGGTTTGGTGGGATAGAGACAAAGCTCAGAACTACAGTCAATATCAGAATAACTTTAACACACTGGCAGAAAGATTCAGACGCATCTCTTCTATGTCATCATGAGAGTGAGAAACATGATTCCTAAATCTGTATTCCTGGCTGGAATTCTCATCTGTCAACAGGTGTCATTGTCACCTTGAAGAGAACCAGAGCAGGCTGTCTCTCCCTCATCCTCGCGCACTCTCCTGGTGAGTTGTAGAGCTGGGGCTGACCTCAAACTGAGAACTCCTTGGGATATAGCATGTATCCCAAGTAGCCCTCACTCTAGGGAGGTTTTTTTTTTTTTTTTTTTATCTGTATCTCAAGTCCACAAATAAGCACTCAAGGTTGATGTCAATCTTTGACACGTCATCTATTCCCAAGCCAGCCTCTCCATGAAGGAATCAGTGATCTTCCAAATGTTTTCTTTTCATAGCTGAAACAAACAATAAATATTATTTATTATTTTAGTAAGAAGCACATGATCTAAATCCCACTAGTAATAAAGATAATGGCCATTTGTTGAGGGCTTGTTATTTGGCACTATGACATATATCATTTTATTTAATCCTCGCAACAATTTGATTAGGTAGTATATTATTAGAGTTCTCCAGAGAAACAGACCCAATAGGATATATATAGAGATACATTAGGAGATTTATTATAGAATTGGCTCATGCAGTTACGGAGGATGAGAAGTTCTACAGTATGATGTCTGCAAGCTGGAGAACCAGGAAAGCTGGTGCTATAATTCAGTCTGAGTTTAAAGGCCTGAGAAATGGGAGCAGGAGCTCATAGTGTAACTCAGAGTATGAGGCCCAAGGCCAGAGAAGCTGGAGGGTGAAGATGCTTGCTGGTGTCAGTGTCAGAGTCCAAAAGCCTGAGAATCAAAAGCATTAATGTCCAAGGGCAGGAGAAGATGGATGTCCCAGTTTCAGCAGAGAACAAATTCACCCTTCCTCTGCCCTGTCGTTCTATTCAGATTGGACGATGCCTGCCCACATTGATGAGGGTGAATCTTCTTTCCTCAGTCTACTGATGTAAATGCTGATCTCTTCCAGAAATATCCTAACAGACACACCCAGAAATAATGTGCTGCCAGCTATTTGGGCATGCCTTAGCCCAGTCAAGTGGATAGATACATCATCGGTAGGTACTGTGATTTCCTTTTTTACAGATCAAAAAACCAAACCTTAAAGTGGTCAAGTAACTTGCTTAAGGTCAACCAGCCTAGAAGTGGGAAAAATTATGCAAACTCAAAAACTGTTCTTTGCAAGGAGGCCCGCCTTATTCCCCCTCCTGGCCATATATTATATCTCAATCTCCACACCCAAGATATAAACCCTGGAGTTTTCCTTGTCTTCATTCTGTTGCCAGTGACTTGATTACATCATTTCTGGTCTGACACCAGTAGGGCTCCAGTATGTTCCCGGGGAGAACTGGGCCCCCAACACCTGCTAATTTCTTCCTGCCTTTGCAGAGGAGAGCCTGGGAACTTAACCTAAGAAAAAAACTAAACAAAGTGATCCAAGGAGAAAAAAAACCCTGGGATGAAGAAAAGTTATTTTCCTCTTTGATAATTCTGTGTAACTAGTAACTATGGAAGAGAAAACTGATCTACGGGTTTGTTAGAAACTCTGGGGCCTGAGGCGGAAATAGACACTGTGAGACCGAGAAGGGGGTGGAACCAGAGGCTACAGCCAGGAAACAAAAGACAGGAAACAGGATTTCTTTTTGCCAATGTCCAAAACAAAGCTGATGGGGAGTTTGGCAGGAAGAGGGACCACCATTTCATACTTCCAGTGGAAAAAGGACTAAATGCTCAAAATTGAAGATATGTGGGAAGGGATGAGTCATGGAGAAACGGTGATACATAATCTTCTCTTTCTGAGAACAGTCACTTAATATTCCTGCTTGGCATTCTTTTATTATTTGACAGCAGTCCTTGTGCCTCTCTATGGGAAGCCAGGAAGGGGCCAGAATCATCTCATGCTGCTTAGTATGGGACGCACAACTGGGAAGCTGCACTCTCTTCTCCTCCCCTCCTTTCCCTCCTTCATGTATTGCTCTTCCCTCTTCCCGGAATGCCTCTCCCACTGTTAGCATAGGTAACTCTACTTTATTTTTAAGTCTTAGTTTAGATGTCACTTCCTCAAAAGAATTTTCCTTGACCCTTATTCTGTGACAGAGTTGTTAGCTGCCTATCCAGGACCCATTCTCCTCTCTTTCTTTTCTTCTTTTTTTTTTTAAACACAGAGTCTCACTCTGTGACGCAGGCTGGAGTGTAGTGGTGCAATCATAGCTCACCGTAGCCTCGAACTCCTGGACTCAAGGAATCCTCCCACCTCAGCTTCCTAAGTGGCTGGGACTACAAGCATACGCCACCATGCTCAGCTAATTTTTAAAATTATTATTATTAAGTATTATTATTATTATTTTGTAGAGATGGGGTTTTGCCATATTGCCCAAGCTGGTCTTGAATGCCTGGGCTCAGGCGATCTGCCTACCTTGGCCTCCCAAAGTGTTGAGATTATAGGCATGAGCCACTGCACCCAGCTTTATTTGCATTTATAACCAAGCTTTCGGCTTAATATCTCCCAGGCTTGAAGCACATTGACTTTCTTTCACTGGAGGACATTATCCAAACAAAACATTATCCAAATAAAAAATAGCTCATATTTACTTGTGTGTGTTGGAAAGAGCCATTACTATTGGAAACCATTTAGATTTTGTTTTAAAATTTTTTTCTGGAAAAATATTTTCAAATCATTTCTTTTGTAGGGAAAATGCTACCTGGATGAAATATTTGTCAAAGTGTGGTTGCATCTGTTCCCACTTATCATTTGATAAATTGGCATAGTCAACGCACAGTTGTACAAAGCACACATCATGCAAACCTTAGCTGGTGAGTATAAAAATGACCACTGACCCCTGATTTGCAAGCAGCCCCTGACTTGGTTTGGACTCTCCCAGAAGCAGACCTGGAAACAATGATTCAAGTGCAAGCCTTTCATTTGGGAAGTGTAGGGACACTGCTTATGGGTTGGGGAGGTGATAGAGGAAAGGAAGACAGCCAAAAAAGGATGTGTTATTCAGCCAGCTACTACAGTAAGTGACAAGAGTCCAACCCCACAGGGACACTCTGGGGAATAGTATCCCACAAGAGGCATGGGGAGCTGGGGTACTTATCTACCAATTCCCATCAGCCATCAGCTACTCTTAGGGTGTTAATTCTCTGGCAGCCTACAGGCCAGGGCAGACGGGCCTTCTATGGTTCCCAGAAAATCCCTCATGCACAGAGATGCAGATACTGGCAATTAGATGTGTCCAGAGCACAATGAAGCAGTAAGATCTGATGCGCGCTGACAGCCCTGACCACCGCCCCCTTCAAGCAAAGCTCAGACTTCAATGTCCTATTTCACAGGGGACATAGACGTTTTTAGATAATACAAGGACACATTTTTTTTAATAGTTAAAAATTAAGTTTCAACATTCCCTTCCACCTAATGCACAAGGTGCTGGTTTCCAGTTTGTGGTAGTGATGAAATATATAGATTGCAAAAGGAATCAATTTTTTAAAAGAGCATCAATTGATTTAAAGTATATTGAAGAAAGGCTGGGCATGGCAGCTCATGCCTGTAATCCCAGCACTTTGGGATTCCCAGCCAAGGTGGGCGGACCACTTGAGATCAAGTGGTCTTCAAGACCAGCCTGGCCAATATAGTGAAACCCCGACTCTACTAAAAATACAAAAATTAGCTGGGCGTGGTGGCATATGCTTGTAATCCTGGCTACTCAGGAGGCAGAAGCAGGAGAATCACTTGAACCTGGGAGGCGGATGTTGCAGTGAGCTGAGATGGTGCCACTGCACTCCAGCCTGGGTGAAAAAGTGAGACTCTGTCTAAAAAAATAAAATAAAATAAAAAGTATACTGAAAAAATAATTGTACAGATAGTAATCAATATGCAAAGGTAATGGGGAAATGATGGAAGCTTGGAAAACACTGATGGATATTTTATAGGTAGTGAAATGGAAGCATAAAGCCAGGCCACCAAGTATCTATGAAAGAATATCTATTGTGTACCCAGCACTCTTCTAGGCATCAAGGAAGATGTAAGAGGCAGAGAAAGGACGAACCCCACATTGAGGTTTTTACCAGTAGCAGTAGTAGTAACGGCTAGCATTTAGTGAGAGCTTTGGTTTACCATCTCCTGACCTGCCTTCCTTAGGAAGCTCTACTAGCCTTCAAAAATACATGAAACAATAAAGGGTGCTCTATGCAGAATATGAGGGTCAGACTTACTAGGACAATTTCATTAAAACTTCAGAGGGAAAAGCAGCAGCATGGCAGCATGAGCGTAGACAGAACTGTGCTGGACTGGCAGTGGTCAGAGCCAGAGAACAAGGAAGACACAGCCTTAGGTTTTTCCTCCACGGACCCATCTCCTGCTCCACTCAAGCTACAGAGCAGGACTCAGCATCTGGGAGCAGGCAGGATAAAGAAAGAGGAATCAAGCTGCTGCTGAATGTTGCCAAGCTACTCCCAAAATGTGCTGCCTTGAGAGGCTGTCTTATTGTGCAAGAAGACATAAAATCCAGATGGCAATTTCTGGATTCTCAACTTTCTGTACAGAAGTCATATTTTTCCAATACATCCTAATTCTATTTACTGTGTGCTTGATGGCCAAATGTCATTAACAATGGCCAGGCATGAAAATAAAGAAAGTAATTAGGCTAGGAAATAGCTCGGCAGCTGCATCAGCTATGTGTTCTTGGAGTGGAGGTGCGGTGGTCAGGAACCATTACTGGGCTGCATTTAAGTGTTGTATGGCATCTGGGGACCAGTCACATATGTAAGCACAAATCTAGACTGACGGCAACATCACATTCAATCAAGGCCCAGTCTAACCAGAGGAGCCACAGATCTGTTACAGATAATACCTGAAGGATTGACTCAGAAAACAAATAGGCTCTTATTTGCATTAGGACTTGGATTGGCATGTTGTTTACTTCCTGTAGGTGCAAAGAATGCAACTATGGTCTATGCTCACATAGCTCCATGTCCTTCTGTTTTCAAACTGGGCTAGTCGAGCCTGGAAAAACCATCCCCTGGGCCAATGATAGATGAGGTGGCTAATCAAGAGTGTACCTCGGAATCAGACACTTGGCCCTGAAAGCTGGCTCTGCCACTCACTCTAGCATAAGACCTTAGGAAGTGTGCTTAGTTTCCCAGAGCTTTTCTTCTTCTGTAAAATGGGATAATAGAAATATCCATTTCATTTTGAGAATTAAATGAGACAAACTTTTAGCTTCGTGCCTAACACATGGTAAGTGCTTAAGATACACATGATTATGACTAAATATGACTGATTTTTATGATAGAAATCTTTATTTAGCCTTTGATGGCCTTCTTTGTGAAGAACAGCAAAGGTTATGAAGAGGAATTGGCTCAAAAATGAAGACAGAAGTCGACCAAATCCAATCCTCACTAGAAGATAAAAGAAGAAAGAGGAAGGGGATATTAGTCAGGGTTCTCCAGAGAAACAGAACAAAAAGGATTCATAGAGATATAAAGGAGATTTACATTGGGAATTGGCTCATGATGGGGATTATGGAGGGTGAGAGGTTCTATGATAAGCAGTCTGTAAACTGCAGGACCAGGAAAGCTGGTGGTGTAATTCAGTCTGGTCCGCAGGCCTGAGAAACACGGGAACTCATAGCGTAACTCCCTGTCCAAGGTCAGAGGTCTACGTTGGGGTTAGGGCATAGGAAGGGAGGTAGGGAGGTGTAGGTGCTGCTGGTATAAGTCCTGGATTTTGAAGCCTCAAGAACCAGGAGCTCTGATGTCTGAGGACAGGAGATGATGGATATCCCAGCTCAAGAGGAGAGAGAGAAAATTAGCCCTTCCTCTGATTTTTTGTTCTAGCCGCACCCTCAACAGACTGGATGGTTCCTGCCCACATTGGGGAGGGCAGTTTGTTTTACTCAGTCTACTGATTCAAATGCTTGTCTCTTCCAGAAACACCTTCACAGACACACAGAAATAATGTTTTACCAGCGATTTGGGCATCCCTTAGCCTAGTCAAGTTGACCCGTAAAATTAACCATCATAAGGAGAAGAACTAGCTGGCTAATCATGAGGTTCTGAAACACCAAATGGGAATGGAAAACATGAAAGATAAAGAACTCATCATAAGAATATACTTCTCAGAAATACAATTTAATTTTATGGTGACAGAGAATAAGATTTAAAATAACTTAGTAGGAAACTGCATATGTTCATTCCTAAACAAAAAGAGAAATAAGAAAGAATGTAATTAAAATGCCCACTAGAAGTGATAAAGGAGGCCATACTGCTTTTGCTGGTAATCTAGTAGTGTGACTATTAAAATAATAACATCCATGGTGGTATACTGTGGTGGGATAATGGCATTGTTCCCACTGTAGTACAGGCGCCACGGTCTCCCCTGTGCTATGGTGAGGCTTCTCAAAGGTCTCCTGCTTCCACTTTTGCCCCGGCACAAACCATTCTCTGCCTACCAGCCAAAGTTACTTTAAAAAAAAATACATATCAGCACCTTATCTCTGCAAGAATGGCCAAAATCAAAAACTCAAAAAATAATGATGTTGGCATGGATGCAGTGAACAGGGAACACTTTTACACTGCTGATGGGAATGTAAATTAGTACAATCACTGTGGAAAACAGTGTGGAGATTCCTTAAAGAACTCAAAGTAGAGCTACCATTTAATCCAGCAATCCCACTACTGGGTATCTACCCAGAGGAAAAGTAGTCATTATACAGAAAAGATACTTGCACGCACATGTTTATGGCAGCACAATTTGCAATTGCAAAAATATGGAACCAGCCCAAATGCCCATCAATCAACAAGTGGATAAAGAAATTGTGGTATATATACACCATCAAGTACTACTCAGCCATAAAAAGGAACAAAATAATGGCATTCACAGCAACCTGGATGGAATTGGAGAGCATTATTCTAAGTGAAGTAACTCAGGAATGGGAAACCAAACATCATATGTTCTTACTCATAAGTGGGAGCTAAGCTATAAGGATGCAAAGGCATAAGAATGATACAGTGGACTTTGGGGACTCAGGGGAAAGGGTGGGACAGGGGTGAGGGATAAAAGACTACAAATTGGGTTCAGTGTATACTGCTCGGGTGATGGGTGCATCAAAATCTCACAAATCACCACTAAAGAACTGACTTATATAACCAAACATCACCGTTCCCCAAAAACCTATTGATATTAAAAAATATATATATATTGGTTGGGGCACGGTGGCTCATGCCTCTAATCCTAGCACTGTAGGAGGCCAAGGCAGGAGGATAGCTTGGGCCCAGGAGTTCTAGACCAACCTGGGCAACACGGCTAAACCCCATCTCTACAAAAACTACAAAAATTAGCAGGGCGTGGTAGTGCATGCTTCTATTCCCAGCTACTCAGGAGGCCGAGGTGGGAGAATGGCTTGAGCCTAGGAGGTCGAGGCTGCAGTGAGCCAAGATCACACCACTGCACTCCAGCCTGGGTGACAGAGTGAGCAAGTCTCAAAAAAAAAAAGAAAAAGAAAAAAAGTATCAGATTATGTTACTACTCTGCTTCAAATCCTGTGGGCTTCCTAGTGGATTTAAAATAAAATCCTAACAATTTAAAGGTCATGGTCTGGCCTCCAGCGACTTCTCTGGCCTCATCTTGCACCACCACCTTGCTCATGATTCTACAACAGGCCAAGCTCATTCCCACTGTGGGGGCTGATCCCTCCACCTGGACATTCCTGCCCAGATATCTGCATGGCTGGTTTCCTAGCAGCAGAGTCTCCAGTCAGACATCACCTCCTTAAAGAGACCGCCCTCAACCACCCAACCAAATGTTAATTCTCCCACCCCATTTTCTCCTGGATTACTTTTTAAAACTTCTCTTTATAGCACTTTAGGCAAAATTGCCTTGTATGTTTATACACTTATCACCTGACTCCCCCTGCTAGGAAGTGAGCCTCTGGAGAGAGAGAACTTATTCACTAATGAACCTCGGGAACTAGAATGGTACCTGCCACATAGAAGAGATGTTTGAATAAATAAGTAAATAAATAAATGTATATTTCACTCTCTTACTACTCCCACCCCAGCACCTTCCTGCCTTGGGGGAGTTTGTGATTCAGAGCTAAAAGCAGAAGTTGTCTGAAGCCAGCTTGTCATTCTCTCTTTCGTGAAGATCTTACCAAGCTAAGGAGCAGATGCTTGGGGCCCCGGGGATTGGAGCATGCGGGGCCTTACTGTGTTTGGTTGAGAAGAGGAGGAACAGGATTTCTTCAAGCAGTGGGAGATCTGCAGGTTGGTGAACGATGGGTCCTAGAGATACCTCCTTATAGATCCCTGAGGTCATGTGGGATCTGGGGAGTTGCAAATGGAGGAGGAACAGAGAGCTTCAACGTGGGCTAAGGAAGGCAGACACCAGGCATGGGAGCCAGGTATGAGAGTCCTGCACCCTGAGAGGCACAGAAGTTCAGGTTTCAGGTGCTCACCCGACAAGGTGAGCCTGGACAAGGCCCATGCACTAGTCCCCTGAGTCAACTATAGTGGAGCCCCCAGTGTCTGCGCAGCCTGGGAAACCTGGAGGGTGGAGGGTTTGTAATAATAACTGAGATGGAGTTTCCTGAAGCCTGATAGAACAGGGGCTGGGAGTTGGACTTCATATCATTTTTTAAAAGTAATGAAGTCATGGGACATTTCAGACACCTTTGAGCTTGGGAAAGAGTACACATCTGCTGCTCAATACCCAGCCCAGGAATACTACACTTACAGCAGCTTTCATTGATAAGAACTTAGAATGCCAGGCCTGGACTGGGCACTCCACAACTTACCCCCTTAAATCTTAAAACAATGCTATGAGAGAGGAGCTATCTATCATCCATCTATCTATCTATCTATCATCTATCAGAGTTGGTAGCTGAGGCCCAGAGATGCTTGATTACTAGATCTCCAGGTCCACACAGGGTGAGAGGCAGTAGTGGGGGGCTCCACTTTGGAGGCCTTGGAGGCCAATCCCCTTGAGACCCGTACCTCTACTTTTCCCCACTCTGCCTGTAACGTTTGTGAAGAACTCCTGGTCAAAAGCCAATCCCCAGACTAGCTCTTCCTGCATCGGCTTTGTCCTGTAGCTGGGAACAAGCAAGGGCTGCCTGCCTGCAAAGAGAACAATCACAGCCGTCTGCTCTCCAGGTTGAGCACAATGTTCTGTCCCACAAAGCTGCAGGGTGAGAGAAGGGTGTATTGCTCCCCTCCAGTTTGGAACTGGGATGGTTTTCACCCTCAAGAGGTTCAAGACAAAAGCGTGCAGGTAGGCTAAGCCGACTCTGACGTTCTCCCCTCTCTCCAGCACCTGCTGGAGGCAGCAAGGGGACACAGACATTGCCTGATTTTATCCATTTCTTGGTCTACCCATTGCATGACATTAAGTGTTGTTTTCCTACCTCAAAGACACAAAGATCTCTTCCTAGAGTACTAACAGGTAACATGGCCAAATACCACGCAGAAAAAAATGTGTAATCAACTGCTCCCTCCTGGTGGGGAAGAGCAGCCTATTTTGCAGTAGATCGCTTGCCTTCCCATCTGCTCTTCCCCTTGTAAGCACCCCCTGGTGCATTCCTCCTACCCAGGGTTATTCCTGGGATTGAGGAAAGGACCAGGAAAATGAGTTCATATGGGAGGATTTGCAATTTCATCATCTCGTTCTTGAGAAGTGAGGGCAGGATTGGGAGGGGGGTGAGGAACATCATTTAAAAATAGGAGTCTAGAGAAGATTGTGTTCTAGATAAAGGAATGACTCCGAGGGTGGAAGTTGAGGCTACAAACACAGGGCAGGAACACAGCTGTGATCCCCTCAAATTACAATGTAAGTCTCTTGCTTCGGACTTAACCCTGAGGAACCCATTTGGCTGTTGGGACCTTCAGTGTCTCAGATTTTTCAAGTCTGACCAGTAAATCTTAGATGAGGCTCACAGAAAGTGCACCATATGCCCCACCCTCTCTCTGCCTGCCTTGCGGCAATTCCATGCCCTATCAGTTTTCATTCCTGAGACCAGGCCCGTGCCCAGGGCCAGTGTGGGGCATGTAAGGGGAGGCCCAGAAGGGGTATTTGGCTGCACTTCCAGGACAGAGGGGGCCTCAGACTCAGACGATTGGTGACTCAGGATATTTGCACATTCTCACCAGGCTCAGTGAGCAGGGAAGTTGGAGTTCTCAGCAATTGGGCACTTGCACACTGGAAGACCAAGAAAAGTCTGTTCAGATATCCTCCCCTAAGGAGCTGGGGAGGGGTGGGGTGTGTAGTTGACTGATAGCCACTCTGGACCTGCCTCGTTGTTTATGCCCAGGCTCTGCTTCCTAGAGCTGCTCCCAGCCAATGACGAAACATGGCGGGGTTCTAGTGCAGGCCCCTCTAACCATGGCTTGAGCACTCTCCATTAGCTTGGCTGAAACTTTCTTAGAACTGCACCAGAGTCTGAAATTCTTCCTAATGAATCCTCTTCCCAGTCTCCTTAACCAGATACCAGTTCTGCAGAGCAGTCTGAAGGCTCTCCCTGTCTAATCTTGCTCCTTCTCCTTTCTGCAGATAAATCTCTTGCGCATCATCGCCCTTGGCATCTGTTTCTTAGAGGACCCCAACTAGCACAGGAATGGTTGGAGAAAACAGACAGAATGATAGGGCTTGGGAACTGCCTCACTCACTACTAGGGAGGCAAAGAGGACACCATCCTAAGTAGACTGTGGGGCACAGAGAGTCCCTGGCACAAGGTGGCAGCCTAATTGCTGAAGCTGTGCTGGTGGTAGCCTGGGGATGCATACTGGTGGAAGGGAACAGCCTTGCAGGTGGGACAAATCAGACACTTGAAAGATATTCAGGGAGGCAGTGTCTACAGGGACAGAAGAGTTCGCTGTTTTTTGCTAAATTTTCTTGAAGCCCACCAGAGGGAGGTTTTTGTTTTTGTTTTTGTTTTGTTCTGTTTTGTTTTTTGAGATGGAGTCTCACTCTGTCACCAGGCTGGAGTGCAGTGGCGCAATCTCTGCTCACTGCAAGCTCTGCCTCCCGGATTCAAGCAATTCTCATGCCTCAGCCTCCTGAGTAGCTGGGACTATAGGCATGCGCCACCATGCCCAGCTAATTTTTGTATTTTTAGTAGAGATGGGGTTTCACCATGTTGGCCAGCCTGGTCTCAATCTCCTGACCTCATGATCTGCCTGCCTTGGCCTCCCAAAGTGCTGGGATTACAGGCGTGAGCCACCTCCACCGGCTGAAACTGAGGTTCTTTAACAAACAGTTATACAAACAGTTAAAGGCTAAGTGTGAAAACCAGAGGGCTTATTTGGAAGTTTGCCAAGAGGCCCTTATTTCCTGTAGTGGAAGGGCTAACAGAGCTGAGAAACAGCTGCAGGACTTGATTGTTAGAGGTGTAGAGTTCCAAAGGCATTCAAATGCTCAGCCTAGACTAGTCTGTTTTACTAAAGTCAAGATCCTAATTGGAAAACCTGGCCCCTACCATATGGGGACATCTAGATGGATGCTCTGGGCTTCTTATTAGTAATATCCAAGGGGATGAACCTCCTCATCCACACCTCCATGAGGTGGTTCTGCACCGTAGAGATTGCAGAGGTAACCCAAGTTAGTACTTCCCCATGCTGACTGATGCTAGAGACCTCTCCCCTACAAAGCACAGGTTCTCTGGTCCCTCAGGAACTGCCTTCACTTTCCAATACCTAGGATTACATTTCAGGATGTGCTGAGCCTGATAAGGGAGAGAAGAGACTATACAATGATTAATAAGAATGAGCTAGCATGAATCAAGAGGAGAAAGGGAAGGATCTCAAGGGTTAGATTTGAGAGTTCTTGATCAAGGAGTAATAATATAGGACTGAATAAGCAAGAATTCATTGACTTGGGGGCACTTTCTTGGGCCATGGGATTTAACACCTGGTTAAAGATCCCCAGAGCTGGGGGCAAATTTGCTGTTAGGTAGCTATGGTAGGCAGCCTCAAACATAATGGTCTCAATGACCTCGCTTCCTAATATTCATGCCCTTGTTTAATCCCTTCCCACTGAATGTAGGCTGAACTTGTGGATTCATTTCTAATAACTAGAATACAGCAGAAGTGACAGGATGTCATTTCCATGATTATATTGGTTGAAATTTTAGGTGTATGCTCTCTTTCTCTTTAGCCTCTTTATTTAGCCCAGCCACCAAGTAAAGAAGTCCAGGCTACCTTTCTGGAGAAGCCACATGGAGAAGAGAGGTCCTGGAGGTTGGGAGGCCACATGGAGAACTGAGGCATCCCAGCTGACAGCCAGCACCAACTGCCAGCCATGTGAGCGTGCCTTATTGGAAGTAGACCCTACAGCCCCAATCAAAGCTTCAGATGATGCCTTGACTGACACCTTGACTACAACCTCATGAGTCCCTGAGCCAGAACCATCCAGCTAAACCACTCCCAATCTGACCCACAGAAACTCTGAGATAATGTATGTTTGTTGTTTTAAGCCACTAAGTTATGGAAAACAATAACTTAGCACAGCAATCAATGACAAATTCAATAGTTCCTAGAAGCCCAGAGAAAGTAATGGTCCATGCTGAACAACATAGGAATGCCTGATTTGCCCCTGAAAGATAGTAGAGAAAGAAATAAAGAAGTTGAAGGAAGTGAGAAAGCTGGAATGGATACATTATGTGAGGCCAGAGGATCATGCTCTATGAGAGGCCTCAGAGCACACACCATCAACCAAGGCTATCAGGGGTACCATCACCATGAAGAGGTCCAGTGGTAATTCTCCTCTCCAGGCCAGAGAGGTGGTCACAGGGCTGGGCTGGTTAGTATCCACAGGGATGTCTCCTCATTCTCAAGTAACAGAGGCCAGGTACATTAGGCATCAGAAGCCAGCTCTGGCAGCTTTTACCATAATGACTGGCAAGTTTGAAGCGGCAGCTAAAAGAGCTTCATGGAGTTGTGGCAGTGACTGATAGAGCGTGGCACTCCTAGGAGCAAGATAGATGGGCAGCCTACAAGGTGATGCTTAACCTCTATAATTCCCCCAATCCCCAAAAAAAGCAAGACTGAAGGAGCAGGAGACTGAGGGAAATTACCCCAATATGAAGTCATGGGGCCGGGCGCGGTGGCTCACGCCTGTAATCCCAGCACTTTGGGAGACCGAGGTGGGCAGATCACCTGAGGTCAGGAGTTCAAGACTGGCCTGGCCAACATGGCTAAATCCTATCTCTACCAAAAATATAAAAAATTAGCCGGGCGTGGTGGCATGCATCCGTAATCCCAGCTACTCGGGAGGCTGAGGCAGGAGAATCACTTGAACCCAGGAGGCAGAGGCTGCAGTGAGCCAAGATCCTGCGACTGCACTCCAGCCTGGGTGACAGAGCAACACTCTATCTCAATAAACAAATAAATAAATCTGGACTCTTACTCAGTTCCTGAACCAGTGTCAGTTTTCAGATCCAGAACCAGTTGACTGAAGGGGTGAATTAGTCCTTAAAAGAAAGGATCTGGAAAGGCTATGGGAGGTATATACTAGAATATTTACTTAGGTTATTGTACACTAAGAAAAGGGGATACCCAGATATTTAAAACACTTCTAGATAGATCTGAAGTGACGTTGATGCCCAGAGACCCAAAGGATGCGCACAGTCCCCTTGTTAAAGAGGGGGCTTACAAATATTAGGATATGAATGTACTCATGGCTAAAATCTAGTTCATGGAAGGTCTCCTGGATCTGTTAAACCACAATATGATCATTTCCCCAGTCCCTGAGTGTGAAACTGGGATTGACAAGCTTAGCAGTTGGTATGGCATCCACATTGGCTCCTCGGCCTGTGAGGTAAGAATGATGGTAGTAGAGACGGTCAAGTGGAATCCTCTGAAGCTACCTGCTCCTTCCTGGCTAAGAGAGTAAATAAAAAATACTATGTCCTAGAAGGATGGAGACAATTAGCATCACCATTAAAAACCTAAGGGATGCATTGCTGATGGTCCTTCTCATATCTTTATTTAATTTGCTAGTCAGACACTGCAGGGAACAGATGGATCCCGGAGAATGACTGCAGACTACTGCAAGCTCAACCAAGTCATAGCCCTTATCATAGCTGCTGTGCTGGAGGTGGGATTTCTGCTAGAGGGGATTAATAAGCCCTAAAGTACATATAAGATATGTGGCCATTGATCCAGTAAATGTGTTATTTTCTATTCTGATTAGAAAAGAGGATCCAAAACAATTCACTTTATCATGAAACTGGCAACATTTATTGATAATTTTGCCTCTGTGCTCTCTTAACTCTCTGCCCTCTGTCATGATATGGTCCTAAAGACCTGAACTAACCAGACACCCCACAGAACATCACACCAATGCATTACGCTGATTGATGGTGTCATGCTGATCCAACAGGATGAGCAAGAGGTGGCTAAACACTGGAAGCCTAGGTGAGACAAGTGTACCCTCAGTGTGCGAGATGGATGCTGTGAAGATTCAGGGACCCGCCACTTTAGTAAAGTTTGTAGGGGTCCAGTGTTCAGGGGCTTAACAGAATATCCCCTCTAAGATAAAAGAAACATTGCTGTAAGCCCCAGTGAAAGACTAATGTTGAAGTCCCGGGATTCCAGAGCAAGGCCATGCCATCCACAGCAGACAAGTATCTGCCACTGGAGAAACAACTCATAATGTGTTCCTGGGCCCTAGCAGAGATAGATCACTTGGCCATTGGGTACAAAGTGATCATGTATCTGAAACTGCCTATTATGAGCTGGTTTTGTTGGATCAAGTCATAAGCTGGGTGAGCCCAGCAGCACCACATTGTAAGATGGAAATGATACATTTATAATCAAGCTGCATGAACAGGTAGTTAAGACCCCAGTTCACCTGTCACAGTTGCACAAGTGTTTCTTCCCCAACTGGTACCTATGCCATGTTGGGAGTTCTTTTTATTCCCCAACTTTTAAGTTCAAGGGTACTTGTGCAGGATGTTCAGGTTTGTTACATAGGTAAACGTGTGCCATGGGCTGGAGGAGGAGAAAGAAGCCCTAGCTTGATTTATAAATGGCTTGGGTTGTTAGACAGGTGAAACGCAAAAGGGTATGGCAGCTGGACTCCAGCTACATTCAGGAGTCGTCTTGAAACACAGTGGATGGAGATGGAAAATTTTCCCAATGGATGGAGCAGAAAGTGGTGCATGTGCTCACCTATTTTGTGTGATTTGAGGTGAGACTATAGAGATTTATGGGCAGAGGCCAATGGCCTGCTCATCAGATTAGGGGTCTGGGAGACAAGGAGGTCTGGAGCAGACACATATGGGAATGGGTACAAAGTGAGGATTTTTGTATCACATTTTAATGCCTGCCAGAAAGCATCCACCATGGAAGAGGTACTCAACAACCAAGTAGACAAGTAATTCAGCAGGCTGATGTCATGTGCATGGTGGGCACAGGCATGGAGTGGCCTTGGTAGCAGAGAGGGTGCCCATACATGTATGGGCCAAACAACATGGATCCCCACCTACTGTGGCTGATCTAGCTACTGCTACCTTTGAGTGTTCAACTTGGAAGCAACATAGACCAGTCCTGAGATCCATGGCATAGGTACCAGTTAGGGGAGAAACACTTGTGCAACTGTGACAGGTGACCTGGGGTCTGGACTACCTGTTCATGCAGCTTGATTCCAAATGTATCATTTCCATCTTACAATGTGGTGCTGCTGGGCTCACCCAGCTTATGACTTGATCCAACAAAACCAGCTCATAATAGGCAGTTTCAGATACATGATCACTTTGCACCCAATGGCAAAGTGATCTATCTCTGCTAGGGCTGTATAGTTCCCCCCCCAAAATTCATACGTTGAAGTCCTAACCCCTAGTACTTCAGAATGTGACCGCATTTGGAGATGGGGTCTTTAAAGGGCATTAAGTTAAAATCAGGTCATTAGGGTTGGCTGTAATCGAACATGACTAGAGTCCTTATAAGAAAAATTGGACACAGACACATACAAAGAGAAGATAACGTGAAGACACAAGGAGAAGATACCCGTCTACAAGCCAAGGGGAGAAGCCTAGAACAGATACTTCCTCCATGGCCCTGTGAAACTTGCCATACCTTCATCTTGGACTTCTAGCCTCCAGAACTGTGAGACATAAGTTTCTGTTTTTTAAGCCACCCAGTCTGTGCTACTTTGTTATGGCAGCCCCAGGAAACTAATATAGCCCCCAAAGTAGCATTATTCCTGAAAGAAACCAGCTGGCTACTTGGTGACAAATTGGCAACATTGAGCTCTTTCTGCCTTGGAAGGGCTATTAGTTCAACCTCATAGAAGGAATTGTTCAGGATATGGATTTGCCTTTCCCTTTGACAAAGCCTTAGTCAGCACCACTATTCAGGGGCTTAAGGAATAAATGATCCACAGTTGTTGTCCTACCCAACACAGCATCTAACCAGGGGTCCCTTCACAGCAAAAGAAGTGCAGATGTGGGCCCATTAACATGGGATCCACTGGTCATATCACCCAGAAGCACACCATCTAGATGCAGTGGGCCTTGCAGTGTGTGGAAATCGCTTTCTACAGGCACAGCTGAAGGATGGGTGCCATGCATCAGGATCTGTCATAGGCATTAAATCAGAGATCTCAATGTCACTGTGTCCCCAGTAGGATGAATACATTGATCAGGAAACCAAGGAATGGAAGCAGGAGTGTCCCCACTTACCACTACTCCTAATGACCCATTGAGAGACTTGGTATTTCCTGTCCCCACAACTCTAGGCTCTGCAGGGTTGGAGGTCATGGTTCTCAGAAAGGGTGCACTCTTGCCAGAGGACACAGCAAGGGTCCCACTGAACTACAAGCTATGGCTGCTGCCAGGGAACTTTGGACTGTGTGTCTAGGAGCCAATAGGCAAGGAGTTGCCATCTTGGCAGAGGTAATTGATCCTGATCAGCAAAAGCATACAGGGCTGCCCGTACACAATGGAAGTATGAGGGCATGCATGTGGAACCCAGGTGACATGTAGATAGGTACAGCAACCCCAGTTGAGAAGGCTGAGACTCAGCCTCCTCAAGAATGAGGGTTTAAGTCACATCACCAGGTAAGCCATAAAGACCTGCAGGGGTGATAACAGGGTGAGGGGAATTTTAAATGGCTAGCAAGAGGGAGGGGATCAGCATCACCTGCAGCACTGAGAAGCTGCATCTACTGAAGCTACAGAAGCTGTAGTCAGTTTTCATCTCCTTCTAATTTCCCCACCAGGAAGAGAAACTCATGAAAACTCCAGAGGAGCTGCTTCCTGAGTTTATATGGAGAAGCGGGTCTGTGAGGACTAGAGATGGACTGTGGAAGCCATAGGAATGCAGCACTCAGGTCTTGCTTCAAGAAAGAACCTGCTGGAAGGATTGCAGTTAGCAGACGGCCTCCAGATTCGGTATCTTTGAGATCGACCGCAGTGTTCATGCTAGGGCAGCATTCTCCCTAAGCTGTTCCCAGCCAATGATAGTTTGGCAGAAGTACTAGAGCCAAGCCATTTCTGGCCAGCATGGACAACTTTGTGGGCAAGCTTTGTGCTGGGACCCCAGTTGGGCTTGACAAGATGTTCTCAGAACCGCTCTACAGCCTGAAGCTCTTCCTACCCAGCCCTCCTTTCTTCTCCCTCTCCTTTCAGAGACATCAAAGCTACAATGCAGTCTGAAGGCTCTTGCTGACCACTGCTGCTCCCTTTCCCCCTTATCTTTCAAGGCCAGGAAATCCAATAAATCTCTGGTGGTTTTAATGCCATCTTGGGGCCTGAATTGACATGCTAGCACTCCTCATCAGAACGGGCAAAGCCCTTGGAACCTGCATGGCCTTGAAGGTGAGAATTGAAAGAGAGGGTTGGAATTGCAATTCCTAAAAAACAAACATGAGTTTTTAATTTTCTGTTGCTACTCTGGAAAGGAATGGGCACTCCAAAACTCAGAGAAAAGAGGAAGTGAGAGTGGAGTCCTCAGTCCTCTTAGTTGGTTTCTTTTCATGTCTTGGATCTCTGGATGGTGGGCATTCTTGGACTCAGTCCTTGGACACTTCTATTCCTTTTTCTTTTCTTTTCTTTCTTTTTTTTTTTTTTTTTTTTTTTGAGACAGAGTCTTGCTCTGTTGCCCAGGTTGGAGTACAGTGGTGCAATCTTGGCTTACTGCAACCTCCACCTCCTTGTTTCAAGCGATTCTCCTGCCTCAGCCTCCCAAGTAGCTGGGACTACAGGCATCCACCACCACATCCGGCTAATTTTTGTATTTTTAGTAGAGATGCGGTTTCACCATGTTGGCCAGGCTGCTCTCAAACTCCTGACCTCAAATGATCCACCCACCTCAGCCTCCCAAAGGCTGGGATTACAGACGTGAGCCACTGCTCCTGGCCCACTTCTATTTCTTATTAAGCTAACTTTCCAGTGGATCTTGTGGAGTCTTGTGGCTTAAAATAACATTTATATGCTGATGACTCTCAAATTTGTATGTCGGGTCATCAAAATGAAAAATTCTTATGCTTCCAAGGATGATTAAGAAAGGGAAAAGAAAATCCACAGAATAGGACAAAATATTTGTGAGTCATATATCAGACAGGGACTTATACCCAGAGTATATAAAGAACTTCTCAGTTCAACAATAAAAAGATAAACAGCCCAGTGAAAAAAATAGGCAACAAATTTGAATAGACATTTTTTCCAAAGCAGATATAAAAGTGGCCAATAAGCACATGAAAAATATTCAATATCATTAGTCATCAGAGAAATGCAAATCAAAATCACAGTGAGATACCACTTCACCCTCACTAGGATGGCTATAATAAAAAAAGACAGACAATAACAAGGATTGCTGAATATCTGGAGAAATTGGAAGTTTCATACATTCCTGGTGAGAATGTAAAATGTACAGCTGTTTTAGAAAACAGTTTGGCAGTTCCTGAAAATGTTAAAAATAAAGTTATCCTATGACTCAGCATTCCGCTTCTAAGTATACCCAAGAGAACTGAAAACACATGTTCACACAAAAACTTATACATGAATGTGCATAGCAACATTATTCATAACAGCCCAAAGTGGAAACAACCCAAATGCCCATTGACTGATGAATGGACAAACTAAACATGGCTAGTCTATACAATAGAATATTATTCAACGATAAAAAGGAATGAAGCACTGATACTCATAAGTGTACCTTGAAAACATTATGCACAGTGAAAGAAGCCAGAAACAAAAGGCCACATATTTTATGATTCCATTTTTATAAAATGTTCATAATAGGCAAATCAGTAGGGGAGAAAGCAATTTCATGGTGTCAAGGGCTTAAGGGGAGAGAGGACTGGGGAATGACTAATGGGTATGGGATTCCTTTTTGGGGTGATGAAATGTTCTGAAATTAGATAGTGGTGATTGTTGCACCATCCATCCTGTGAATATACTGAAACCTACCACTCTGTACATTTTAGAAAGAAAAATTTATGGTACGTGAATTATTTCTCAACAAAATTTCTATATTAAAAAAAGAAACCATAGGAATGAGAAAAAAATAATGATGTCAGTCAACCCTGACCTCTCTCCTAAATTGAATGTTGGTTATCTCCTCCTGGCTATTTGGTATTTCCACCTGGATGCCTAACAGGTATGTCAAACTTACAAGGAGTTCCCAACCTAAACTCCTTGATCTCAGCATTCCCCTCCAAATTTGCTCCTCTCATAGTTTTCCCATCTCAATAAATGTCAACTCCATGCTTCCAGTTGCTCATGACAAAAAAAAAAAAAAAAAAAACTGTAGCCATCCTTGTCTCCCCTCCTTCTTCACACTCTACATCCATTCTATCAATGAATCCTATCCCACCTGTAAGATATTTGCAGAATCTGACCACTTCTCACACTTTCACACCTATCACTCTGGTCCAAGCTACCATCATCTCTTGCCTGGATCATGGCATTAGCCTCGTAACTGGTCTCCCTGATTCTGTCATTGCCCTGTTACAGGTCGAACTGTGTCCCCTCCAATTCATGTGTTGAAGCTTTAACCCTCAGTAGCTCAGAATGGGACTGTATTGGGGGATAAGGGCTTTGAAGATGTGATTAAGTTAAAATGAGTCATTAGGGTGGGTCCTAATCCAATCTGACTGATGCCCTCATAAGAGGTGGAAATTTGGACACCCAGACACCAGGGATGTGTGCACACAGAGAGACCCTGTGAGGACATAGTGAGAAGGTGGTGGCAGCCAGCCAAGGAAAGAGACTTCAGCATAAAGTAACCTGCCAACCTCTTGATCTTACTTGAACGTCTGGCCTCCACAACTGTAAGAAAATAACTTTGTTGTTGAAGCCACTCAGCCTGTGGCATTTTATTATGGCAGCCCCAGCAAACTAATGCCCCGCCCCTGCTGACTCCCTGTTTTCTACACAGTGGCCAGAGTGGTCTCTTGAAATCATATTGCCTCCCTGCCCTAAGGCCATGGCCTGGGGAGTTGCCTTCTCCTCCTGACCTCATCTCCTCCCCAGGGCCGCCATGTTGCACAAATCCCCAGGGTGCTGTGAACTTCCTACCCCTTCCGGGTCTCCCCTTTTACTGTGCTTGGGCCACGCTGTCTTTTGGGAGTTCCACAGACACCCATGACTGTCACGCTCTGTGGCTTTTGCACACACTGTCCTCTGCCTGACACTCTTCTCCCACACATCGGTGCAGCTCCCCGCCTCCATCTTTAGGTTGCTGCCCGAATGCCCGTCCCTGGGGGGCTTCCATAGTGCCCCAGTCTAAAATGGCCACACCTCTTCCCAGTTACTTTCCATCCTTAGGCATGCTGTGGTCATTTTCATTTAGCATTTAGCACCGCCTGACATATGATTATCATGTATGGCATTGCTTACTTGCATGTTGTTTCCCTCTCCCACTTGGAGAGTCAGCTACACAGAGACAGGGGCTTCATTTTGACTGCGGCTGTATCCTCCATGCCTCGGACAGTGCCTGGCACATAGTAGAAGCTCAAAAAATGATAGATTTAAAAAATAATAAAGGAAAGGGTAAAGGAATTGACGTCATTTGGGTTATCTTTAAGCCTGACCACTTCTTCCTTGCTAAAAAGCTTAGAACCAGCTGGGTGTGGTGGCTCACACCTGTAATCCTAGCACTTTGGGAGGCTGAGGCACGCAGATCACCTGAGGTCAAGAGTTTGAGGCCAGCCTGGATAACATGGCGAAACCCTGTCTCTACTAAAAATACAAAAACTAGCTGGGCGTGGTGCCATGTTCCTGTAGTCCCAGCTACATAGGAGGCTAAGGCAGGAGAATCGCTTGAACCCAGGAGGCAGAAGTTACAGTGAGCTAAGATCACGCCACTGCACTCTAGCCTGGATGACAGAGCGAGACTCTGTCTCAAAACAAACAAACAAACAAACAAACAAACAAAAAAAACACAAATCGGTGTACTGTCTTTAGTAAGTGTGCCAGGAGTTCATGCATCAACCTCTACCTAGTTTCATTGGTTCCCCTTCCTTTATTTCTCTTTGTTGTTATTCCTCTTCTTGAGATATACTGTATGCAATTTTAAAGCTGTCTTTGGAGACAGGGTCTCACTCTGTCACCAAGGCTGGAGTGCAGTGGCATGACCACAGCTCACTACAGCCTTGACCTCCTGGACTCAAGCGAGCCTTCCACCCCACCTCAGCTTCTCAGGTAGCTGGGTCTACAGGCACGTGCCACCACGCCTAGCTAATTTTTTTGCTTTTTGTAGAGGCGAGGTTTTGCCATGTTGTCCAGGCTGGTCTCGAACTCCTAGGCTCAAGCAATCCACCCATCTCAGCCTCCCAAAGTGCTGGGATCACAGGCGTGAGCCCTCCGGCCTAAAGCTGTCTTAAATTTTGACATGTTATGGAATATAATAAAATAAATTTTAAAACAGGTTTTTTTTAAATGTCTCCAGTGTCTGGCCTTCAGGAATGGCTGTTTGATCTCTGGCCACCATGGAGTAGGAGAAAGACACTTTGCATGTTCCTGGCTCACAGTGCTGAGTGGACATGGGTTATTCTCATCTCAAGAGTTCCTGGGAGAATTCTTCTGAAGATGTAGAAATTCTCCCAGGGGCCGAGTATGGTGGCTTTTGCTTGTAATCCTAGCTGCTTAGGGGACTGAGGTGGGAGGATTGCTTGAACCCAGGAATTCAAGGCTACAGTAAGCTATGCCTGAGCCACTGCACTCCAGTCTGGGTGACAGAGAAAGACCCTATCTCTAAAAAAAAAAAAGAAAAGAAAAGAAAAAAATTCTCCCAGGGATCATCAGCTGCAGAGGAAGAAAAGAAGAAAAGATACACTCTTGAGGACCTCATGGTCAAAGAATACTGAAAAACAGCGCCTTGGGGGAGGAAAGTGCATCTTCTTACCCTGTGAGATGTTGTTGGCCCAAAGTTGAAAGGAGAGCTTTAAAACTTGCCTGCCCTAAAGGGCACAGAGGCGGCTTCTGGGTTAACCGCCTAGGTGCCAGCAAACTCAGGAACAGAGTGGCATTGTCTGGCCAGCTGGGTTCCTGGAGAATGCCTCTGTACTGGCTCCCCGCAGGGGAGGAAGGCTCCTGGGGACTGGCAGCAAAGCCTGTCCTGAAACACTTCCCAGATCCACAGACTGTGCTTCTCCTCTCCCTTGGAGGTCAGACCCTGCCTCTGACCTTTGGGATCCAAGTTTCCAAACTCTCTGCTCACACAGTCCCTGCCCCAAGACTGCCCAGAAGAGTACAAACGCCAGCCAGGCACAGTGGCTCACGCCTGTAATCCCAGCACTTTGGGAGGCCAAGGCAGGCGGATCACTTGAGGCCAGGAGTTCGAGACCAGACTGGCCAGCATGGCAAAACCCTGTCTCTACTAAAAGTACAAAAATTAGCTGGGCATAGTGGTGCATACCTGTAGTCATAGCTACTTGGGAGGCTGAGGCTGGAGGATTGCTTGAACCTGGGAGGCAGAGGTTGCAGTGAGCTGAGATGGCACCACTGCACTCCAGCCTGTGTGACAGAGCAAGACTGTCTCAAAAAAAAAAAAAAGTACAAAAGCCAAGCAAACCTACAAGCAGTGGCAGAAGCTTCTCCAAGCAGAAGGTTGCTAACTCCAACTAGCCCGTTCGCCAAAGAACTGCGCAGTGTCTTCAGACACTCCGTTTCAACTCTCAAAGCTGGGTCATAGTCAAGGTGAGGATCCCTGGTGTTTTTCCATCCAATTTCTTGGCCTCAGACTCCACATGGCTTCAGATTACATCACTTTTCTACTTTCTTTGCCTCTTTTGTGTTATGTTGGCCAACAACACTTCTCTCAGCTGCTGAGGACAGTCTAGTTGAGTCAGGGAAAAAAAATCTAGGGTCTGCAAGACAGAAATTCAAGCATAATTGTTCTGGAGTAGTAGTCAAATACGGTGCATCAGAATCACATACGGCAGCAGCTCTAAAACTTGACTGTGTTCAAGAGCCGCTGAGGGACCTGTGGCAAAATGCACCTGTTAAAAAGGAAGCCATTGGCCAGGTGCGGTGGCTCACGCCTGTAATCTCAACATTTTGGGAGGCCGAGGCGGGTGGATCATGAGGTCAGGAGTTCAAGACCAGCCTGGCCAATGTGGTGAAACCCCGTTTCTACTAAAAATACAAAAAAATTAGCCAGGCATGGTGGCAGGCGCCTGAAATCCCAGCTACTCTGGAGGCTGAGGCAGGAGAATCGCTTGAACCCGGGAGGCAGAGGTTGTGGTGAGCCGAGAACATGCCATTGCACTCCAGCCTGGGTGACAAGAGTGAAACTCCATCCATCCACACCCTAGATAGAGCTGTCTATATAGTGGGTCTGGGGTATGGCCAAGGGACCTGCATTTTTAACAAGTACCTCAGGGGATTGGAGGCAGCCGGTCAGGGGACCACCCCGTGAGCTGGTTAATAATGCAGGTGTTTGGGGCTGGCCACACACCTACTGAATCAGAATTGGCAGCCCTGTGTGTGTCATATTCCTCCAGAAAAGCCCAGCACAGTGCTGAGTTTGGGACCCACTGCTGCAGAAAGCTCATTCCAGAAAAAATAAGCCAGGCTTACACTTTTAAGGTCCCCTTTCTCTCTGGCCACTTATAACTGCCCGAAAATCAAGGCACATTATTGCTGGCACAGAAACTGAAGGAAAACTTGCACGTGCCCCAGCAGCTGAGATCCTTAAACAAAAAGGACTACAGAAATGACAAGCATGATTGTAAGAACTGTACGCAGCTTTTCTTTCTTTTCCTGAGTATGGTAGGAATCTCCAAGGTGAATGTGGCCTCCTGGAACTACCCACCTGGCTGGAAGACTGTCCTGCTCTGTGCTATTTGGGAGTAAGCAAGGCAGCCGCAGCCATATCTGCCTGTCATCCAGGAGCCGGCGTGGCTGGCATGAGTCCTGAGTGGCTGCATATCACCACCAGATGGACTCCTCCATGCCAGGTGCCAGGTTGCTGCAGCTGCCGGGGAGTGTTCCATCAGCAGGACTGTCTGCACCTGGACAGAATGATGTAACCTACAGGAACGCAAGATTCACAGGCGTGCAGACAAGCCTCAGAAAATTATCAGCCTCAGCTCCGAGTTACGGCTGATTCAGCTGCAGTCTCTGTGGTCAGACTTGCCTGTTGAGGCAGGCTGCTTCTCCGGTGGACTGGATGGCGTCACTTGGAATTTATATTAAAGCTGAAGTCTCCCTCAAACTAATGTAACCCTTATTTCCCAGTCCTCGTAAGACAAGTGGAAATCATGGGCCAGGCTTAAGCTTAGCTGATGATCTGATCTCCCAACTGCATTGGGTGCCGCTGGGGTCACCTAAGCCATTGCTCCCTTTCACTCCTTCAGTAAACATTTACTAAGTGTCAGAAATGATAGTAATCGCAAACATTGTCTGAATGATTGCTGGGGTCAGGCATTGTGCTAGACTTGGCACCAGCATCTTCTTATTCAGTACTCACTAAGCTGAATAAGTTTGAGTTCATTTCACAGGTGAGGAAACTCAGCTTCCCAGAGGCAAAGCAGCCTGCCTAAGGCCCCACAAATAATGAGGGGTAGAGCCTCTCATCCATCCACTTCAACAACAAGCCTTACCCTCTCTGTGGGGTCTTCCCCATGGCCTGACACTGAGCGTGTAGACACTGAATCAACACACACAATGTCAGGTCATGATTCCCCAGCCCCTCTGACTGGTCCCTTCCTCCTATCCATCAGCTGTCTCAGGTAGGCTCAACCCTACCATCCCAGGCTCCTTCCTCCTGCCTTATCGCCACTCTGCTGACCTTCCCTGCACCCCTCTGACTTCTAATGCCTGGCCTCTTGAACCTGGTGTTCCTCAGAGTTCTTTGAGACTTAGCCCCCAGGACGTTTCTCCCAGGAAGTCTTCCCTGACCCACCCCTCCTCCACATTTATGACTCCATTATATGATCGCAGTGCATACCAAAGATGCCTTTGTCTCAACATAACATCCCATATTAGGTTGAAATTTTTGGTTTCTATCTGTCAGTATCTTTTATTAAAATGGAGTTTCATGAAATGGGACAGCTGGCACCAGCACGATGCATGGCGCACGGCGGGTCCTCCATGGATGCTTGCTAGACTGAGCACAGCTGACTCACAGGCCTCAGGCACCAGGGCACGGGCAATAAAGACAGTGAACCTAATATTTTAACACAAGAAGGAAAATACAACCTCACAAATGTCACTCATACTTGGAAGAGGGAAAAACACAACTGAAATATGGTCACCAAAGAATATAGGGAAGGATATAACACACAGGCTGAACTCACGACCCTGTAGTCTGACCACCTGGGCTTCGGTCTTGGCTCCCCCACTTAAAACTAGTGAGATTTGGAGCAAGTTGTTTTCCCTCTCTGTACCTCAGTTCTCTCATCTATAGAGTGGGAGTAGATAATCTTACAGGGTTGTATGAGGATGAGATAATTCGTGTGCAGTGTTGAAAACAGTACGTTGTTCATGTTTGGATGTTATCATATTTTTTGTTCATAATAAATGGATTTACTAGAAAGGGGTGAGGGAGGAAACTAAGAAGAAACAATGGTCATAATATTTTTGATTAAGAGTATGGTACAAACCCTCAGGTCCAATTTTTTAAAATGCAGGTCAGAAGTTACCACCCAAAGGTGTACAGATTTTTTTAAATTTTCAATGAGCTGCCTATTTAAAAATGAAGAAATTTTACATTATGAGAAAGAAATCCAGACATCCAATTTCTGTCGAAAAACTGGATGACTTCGCAACTCAGCTTCTACTTGCCCCCGGTAATAATTGTCGGGATTTGTGTATCACTGCCCACTTCAGGGTGGACACGTGCTCTCCAGCTCACGCGACCCCTCCAGGCCCTCCAGCTTCTTACCTGGCCTGCTTCATGCTATAGGCATTTGAGTTTGTGACCTCAGGAAGAGAAGATGTCTTCACAATAACAATATACACAGTTTTCCTCTGCTCAGAACCTATCACACCTCTTTGGTACATCTATCATAAAACTCAGACTTTAACTGCTCCCTCCTCCATCTGGGAGCCCATCTTGCCTCACTTCCTATGACTCCCCATCCATCCTCCCTCCCCACCAGGCTGCCCCCGGCCCCCCTCCCACCCCAGCTCCTCCCTGCTATGGGGCTGGCATGGCCTCTCCGTCCCCTCTGCTTTCCCAAGTCCCCGTGCCCTGTGAAGGTTTAGCTCGTGTCCAGACACCCTAATGAGCTTCTTCCCCACTCCCTAGCCCACGGGTGGTCTCCCTTTTCCAGGCTTGCACTGCCCTTCGGACAAGGGTAACTACTATTACAGTACGGCTGTGTCTTCTTAGTCTTTACTCTGAGAAGAAGCCTGTTCTTATCTATGCAGTTTCTCTCCTTTTCCCCTGCCCCTTGGGGCTTCTGTCCTTGCTGGGCCTGTTCCTGAAATTTTGTGATTTACAACAAAACCAGAACGGGAGGGGGAGAGATTGGAAAAGAGGTATGGGAGGTAAGGGGAAAAGGAAATGAAAACAAGGGCAAACTGAGGGTGTGCTGTTGAGAGTGAAAAAGAAGGCAGGGGGCCCTGCAACAGCAGCTGGGTGGGAGGGAATGGGAGATGAAGCCGGGGAGGGGACGTGTGCAGCATTGCACGGCTCCCAGCTTCCTTGTATTTACCCATGCTGTCAGAACCATGTCGTGTGCCCCCTTTGGTCTGTTTTCAGGCGGCAACCCTGCATTTCATGGAGGACTGGAAGCTCTGTGAGGGCTGACAAATTATTATTTAGTGACCCTTACATCCCTCAGAGCCTTCGGCCCAGGGCTGAGCCCAGGGACTGCACACGTTCATGCAGAATGACTGACCTCAGTATCCCCAGGTGTCCTCAGGCAAATGACCTGAAGAAGACACTGAGCATCAAGAATGTAGCCTCTTCGATTTCACCTCCTGGCAGAAGTGTGATGAGATCAGATACCACCATGGTTTTGCGTCCCAGAGAATAACCAGGAAGATGCTCTGGAGGAGAGAATAGCAGTTCTCGAGCGAGAGCTCACATGGAAATCACCTGGGAGGGGAGGGGTCTTGTTAAACCAGAGATTGCTGGGCTCCACCCCCAGAGCTTCGGATTCAGCAGGTCTGGGCTAGGACCCCAGAATGTGCTTTTCTAACAACTTCCCAGTTGACGGGGATACGGTTGGTCGGGGAGCCACACTTCGAGCAACCCAGCTCTAGAGTTCAGGGCTGAGGTCTGATCCAAAGCCACTTCATCCCACCACTCTACAGAAGGAAAGTGACATCCCCTCCCTCTCTAGCAGGTGACTGTCCCCTCTTCATAATCCAGCACATCACTCAACCCACTTCGGAGCTTTATGGAGACTATAGATGCTCATGGCTGAGTGGAGGGTGTCCTCTTGTGGCCCAGATAGAAAATAACCTGAACTGCAGTGACCTCACTCTCAGCCTTAACAAAGTTTGCCAAACATTGAATTTTATCTGCCTGACAAAAGATCCAGGGAAACAGGATGTTCACCATTCACCGGATCTGGTCCATTGCAGAGGAGGGGCCAAGGGTCCATTCAGCATGAGATGGGTCAAATACTTTGCCCAAAAGGTGTCCAAGGATGGCAGAAATGATTTGTACTCATGACTTTGGGATTTTATAGGGTGGGAAGGTGTCTTAGGAGAATAGTCCAAACCCAGATACTCACAGAATTCTCTGTTGAAGGATACAACTTTGAAAACATGAGTTAGAAGTAAACAATTTCAAAGCCTTGGAAACACCATGTGACTAAGAAGAGACCTTAGAATGACTTTGAACCATGTTTGGATTTGTTCCCTGAACTTTCCTGAGATGAGAAAGCTGGCATCATGAACTGTGGGCTAGTGTAAGAACACTGGAGCAATTGTCACCAGCTCCATCACCAACCAATCTGGTGCAAGCCAGCCCCTTCTCAGCATTTAGCAGCCGTCCAAATACCGTTCTGCGATTCACTGCCACCTACTGCTCAGCCCGGAATGAGCAGGAGTTGGTAACTAGGACACAGGGGCAGTGGAGCGGCGCTTCTCAGAAGTTTGGCTTGTATTAGAATCACCTGGAAGGCTTGTGAAAATGTAGATATAGGGGCTTCACCCCCAGAGATCTGACTCAGTAGGATTGGGGTAGGCCTGAGAATTTGCTCTTCTAGTAAATTCTGGGTGACGCCAAGGCTGCTGGCCAGGAGATGCCTCTTTGGATAACATTTGTAATCCTCCTTCTACCACACACTCGCTGAGCTTGATTATTAATCAGTCACATCTGTAAGTGATCAAGAGCCACTAATTCAGGATGTCTCAACCTGGGTCCGATTGACATTTTGACGTGGCAATTCTTTGTTGTGGGGGTAGTTTGTCCTGTACACTGTAGGATTTTAGCAGTATCCCTGGCCTCCACCTACTTGATGCCAGTAGCAGCCACTTCCCCCAGGTTTCGATAGTTAAATGTGTCTCAGACATCACCAGATGGCCCTGGGAGGCAAAATTCTCCCATTTGAGAACCACCTCTCTAAAAAGCGGGAATGTTTTCCTCTTCCATTTGGCAGACTGTGAGGGTATCTTCAAGTATTGTCTTACCTAGGACACTGACATATAATAAACTCTCAGCTCTTTGGGTTTAAACAACAACAGAAAAAATAGACTACATATCCTGAGTGCTTAGTACGTGTGAGTTACTGTGCTGACGCTTTTTAGTATATAATCAATATTTTTTAAATCTCTGATATATTTTACATTCTTGTTTTTGTAATTAGTGTGTATCTTACCTTTACAGCAGATCTTAATTTGCAGTAGCCCCCTCTCCAGTGCTCCAGAGACACGCAGCTGCCACACTGGGTCCTGCAGGGCTAGACTCTGAGCCCAGATTCTGCCTCTGCCCAAATGGCTTCCAGCCTTTAGATGTGGAACAACACGTGCCAATTTTACTTCAATGTCCTTCCAATCCTGTCCTTATTTCAGCTATTTTATCAGACTCACATACCTATTCATGTACTCTGCAATCAGTCCTTGGAATAGTTCCACATAGTTTAAAATAAGGTCTGCAGTTTTATAAAATTTATCAAACAGCAGAATACCTCATCTGGTGGCCAGACTGTGTTGACTATTATCATATTTTAGTTCTGATAGCTTTTCAAGGGGCTGTTTTCCAAAAAGTCTGTGTTTATGCATGCTAATCCTATCCAACGCTAATCACTGATGCACAAGTTCAATCACACTCTCCCGCTTTTTGGTTTATCTCACAATATCTAGGAGTATTCATCTCCATTCAGAGATTCTGCCTTTTCATTAGCCCTATGTGATGTTTCTCCCTGTCGTTCCTCATGTTATCCTTAGCAAATGTTTCTGATCACTTAGGGAACCAATTATTCTCTAGAAAATTTGCAGTAAACCCTTTAGTCTTACCACATTTGTTCACTCAAATTTTACAGGTATGAAAATCAAGATAGACTTAATTACTAAGGTCAACCTTTAAGTATTATGCCAATAAAAAGTAGTCACGAGTTAACCCTTATGAAATGCTTCCTGTGAGCCATGCCCTGTGCTCAGCTCTTGACATGCATTATTTATTTATCCTAATAGGCCTATGAGGTAGGTGCTGGGGCGATCGTCATGTTAGAGGCAGGGTAAGAAGGTGCAGAGAACTTAAGTAACTTGCCCAAAGTCACCCAGCTAGCAACTGGCAGAGCTGGGGGTCATATCAAGCTGTGGATGATGATACAGTTGGTCCCCTAACCTCTATACTCCATTGCCAGGAAAGATGATTTACAAAAGTTCTTGTTAGGCCTTCTTTTGATGAGGAAGTATATATATGTGTGTGTGTGTGTATATATATATGTATATATTTATGTGTATATATATATATACACACACACACATATATATGTGTATATATGTATACACATATATGTATACACATATATGTATACATATATATGTGTGTGTGTGTATATATATACACATATATATACACATATATATATATATCTTCTGGTATTCTAGGAACTGTCTCTGAAGCAAGGTGCCAGGACTTCTCAGGATGCAGGGCTTTTGACTTGAACAGGGGGCTGACTTCCCATCAGAAGCTTGAACCAAGATGTCACATCAGAAACCCTCAGAATCCAGTGCCAGGAGAGCACCGGGTTCAAGAGTGAATGGGAGTGGGGATATGGAAGTGGCAAGTGAAAATGATTCCTTCAAGAAGACAGGCTACAGGCCACAGCAGGAGAGAGACAGGAAGGATGGGAACTGAAGGGAGGCAGGGCTTAAGGGAGGGTTGTGCTTTCTCTGTGTTAATTTGTTTTGTTAACTTCTTGAGCATATTGCAATGCTGATGGGGGAAAAACTAAGAGCTGAAGGCACAGGAAAGCATAGAGGGGCGGATAGAAGCTGAATCAGCAAGGACCCCCAAAGAATCCGCTCATGAAGATATTTGAAGCTCATGTCAGGAGAAATGTTCGCCGGGTCTGACACCAAAGCCTGCTCGTGTCTGCATCACTCTCTGGCTTCCCACTGTCACTGCCTAACAATCTACGGCTATCAAAGATTCCGAGAGCCAAGTGGCTTGGAAGTTGTTTGAGTCAGAAACATTTTCCCTCCACTGGGCACAACTTCTTATCCTTTTCAGTGAGGAAATACAAAATGCATGATATCAGAACATATATCCTAGGGCAGCCCCCTATGTAGGTGATATGGTTTGGTGCAAGGGACATTAAATCTGTTTCTTCCTAAAATAGTTCCCATCAGCTTTCTTCGGACCTTGAACTATTCCATTGGGATTACCTTCCTAAAGAGTCCTGTTAAAATACCAACAGGTCAAAACAATCTCGAAAAGGACACCCATGCTCATTGCAACATTATTCACAATGGCCAAAAAGGTGAAAGCAATCCTGGTGGCCATTGACAGATGAATGGACAAATAAAATGTGGTATATACATACAGTGGAATATTATTCACCCCTAAAAGGAAGGCAATTCTGACACACACTACAACATGGGTAAACCTTGAGGACACTATGCTAAGTGAACCAAGCCAGCCACAGAAGGACAAATACAATATGATCCCATTTATAAGAGGTACATAGAGTAGTCAAATTCAGAGGCAGAAAGCAGAATGGTGGCTTCCAGGTCTGGGGGAAGAGGAATGGGGAGTTTTTGTCTAATGAGTGTGGAGTTTAAGCCTGGGAGGATGAAAAGAGCCCCGGAAATGGATGGTGGGGATGGTTGCACAAGAATGTGAATGCACTTAACACCACTAAACTAACTGTACATTTAAAATGGAAAATTTTATGTTATGTGTATTTTTCTGCAATTAAACAAAACACCGGGTGATTTAAAGGGGCTGCCTGATCAATAGCCAAACTATTATTAGTTTGACTCAGCTTTGATTTCCTGTTAAGGCCACTTTGCCCAGAGCAGGACTTTAAGGAGCCAGAGCAGCGAGGAGCCGGAGATGGAGAGGTGACAGGCGTGAGGACAGTAATTCACTGGGCGCTGGAATGCGTTTTGACAAAGGCCAGGTGTCGGTTCCCGTCCTGACCTGCAGGGGGCACTCTGGTGGGTCCTGGGAAACAGGAGGAGAACGGGAAGCCTAGAAAGCCCTGGGAGCTCCTTGAGCGACAGGGAAGCCTCTGTCTACCACTTTTACTGAGGCCGCCGGCAGTCAGGATACTACACAGTGGTTATTCTTAGGCCCCTAGAGTCAGCAAAGCCTCTTGTTTGGAAAACCTCCTGGGTCTCCCCTCGCAGGCTGTGTAAGGGGCGCCCCGCTCGCCCCGCGTCTCCGTGTCCGGGGTGGGTGTGAGGACGGCAGGGCCGCGCCCCCTGCTGGCCGCTCGCTCAGCTGCGCTGTCGCCTCCTCTGCCATCAGCCCGTGGGAAAGAAAGCCATTTTGGTCACAGGAAGCAACGTTTTCAACTTCTCTCATTAATGAGAAAGACAGAATTGTGATACTCTAATGGGAATACTCGAGGAAGGAATAAATTAAATTTCCATGCAGCTCCGGCTCGAGTCCCAAGCTGAACAGATGCTGTTTTTATCAAATACTTTCTATTCTGTGACGTGCTCTGCCAACTTTCTATTATTAGACAAATCAGGAAAAGTCTGATTTCTCTCCCTTCTGGCTTCTCCTTCCCGCTTTTGTGGGAGGGTGGTGGTTTGGGTGGAGACTCTGTCCTGTCCATAGAAGGTAAATGACAAGGAAATGGCAGCCACCTGAAAACTTGCCTTGATGCCAGCATGTCCCAGAAATGTCCTTTAAAATGACATCTCATCCAGGCGTCACCCCATCCCAGATGGCATAGCTGATGGGACAGGAAAAAATACATATTTTAGAGTATTTACAGCATCATTTTCCCCTGCCCCCACTTCCTTCCTGTGAAGGAGGAATTAGTCTTCACTAGCCAAGTTCTGGAGTATTTCTTTTTCTTTTTTCTTTTTTTTTCTTTTAATTGAGATAGTGTCTTGTTGTGTTGCCTAGGCTGGAGTGCAGTGGCACCAACATCACTAACTACAGCCTTGAACTCTTGGGCTCAAGCGATCCTCCTGCCTCAGCCTTCCAAAGTTCTGGGATTACAGGCGTGAGCCATTGCACCTGGCCCTGGAGTATTTCTTGTGCATAATAAGGGAAAATTTGGGAAAGGATTCTGAATTGTGCAGTACCATGGGTAGGATGGGTTGATGGGTCTACCTAAGAGAAGGCAGGGAGTTACATACTAACGAAAGCAGAATGGATCAGAAGGCGAGAGAAAGAATAAGAGAAACAAGCCAGGGATGAGCTGGGTTTGGGAGAATTCAAGAGATAAATTAAGGAGGACTGAAGTAGCTGCTGGGCTGTTGATATGGTTTGGCTGTGTCCCCACCCAAATCTCATCTTGAATTGTAGTTCCTATAATCCCCACGTGTTGTGGGAGGGACCCAGTGGTAGGCAATTGAATCATGGGGGCGGTTACTCTTTTCTATGAGGGAGATGCACAAAGGGAAAAGAAAAGACACACATGCAATACCTTCAAGGGTAAACAACCTTTATCCCATGTAAATGGCAATGCAGATATAATAAGCAAATGATACAAGCAAATTGCAATGGGAAGGGGAAAAGGGAGAAGATATATATATATAGCCTGGACTACTGGGAGGCTAGAAGTTAATGGCAAGGGCATGCCAACTTTCACCCCACTTCTCCCATCAATATAGACTATATATATATACACACACACTCACCAGACGATGGAGGATTCATCACCAGACCAGAAGCAACAGCCTGGGCTCCAGAGTCGGCCACTACACTTACCAGACTATAGAGGATTCATCACCAGACAGGGAAGCAACAGCCTGGGCTCCAGAGTTGACCGCTCATCCATGCACAGATGAGGAGAGGTCTCATGAAGCTTTGGCGTGGTATGGGACCCTAGTTCTTTTTGTAACGACTTATTTGGCATGAGGCCCAGTCACGAGGGCCCTTCATGACTGGACTCAAGGAACACAAAAAGGTCAACTTGTTTTTATGATTGTTTGTTGTTTTTCAATAACTAACATACAGGAACAGATTTCTCCAAAACCGTCTGGATGAACGCCTCAAGGGGCTCATGCAACCTGTTCTGGGACTTGGTGACCATTGTTTGTGTCCACATTCAATTGAGTTCAAATTTAAGATTTAACTTTTCCTCCACATATCCCCATGCTCTTCTTGAGTTCTCATGAGACCTGATGGGTTTATGAAAGGCTTTTCCCCTTTGCTTGGCACTTCTCCTTCCTGCCGCTATGTGAAGAAGGATGTGGTTGCTTCCCCTTCCGCCTGAGGCCTTCCCACCCCTGTGGAACTGTGAGTCAATTAAAACCTCTTTCTTTTATAAATTACCCAGTCTCAGGCAGTCCTTCATAGCAGTGTGAGAACGGACTAACACAGATGTCATGAGGAGGACTTGAGAAAGAGACAAGAGAAGAGGATTCTTCAGAAATGTTGGTGTTATGAATGGAACCCAAACCCCACCCTTTGGCATCTTTAAGAGATTTCAGTAAAGACATAAATTGATTTAAAAACTGTGTTTTGGTCAAGCATAGCGGCTCACTTCTATAATCCTAGTACTTTCAGAGGCCAAGGTGGAAAGATTGCTTGAGGCCAGGAGTTTAAGACCAGCCTGGGCAACATAGCAAGACTCTGTCTCTCAAAAACAAATTAAAATTAGCCTTATGTGGTGGCATACACCTGTAGTCCCAGCTACTCAGGAGGCTGAGGTGAGAGGATCACTTGAGCACAGCAGTTCGTGGCCTCAGTGAACTATGATTGTGCCACTGCACTCCATCCTGAGTAATGCAGCAAGACACCCAACTCATAAATAAATAAATAAGATAAAAACTCTGTTTTGTATGATGGTCTGGTGTTTATTCAAGGCAGCCTGGACTACTGGGAGGCTAGAAGTTAATGGCAAGGGAATGCCAAGTTTCACCCCACTTCTCTCATCAATATAGACTATAGTCCAGATATTTTAAATTAGTATCCTATAGGGTAGCTGGGTGTGGACCCCAGATGCATTTTATTTGGCTAGTTGAGATTTAAGTTTTTTTTGAACCAACAATTGAAAATTGGGATTTCACATTTTAAAAGCCTGCATTTCCTTTCCTACTTCTTTTGAAAAAAATGGAAAAATTTGGCAATATGAGGCCCTTATTACCACAAGGCAAAAATAGGCTCATGCTTTCTAGTTAACCTCAGTGCCCACCCCTCACATAAGGCATATGTATGCATGTATACCTGGCCCACTGCCTGCATTTGCAGGTGGACCTTGGAGATATTGTGGGTTTGGTTCCAGACTGCCGCAGTAAGGCAAGTATTGCAACAAAGTGAATCATACAAATTTTTGGTTCCCAGTGCCTATAAAAGTTATGTTGACAGTATGCTGTAGTCTAGTAAGTGTGCAAGAGCATTATGTCTAAAAATGTACATACCTCAATTAAAAATACTTTGCTGCTAAAAAAATAGTAATGATCGTCTGAGCCTTCAGTGAGTTATAATCTTTTTCCTGGTGGAAGGTCTTGCCTCGATATTGATGGTTACTGACTGATCAGACTGGTGGTTGCTGAAGTTTGAGGTAGCTGTGGCAAGTTATTAAAATATGACAGTAATGAAGCTTGCCATGTCAATGGACTCTTCCTTTCACAAAATATTTCTCTGTACCATATTTGGTAGCATTTAATAACAGTAGAACTTCTTTCAAAAGTGGAGTCAGTCCTCTCAAATGCTGCTGCTTCTGTATTAACTAAGTTTACGGAATATTCTAAATCCTTTATTGTCATTTCAACAATGTTCACAGCATCTCTACTAGGAGTAGAGTCCATCTCAAGAAATCACTTTCTTTGCTCATCCATAAGAAGCAGCTCCTCTTTCGTTCAAGTTTTATCATGAAATTTGTATTAGGGTTCTCTAGAGAGGCAGAACTTATAGGATAGATGTATAAATGAACGGGAGTTTATTAAGGAGTACTGACTCACATGATCACAAGGCGAAGTGCCACAATAGGCCATCTGCAACCTGAGGAGCAAGGAAACCAGTCCAAGTCCCAAAACCTCAAAACTAGGGAAGCTCACACAGACACACCCAGGAACAATACTTTGCATCCTTCAATCCAATCAAGTGAACACTCAGTATTAACCGTTACAAGATTGAAGCAATTCAGGCACATTTTCAGGCTCCACTTCTAATTCTAGTTTTCTGTTTCCAGCACCTCCGCAGTGACTTCCTCTAGTGAAGTCTTGAACTCCTCTAAGTCATCCGTGAGGGTTAGAATCAACTTCTTCCAAACTCCTGCTAATGTTGATATTCTGACCTCCTCCCATGAATCGTGAATGTACTTAAGGGCATCTAAAATGGTAAATTCTTTGCAGAGGGTTTTCAATTGATTTTGCCCAGATCCATCAGAGAAATCACTATCTATGACAACTATAGCCTTAAAAAATGCATTTCTTAAGTAATAGGACTTGAAAGTTGAAATGACTTCTTGATCCATGGACTGCAGAATGGATGTTGTGTTAAAAGCATGAAAATATTACTCTCCTTGTACATCTCTGTCAGAGCTTTTGAGTTACTAGATGCATTTGCCAACAAGAAGTAATATTTTGAAAGGAATCCCTTTTTTTCCCTGGAGGAGTAAGTCTCAACGGTAGGCTTAAAATATTCAGTAAACATGCCATAAACAGATGTGCTGTCATTCAGGCTTTGTTATTTCATTTATAGAGCACAGGCAGAATAGATTTAGCACAATTCTTTGTTTTGAGACAGGGTTTCACTCCTGTCACCCAGGCTGGAGTGCAATGGCGTGATCTTGACTCACGGCAACCTCAGCCTCCAGGCTCAAGAAATTCTCCTGCCTCACCCTCCTGAGTAGCTGGGACTGCAGGCACACTTCACCACACCTGGCTAGTTTTTGTATTTTTTTGTAGAGATGGGGTTTCACCCTGTTGCCCAGGCCAGTCTCGAACTCCTGAGCTCAAGTGATCTGCCTGCCTCGACCTCCCAAAGTGCTAGAATTACAGGCATGAGCCACTGTGTCTGGCCTGGGTTTAGCATAATTTGTAAGGGTCCAAAGATTTTCTGTATGGAAAATGAGCAATTGGCTTCAGCTTAAAGCCACCAGTTGCATTAGCCCCTAATAAGACAGTCAGCCTGTCCCTTGAAGCGTTGAAGCCAGGCATTGCTTTCTCCTCTTTAGCTATGAAAGTCTTAGATGGCATCTTATTCTGATAGATGTTTTGTCTACATTGAAATTCTATTGTTTAGTGTAGCCACCACCATCCATAATCTTAGCTAGATTTTCTGGATAACTTGCTGCAGCTTCTACATGAGCGCTTGCTGCTTCACCTTGCACTTTATGTTGTGGAAATGGTTTATGTCCTTAAATTTCATGAACCAACCTCTGCTAGCTTCTAATTTTTCTTCTGTAGCTTCCTTACCTCTCTCAGCCTTCATTGAATTGAAGCGAGTTAGGGCCTTGCTCTGGATTAGGCTTTAACTTAAAGGAATGTTGTTGCTGGTTTGATCTTCTATCCAGACCACTCAAACTTTCTCCATATCAGCAATAAGGCTGTTTTACTCTCTTATCATTTGTGTGTTCACTGGAGTAGTGCTTTTAATTTCCTTCAAGAACTTTTCCTTTCCATTCACAACTTGGCTACCTGTTTGGCACAAAAGCCCTCTATTTTGGCCTCTCTTGGCTTTTCCTCATGCATTCCTCACTGAGCTTAATCATTTTTAGCTTTCGATTTAAAGTGTGGGATGTGCCACCCTTGCTTTCACTTGAACACTTAGAGGACATTGTAGGGTTATTGATTAGTCTAATTTCAATATTGTTGTGTCTCAGGGAATAAGGAGGACTGAAAAGAATGTAAAAGATGGGAAATGGCTGATTGGTGGAGAAGTCAGAACACACAACATTTATCAATGAACTTCACCATCTTATATGAGCACAGTTTATGGCACCCCAAAATGATTACAAGAGTAATCTCAAAGATCACTGATCATAGATTACCATAACAAATATAATAATAATGAAAAAGTCTGAGATATTATGAGAATTATCAAAATATGACCCAGAAACAAAAAGTGAGCACATGCTGTTGGAAAAATGGCACCTAAAGGCTTCTTCAATGCAGGGTTACCACGAACCTCCAATTTGTAAAAAATATAATATCTGCAGTGTAGTAAAGCAAACTATGACAAAATGAAGCATACCTGTCTATTTCCTACCATCTGGTAATAGCAGACTAAATTCAGACCTACTGTCCTGCTGAGAACAATTAGAAAAGTGGGAAAAAATTAAAATAAAATGTGCTTGAAAACATCAGACTTAAAAAGATAATGAAGAATCACCAATGAAGAGCTGGAGAAAGATGGGTATTCAAGGAGGCAAGCCCAATAACTGGGCCTCTTTTCCCCTTGGGACATTTGCTGCTTCTGGAAACGACAACAAAGAACTGGAGAGATGGCCGGGTGTGGTGGCTCACACCTGTAATCCCAGCACATTGGGAGGCCAAGGCAGGTGGATCATTTGAGGTTAGGGTTTGAGACCAGCCTGACCAACATGGTGAAACCCCATCTCTATTAAAATACAAAAGAAAAATTAGCTGGGTGTGGTGGCGGGTGCCTATAATCTCAGCTACTCGGGAGGCTGAGGCAGGAGAATCACCCAGGCTCCCAGGAGGCGGAGGAGCTTGAACCTATGAGGCAGACGTTGCAGTGAGCCGAGATCATGCCACTGCACTCCAGCACGGGCGACACAGTGCAGAGTGAGACTCCCTCTCAAAAAAAAAAAAAGAACTGAAGAGACTAAGCAGCACCTGGGCAGCTTTGTGTGGCCACATAAACACAAGTTGGAATCCGGTGCTCACCAAAGGAGAGGGTAGACATATAACTCCCCATAGCAGGCTAGGACCCTGAAAGTCTTCATCTTAAGACTGAATGAAAAAATTAGCGCAGCATGGTAGCATGGTGGCATGTGCTTGTAGCCCCAGCTACTTGGGAAGATCCCTTCAGCCCAAGAGTGCAAGGCTGCAGTGACCTATGTTTGTGCCACTGGACCTATGTTGTCCAGCCTGGGCAGCACAGTGAGACCCCACCTCCAAAAAAATTTAAAAAAGAGAAAAGACAGGATGACTTGGATGGAAGTAGATGAGATTTTGTGGGGCCTCAGCTGAGATCCAATTAGCTTAATTCTTCAAATTGGATAAAGGTGATCCCAGGTCCTCACATCCCCAGGTATCTTGCAAAAGCAAATATAAATACAGTTGACCCTTGAACAACATGGGTTTGAACTGTATGGCTCATTTATACATGGATTTTTTTTTTTTTTTTGGACAGAATTTCGCTCTTGTCATCCAGGCTGGAGTGCAATGGCGCGATCTCGGCTTACTACAACCTCCGCCTCCCAGGTTCAAGCAATTCTCCTGCCTCAGCCTCCTGAGTAGCTGGGATTACAGGTGCCTGCCACCATGCCAGCTAATTTTTTTAGTTTTAGTAGAGACAGGGTTTCACCATGTTGGCCAGGCTGGTCTCAAACTCCTGACCTCAGGTGACCCACCTGCCTCAGCCTCCTAAAGTGCTGCTGGGATTACAGGCGTGAGCCACTGCGCCCAGCCTATACATGGATTTTTAAAATAAATATAGTCAGCCCACTCTTCTCTAGCTATGAAAGTCCTAGATGGCATCTTATTCCAATAGAAGGCTGTTTGTCTACCCTGGAACTCTGTTGTTTAGTGTAACCACCGCCATCCATGATCTCAGCTAGATCTTCTGAATAATTTGCTGCAGCTTCTACATCAGCACTTGCTGCTTTATCTTACACTTTTATGTTACGGAATGGTTTATTTCCTTAAACTTCATAAACCAACCCCTGCTAGCTTGCAGTTTTTCTTCTACAGCTTCCTCAGCTCTCTTAGCCTTCATAGAATTGAAGAGTTAGGGCCTTGCTCTGGATTAGGCTTTGGTGAATTCTGCATCTGCAACCAAACATAAATATAAAAGACAGTAGTTGCAGGATGCCAAACTCACTTATATATGGAGGGTCGACGTTTTATATCCATGGATTCCACAGGGTTGATTGTGGAAATGAAATCTGCATGGATTTTGGTATCTGCAGTAGGTCCTGGAACCAATCCTGCTGTGGATACTGAGGGATGACTGTACTCTCAGGAGGAATATAACACAATAAGTTTTACTTTACTTCAACCAACAATTTTTCATATACAATTTTAGCACACAAGAGAATAACCAGGCCCATAAAGAAATAAGAAAACATGAGATCCAGTAGAAACAACTACAATAGAAACAATACCACAGAACTCCAGTTAATGGATTTATCAGATACGGACTTTAAATTAATTATGTTTACTACACATACGGAGATAAAAGACAGTATCAACAAATTTGGCAGAGAACTGAAAACTTTAAAAAAGGATGAAAAAGTTGTAAAAAATAACCAGTGAACAATTTAGAATTTAAAATATATACTAACAAAAGCAAAGAGCTCAGTGGATACTCTTTACTTGGTTTAACAAAAAATTATACACAGCTGTAGGGAAAATTGATGAACTGGAAAGTAGGTTAGAAGACAACATCATGACGAAACATGGAGAGACAAAAGGATAGCAATGCTACAGAGAGTAAGAGATATGGAGATAAAATGAGAATTAAAATTTCAGAAGGAGAAGAGAAAGAGAATGGTGCAGCATCAATATTTGAAGAGAAAATAGTTGAAAAATTCCCAAAATTGATTAAAGACAACAAGCCACAAATCTCAGAAGCCCTGGGAGCTGCAAGCAGGAGAAATTTTTAAAAGCCACACCTAGGTACATCACAATAAGACAGATGAAAACCAAAGACAAAGGGAAAAAAAAATTACAAGCAGCTGTCATTACTTGAAAAAATGTAATAGACTGTTAGCTTACCTCTTGATAGAAACAATGGAAACTAGAAATTAGTGGAATTTAAATGTCTTTCAAGTGCTGAAATAAAATAACTGTCAACATTAGAATTCTATGTCCAGTGAAAATAGCCTTCAATAATAAAAGTGAAATTAAGACATTTTCAGGATTCTTTACCAGCATCAAATACTAAAGGATGTTCTTTAAGCAGAAGGAAGATGATTAAGGATGATAGGTTATATAGATGCAGAAAGAAATGAGGTCCAGCACGAAGGTCCATTTGAGGAAGTCTAAATGAATTATACCGTATGAAACAATGTAACACAGTGCTGAAGATTTAAAAAATTAAAAATATTAAAAGTGCATACAAATCAGGAGAGGAAGTAAATGAATTGAAACGTTCTAAGGTCCTTGTACTATTATGGAAGAAAATGAAAGTGCCAATTAACATTATTAGCCTTTGCTAACTCAGAGACCCATACTGTGATCTATAGGATAAACTCTAAAAGACTACTAAAAAGATATGTAACTTCCAAAACAATGGAGGCAAAAACAATATTTTCCAAAAGCAGGCAAAAAGTGAGGATAAAGAGAACAGAGAGCATGTGAGACAATTGAAAACACTTAAGAAGACGGTATATTTAAATTCAAATATATCAGTAATTACATTAAATGTAAATAAATTAAATAGTTCAATTAAAAATCAAAGATTGAATTGGATAACAATCTGCATACTGTTTATAAGAAACATACCTAAAACATTTGTATTATAATGTTGAAATTAAAAAGTGGAAAAATATAAATATTAACAAAAATTAATGTTATCTATATTAATATTAGACAAAGTAGACTTTAAGGCAAAAAGCATTATCATAATGATAAAAAGTTTAACTCATGAGAAAGTACAATGATTATAAAACTTGTACACATAATATAGCTTCAAAAATATAAAACTAAGATTGACAAAACTGCAAGAAGTGAACAGATACATGAGTAAGGATATAGATTATTTAAACACGATTAGCAAACTTGACTTAGTGGACATGTATAGACTGTTACATCCAACAATTATAGAACTCATGTTCTCCAAATATGACTCTCCACCTTCCAAGCAAATGATAGGATTGAAATTCTGCACCTCATTTTATGTTGTATACCCATATGACTCGCTTTGGCCAATAAAATATGAATAGAAATAATTACCAGTGTATTAGTAAACATGTCTTCTATTTTTTTTTTTCTTCTTGAAAGCAGAAATCCTTCAGTCCAGGTCCTTGAGCGAGGGTGATACAGAATGGAGCTTCCCAACCCACCTGCAAATGGACAGACGTGCCCAACTGTGAGTGAGAAAGGAGCCTTTGTTATTTTAAGCCACTGAGAGGTGGGGATTATTCATGATCACAGTCATTTCACCTTTTTTTCTACTAATACACATAGAAAAAAAGATGGGCTGTTTTCCAGGCACAGAGGTGAGCCTGTTTTGAAAGAATATGGTGTGATACAGTCCTGGTGAGTTCACTGGCTTAAGTTCCAGGGAGATGGGCACAGAAATTGTGGCTGAGGCAGAGAAAGCAGCTCCCAAGAAGAGCTTATGAAGATTGGCTAGAGGGCAAGTTTTAAAGGGACATGGATTTAACAGTAAATATTGGATATTGTCCTACAAGTTGAAGGATCTCCAGAAGTTGGTGACTGACTTGACTACTGATAACAATGGAGATGAACCAGGAAGAAGCTGATCAGTATGAAAGGGTGGAATTAGGTAAAGAGCTACTACCAATGAACACATTACAGTTTTTGTTTTTGTTTCTCATTCTCTAGAGGTAGCCATTATTAAGAATTTGGTGAGGGCCAGGTGCGGTGGCTCACGCCTGTAATCCCAGCACTTTGGGAGGCCAAGGAGGGCAGATCACGAGGTCAGGAGATCGAGAGCATCCTGGCTAACACAGTGAAACCCCATCTCTACTAAAAATACAAAAAATTAGCCAGGTGTGATGGTGGGTGCCTGTAATCCCAGCTACTCAGGAGGCTGAGGCAGGAGAATGGCATGAACCCAGGAGGCGGAGCTTGCAGTGAGCCAAGATCACGCCACGGCACTCCAGCCTGGGCGACAGAGCAAGACTCTGCTTTTTATTAAAAAAAAAAAAAAAAAAAAAGAATTTGGTGAGAATTTCTCCAGCAATTGCATGCACATGCAAACACACACACACATACACACCAATTTAAAAAAACACACATCTCATCAATCATATTCTACCTGCAATTCTGAAAAAAAATTCCAGCTGATAATATCTCCATGGTTGTTTTCCATGTTACCACAAAGAGATTTGCCTTTCTTTTTCATTGGCAGCTTAGTATGCCATAGTACCACTGTATCACAGTTAGGCAACCATTCTGTTGACACTTAGGTTGTTTCCACAATTGCAAACAATTCTTCAGTGACCATCCTTGCAAATAATATCCATGCATTTCAATATCTTCTTTCTTCAGGCAATAAGACCAGCTTTGTCACCATTCTAATGGTAAAAATGTTAAGCTGAGTAACAAAGGAACACAACCAGGCTAGCTATTTGAGATGGTTATTTTTGGTTAATGGGTGACAGGTGGGCTTCAACTATGCCCAGAATGGTGTTTAAAACATAGTGGGCACTCAATAAGTATTTGCTGAATGCATGAATGCATAAACAAGTGAATCCACAACCACTATAGACACTTGTCAGGCCTGCCCTGCCCCCATTTATGATAGGATTTTTCAACCCCAGCACTATGGACTGTTAGGGCCAGGTAATTCTTTGTTATGGGGAGCTGTCCTGAGCATTGTAGAAAGTTTACCACCATCCCTGACCTCTACTCACTAGATGCCACTAGAACAACCCCAGATGCAACAACTAACAATGTCTGCAGAAACTGCTAAATATCCCCTGGGGAAAAATCGCTCCTGATTGAGAACCACTGATTTTTAATACGGGTTGAAGTTGCGTAAGGGCAAAGGCCCTTTATGAAAACAGCTAACTCTAGGCTGGGCACGGTGGCTCATGCCTGTAATCCCAGCACTTTGGGAGGCTGAGGCCAGCGGATCATTTGAGGTCAGGAGTTCGAGACCAACCTGGCCAACATAGAGAAACCCCGTCTCTATTAAAAATACAAAAAAAATGATCTGGGCATGGTGGCACCTGTAATCCCAGCCATCTATCCATCCATTTATCCACCTATTCCTCAAATACCTATTGAGCACCCACTGTGTGCCAGGCCTGTAATCCCAGCTACTGGGGAAGGCTGAGGCAGGAGAATTGCTTGGACCCAGGAGGTGGAGGTTGCAGTGAGCCAAGATCGCACCACCACACTCCAGCCTGGGCGACAGAGTGAGACTCCAACTCAAACAAAACAAACAAACAAAACCCCAACTAACTCTAAAAACGTTGATCCTACTTCTCCCTGATCCTCTCATGTTATAGAGGCCTTTTTTTCCTGGGTCTTCACAGTTTTTTCATAGAGATTCTTGGATACCTTATTTTTGGTTTGGATTTCGTTTCTCCAGGGCTACCTTCCCTGATGCCTCCCCCATCAACTCATGTATATATACATGAGGATTATAATGTATAATAATCTTCATTATACATTGTTAATCTCCATTATTCATTCTCTAATTACCAAATACCTCTCCTTGGTGTGGAGGAAAAAAATATTAAATTTGAACTCAATTGAACGTGGACACAAACAATGGTCACCAACTCCCGGAACAGGTTGTGTGAACCCCTTGAGGCATTCATCCAGCACAGTTTCGGAGAAATCTCCATTTCAATCTATTCCTATACATTAGTTATTGAAAAATAACAGACAATCACAAAAACAAGTTGACCTTTTTGTGTTCCTTGAGCCCAGTTGCGAAGGGCCCTCGTGACTGGACCTCATGCCAAACAACTCGTTACAAAAGAGCTAGAGTCCCAGACTGTGCCGAAGCTTCACAGACCTCTCCTCGTCTGTGCACAGATGAGTGGCTGACTCTGGAGTCCAGGCTATTGCTTCCTGGCCTGGTGATGAATCCTCCATAGTCTGGTGGTATAAATATATATATATATATTTTTTTTTCTTCTCCCTTTCCCATTGCAATTTGCTTATTATATCATTTGCTTATTATATCTGCATTGCTAGTTATATGGGATTCAAAAGTATTGTGTGTGCCTTTTCTTCTCCCCTCACACGTTTCCCGCACAGAACACTTAGTAGTGCTTATCACTGTTGAATTCTTACATTTATTGAATTAATTATTAAAAGTGTATCCATAATCTGTTTCCCTCCCTGAGCTTCCTAGAGGAGGCCATCACTAAGAATTTGCCATGGAACATGCCATTTTTTGCTCACTATTTTTATATCTAGTGCCTAAAACAAGGCCTGGCACACAGTAGGTGCTCAATGGGTATTTGAGGAATGGCTGGATGAATGGATGGATAGATGGCAACCTAATATCAGTCAGCAATAGCCAGCCCAAGGGTACAGCAGACTTCACAAATTGTTCTTGTACCTTCTAAAACAATTTTGAAAAACAATGTTACATATACCCACATTTAAACATTTATGTTAATTTTCATCATTAAGTTTATATGGTTTCAAGAGCATAATTTCTAATATATTATAAAGCTGGAATTTAAAAATTAAACTGTGGGCCAGGTGCGGTGGCTCATGCCTGTAATCCCAGCACTTTGGGAAGCCAAGGTGTGTGGATCACCTGAGATCAGGAGTTTGAGACCAGCCTCAAACTGATGAAACCCCATCTCTACTAAAAACACAAAAATTAGCCAGGCGTGGTGGCAGGTGCCTGTAATCCCAGCTACCCAGGAGGCTGAGGCAAGATAATCTCTTGAACTCAGGAGGCAGAGGTTGCAGTGAGCCAACATTGCACCATTGCACTCCAGCCTGGGCAACAGAGCGAGACTCTGTCTCAAAAAAAAAAAAAAAAATTAAACTGTGGCATCATTCTTCAAGTGTACCTATTAATCTGTTATTATTTCTAATATTCTCTTTGATTTGCTTCCACAGTTCTGTCCCTCAATATTCAAGGAAGGAAAAGCAAAGTTGTTGAATTAAAAAATGCCTAATTAATCATTAAAAAAGACTGAATTAAAGTATTAAAGGAAGTTCCTAGTTTGGGGACTTTGATATTTTTATACTTGGGGCAATGGCACCTTATTAAGATTTGTGAAGACTGACAGGTATGATTTCCTTTCATACAGTAGGGGAAGGGTTATGAACACAGACACGTGCTCAGGCAAACCAGGTTTAGGAAAGAGTAGCTGCAGAAATGGAGAACTAACTGATTGTCTAAAAATAATCCTTGGTGTGGCCCTCCTCTTTGGAAAGCCTTGCAGACTCCCATCTGGGGTAATGCAGCCCAGTGACCTGCAGAGGGCAGTGTTGGACAAGCTGTTGGTTCAATCTCTCTGTCTCTTTCTCAGGGTAGTGGAAAGTGCAGTCCAGCTTGGATACAGTGGGAACCCGGCCTGGGCGGCCCAGCCCAGTCCTCTCTGGTGTGTGTGTTTGCACAACGAATTATTCACAGGAAAATGGCTCCAACGAGAATGGTGGCCAGAGACTCCATCCTGTACCTAGAACCAGGGCCTGGGACTGTAAACAGGTGAAAACCTTATTTTCTCTCCCCTTCAATAACTGGATTTGGAACAGAAATCAAGGATTGAAGTTGTGGGTCTGAATCAACCCTAAGGGTTTTGTTTTCCCTCTTATGAAGTGAAAACAACAGTGAAATGTCAACGATTCACATCTTCAGGAGACGGTAGGGCAAAGTGGCCAAGAGCTCAGACAGTCGGGAGTTCCCATCCCACTCTACCCTCTCCAAAGCTTAGGTGAGGAGCCTTTCCAAACCTCAGCTTCCCTGGATATCAAATAGGAGCAATCTTACCCTCCTGGCAGCGGTGTTGTGAGGATTAAATACAAGAATGCAGAAGTACTCCTCAAATGAAGGGCATTCAGCAAGAAAGAGCCCAGTAAATAACAGTGATAATGGTGAAGAGGACGATATTGAATTGGCATCTTGCCAGGCATGACATTTTCAAAACTTTCCATTCATGTCTGAAGAGGAAGGATCAGAGGTGAAAAATCAAACTGTCTCAATGTTGTAAGTTTTACAAGCCTAGGAGCCAGAGGCAGAAACAGCCAGGGCAGAAGGCAGAATCAACACATTGAGAGCCTAGCTCTGTGGCGTTGCCCACATCTGCCTTTCAGGGTCGGGGCTCCCATCCTGGTGTTGAAAAGAGGATCTTTGCATCTAAAATAGTGTGTATGATGACTGTGTGACACGACCACCAGACTCAGAAATACTCACCTGCCTCAGACATAAAAGTAAGGACTTCGTTCATTACGTTGATCCTCTGTGAAACCTCAAAAGGTAGCAATCAGCTAATTGAAGAAAAATGATAAGTTGGACACATTGCTTGGATGTACTGAAAGTAAGGCTCAGAGCAAAACCCGCTCCCTTCTGCCTCATATTGGGAAAGGTAACAGGGACTAGTGCAGAGAGAGGCATGGAGAGAATTCGGATGAGATCATTGTCCTTTCACCTGGCAGCTGTCCAGCCCCCAAATAGCTTTTGTGTCCAGTCCAAAAATAAGATCACATGAGAGGGGGAGAAATAAATATACAGTGCTTGTCCTTAGCCTTTCTGTGGGCATACCAGTGTCAGCTGCACTTGTAGGGGCCCAAGTGCCTCATGACCCACTCGGCAGCCTTCCTCTCCAGGATCCCCAAGGCTAGGAGGCCAACCTACTAACAGGTGGGTGGGTATGGTGTGTGGTTTCACTCAGTTCTTCTCATGGGGTTTCTCTGAGCTCCATTCATACCAGAAAGGGAGCAGGAGAGAGAGGACAAGTGGATCCAACAGCCTTCGCTCCAGGGGAATCAGGGCATCGCCTCCTTTTCTGGGAGGACACTCCCTTCTGATGGTGAATGGGAACTCCCTTCCTCCTGCAGCAGCCTGCCTGCAGCTGTCCTGGTAGAACAGTGTGGACATTGCAGAAGCTGTCACTGCCCCAGAAAGAAAGCACCCCAGAGCCAAGGCAAAGAGGTGAGTGCATCTGTTTCTGCAAAGGGCTCAGATTGCTACAGACTTTCTGCTTGGCTTCATGTTGTGCTCAGCGTGAACGTTCTCCCTCACCCCCGCCTTCCTGTTCTCCTCCCTGATCTGGGTCTGTGGCAAGCTTGAGTCTATGTGATGAATGCTAGAGTGAAATATTCCTGTACTGCCTTCTCTCATTCAAAGGCCAATTCACTCCCAGAAAGAACTGGGTAGGTCTGGTTCTTAGTGGGGAAGCAGGAAATGGTTCCTACTAAGTGAATTATCTTTGCTGAGATCCAAGAAGACGTTTACCAGGAAATCATTAGACAAATCCCATTACAGTAGACTTAATGCTTCATTTTAAAAAGCACTGAATGAAATAGAAAATAAAAGGATGCCAGCTGATTCTTTGTCGTTGGCAAAAAGGAAAAAACAAAAATGAGACATGCAGAGCCTCTTTTTCCCCATCACCTCCCTTCCCCATCTCTTCCTGATTTCTTAGAGCCCTGCAAAACATACTTAACAGATTCAAGAGTTCCTTTCTCTGGTTGAAAACAAGAGGAATAAAATCAGGGGTTTGGGGAAAATTGCTCTGTACACAGACTTCAGAGACAAAGAGGAGAAACAGATTTTGCAGCCTCGGTCTCCCCTATAATGCCTCCTCATAGAACATGTACCTATATCCATTTAGGGATATGGATAGACGCCACTATCACTTCCACACACAAACTGTTATCCTGGATGTAGTCTGCCCCTGGGCTATGGACTACAAATACCCATGCTAAGAAGCAACCAACAAAATTCTGGTAGGAACAAGGTCATTACTTGAATAAGTCAGGATTCATTTAGTAACCATGGACTGAAACCCAGTTTGAAGAGATTTAGGCAAAAAGAGGATTTTTTTATTAACTCATGTGCCTGAAAAAGCAAGGTTTTGGTATCATGAGATCCAGGGGCCTAGATGATGGCATCATGAAGCTGTCTTTCCATATCTTGGCTTTGCCTCCCCTGCGTCCTTCTGTTTCCAGGAAGACCTGCCCATTGTGAAGGCCACATGGCTGCAGCACCTCCCAGCTGACATCCTACTAGCACAGCACCGTACAAGAACAGGTGCTTCCCTTTCTAGTTCTAGCTAGAATCTCAGGGTCAATCTCATAGAACGAATGTGGGTACTGTACCCATCCTTGCCATGGGCATGGAGTCATTCCCATCCCCAAAACTGCATGGACTGAAAGCAATGAAGGGGTGTTTCCCCAGAAATGATCAGAGTTCTCATCCCAGGACAAAGGGGGCTAGATGCAGGGTGGCCGAAGTCAATGGTTGCCACTCTATGTTGCTTTTTTGCAATGGTCTAGATTGACTCAAAGCTCATCTGATAGCAGCTCCTCCCTCTTACATGCCATAAAAATGTATTAGTGACAGAAGTTCTCATAGGAAGGATAATTATTAGTGGAAAAGGTGACTAAAAGACTCCATGGCATGTTATTCCTAGAGATCCTTGAGAGTAGGAAAGACAGCAGGATGCTTGTCTGTGGCTTAGCTCCCAGACCATGCACCAGGCCCAGACCCACCTGGGCTCCCAAATTGCCCATGCTCACATGGGTCTCCCTTCTCCCTCACCCACCCTTGCCCAGTTCTGTCTCCCTCTCCTCTTCTGCTGTGAACTCATCTTGACTTGTGAGGGCCCACCTTGGTGCTGTCTCCCCTCTGAGGCCTTATCTGGCCCTTCCAGACTTTCCTGCTGTCTCCCCTCTCTGAATCAGAATGGCATTGACTGTCAGGATTGCAGTTTACTGTTTATATGTTCTTTAAGAACTTCATGTATCTTAGTTTCTCTCACAGCTTGAATTCTCCATTCTTGCGGGAAAATTAAGTTTCATTCCCAAGCCCTCTCTGTGGTAGCTAATAGATACTAGGTGCTTGATTAAGTGCATCCAGTTAATTGACCAATAGAAAATGAGTCTTCCTAAATAGATTAGGGAGAATGGATGGATTACTTGGGGTCGTTAATTCTTTTTTCTTTTTCTTTCTTTTTTTTTTTTTCTTTTTGATACAGAGTCTTGCTCTGTCACCCAGGTTGGAGTGCAATGGTGAGATCTTGGCTCACTGCAACCTCCGCCTCCCAGGTTCAAGCGATTCTTTTGCCTCAGCCTCCTAAGTAGCTGGGATTACAGGCATCCACCACCACACCCAGCTAATTTTTGTATTTTTAGTAGAGACAGGATTTTGCCATGTTGGCCAGGCTGGTCTCGAACTGACCTCCTGACCTCAGGTGATCCACCCCCACCTCGGCTTCCCAAAGTGCTGGGATTACAGGCATAAGCCACTGCGCCCAGCCTTGAGGTCTTTAATTCTGACTTTAGAAGTAATATAATAACTATAGCAAACACAGATGGTATGCTGGAGTCCCTACAGGCATCATCTCAGGTAATCCTCACAATGACCCTACGAGGCAAGTACTGCTATTATCCCATTTAGCAGATGGGTAAACCAAGTCTCAAAGAAATGAGTTACTTATCCTAAATTATACATCTAGTAAGTGGTGATGTGCAGACTATAACCCAGGATGCCACCTTCTCATTTCCTATTCCACTAATCATTTACACACCTATCAGTAGAATTTCCTGCTGCCTGAGTTTAAAGAGCAAAGGGCACAGGTGATGGGTCAGAGAGCAGGAAGAAGTACATGTATTTTAGACCCCTCTTCTGCCACCTGGGTGCCCAGTACCTCTACTGGGAAGTTCTTATTAGATTCTACCCAGGGGTGAGGGGTCACTCCCCTGCCCCAGAGCCTACAGGAATGTCAGGGATTTCACAAAAAGAGGTGTCTCTGGGACTCTGCAGAGAGTAGGGTGCTTTTTAATTAAACGGGGGTAGGGTGGTCTTTGCGGGAAATGTTGGCTAGAGGGTAGGCTTTAGAATTTAAGCTTGCCCCTTGGGCTGCCGGTCAGTACATTATGGCCCTGCCCTTTCTCCTACCCGCCACCAGGGTGACCAAGCTGGGGTCCTCCCTCAGGGTGTTTGGCAGGATTTGGAAGGCAACCAAATTCTGATCTCAAAGAACACCAAAATCTTGAGATGGTGATTTCTTGTACCATCTGTGCCCCCACATCAAGCCACTGGACTCGGCTGATGCAGTCATCTTTGTGCTGGCAAAACTTTTGGTTCAAGTGTATCTTGTTTCTTTGATGCACACTGGCCTATTCATATGGCTTCATATCTTGGAAAGAGCAGATCCTATTGATTTACGTCATTTTCTTTATCTTTACAATATCCTGTGGCAGTGTGAAAGAGCTGGTGTTCTCACCTTCCTTCCATTGATAGCACAACTGAGGCATAGTGAGAGTGAGTCGTGACCTTTGCACAGAAGGTCCCAGGCCAGGAATGTAAGAGATCTGAGGTCTTTAGAACCCAAATCTGCTTGGTTCTCCATGAGGTTATGATGGTGGGCAGGGTGGGGGGGAATACATATATACAGAGAGGCAGATAGACATAGATAGATAGATAGATAGATAGATAGATAGATAGATAGATAGATAGATTATAGATAGATAGAGATATAGATAAATTCTTCGGGTAAATCTTTAAGAGAAAAAAAAAACACTGCTAGACCCAAGAGAAATGAACACATGTTCACACAAAAACTTGCCCATGAATAACAACAGTATAATAATAGCCAAACAGAAGAAACACCCCAAATGTTCATCAGCTGATGAACAGAGAAATAAAATGTGGTGTATCCATGCAATGAAATATTATTCAGCAATAAAAAGGAAAGAAATGTTGATATGTTCTCCAATACAGAAGAACCTTGAGGACATCACACTAAAGGAAAAATGCTCATGTTGTTTGATTCCATTTATATGAAACGGCCAGAACAGGAAAATCTATAGAGACAGAAAGTAGATGAGTGGTTGCTTAGGCCTGGCAGGAGGGAGGAATGGGGAATGAACTGCTAATGGATATGGGGTTTCTTTGGGGGGTGACAAAAATATTCTAAAATTATAGTTGTGATGGCCGCACAACTTTGTAAATATACCAAAACCACTTAATTGTACATTTTAAATGGGTGAACTTCAGAGTATGTGAAGTATATCTCAATAAAGTCATTTAAAAACCCAAACCAGCCTGGCCAATATGGTGAAACCCTGTCTCTACTAAAAATACAAAAATTAGCCGGGTGTGGTGGCGCACGCCTGTAATCCCAGCTACTCGGGAGGCTGAGGCAGGAGAATAGCTTGAATCCTGGGAGGTGGAGGTTGCAGTGAGCCAAGATCACTCCACTGCACTCCAGCCTGGGCGACAGAGTGAGACTCTGTCTCAAAAAATAAAAAAATAAAAATAAATAATTTAAAAAACCCAAACCACTGCTATTGAAATAATTAACCCCGCGACAGGGCTTTGCCAAAGGATGTGATCTCACCCTGTAAGCTCTGAGAAGCTTGTCTTGTCCCATAGAGCCTGGCCATAGGTCACTCACACAATTCCACTGAGAAGAAGATAGATGGAAAAGATAGGATCAATTAATTTCTCCTTAGAGTCTAAACCAGGAGAGTTTTTTTCCTCTTTCCTGGACAGACATTTTAGATTTTTTAGAATCAGTCTCACTACTTTATTTTCACTTCTGGGTTTTAAATCATGCTTCCAAAAGTGTTTCCCATTCTAAGATTATAAATCTTATTAACTAATGTTTTCCTCTAAGGCTTGTCTCTTTACACTTAAACCTCGGATTCATCAGGAATTTAAATAAGAAACTGGGGATCCAGATTGGGTTTGTTTGTTTGTTTGTTTGTTTGTTTGTTTGTTTTTGCCAAATAGCTAGACAATTATTAAACCAGAAGTTCTTAATTTGGGGTTAAAGTGTGCCTGGGGCATCTTGTAACTTCCTGAAATTAAATGTAAAACTGTGTGTGTGTGTGTGTCTGTGCGTGTGTGTGTGTGTGTGCGTGTGTGCGTGTGTGTGTGTGTGTCCTGGGGAATAGAGCTATAGATCTTGTCAAGATTTTCAAGAGGTTTTGTGACTCAGGAAAACCAGTAGGCTTTCTATATTTCATAACCTGCTTGGGGTTATGTTGCATACACTCCAATATACCAAGACCCAATCTAAACCAACAGGATAGTTGTTAAATCATTACAGGGGAGGCCTGAGAGATCACTCTGTTCTCTGTCACATGTCAAGTGAGAGTTGCACCATCTTTTGGTTTGATGTTCTGCTGAGGCAAAGAATGAGAAGTCTCTCAATGGTTCCTCTTGGGTCTATAAAGCTTTAGTTTGTTGTTGCTGCTATTCTTTTTGAGACAGGGTCTTTCTCTGTCATCCAGGCTGGAGTGCAGTGGCGTGATCTCAGCTCACTGCAACCTGCGCCTTCTGGGCTCAAGCAATCCTCTCACCTCAGCCTCCCAAGTAGCTGTGACCACAGGCACATGCCACCACACCCAGCTAATTTTTGTGGGGTTTTTTTTGGTAGAGAAGGGGTTTCATCATGTTGCCCAGGCTGGTCTTGAACTCCTGGACTCAAGCAATCTGCCTGCTTCAGCCTCTCAAAGTGCTGGGATTACAGGCATGAGCTACTGCACCTGGCCTAAACTTTAGGTTTTTAATCATCAATTGACAAATCAATGGAGATAGTGCACAATTTTAGCTGACAAAACTTGGGGCCTTCCTGTCACAAAGACTTTGAGGAGGCAAGGTTCACAGCCTATAGTCCCATAAATATAAATAAATGATAAACTGAAAACAAAACTGCCATTACAAAGAAGGTGGCAGATCCTATGTGCAGGCTCATGCATTCATGTAATAAATGTATATGCAACACCCACTATATGCCAGGCATCGTCAAGACTGGTAGCTCTCAAAATGCAGTCCCTGGACCAGGAGCAGTAGCAGCAGTTAGAAACTTATTAGAAATATAAACTCTATTTCAGTAGGCCCACCCCAGATCTACTGAATTAGAAACTCTGAGGTTGGAGCCCAGCAATCTGTGTTTTAACAAATCCTCCAGGTGATTCCAGTGCACACTCGAGCTTGAGAACCACTGGTCTCGGTACTGAGTATATAACAGTGAGAAGACAAAGTCCTGCTCTCCTTGTGGAATTTGTATTCCAGTGTATGTGGTAGGGGAGACAGAACAAGTAAGTAAATATTTTATTTATTTTATTTTATTTTATTTTATTTTATTTTATTTTATTTTATTTTATTTTATTTTATTTGAGACAGAGTCTCACTCTATCACCCAGGCTGGAGTGCAGTGACACTATCTCGGCTCACTGCAACCTCCACCTCCCGGGTTCAAGTGATTCTCCTGCCTCAGCCTCCTGAGTAGCTGGGGTTACAGACGCCAGCCAACATGCCTGGCTAATTTTTGTAATTTTTAGTAGAGACGGGGTTTCACCATGTTGGCCAGGCTAGTCTCGAACTCCTAACCTCAGGTGATCCACCCGCGTCGGCCTCCCAAAGTGCTGGGATTATAGGCATGAGCCACCACGCCCAGCCTAAGTAAACATTTTATGAATACAATAATTTTGAGAAAGTAGTAAGTAGTATGAGGAAAAAGAAAGTGGGAGATGTAAAAAGACAGTGATAAGGGGCTGATTTAGAACGGGTGGTCAGGCTGCAGGTGGCCTGAGCTGAGACAAGAATAACAGGAAAGAGCCAGCCAGGCAAATAACCTAGAGGCAGAAAATAAATGCATAATTCTGGGCAGAGGGAATGGGAAGTACAAAGGCCCTGAGCTAGGACCAAGCCTGGCCCGTTATGAGGAGCAGGTGACTGGAGCACGGTGAGCAATGAGTATGTTGGGGGAGAACTTGCAGAGGCAGGTGGTGGTAGTGAGCTTGGCTTTTGTTCCTAGTGCAAGGGAAAGGCCCTGGACAGGTCTGAACAAATACGTACATGGTCTGATTTACCTTTTAGCAGGTTCCTTCTGAAATGAACTGTAGAGGGTTAGGGTAGAGCAGGGAGGCCAATTAGGAAGATACCCCAATACTCCAGGCAAGAAATTTGGTGCTTGGATGAACTAGACCAATGTGCAAACATCTATTATTAAGTGAAAAACAAACAATTACGCAGGACATTGTGCACAGTAATGTGTGTTTTTAGCATACACATATTCAGGGTACAAAGACAGTTTTCTTTCCTGAAAGGATCCATACATTCAAAGTGAATAGTGGTTATCTTTGGAGAAAAGAGGGTTAATGAGTGTCGTTTTATACCTCTTAGTGCAGTGTTATCATGTGCACAGAGTGTTCGTTTTAAGTAAAGGTAAAATTTTTTTTTATTTTTTATTTTTTCCCCAGACGGAGTCTCACTCTGTCACCCAGGCTGGAGCGCAGTGGCGCGATCTCGGCTCACTGCAAGCTCCGCCTCCCGGGTTCGCCGGGTTCACCGGGTTCACGCCATTCTCCTGCCTCAGCCTCCCGAGTAGCTGGGACTACAGGCGCCCGCCACCACGCCCGGCTAATTTTTTGTATTTTTAGTAGAGACGGGGTTTCACCGTGTTAGCCAGGATGGTCTCGATCTCCTGACCTCTTGATCCGCCCGCCTCAGCCTCCCAAAGTGCTGGGATTACAGGCGTGAGCCACCGTGCCCGGCCAAGGTAAAATATTTTAAAATTAAAAAACTAGGATTGAGGGGCCGGGCGCGGTGGCTCACGCCTGTAATCCCAGCACTTTGGGAGGCCGAGGTGGGCAGATCACGAGATCAGGAGATCGAGACCATTCTGGCTAACACGGTGAAACCCTGTCTCTACTGAACAAAATACAAAAAACTGGCCAGGCGTGGTAGCGGGCGCCTGTAGTCCCAGCTACTCCGGAGGCTGAGGCAGGAGAATGGCGTGAACTCGGGAGGCGGAGCTTCCATGAGCCGAGATCGCGCCACTCCACTCCAGCCTGGGCGACAGAGCGAGACTCTTGTCTCAGAAAAAAAAAAAAAAAAAAAACTAGGATCGAGGAAAACACAGTAGAATAGGCGACAGACAATCAATATTAGAGGAGAGGAAACCCAGCTCTCATGGGTAGGACCCTTCCCAAGCATCCTCCCCTGAAGTTGCTGAAGAATCAGGCTAACCAGCGGCGGGCAAGCGCATATGATTGGATTTCAGTGGGATCAGGGTGAGGCACCTTCCTTCTTGAGGGTCATTGGACTCAGCTTCTGTCCTGCAGTTCTGGTGATGTTTGTGGCTGGCTGGTCTCCTTGAGCAACGAATACAATTTCCCATGAATGTCTGCTGCATTTCCCATTGCCCTCTGTCATCGTGGCGCTTGCTTCACCATGAGACCAGGACACCCTTCATCTAACTGCCTCATTGGGCATAAACAGAGGGAAATGTGTTGCTGGAGGGAGAGAGTGGCATGCAGCATCCAATTTCTCCCGTCAGCTGATTAAGATTTGTTGTGCCTGAACACGGTCAAATGAGATTAGAAAGAAAATGCAATGTGTCTGGTGTGTGTTTCACATAACTGTATCATTTGTGTAAACAGGATGAATGAAGGGGAATTTTTAAGGCAAATATTGAATGTCATTCTCAAGAATCAAGGACAAGACACCAGGGCTTATGTTCTGCCTGGAGAGAAAAAAAATGTATATATTGGGGGCATTTTGAACCCTGTTGATTCAATAATGCTCTGCTTCTTTCATGCTGGTACAGTTAAAATGTGATAGTTATATGTCTGATTTTCAGAGACACTGAGCACAAAATAAGTAAAACCACAGAACCACCACATTCTACCTTTGTTGCCCTTCTAAAGCTCTTAGGAGAGGTGTAGAGCCACTTTCTGTAATAGCAGCTGCCTAAGTGCTCTGCATTGAGTCCATCTGTTAGGATGCGAAAGGAAAAATCTCACCTCTGGCAAGAGCCACAACATTTTAGATGTGGATGACTCCGGGGCAAGCCCACGTCTCTGTGGATAAACCTACTAGAATTTTTTTTGGTCCTCCAAACCTGTAATTTTCTTCCTTTCTCCAGGGACCCCTCTGCAGTACTAGCAGCCTCTCCTACAAGGTTTTATCAGGGCAGAAATGGCTTTTAAAGTGGTGTAAGAGCTTTGGAGGAAGACATGATTTCTGTTACATGTTCTGCATACGATCTAGCATATTGTGGATGCTTAATAAGCAGCTTCGACGGCTATTATTTCCACTGACTATTTCCAGGCACAGAGCTGGAGGGCTATTCTGAGACCAGACTTTTCGACTAGGTCATTGCAAAGTCCCTTCCTACTCTAAATAACAGTGGGGCTGAAAAGCATTCACATGATCATGTCTCCAGACTGGGAAAAATCTCAATATATGTTATTTAAAAGGTAAATCTAGATAGTAACAGAAGTTCAAATAAATGTAGAAATTGAAGGATATTATAATGAAATTTTAAAAAATTTCCACATTGGCGGGAATTATATTACAGTAAATACCTTAACTGAGGATTATTTCCCAGTATTTGGACAGTAATATTGCCAAACACCCAATATGCAGTAGATAAATTAGCATATGTCAGTAGCTAGGGATTATATTTGCCTAAAAGCTGTGTGTGTATGTGTGTGTGAGTGTGTGTGTTTAAACAGGGTTTCACAACTGGACATAATGGAGAAATAAAATAAAATAATGACTTGCATTTGCATTCCCTGCGTTCAAGGTGCTCGAACACACTTGGACACATTTGATTGTCATGATAATCCTGTGAGTTTGCAGGGAAGATATGAGTAGGAAAGTCTCATTAATTTCCACTAGGAGGGGGGGAATCTGGAGCCCTTGGGCTGAATTGCCCAACAATGGCCAACCACACAGTGCAGGCAGGTTAACACGGGGTTAACCTAAAGCAGGGAGACCTGGTTTTAGTCACAATGAGGACTTTAACTAAGGGTACCACCTGAGTGAGTCTCTGAGTCTGCATCTCTGTCCTTAGGATTTTTAGGGTATTTTCTAACTTTCAAGTCTATCATTTCACGTAGTTAAAAAGGGTTAACATGCATACTACATCTAGCATAATGATTCTTTAATACTTGGAAAACCATTGTCCAAAATATTTTCTTTAAGGATTCAGAAGGCCCTTTGGAAACTTGCAGATACTCAGGAAGATTATTATGTTTTAAAGCAAATTATCAGTATCCTTTGCAGGTGTAGAAGTGGTAGTTCATGAGGGTTCCAATTAATAGGGTCTCAAGAAATCAACATTTTCTGTATATTCAAGTCCCTTTTGGGAGCTGCTGCTTATCCGTGATTGGAGTTCTGTGATGATTGAGCCTCTAGCTCTTTAGTACAGGACACGAGCTCCTTCTCCAAGGCTCATCCCTTCAGAAGGCACATGGATGGCTTCCCCACACCCCCATGCTCTGTGGGGAGTGTGGGGAACAAACTGCAACTCCATCCTCTCTACACCTAAGCAACTACCCAGAGGAGGTAGAGACTGGAGAGCATATTTCTAGTTCTGACAGGTCGATCTGTACCTCTCTACCTGAATCATCAGGTGAGCAGGCTTGTGTACATACATGGGAGTGCATGCGTGCACACACACACACACACACACTCATGCCTTCTGGGCTCAAACGCCTGCATAAGCAGGAGCGACTCTTCAATTATTGGAAACTATTAATCATGTTTTCATTTGGTTTCTTCAAAGACAGCTCTTGATCCATATCCTTTCAGTCCACCTTATTCCCCACCTTCTAGCCAAAGAGTTATTTGTCCAGACAGCTCCCTCCCTTCCTTACCCTGTCCTGGCCAGAAGTCTAAAGAGGATGTCCATGGCCCATTGAAGAATTTCCCACCCCTGAAGTTGAGCTCACCTGAGGATTCACCTCATCCAACGGGGACAGGCTTGAACAGTGGAGAGGGAGGACAGAGCTGCCACCTCTGCAGCCCCTCGCCAGTCCCAACCTGGATGGCTTTTGCCTCGATTGACTTCGTAAAATGCCATTTGTAGGGCTTGGCTCTGGGGATGGCACAGACAGACACACACACGCACACATACACGTTGCCACACACAGACACCTACACCCCATGCAGGGATGCCAGATGACAGAACAGAAAAGGCCTCCCTTTCATCCAGCAGCCTTCTGACTCCAGAGGAGAGTCTCCGAGCCACGACCTGCTGTTTCCCTGGCAACTCAGGCCTCAAAATAAACAGGATTCTGCTCAGACGGGCCAGAAGTCCATTCGGCTCACACATTTGCCCCAAGACAAACCACGTTAAAATAACACCCAGGGTAGCTGCTGCCACCGTCTTCTGTCTCTACCTCCCTCCTGGCTGGCCAATGGCTCTGTGTTCCTGGGCCTGCTGCTGGCTGTCCAGAGTAGGGGTTGCTTAGAGCTGTGTGCATCCCTGCGGGTGGTGTGGGAGTGGGCGGTTGTCTAAAGGCAGGTCCCCTCTACTGATAAACAAGGACCGGAGATAGACCTAGAGGCTGACATTCTTGGCTCCCCCAGCCTACACCCCCCCCACCTCGATTTCCCACAGAGCCCTAGGGACGGGTAGCCAGCTCTGTGGCATGGTATCTGGAGGCAGGCCAGCAACCTGATGTGCATGCCACGGCCCGTCCCTCTCCCCACTCAGAGCTGCAGTAGCCTGGAGGTTCAGAGAGCCGGGCTACTCTGAGAAGAAGACACCAAGTGGATTCTGCTTCCCCTGGGACAGCACTGAGCGAGTGTGGAGAGAGGTACAGCCCTCGGCCTACAAGCTCTTTAGGTAAGAATCAGGGCATCTGATCTGGGAAACAGAGCAGGTTATAGCTGAGGTTGTGTGTGTGTGTGTGTGTGTGTGTGTGTGTTTTGTGTGTGTGTCCAAGTGCAAATGTAATGCTACTTGGAGAAGAAAGAAAATGTTTCAAGCAGATAGCACTGGAACCAGGACTCCTGCAAGTGAATCTCAAGAAGCTCACCTTTGGCTGGGTTTAAACCATGGTGCAGACTGCTCTGGGGGAAGGGCATGCTGATGTCACAGACATGTAAAAATAGTACTTCTAGTTTAGAGACTGCAAAAATATGAATGCACCATGCCGCCACATTATCTCCATTCCTCCAGTGCCCGCCTGACACTGGCCCTGAATCAGGGCTGGAGGGGGCAGGCATTTCTCATTTACTAAAGTGCTGGATGCAGCCCTTGAGGTTCGGCAGAAGCAGAAAGCTGCGGTGAGTCTGGCTGTGGTGAGTGTGGCTAGCATTATCGTGCTGTGTCACACTAGCTCTCTCTTGGGAAGCCTGGATATTCAGCTGCCTTGGAAAAGCTGTCCACATGGTGGGCAGCTTAGATTTTATTAACCTTTTGATATAGAAGTCAGGCTGAAGTTTAGGATTATCTGGGTGTGTCAGCTCAGGGTTTTGGTAGGGTGGTATTCCCATGGCCCCATGGTCACTCGGATTACTTCTTTCCTTCCTTTCTGATCTTGGAATATCACATCCTCGTTTCAGTACCCCTCCGATGGGCACTAGGAAAGAAGGAGTCAGAATGGACAGAGTCTCTGGCACATACACTATCCACACCCACATCACAATTACATGCCAAAGGTATGCAAGGCTGCTGCAGAGGAGCACTTCAGAAATGCAGCCCTCCAGATACTGAGATGGAAATTTCAGGCATTTAATCAAGTACGCACTTTTCAGAGACCCAAGGGAGGCCCAAGGGCTCACTCTGCCTCAGCAGAATTCAAACACTCCATTATTCTCTAGCTATGTTACATCCACCCACCACCCCACCACCCCCGCTTGCCTCCCTCCTTTCTGCACTGGTGACTGGCACTTTTCCTTTCATTCTCTACAGGGATGCGATTGTTTACGAGTTAGCTCCCCGACCCAGTGGGAGGACTTGAGCATCCCGGCTGAGGGCGAGCCAGGCTGCCCCTCCACCAGCTCTGTGTAACAGTGAGCCAGCAGCAGTGGCATCAGGGCTGAAAGGAGTGGGCCTCGCTTTGGGAAGTGATGTCTAGTGAAGGGTGGCCAGCAGTTTACTGGAGCTGTTTGTCAGTGTGGATGACTGAGGATTTTGGTGGAGACTCTGATTCACAGTCGCAAATTCCCTTTTCCTTTGTTTTCTTTGTGTTGGTCTTTGAGGGCTTCCGAGGAAAGTCCCCTCTTGAGATGTTGATCTGAAGGCAAGATCAACAATTTGCTGTTGGCAGAGGGACTCAGAGAGACTTTCTTCTGTTGCCCCTGCCTTTGTTAGTGTGAATAAATGGGTTTGCAAATGAAGTATGTAATCCAAAGCAAACTTAGTATGCAAAACTTTAAGAGAAAACACAATGAGTTTCTTTTAAATTCTCTCTCAAATCTGCTGTTTACATATGACTTGACTAGTTCTGCAAAGGATCAAGGAAGCCATATCTGGTTAAGTGGTTTGACTTTACAGGTGAGTAGCACCAGCCATGATGATAACATTCAGTGGAGATGGTGGGCGGACATCCATATGCCGTATCTACATTGAAGGGACATCTCATCTTGGGACAGTGCAGCCACTCACTTAGGTGACATGCATTCTGTGAACTACACATAAACTATTAGGATCTTGGGACTGCTGTTACAGGAAAGAGATCCAGACCCCAAGAGAGGGTTCTTGGATCTCAAGCAAGAAAGAAGTCAGGGCGAGTCCGCAGTGCAAAGCAAAAGCACTTTCTTTTTATTAAGAAAGTAAAGTGGTGAAAGCACAGCTGCTCCACTGACAGAGTAGGGTGTTCCCAAAAGTAAGAGGAGGAACACATCCATCCTAGGTACCATGCTCGTATATATAGGATTTTAAAAAGATCATGGGGAGATGTGCTCTGCTACAAGGGTTTGTGATAAAGGATAAAGGATTAATTTTCTTTTCCTTTTTTTTTTTTTTTTTTTTTTGAGACAGAGTTTCACTCTTGTTGCTCAGGCTGGAATGCAATGGCACAATCTCGGCTCACTGCAACCTCCGCCTCCCGGGTTCAAGCAATTCTCCTGCCTCAGCCTCCCAAGTAGCTGGGATTACAGGTGTGCGGCACCATGCCCGGCTAATTTTGTATTTTTATTAGAGACGGGGTTTCTCCATGTTGCTAAGGCTGGTCTCTAACTCCCAATGTCAGGTGATCCAACCGGCCTCCCAAAGTGCTAGGATTACAGGTGTGAGCCACTGCACCTGGCCTAATTTTCTTAATTACTATATTTTGCAAGAATCCATATTATCTTTAAAGCAAAATTAGGAATGCATTTGTTCTCAAAATATCGGGCTACCTGGAGACTCCCAAGTCTGAGTCTGTGTAGTAAACATTATCAATCTATTCCCTTAACCATAAATATCTGGAGTCTAGGAATGCCTAATTTTCTGGGAATGCAGCCCAGCAGGTCCCAGCCTCATTTTCCCAGCCCTCACTCAAGATGGAGTTGCTCTGGTTCGAACGCCTCTGACACTGTCAGCCTGTATGCTAGCTCCCAGGGGTTAGGTATTGTGCAGAGTGGACACACCCATTTCCACCTCATTAAATAAGCAGTGCATGGCTAATGCAGTATCCCTTGATTTAGGTTGCTGGAAAAATAATCTGAAGTTGTTTGTGCCACAGGCATACCATGCTTTAGGTAAATCTAACATCTATACATGTGGGTGAGAGTACTTTTTCTGAAGAAAGGGTTCACTAATCAACAAATGTTCAAGTACCAGCAAGGCGTCCCCATCTTGAGATATGACTGGATCCAGCCCAAACAACCACAGAGAAGGAAGGGGACTGATTGGGTGGGCAGGTAACAGAGAATGGGCCTGGGCTAGCGTGTCCAACTCAGCGGAAAGATAAGCAAAGGAGTCCAAGGTACAGGAACAAGAACAAGCATCTGGGCCAGTGGCCTACAGGGAGAGAAAAGGGGAGGGAAGGAATAGCAATTATTTTGATTATTAAATACACCATGGTTTAAACCCAGCCAGAAGTGAGCTTCTTGAGTTCACTTGCAAGAATCCTGGTGCCAATGCTAACTGCTTAAAACATTTCTCTGTCTTTAACTTTTTCGTTGTTTTCCCCTTTCCTTTTTAATAATTAAATTATACTACTTACGAGAGGGAGCATAACACATTAGCTAAGTACATAGATTCTGTAGCTGGGCTGCCTGGGATCCAAATTCTGCCACTTATTAGTCCTGTGACTTTGGCCCTTGGTTTCCTCATCTGTAAAGTGGGGGTAATAAAGTACCAGCCTTGTTATGGAAGGAATCAAATGAGTAATGCCCTTATCAGCACAGGGTCTAGCTCATAGTGAGTACCATGTATTTGCTATTATTATTATTATTATTCAAAGGTGAATTCTAAAAAGGCTGCTTTGGCCAGGTGCGATGGCTCATGCCTGTAATCCCAGCACTTTGGGAGGCCAAGGCGGGTGGATCACCTGAGGTCAGGAGTTCAAGACCAGCCTGGCCAACACGGTGAAACCCCATGTCTACTAAAAATACAAAATTACCTGGCATAATGGCACACACCAGTAATCCCATCTACTTGGGAGGCTGAGGCAGGAGAATCACTTGAACCTGGGAGGCAGAGTTTGCAGCGAGCCGAGATCGCGCCATTGCGCTCCAGCCTGGGTGACAAAAGTGAAACTCTGTCTCAAAAAAAAAAAAAAAAATAGAGGAGAAAAGGCTGCTTACAAGTCCATTTGTTCCAAAGCCCAAAGTGACACTCTATAAGTGACCCCTGGTGCCACTGCTAGGGTAGCTTGGAGACACATTTGCTTTGGCATGGAGCTTTGTTCACATGTACGCGCACTCAGACATGGAACAGCTTTTGGACCGGTCCCCAACATTTATTGAGCCCTTGCTGTGCCCAAGCACTGTGCTTGGCTGTAAGTGTATCACCTCACTCAATACTCATGACAACGCTGCATATAATAGTAGGGGCTGTTATAGATGCAGGAATTGAGGCTTGTTGGGTGGGGTGTTTGGCTAAGGTCACACAGCCACCAAGTGGCAGAGCCAAGCTTCATACCTAGGCTGTCCAGCGAGCCTGTGCTCCTCACTGATAGGCTGTATATGGTTTGGGGGGATTATGAGAGGTGTCCTGAGAGGCACATGGAGCTTGGTGATAGGAATTCAGCACCAGATGATATTGGAAGACCCTAGAAAGTAGGCCAGGATTTGGAAATTCTGCTAAGAGATGGCAGGACCTTAGCTTGGGCCATAGGTAGAATCTCAACCTTGAGGACCCATAGCCTCTGGGATTGGGTCTTTGGGGCAAGACATGAACACAGGCACTGGGGAACAGTGGGGCTAAGGTTTTTCTGACCAGGTAGTGGACGGTGCCCAAGAACAAAATAAACAGAGTGCTAACAACAGAGCCCCAAGCACAGCAAGCGTGCTGGGCCAGGGGGCCTTACAATCCTCAAGCCTAAGGCCAGAGGTCATGTTGAGCTAAATTTGAAGTCAAGATTGGGTAAGTATCTGAGCACAGTACAATTTACAATAATGAAAACAATTTGATTTGCCAATGCAATCCCTCTAAATATTATATTTAAAATGTGACTTACAGAGATTTGTTTTATACCAAATTGCTCAAGACCGTCTCCTGACCTTGTCCAAGGAATGTTGGTGATGAGAACAGGTGTGAGGGGCGTGCCTACCTTGCACCAGGGCTGTGTCAACATGGGGTATTACTCATGGACATGACTCATCTCTGCTCCTCCAGGAACTGTGGCTTTGTCCAGGGGTTTTCAAATTTTAATGTGCATAAGAATCACAGGGGAACTTGTTTAAAAATCAGGTTCCTGGTTGCTCCCCACAATTTTGATTCGGTGGCTTCATAAGGGACCCAGGATTCTGCATTTTCTGGGTGGGGCCTAGGTAATTCTGTTGCCTTTGGTCCACAGAGCACAATTAAAGAAGATCAGGTCTGGCTGTTGCTCGGCTTCCTTTCTCGTTGTGACTATGAGAGGGAACACAGAGTTGTGTGGACTCAGTCATGGCAATTACCCTCTTCTTTGTCATCACTTCTTCCTGAAATACCTGGTGAGACCACCCCTATTATGATAACAATAACAGCACATTTGGTACATATTGAGTTATTATGTGCTGGGTACACTGTGAAGCCCTATGCTTGGGCTAGTCTCTCATTTAATCTTCACAACAATCCCATAAGTGAGGTATTACTATTTTACCCACATTTTATGAGCAAGGGAAAAACCTCACTGGTAGTAAGTGACTGAGTGGGGATTTGAACTCAGAACTAGCAGCTTACCAGAGCCTAGATGTGTAACTAACTGCTAGGCCATTCAATGAGAGTAGTTTTAGCTCCTGTCAGTACCACGCTCCTTTCTCATTCTTCAGTGGGGTGTCTTTCTCCAGTTGCCATTCCTGTCATGCCCATCCCATTCCCAGACTCCTGTGTCCTTTCTTCAGAAGACGTGTCTGGTGTTTCCTTATTTTTATTTCATTCAATGAGTCGAAGACAGTTGTGGCAATGGACATGTGGTGGTAGGTGTTAGGGTTGAGTTGTGTCCACCCCCAAATTCATAAGATGAAATTCACCCCCTATCCCCTATTGCCCGAGAATGCAACCTTATTTTGGAGATAGGGTCTTTACAGAGATAATCAAGTTACAATGAAATCATTAGGGTGGGTCCTACTCCACTATAACTGGTGTCATGCATAGAGAGAAGACAAAGTGAGTGGACATAGGAAGAAGATGGCCATCTACTAGCCAAGGAGAGAGGCTTGGAACAAGTCCTTCTTTCATAGCCTCAGAAGGAACCAACCCTGCTGACACCTTGATCTTGGACTTCCAGCCTTCAACACTGTAAGAGAATAAGTTTCTTGTTTCTGTTGTTTCAGCCACCCAGCCTATGGTGCTTGTTATGGCAACCATAACAGACTAACCCCGTAGAAAGCCAGATTCCTAGGTTCCCCCGCTAGGCCATGGCTCTGGGGTGATCTGGTTGAAGGCCTACACATGCTGCAAAGGTTTGGCAAATTGGGAGCAACAAGTAGGCCCAAGGCCCAAGAGGGAAGAAGGAATGAACAGAAAGAGTGAAGAGGGAGGAAGGAAGCAAATGTAAATAAGAGAAGGGAGGCTGGAGGAAAAGAGGAAAGGGAGAGGGGATTGGGATGGGCCTACTGAGGGCCATGTCAGGTTCATTCAGCTCAGCATGGATGCCTCCTGTGTGCCAGAGGGCATGTGAGACACTGGGCTACAGCAGTGCCTGAGGACAAGAGCCCCCACCTTCATGAAAGTTAGAGGCTAGATGGGGGTATAGACATCAATCAAGCAGCAATTCTACCGAGTGGTCCTGAAAAACCACATGGCAGGGGAACTTGACCCCAACAGGGGGTCCTGGAAAGCTTCCATGAGGAGGTGAGGCTTGGGTTGAGGTCTGACGGATCAGCAGATTTCAACTGGTGAGGGCAGAATATTTCAGGTGGCAGGGAGAGGAGCATGCACAAAGGTTGCCTGGTGTGAGGAAGCCTGGCATCACCAAGGAGCGGGAGGAAGGCCAGTGTGGCTGAGTGCAGGGATGAAGGGGAGAGCCAGAACCCAAGAAGCAGGCGGGGTCAGACTGTGCGGCCATACTGAGGATTTAGTTCCTTAAGCTGTGAGCCCTAGAAAGCCAGGGGAGAAAGTGATCCTATGTAGGGCAGTCTCTCATTTCAACGAAGGGAACGATGGGCTAGAAGGGCAGATGGCAAGTTTTAGCAGTGGGTCAGCCCTGGAGAGAGACGTCAGGCTTTCTGAGCTCACACACCCAAGGTTGGGTGCCTGGCCATTAGGGAGTGAAGTTCCAGGCCACTCCTCAAAGTGTTTTAGCCATAGTCCTTCCTCAACAGAGTATGCTCTAGGAATTTGCAATGGCTCCACTGGGAAGGGTCTGAATAGGGACTCTCCTGTCAGTACAGCTAATTAGTAAGCTAGGCAGCCGGGCCAGGCTCAGACTGCAGTGGACTAGGCAGCCCCTTCTTTGGCATCATTTGAAGGACACAGAAAGGTCTTATAAATCTAGCCTCTCTTTTGCCTGCCTGTACTTTGCCTGAAGTTGCAGGAGCAGGCGTGCATTCAGAAGGTGATTTATTCATCAGGGACTGTGGCGAATGGCAGAGATTAGTCCAGGCAGAGCCCATGAGAGCACTGGGGGAGAGAATGGGTGGAGACAAGCCTGGAAAGGGGCAGAGGGCGCTGAAAGGAGGAGTGCAGAGTACCCGAAGCCCAATTTGCCTTTTTCATGATGTCACCAAGAAGCAGCAAGGTGGGTGCTGCGGGTGAGGGAGAGTCCCAGGTTGGTGTTTGCAGCCTTGCAGGTGCCTGAATGACTCCATTCCGAGGCAAACACATCCATCACTGGGGAGCTTCTCAGCTGTTGTTGGCATGATCCGTATGTAAAAAGTCTGCATATAAAACCGAATGCCATGCCTTTACCACATACCCCGTCTGCCACAAAAATAATTCCCTTCTCTTCAGTTTGAGCAGAGGGACTGGATTTGGCTTAGCAATGATGAGTTCCTGAAGCATACTGTAAGGGAGAGTGGTGATTTTCAGGAAGGTGAGAAAGTAGACAGGAGGCCTCTTGGGGGGTAAGATCCATCTGACTCTTACCCATCCGACATCACACCAACCCATCCAGCCCTGGCCTCCTGTCTGCTCCTCTGCTGTTCTAGGCCCTTTCCTGACTCTCAGACTTTGCAACTGCTGTTTCATCTGCCTGGGATGCTTTCCCCCCAGTTCTTCAGGTAGCAGGCCTCTTTCCATCCTTCAGGCCCTGCCTCTCTTGTCAGTTCCTCCAAAAGTTTTCCCTGTTTCTCCCCTCTGACTTATTTTTCCTTCATGCCGCTTACCTCAATTCGTAATTTTCTTGTCAATTTTTAAAAAAACTTTCTATTACCCATTCTCTCCCTTAGAATGTAAGCCTTATGAAGGCAGGAATAAGACCTTGTCTGTTTTGCTCCCTGCTATATCCCCAGTGAATAGGACAGAGCCGTGCCACAGGGTAGGTGCTCAAATATCAGTCTAATGAATGACTGAGTGAATCACTAAATGTTGGGAGTGTTAAAGCCAAGACTCAGGACAGCAATGGGACCTTCTACCCTCTGTTGTCCCTTATAGCTCTGGAAAGGGGCCTGGAAAGTAAAGCTGAGACTTTTGCATCAAGAGCCTCTCACCCTAACTCAGGTGGGCTGGCCTCTTGCAGTTCCCAGGACCCTATGCTATGTGTCAGCTGCTCTGGCTTAGTCGGCTTAGTGTCATCTCTGCAGAGAACTCACTTCGGAAGCCTGGAAAAATCCACCCTAGTGGTATTATTCATGCTTAGAGATGAATAACTTCTTTTGGCTGATGGGCATCAAAGACAAACAAGTGATGTCAGGCACCCAGAAGGGAGACATGGATCCAGCATGTTCCAGCCCTTGCACCCATGGAGACAGACAATGTAGCTCATCTCTGCCTTCCCCATCAGTCTGATGGGAATAGTGGAAGCAGTTTGCATTGATTAATCAATGTGTGCAAAGTGCTGAACCAATACCTTTAAGGACATAAAGAGCTTCTAGAAAATGAGACTCTTCTTATCCTTCGTCAGAATATCTATCAGAATTAAGAAACAGCAACTAAAGGAAAGTTGAGAATGAATGCTCCAGAGTCGCTCCCTGGAGTCTACGCAGAGCAAGTTCGCAGCCCAGAGGAGAAGAGAGCTGCTGCCCGGGCCAGTCCAGGCTTTTTGCAGTTGGCTGCATTGCCTTTGGTGATAAGGTGGTATTTAAGTTATAGGAGTAAAACATTCCTCCTTGAGCCTTGATTTGTTGTTGTTGTTGTTGTTGTTTTGTTTTTTGTTTTTGTTTTGAAGTAAAAATGGGGATCTTTCTAAATGGCAGAGATGCAGGGTGACTTCAGAATGGTTTCTTTCAATTGAGAGTTATTTCCAAGGATGAAATCTTCACTCAGTTGGCCACACAAAGCTCACTGCCATTCTCCCAGGCTGGTCCTGGGATGTCTTAGCTGAAGGCATGTGAAGCAGAGCCCTAAGCTCCTTGGAAAGCTAGCTCACACAGAAGAAGACAGGAATACTTCTGACAGTTCTGACCCATCTCTCATTAACCTTTCCCTATTTCAGAGCCACAGCCTGTGGCACTCTGGTAGGGTAGCATGTTGGTCAAAGCATGAACCCTGGAATGGGACTGTCTGGGTGTGAATTCTGGATCTGACGTTCAATAGCTGCGTGACCCTGGTCAAGTTACACAACCTCTTTGATTCCATAAAATAGAGATAATAGCAGCGGTTCTGTCCTAGGGTTGTTGACAGGAAGATGTGAGTTAATATATCTAAAGTCTATACTACATGCCAGCACTGCATCAGTGTAACTTGTTCCTATCTCATAGGATTGGTGTAAGAATGTAGGGAGAGAATCCACGTAGAGTGCCTAAAATGTTTTAGCACGCAATGCACAGCACCTAGTATTTGCTCAATAAGATATGAATGATTGTTGCGGCTGGCAAATTTTCTGGCAAAGGTTTTTTGGAAGTCTTCATGAGAATGTACTTGAATTCAAAAAATGGTACTAGGACATGCAGGTCACCTGTTTCCCTGCTGTTCCTTTGTCGGCCTTTTTTCTTCCAGGGGAAGATTATTATCCTGTGCCTTTTAAGCACTTGAAATCCTCATGTCAGGAGCCTAGAACTAGCCGAGAAAGAAATAGCCTCCTTAAAGAGGTTACGCCCAGGGCAGACACAGGCTACTTGTTCCGAAGTTTTAAGCTGTAGATGTTCCCAAAAAATGATTAAAGAAGAGTTGACTTCAATAGATCCCTTTCGCTCAATGCACAAAAAGGCTTTGGGGTTCCCAACCAGCCAGGGGGTGTTCAGTTCCTCAATATATGTACGTTTTGAAAATTCTGCTCAATGTCCCCTGGCACTGAGCTTTGAGTTCAAATCATTTGGACAGTGACTGCAGAGATAAAAGGACAGGCTATTATAGGTGGTAAATTGCACAGCCATTTTGCATTTTGGCTGCCCGATGCTCCACCCTCCCTTGTTGGGTGACCTTGGGTGGGGAACAGGTCCTGTTTACATTTTAGTTGCCTTATCTGTAAGAGCTCCTGTCTCAGCGGACGGACGGTGGTGGAGGTTAAATTCAAGGTGGCATGTAAAGCTCTCAGCATAGCTGTCTCTCTTGATTCTTGCTAATTCTCTTCCCCTTCTTTTGTGGTCCTCCTGACTGCCTCATAGCTGTGGATATGGAAAAACCCAGTGGTGATCAATGTTTTCGAGGTCTGAGAATATTCCCTTGCACCAGGTGACCATGAGCACATCACTTGGCTTCCGCACCAGCACAGAGAGATGGATTCTGGGAAGGGGTCCAGGTCGCAGTCTGGAGGAGGGGATGCTGGCAGCCCCCACACTCCCCTCAGCCCATCCTTTCACCAAGGGAGGCCAGAATATGGATTTTCACTTGCTGCTCCCCTGGGTCGTTAGGCCTCTCATTAAGGCCTGAAGATTTTCTCCTGTACAGAAGGTGGACCTCTTCCTGTCCCACTATGACCCTCCCTAAGGCTTCCCCACCTCCCACTGAGGTCTGAGGGTTTAATACACAGCTGGTTCAGGGTGGATCCAGATGCATGCGGCGCAGGGGGGAGCGTTTCCAAGGCGATGGCCGGGTTGTTTCTAACGACCCATTGACCTGACCCTCCCCACCTCACGCCGCCCCTGAACCAAGCCAAGCCTTTGGAGGGCGGCTTCACCTTGGGATCCCTGGCTGCAGCCCTACTGTGGTGGGAGGTTCGGCTCCCACGCTGGATGGGCCCTAGGGGAGGTCAGAGGGAGGGTGAGCCAAGGAAGGCCTTATGGCTTCTCGTTCCCTCCAGGCCTCTCCCTCTTATTCTGACCCGTGGCAGGCAGAGGAGGGGTGTGGAGTCCCTTGTTCTAAGAATTATAAAGAATATCTCTTTAGAAACCTCTAACCACGTCTTGCTCTAGGATGGAAGCATATCCTGAATTGGCCACTTTAAAGTCTTTTCATACACTGCAGATCCAGAGAGAGGCTTCTGGTGACTAATCGGGAGTCGTGCATTGGTCAGACTATTGCAGCCCCAAAGTCAGTGTTTTTCCGGAGCCAAGATCCCATTGCTTCCTGGCCGGTCCCACATCCTGCTGGACCTGCGTTGGCTGGCTCATGTTTCTCATTATCTCTCCCCCAGCCTCTTTAAAGGCTTCTCACTCTACCCAAGGGTTTTATTTTTAACTTGCACAGTAACACTAGGGTTGAGCAGGGATACCACCTACATTCACAGGAAATGGGGCTGCCTTGGAAAGGTGTCCCCCTCTCCAGGGACTTTCTCCCTCCCTGCCTCCCTTCCTTTCATATTTAGGGAGCACCTACCCCAGGTGGGCCCTCCCCAGAGGTAGAACAACACAAGAGCAGATACGATCCATGCTCTTGAGCCACTGACATTCTGATGGGGCAGAGGAGTGGGTGACAGATAGAGCATAACACACGAAAAAGTAGGCCAACAAAGAAATAAACCAAGTCAACAGGGATTGTGATAAGATGTCTTCTCCAAAGAGAACAAACAAGGCACCAGGACAGGGAAAGCTATTATACATTGGGAGGGGAGGGGAGCCTCTCTGAGCAGGTGACATAGAAGTGGTGGCCAGTAGAACAAGGGGCACCAGGCACACATGAAGCAGGGTGAGGACTGTTCCTCAGGGAGGGAGAACAGGTGGGAGGGCCTGTGGTGGGCATGAGCTTGGTGTGTGCTAAAATGCCACAGAGGCCAGGGTTCTGGAGGAAAGTAGTCAAAATGAGGCTGGTGAGGCATGCAAAGACCTCATGCAGGGCCCTGGAGCCATGCAAAAAGTTTGGGGCTTTGTTCTGAGTGCAGTGGAAAGTCACTGGGCGTGTTGGATGTAGCAGGGGTCAGGCAATGATTGACATTTTAAGACCCTCGCTGAAGATTGATATTCTCCTATAAAGAAGGTGGACCCCTGAGTGGAGAACTGACCCTAATCACCCTAAGTGGGGTGAAGGAAAGGCAGGGACATGATTTAGGGGGCTACCGAGTCATGTAGAAAAGAGATAATGGTGGCTGAGGCTGGAGTGGAGCAGGACCACAAAAGAGTCAGGCTGGTTCTTCCAGAAATTAGCTTGATACCAAACATCTTCCTTCTAAAGAGCTCATAGAACCATATCCCACAATCATCAGGCAGAACAGAACACCAAGGCCTGAAGTCATAGAATTGTATAAGCAATAGAGTTTAGATAGCCTATTGCTTGTAACTGGTCATATTTATTACGTTTCCAAACACAAGGAAGATCTTTGTCCAACATCTGCCTCTTTGATTTTCTGAATGGTGTGTAAATACTCCTCTCTCTTTATACCATGGTAGCTATCTCTGTTCTTTGTATCATTGGCTGAGATAGGAGACCAAATGGACCAACTCCACTATTCCTGAGGAATTTTTGGATCAACTAAGAATAAAAGATGAGAAAAGGCCCAAATTCTCAACTCTGATAGAATTTGCCTTGACTGAGTGATGCCACTCACCTGCAAAACTCAAAGGTGACTTTAGATGCCTGAATAGCCTGAACAGTTTTCCGTGCTCTCCAAGAAAAACACTATTGTGTTACTGCTCTTCAGAAGAAAGGAGATGGAAAACAACAGTACCACAATGCAGAGATTCTGCATCGAATAATAATAACAATAGCTATTATCTGTTGTTTGCTTCAAGGCACTTTACTTACATTAACTCACTTAATCACTGATGAGGTAAGTCCCCCTCTTAATCCTTTTCACTGATGATGGAACTGAAGCTTAGAGAGAAGTGATGTGAAGTCTCACGGTAGGAGCAGAGGGTCAGGTCCGGAAGCTGGTCAAACTCCTAACTATAAACCAGGGCTTGACTATCTGCCTTGGTTGCTAGTTAATTTAAAAACTGCATAGAAGGCAGGGGGCGGTGGCTCACATCTGTAATCCCAGCACATTGGGAGGCCGAGGCAGGAAGACCACCTGAGATCAGGAGTTCGAGACGAGCCTGGCCAACAGGGTGAAACCCCATCTCTACTAAAAATACAAAAATTAGCCAGGCATGGTGGTGCGTGCCTGTAATCCCAGCTACTTGGGAGGTTGAGGCAGGAGAATGGCTTGAACCTGGGAAGCGGAAGTTGCAGTGAGCCGAGATCACACCATTGCATTCCAGCCTGGGCGACAGAGTGAGACTTGGTTTCAAAAAAAAAAAAAAAAAAAAAACTGTACAGAAAAAGACCTGAAGGAGAGCATCCAAAACGTTAGCAGAGCAGGGATGTGAGTAATTTGCTGTGTATTTCATGTAGTTTTTTTTATTGTTTTGAATATACAGTGCCTGGTACTTGGTGGAGTGGATGCTCAACATCTATTTGTTTAATTAAATTGTTCAGTTAATGAGTATATGTTACTCTAACATTATTTTTGAATAGCTAAAGTAATAGATCTCATTATAGGAAATAGAAAATTTCAGGAATTTTAAGATTAAAATTTATTCATCATCCAGTGGTAATCACTGTTAAAATATTGGTAACATTGATTTATGCCTTTTCAGTTTTTTCCTGTTTATGTCTGTGTCTGTCTCTTTATCTACCTATCTATTTATGCACATATATGTGTGTGCATAGCAAAAAAGGTATCATACTGCATAGTCTTTTAACTTGTATGTAATGGAATGATGACATTACTCACCTCTCAAGTATGTTTTTTGTGCAATTCCACCACAATGGGGTTAGGTTAGGAAAAACCTCAGTTGTGGCTGAAATGTGGGCCCTGAAGTTAGACAACTGGGTTTAAATTCCATTCCTACCCCTTACCAGCTGTGTGACCACAGACAAGGTCATTTTTCTGAGCCTCAGTTTCCCCAGGTATAAATGGCACATACCTCAGAGGATGTAATCAGGTAAAACAGGTAAAGGTCTCCCGAGCACTCTGCCTGGAATGAAACAAATGTGCAGAACGTGTTCATTGCTATCGTTATGAAGCTAGAAGAAGCGTTTCTTCACAAGTCCAGTGGTTTCGAAAACTCCCTCCCATCCTACTCTGCAGGATCCAAGAAAAATGAATTTAGAAATCACTCAAAATACCCTCTGACCATATTTCCCTTTCCCCTAATTTTTTGAAGGAGGGGAGTGTTAAAGTCTTAAGTGTTAAAGACAATTAGCTCTTTTTCTCTTCCTTACGAAGAACCAGGTTTATTGGATTAGAAAACATTTGAATAATTCTGTTGCTCACAGCTGCAAGAGGAATGTAGCCTTCCTTTCTATGTAGCAGCTGTGTTTTACGATTGTCTGTCTTAAAGCAAAAACAAAGCAGGCAAAAGAAAAAGAAATAAAGCAGGACTGTTTAGATCAATCCTAAGTTGCTCTCAGTTTTATATAACAATACAGAAGACGTCTTACCCCTAAAACACAGACCAAAGAAGAACTAACCTGATTCATATACTGGACATCATTTGTTAACACAGACACTCCACTGACACATACATAGAAGGTTCTCCTGAACCATGTTGAATATATTTCTTGAATATATGTTTTCCTTACAAACAGCAAGCTATTGAGGAATAAAACAGTATGTTCATGTAATCTAAATACTGTCAGAGCCTGTTCAAAGGGTCAAAAGAAGATGATAGATGGTTAAATGAACAGCTGCTTTTTGAGTTTGTGTTGCATGTTGAGAAACTTTTTCCTCTTAATTCATAGCTCAGGAAATGTGTTTATGATCCTGGTGGAATTGTGTAGAGATTTCCCTAAACCACTGTCATAGGCAGCACATGTGATAAAGCGCTTCTGAAGGCTGGGCCAAGTTTTTCCATTTTTGTCTAACTATGGGAAATACTCAGAAACATCTTAGTGTATGTGCAATAGTGTGCTCTCAAAACCGAAATGGCCCTAGAGATCACAGATAACACATGTGATTGTAAGGCAACCCAACATCGGGCCGAGACATTAATTGCAGGGCAAAACCCCTGAAGTCCAAATAACTGTGAGGCACATCGTAATTTCCAAATAAATGATTGGAAGTGGTAGCATCTACTGCTGTCAGGTTTTTGTGGGGTTTTTTTCCTAATTTCTTCATATGCTTTGCTGGCGTTGGTTGAGTGCCTTCTGCATGTAAGAATCTATACCATGGGAGATTCAAAGATAAAACATGTTCTCTGCTCTCATGCTGTCATGTGTGAGTGGATGGGGGCCAACAACTCAATTGTAGAAAGAATGAAGTAATGACTAGGCAAAGCACCACACCGTGGGTCCTTGAAGGAAGGACCCTACTGACTGGAGAGACCAAGGAAGGCTTTGCAGTGGAGGTAGCATTTGACATAGGCCTTGAAGGATGAGGAGAGTTTTAATTAGCAGAACATTGAGCAAAATGGCCTTCCTAGCTGAGGGAACAGCAAGAACCAACATAGGAAGGCATGGAAGTTCTTGGTGTGCAACAGGGGAGAGGGAGCAGCTCAGATTGCTGGGATGTGGAAGGACGTAGTGGAAGGTGAGGCTTTTCACACCAGATTTGAGGTCACTTGGCCAAGGACTTTGGCCTTCCTAGCTGGGAAGTAGGAAACAAGGGAAGGTTTCTGAGCCAATGGTTGGCACATGCAGATCTTTCTTGAGAAGCATGACCTCAGTGCCAGTGTGCAGAAGTGACGGGAACAGCAAAGCTGTGGGGCAGGAGATCAATCCCGAGGCTCCGGCACCCACTTTCCACTCTGGTTAACCTCTTTGTAGCTTCGGGCAGTGCAGACCAGCTGACTTCTCCCTTGAAGGCTGTGATCCTGTACTTCTTGGCTCTCCTCCTGACTGTGCCTCTTCTCCCCAGGATCCTGGGGTTGCTCCTCTGTGGTAACCGGCTGCACTGGGGATCTCAGAGTGTGGAGTGACCCCCAGGGTGGCTGCCGCTGTCTGCTTCGCTCTTCAGGCTCCAGGCTGTTCTTCCTTGCAGATCTCATCTTTCCCCTCTGCTCTGCTTCTCCTGTGCCTGCCTCATATTCTGGGTTCTCTCCAGAGCTCGCGTCCACTGCCTGCCAGTCAGCAGATGGATGACTCTGTTCACCTCAGCCGCGACACGCCCCACAGCGAGTGCAGCAGTCGTCCTGCCAGATGGGCTGCTCCTGGCTGCGTCCATTCTCTCAGTAAATAGCCTCTCCATTCATCCTTCCGGTCCCTCTATGCCCGAGTCACCTCTGATTACTCCTTTGCAGAATCCTCTTCATTCTTCTCCTGGAGTGTCTTTGGAGCCATCTCTCCCTTCCACTCTCATGGCTCAAGTTTAGGATCTTTTGTCTATTTCAATTCAACAGCCATTTATTGAGCCCCAGGGGCTGTGCTGGGGACATAATCGTGAGAAGGAAGCTCATGCTTCTGTCCTCGACTGGCTTGTAGTCTAGTCAAGAAGACTTGAGGGCTGATGAGCTTTTCAGAGATGGAAATAGAGGATACTGTGCCCCGTGGCCTCTGCTCTGCCCAGCCCCCTACCAGTAACCAACAATTTTCCAGAAGAATTTCCAAATTCCCTTCTCCAAAGTCTCCACTGGCTCCACTTTCATTTGCTTGCAGAAAAAAGTCTAAATGCTTTGGAACAGCATCATTCAAGGTCCTCTATGATCTGACTCCAAGCTAGCTTGCACTAACCCTGTGTGTCCCTGAAAACCCCCCGCTCAGCGGCATCAGCCATGCATGCTGGGCGAAGATGCCCTCTACTTGCCCACCCCTGGGCCTCTGTTCAAGTGATTCCTTTATTCCATGCCCACATATGTAAAACCTGTTTGTCCTTCCTGCTGAGATGCCACATCTTCCAGAAAGTCCTCCTGACCCCTTCCTCTTCAGCCCTCCATCCATCCCCCCAGCCCTTGGCACAACCTTCACAGCACTTATCATAGCTTGTCATGGTATTTATGACTTAGCTTCTCACCTTCTTTCAAGGACAGGAAGCTTATCTCATTCATCCTGAATAATCACAACAAAAATAATAGCTAAAATTATGAGATGTTAGAATGCATATTTTATTTATATGAGGCAATGTGCTAGGTGCTTCCCTTGCACTATCTTGTTGCAACCTTTTGACAAACACGTGAGGTAGGTATATCACTGGCCTCCTTTTATAAAGGAAGCTCAGAGAGATGAATTGACTTTCTGGACTTAAGTTCAGGAAGCTTCACTTCAAAACCCATGCCCTTGACCATGACTTCACCTTTATTACCTAACTGTGTCTGGGTGAGTTCCTTGTATATAAGTCCTTACTGGGGCCGGGGCAGGGAGGGGTGTCAAGAGGATGGGACAGTGAAGACAAGAGCAGCCTCCCCAAGGTCATGTGACAAGTCACGGTCACATAAACATCACGAATGCGGGAGCTTTAGCGACCACATTTTCTCCTACACCTTTTACCTAGGAAATGGAAGTCACAGTTTTCAAAGGGAAACTAAACGTTTTTGACTGTGCAAAGGATTAGATGACAGTATGTTGAATGCAAATTGATTGAGTCTGATTTAATTTGGATGGTGATGTGCCAAGTCACACAGCCCTGTTGGACCAGGTGCCTGAAGCAAAGAACTTTCCTTGCACCCAGCTACCATGGCCTCTGCCTGAGCCTGGGAGGAGACATTTAACAAGGGAAATTCCTTCTCCCTCCCTCACTGGACTGAACCTGTCCCTTTTCTTAAAGAAAGGGAGTGGCGTGGAGCCCAGGCCCTCCCCCAGGGGCCTGCCTGCTCAGCTCCAGACAGGTCTGCCTTTGTGAGCAGGGGTGGGCTGGCGGGCAGGAAGGCTCTTGGACTGCAAGACCGCTGTGGCATCCCAAGTCAGTGGGAGCGAGGCCAGAGGGGACAGTCAGGATGGGAAGGTTGAGAAAGGGAAGACAGTCACCGTCAGGCTAGCCAGGGCGCTTCCTCCATTCCTTTCCAGGGCATGAACAAGACAGCATGTGGATGAGGCTGGAAGTAGCCCCAGGGAGCCTGGAGGAACAGAGTCCAGAGTTCGGAATTTTCAGAGCCCGCCGAGGCCTTCAGCATATTTAGCATGGGACATTTGGTAGTGGGAGGACAGCCGCTCCTGTCATCTTCCCTTTCTCTCTCCCCATCAGCCTGCGAGGGACTAAAAGCCGGCGATTTTTCCTTGCTGTATTTCTTTCTTTTTTTTTTTTTTTTTTTGAGACGGAGTCTCGCTCTGTCCCCCAGGCTGGAGTGCAGTGGCCCGATCTCAGCTCACTGCAAGCTCCGCCTCCCAGGTTCACACCTTTCTCCTGCCTCAGCCTCCCAAGTAGCTGGGACTACAGGCGCCCGCCACCGCGCCCAGCTAATTTTTTGTATTTTTAGTAGAGACGGGGTTTCACCGAGTTAGCCAGGATGGTCTCGATCTCCTGACCTCATGACCCGCCCACCTCGGCCTCCCAAAGTGCTGGGATTACAGGCGTGAGCCACCGCGCCCGGCCTGTTTCTTTCTCTTTTTTCTTGAGACCGAGTCTCGCTCTGTTGCCCAGGCTGGAGTACAGTGGCATGATCTCAGCTCACTGCAACCTCTGTCTCCCAGGTTCAAGCAATTCTCCTGCCTCAGCCTTCCGAGTAGCTGGGACTAAAGGCTCCCGTCACCACCGTTGCCCAGCTAATTTTTGTATTTTTAGTAGAGACGGGGTTTTACCATATTGGCCAGGCTGATCTCGAACTCCTGAACTTGTGATGCGCCTGCCTTGGCCTCCCAAAGTGCTGGGATTACAGGTGTGAGCCACTGTGCCCGGCTTCTTTTCTGTTTTTCTTTCTTTCTTTTTTTTTTCTGTCTCTTTCTTTCTTCATTTTTGTTTTTGTTTTTGTTTTTGTTTTTTGAGACAAGGCCTCACTGCAGTGGCACTATCACAGCTCACTGCAGCCTCAAACTTCTGGGCTCAAGAGATCTTCCCACCTCAGCCTCCTGAGTAGCTGAGACTATAAGCACTCACCAACACACCTGCCTAATTAAAAAAAAAATGTAGAGATAAAGTGTTGCCGTGTTGCCCAGGCTGCTCTCAAAATCCTGGCTTTCAGTGATCCTCCTGCCTTGGCCTCCCAAAGTACTGGGATTGTAGGCGTGAACTGGTATACCAGGCCTCTTGCTCCATTTCTTTACTTGGCTTGAGTTTGGCTTCTCTTGTTATAATGTAGACATCTTTATATGCCACTTTGTCCTCCATATCCTGGCTGAAATGCTACGGTTTTTTTTGTGGGGAACATGTCAGAGGATACACAGACTGGTGAATGGACAGACTGATGAATAAGTAAATGTTGGGATTCTTGTCTAACACACTGTGCTTTCTAGACTCTGACTCAACGACACCACACTGCTGCTGGATTTCATGAAATCTTACACCCCATCCTATCCAGTACATTGTATCATGTCTTTAAGAAATTTAAAGGAGCAGAAACAAGTTTTAAAAAGCTAAGATTGTGTGTGTGTGTGTGTGTGTGTGTGTGTGTGTGTGTGTGTATTACATGCTCCTTAGACCATTAGAGTCATTCTGGTGGGGTTATGAAACCAGGGAAAAGTCCTTTTTCGCGAGGGCCATGATGCTGATACAGATTTCACCCTAATATAACAAGACCTTAAGGGTGAGCACTGGGTAAAGTTCAATCAAGTCTGAGAACTTTTCAGCAAGTGCCATACTAGAGTAGCTTGTGTTATGATGCAATTCCACTGGCAGTCAAAGTGGCAGGCAAAAGTCTGGGTTTTCCTGACCCTGGGTGGTGGAGCAGGCCAGTTATCAAAGGCAGGCTGTAGGAGCAGGGGGTCTCACCTTGAAAAAAGAAGGGTTTGCCAGAGAGCCAACCTAGGGGGAAGTCATTAGCTCCATCTTGAGTGCTCATGAGATGATGAGAAAGACTGGGGATCGAGAAAAGAACAGGCAACGCTTGACTACCTGTGGGCCTCTCCAGCCTCCCCAAAGGAAAAGCTTATTGGTTGTGCTTGAAGAGGAGAGCTACGTACCTGTGATCCTCTTAGGATCACTGTAGAACCTTCAGTGGGAAGGACCATGGGTTTCTGAAGATATGGGGAGGCTCTAAGTGTGTGAGCTATTAACGTTAAAAGCATGAAGCTTTATTGGTAGACAGGACTCAATGGGTAGAGATGAGAGGCTTTGAGGAGAACATATTGAGGTCACTGAGTGTTGAGGGAATTCCGGGAGGACAGAGGCAGCTAGCTGGATGCAGTGAGCCAGGGTGGGAGAGGAGACAGGAAGATGAAGAGACAGAGAAGCCTTGTTGGGGGGAGGTCCTGGGTCATTCATTGCTTGAGAAAATCCCAGCCAGAACCTGTGGCGACCTTTTCCAAGGAGGAGTGAGCCAGTACTTTTTCCAAGGTAAACAGCTCTAAAGTAATGTTTCCAGAAGGGGCCAAAGTCCTGAGGAGGGGAGTGGGACAGGGGGAGATGGAAAGCCCCACCCAGAACGGAGGATGGAAGGGCAAGGGGGTGGACGAGGGGCAGGGGTGAGGGGTGTGAGGTGAGATAGAGCACTTGTGTTGTCTTGAGGTTCCCAAGGTATCTCAGGAATATTTTTCTAAAGTAAAGTTTGTGAGTTTTGTTTTTTATTTTTTGAGATGAAGTCTTGCTATGTTGCCCAGGCTGATCTCAAACTCCTGGGCTCAAGCAATCCTCCACTTCAGCCTTCAGAGCAGCTGAGATTGCAGCACAAATAACACTTTTTATAAAATGTAATACTGTTACATAAGGCAATGTTACTGTTTTTCAATGTTACTGTTTAATAATTTGTTTTTATCATCCTCATTAACATTTATACAATGCAGCACTGTGTTAAGCACCTTACGTAACTTTACCTCATTTTATCCTCAAAATAACCCTATGAGTTTAGGTAATACTGTAATCTCCATTATAGAAAAGAGGAAACTGAGGTTCAGAGAGGTGACGTCACCTCGCCCACATCTTACTGCTGTTAGCAGCGGAGTCAAGACTTGTCCTCAGCTGGGCTGACTCCAGAGCCCAGGCTCCCATCCACCAGGAAAAAGACTCAACCAGCTTAGAAGAGGAAATCCCTGGACATCGACGGTGTCATGAATGAAACACAAGCAGAGCAATCACAAAACACCCCACTGCCACTTACTGGATGGCTACTTCCATATTTTATCAGATCTAAGATACAGTAAATTGGAAGTTAGACCGTCACTTCATGTACCATGAAGAAAAAGAATGTTGCACGGCCTGATTTTAGAGACGTTCAAATACTGAAAATATGTGCATCTGAGGCTTGATAAAATATTACAAGCGCCATACCATGCTAGGAGCGTTGCCTCCACGATCTAATTCGTCCCAAAGACAGCCCTTTTGTATCACCACTACATTTGCAGAGAATACAGGGCTTAGAGCAGTGGCGTCCGTGCCCATAGCCAGTGACACGGCGCTAGGGAGCCGCAGAGCCTAGATCTGTCCTTGGCAACTTCCTGGGCCCAAATCCCTGCCTTGCCTGACCCATCAGTGCACGCTGCCTGGGAGGTGGGGGGCGCCTTTGTTATTTGTTCCTTCAGGTGGGCAGCCAGCTTGGCAAACAGAAAACACAATGGAGCATCTAACTGCAGGAAAAAAGAACACTTTGCCTCCTTCCTCCCCCTGGGGCTCATCTGTGCTTGGGCTCACTTGGAACTGCTCACTCCCCCTGGACTTTAGGGGTGCTGGTTGTGAGGCCAGGTGACCCCTTCAGCAGGACCCTAGCAGCAGCTCTGGCCATTGATTTCCTAGTTCATAAGCCTCCATGGTATAGGCTCTTTCTTGGGCCCATCTCTTTCTTTTCCCGAGCTCCACTTGTGATTTGCGCCAGATTTGGAAGCATCATCCCTGACGCTGAACTTTATTCTTCCCACATCTTCCTTGCCTTCTCTCATCTCTCCAAGTGTCTTAACTCTTCAGCCTCACCCTGCCTCTTCGAAAGCCTTATTCATGTCTTAACCACTTCCTAGCTCTGTTCACATCAAATCGCTAATGGTTTTCTAGAATTCCTGCATGTTAAGATGGAAATCTGGGGCGAGAGAGGTGGAACGAAGAGGTTGTCTGTGTGGAAAAAAAAGTCAACTGGACAAGTTTCCTTGCTTTGATTTTTGACCCCAAGACCTCCCTCCTCCGCTGTGGGCTGTGTACGTATAAGCTGGCTTCTCTTGGTTTCTCAACTCGGGTCATCACGGAGTATCTTCTTGCCTTCTGTCTCGACCTCTTGGCTATCTTTCCAATAAGTTTCCATAGTGAAGAAGGCAGTTGTACTTAAATTAGATCTTCCCCATCTCTTTAAAACACCCTTGTTCTCTCTCCTCCAAGCCACTGAGTCATACTTTCCCATCTTCTCAAAGACTTCCCTGTCACTGGAGATGAGGGCTAGGACTTGGCACTTTCTCCTTTTCTGATTTTACTTCCTACTTCAACAAGAAATTAATATCACAACTTGAAAAGCCTTCCTAACTGGTAAAATCGTTCTGCTGGAAAAGCTCATTATCTTTTTTCTTTTTTTTTTTTTTCTTTCCTGATTAACCTGCTTCTCACCTATCCTCTGTCCTTCGGAATCTTTTTCTTTGTATGGCTGTCTCAACTCAGCCTAACTTTCTTTCAAAGCCCTGCTGAGAAGAACTTTAAAACATTTTGTATGCCAGGCACAGTTGTGCACGCCTGTAATCCCAGCACTTTGGGAGACTGAGGCAGGTGGATTGTTTAAGCCCAGGAGTTCCAGACCAGCCTGGGCAACACGGCAAGACCCCATCTCTACAACTACAAAAAAATGTATCTGGGCCTAGTGGCACGTGCCTGTGCTTCCAGCTGCTTGGGAGGCTGAGGTGGGAGGGTTGCTTGAGTGCAGGAGGTCGAGGCTATAATGAGCTGAGATTGTGCCACTGCACTCCAGCCTGGTGAGGGAGTGAGATGCTGTCTCAAAAAAAAAATTACAATTTTAATACTCTAAACCTTTACTGGATGTTAGATTTATTTATTTTCAGTATTTAATCAAAGTATGAAAAGTGCTACCTACAGGTTTCCTTTGTTCTAAGTTCCCCCAGGGCAAAGAGATGTCTGTTTCATTCACGCACTCCATACACAGAGGAGGCTGCAGAAAATATGTGCTGAATGAATGAATGAATGACCAGCAGTCATCACTGGGCTTTTGTGTCCATTTACAAAGTAAGCTCATGTAGGTATCCATTCATTCAACAAATATTTATTGAGACCCGACTGTGTGTCAAGCCTTGTGTTAAGCATGGTGGGTATAATAGTGACAACATCAACAAAAATCCTTCCCCTCTTGAAGTTTATCTTCTAATGGAAAATGACCATTCAAAAATCATTGAATTGGTGTCCACCTAATATTGAACTCTAATAAGCATGTTGGAGAAAGTCTCAAAATTACAGAAAGTTGAATTCACATTTGCTCCAAGAGAGCTAAGAAATTGGGAAAAAAGAGACACTATTAGTGAACGAGGTGAGAACATTTTTAACGGCTTGAGATATAATTCACAATTATACAGTTCGTCCGTTCAAAGTGTATAGTTCAATGGCTTTTCGTATATTCACAGTGTCATGCAACTACTGCCACTATCTAATCTCAGGACACATATGAATCAGCAGTCATTCCCCGCTTCCCCCTCCCTCAGCCCCGGGCACACCACTAATCTACGTTCTGTCTCTAGATATTTGCTTATTCCAGACATTTCATGTAAATGGAATCGTACAATATGTGGGTTTTTTTTTGTCTGTGTGTTTTTTGTTTTTTGTTTTTTTTGAGACGCAGTCTTGCTCTGTCGCCCAGGCTGGAGTGCAGTGTAATCTCGGCTCACTGCAACCTCCACCCCCTAGGTTCACGCCATTCTCCTGCCTCAGCCTCCCAAGTAGCTGAGACTACAGGCAACCGCCACCATGCCCTGCTAATTTTTTGTATTTTTAGTAGAGACGGGGTTTCATCGTGTTAGCCAGGATGGTCTCAATCTCCTGACCTCGTGATCTGCCCGCCTTGGCCTCCCAAAGTGCTGGGATAGTGAGCCACCGCGCCCGGCCAATATGTGGTCTTTTGTGACTGGCTTTTTAAACTTAATATAATGTGTTCAAGGTTCATCCACATTGTAGCATGTATCAGTACTGCATTCCTTTTTATGGTTGAATGTTTTGCATGGATATGCTACCTTTTGCTTATCCACTCATCATTTGTTGCTTTCCATTTTTGGCTTTATGAGTAACTCTGCTATGAAAATTAATGTACTCTTTTTTGCATGAATATGTTTTCATTTCTCTTAGTTGCATACTTAGGTGCTGGATTGTTGGGTCATATGGTAACGCTATGCTTAATTACTTGAGGGACTGTTTTCCAAAGTGGCTGCACCATTTTACATTCCCACCAGCAGTGTATGAGGGTTCCAATTTCCCCATATCCTCACCAACACTTGTTATTGGGTGCCTTTTTGATGAAAGCCAGCCTAGTGGGTGTGAAGTGATATTGCGCTTTTGATTTGCATTTCCCTGGTGGCAAATGGGGTTGAGCATCTTTTCAGGTGGAGATGAGAACATCTGCATCATGTTTGTGAGGCAGCTATTGATCTGGTGTCCAGCACAATGCCTGCATGTCACAGGTGCTCAATAATATTTGTTGAATGAATGTAAGAGTGGAGCAAAGAAAAGTACCTTGAAGGACAAGGCTTCTATTAGCTATGGCAAGCCTGCAAGAGGAATGGTGTATGATGGATAATATTTTGCAGATATGAAGCAATGCATTTTCCCCCTCTTACCACATATCCTGCCTTTAAACCATGTTCCATTTGGAGCCTCTCTTCTCAGAGCCTGGGCCAGGAGTCCTGTTGCCTGGAGCCAGAGAAGGAAGGAGGAACACAGAATAAAGAAGACAGCTGGCTCAACCACCAAGATTTGTGGAAAGATTTGCAAAATGGCTTTCACTCCATTGTAACATAGCAGGGGCTAGGCCTGGCAGATAGACTGTGGGATTTCTTTTACCATGGTAGGGGATGCCTGTCTGTCACTGGGCTATGGGGTATGGGGTTAGAAAAGAAGATATGGAGTGTGTGTCTTTGGCATTAAAAACTTGCTGATGAGCTGAGGAGAACACGGAAGGCAGGGCAGCCCTGCAGCATGGGGAGGCCTGCAGAGTTTGAGAGGCTGAATGGGTGTGATCAGAAGGCGAGTGGGTGTGCGTTACACTCCAGATTTCTGCTGCTCCTGCGTGATATAGATGCTGAGACGAGAGCCAGAGGCCATTGTGGGGTGACCCTGCAGCAGAGCGGGGGCAGACCTCCTGGGCAGGGAAGGAGAAACCCACAGCCAACAAGAGCTGGCCAGCCAAGGAGCCGCCCTGGGCCCTGACCCAGCCAAGAGAGACCAGCGGCCCCAACTTGAGTCATGAAGGCCAAAGGGTGGGCAGCCACAGGGCAGGCTGAAGGCTCCATGCTGGAGACCCTGTGCCGGGGGCCAACTCTTCCCTTCCAGTCAGAGGCTGAGTGGCTCCCACTCCTCCTAAAACCATGCCGCAGGGAGGGCGGCTAAAGACAGAGGAGCTGAAGGACAGAGCTTTACTAACAGGACTGTTTAATTCTCACCCCGGATGAGCGTGAAGATGGTTTTCAGCTGCCGCACAGTTGAGGCCTCGGGAAGAAGCCCAGAGAAGAGACAAATTAAGAGAAACCACAGTCATGTTGTGTGAGAAAACGTGTGACACTGCCCATGGCCTGTTTATGGACCGGTCAGCTCAGCAGTGAAATCGCCTGACGCAGGGCCTGCAAGACCAGAGATGCAGTCCCATTAGTGTTGCTGTGGCAGTGGCCACTTTCAGAGGCCTGCTCTGGAGTCAAAGAGCTTCTGATCTGAGCAAGAGAATTTCTCCCCTTCGACTAGAGAAACAGACCAAAGGGCATGTTCCCTGTCATCTTTGGCCGTGACTCTCTCAGAAGCATTTGGAGACATTTGGATGGGCCAGGCTGAGAAACATCACTCCCACAACAATGGCACCCCTCAGCTGTGTTCCAGGCTCTGGGCTAACTCTTCACATGTGTCACTGAATCCTCCCGCCAGCAACTCTCTGAAAGATTTTGTTATTCACATTTTATAGATAAAGCTATGAAGCCTGAGTGGTTTCCTGGGATCTGCTGTCAGGCAGCATTTGAATTCAGTGATGTAACTGCCTGTGCTGGGCACTTAACCACCGCTGACACTGCCTTTCATCATTCTGCTTCAAAGTTCCCCCTTAAAACTGATGCAAGGGCTGGGCGCAGTGGCTCACACCTGTAATACTTTGGGAGGCTGAAGTGGGTGGAATACGAGGTCAAGAGATTGAGACCATCCTGGCCAACATGGTGAAACCCTGTCTCTACTAAAAATACAAAAATTAGCTGGGTGTGGTGGTGGGTGCCTGTAATCCCAGCTACTCGGGAGGCTGAGGCAGGAGAATCGCTTGAACCCGGGAGGCAGAGGTTGTAGTGAGCTGAGATCACGCCACTGCACTCCAGCCTGGCGACAGAGCGAGACCCTGTCTCAAAAAAAAAAAAAAAACTGACGCAAGATCTGGTGAAGCATTTTATCAAAGAAAAATACAAAAAAAATTATTATCTTTTATTTGTAAAAAAAAAAATACATGCCTGTTTCACTATAACAAGGATGGCGACCATGGAACCAAAGTGATAAAGAACCTGAATGAGAGCTCATTTCAGACATTCTTCCCCCAACACACGCCAACACCAGCAAATGCAAGGCTTCAGCATTGTTGGTTATGTAATTGTTCTCCAAAGACATTATACCCAGCTCATCTCAGAGTGCATGCTTCCGCTTGCCTATCCATCCAGGTTTTCTTCTCACAATTACTGAGCCTACCACATGCCAGGCACTGGGGACTCAAGTGACCTGGCAGTTCCTCCCCTGGAAGAGTTCATGATCACGGCAGAAGCATCCCCAGAGCACCATGCACACAGGTACCAGGACGGCAACTCTCCGCAGCCTATACTTTCTCTTCCTTCAAATCTCAACTTAAATGTCACCTCTTCAAGGAGTCTTGCTAGTCGGTCTTACTCTATTTTTCTACCTCAGTTCCTTGATACCGAAGGAAATATCCTCCAAAACACAACTGACAATTTTTCTTTCTTTGTCCTTTAACTCGTGAGTGTGTGCGTGTGTGTGTCTGCTGCCTGTGAAGCCCCACTACAATGTGGTCCCATAAGGGCATGAGCCACACTCTCTTATTCACAAAGGTATCTCCAAGGCATGACACATCCTGGGTGCTTAGTTTGTTGATTGAATGAAAAAAAGTTGCAACCAGATAGTCAAGAGCCTTGAATGCCATGCTAAGAAGTTTGGCCTTTGGCCTTTAGGCAGTGAGAAATAACAGGAAATGTGATCAGGGGCAAGGCATGAACAGATCTGTGAATGGGAAGCCAAGGATGGCCATGTTGTGAATGAGGTAAGGGGAATAAGCTACAGAGAGAAAAACTAGAAGCAATTGCCATGGATAAGGCTTGAGAATTTGCTGGCCTGACCTGAGACACTGATGGAAGGAATATTTAAGAAATATTTAGGTAGAATCATTTGGAGATGCCTGTGGGAGTGAGGGAAAGGGAATATGACTAGGGCATATTAAGTGGCTTGGGCTATTTTGTAACCACTGCACTGTCATTAATTAAGCAAAGGCAATGGAAGAAGGAGAATGCAAGACGTCCACCGTGGGCTGTTATCTGCAGAATGTCCTGGAAGATTTCTTGGAGGTGATGGGAGCTTTGAATGCAAAGACCAGGGTGGAGGCACAGGGCAGGATTTGGGAGTCCTGGGTAGAATGTGAGGCAGACCAGCACTCCCAGAGAGCATATATGCATTTAAGACAGAACCACCTAGGACAGGCCCCTGAGGACACCACACTCCAAAAGGTGGTGAAAGGCAGAGAAGCCAGGGCAAGATACTAAGCAAGAGAAGGAGAAAGAAGACCCAGACACCAGCGTTATTATTGAAACCAGAGGGGCAAGAATTGTCCAGAGTGGGTTGGAAAGTTCCGCTGCCCACTGGGCTGAGAGTCCAGCAGAGAATGTGGTAGAGACCCAGTCTTGGGCAGACACTCGGCCGCAGCCGCAGCCAGCAGCCAGCAGCATGGCGAGTGTGGTGGACCAGGTCTCCTGGGGGTTAAAGGGAACCCAGATAGCAGGAATCTCTGAATCAGTAAAAGTCAAGTCAAAAAAGAACAACATTCACAGCTGACCACACGGCCTCAGGCCACCGCAATCAGGTGTGGGAGGAGACCATGGACAAGCTTTTCCAAGGTTGTTTTGGTGGAGGGGTGGGCTAGATGGGGTACTGCAGAGGGCTGGGGATGCCTGAGAGGTGTTGGGGGGGTGCTGACATCCTTCAGAAAGCTGGGCTGTGCAGAGAAGCAGAGAACGGGGCGGGAGCAGGTGGATGGGCAAGATTCTCCAGGGAGAGAGAACTTAGCAAGTTTGGGGGCTGAAGGGAAAGATTCAGTGGACAGCATCCTTGCCCTCTTGAAAAGTTGTTGTTTTTTCCTTTACATTAGAAAATACCTGCAGTAGGCCTGGGTGCGGTGGCTCACACCTGTAATCCCAACACTTTGGGAGGCTGAGACAGGTGGATCACCTGAGGTCAGGAGTTCAAGACCAGCCTGGCCAATATGGTGAAACCCCATCTCTACTAAAAATACAAAATTAGCTGGGCGTGGTGGCACATGCCTATAATCCCAGCTACTCAGGAGGCTGAGGCAGGAGAATCGCTTGAACCTGGGAGGTGGAGGTTGCAGTGAGCCAAGATCTCGCCATTGCACTCCAGCCTGGGCAACAAAAGCGAAACTCTGTCCCAAAAAAGATAAAAATAAAAATAAAAAAAAATACCTGCAGTAACAAAATAAAATGTGAGTTCCTCCTCAGCCACCCCATCCCACTCCCCAGGGGTAATCATTTTTTCAGTTTTCTATCTATGTGTCTACACATAGATATATGATTTTTAAATTAAGCCATGGGATAATTCTGGATATATTGTCCTGAGGCTTCCTTTTCCCCACTCATATGTGTACATGTGTGTCTAGTGCTCTTTTTCTTATGGCTGCCTGCTATTTGCTTAGACCCATAACTTATTTTATCACTCCATTCTGAAGCAACATTGTTTCCAAATTTTCACTATTACAAACAGCACTGCAGTGAATTTCATGCATTGATGTTTGGGCACTTGTGTGAGTCCTTCTATAGGACAAATTCTTAATGCTGGAGTTGTCAGTCACGGGGTCTACACATAAGTATGCTGTTTTCCTTGAAGGGCTTCTTGGATTGGTCTGCTCTTCCCTTATGGACTGGGAATGAAAAATGTGGGGAAGAAGATAGATTTCCAAGGAGGCATGTAAATGGAAAACAAGGCTTTAAAGTATCCCAACTGAATAACAGCTTTTTTTTTAATCAAGATATTGTGGGTTACTATATTTATACATAGTAACACTTATTAACCTGATAAGATGGACCAGGTAGAAATAACTCTCAGAGAGGTAACAGTCTGCTCTTCTCGGTTTAACCATCCATTTTCTATGGCTAGAGTCAATATTGGAAGAAGATACTGGTTCCTGAGGGCACATTTAGATGTGTTAAAAGAGTTATGATGTGGGAAATTTGTTCACAGATTTCAGGGAGATCAAAGACTTAAGTCCATTAGAAATTTTAAAAACAATTATATTCCTAGGACTTGGTATTTAATATGTGAAGTCATCAGTTTAATTATATTTTCAGATCATTCTTTGGCACAGAGTGAGGAAAACCCTCCCTCACTCTTGCAGAGAACGCAAAAACACTCAGGAAAAACAAAGCTGAAGTGTAAACAGTCTCTTTGCAAGGGTCCTCTGATCTCACCAGCGCGGCCAGCACACTGAGCTCGGAGCGCCCTCTTCTGGCTGCGGGCTCCCCTGCACCAGCCTGGCTCCCGCCCACAGGATAAGTCGGGTTTTCAGTGTTTGGAAAGCTGCTCTGGCTCTCCCGTTCCAATATCAGCACATCCTTCAGCTTCTTCTGCTGTGGCCACTGAAACCCCAAGATGTTCTTTCTCAATATTTGTGCAATATTTTCAAGTTACTCTGGGCTCTGCCTCCTCTGTAAGAAGGATTTCTTGATGACTAGTTTTTAAAAACACCCTTCTTAGATCTGAGTTAAGCTATTGGGATTGCAGTTACGTTTGTTAACTGTCGGGAATTAGTAATTTTGGATAAGCAAGAACTAGATCTAGAAGCCAAAGGAGAACAGCAAGCAGGTCTATGTGTCATTACCCAATGCCTGTGAGCAAAGTATGGCTGAGATTGACGTTTTCTGTCCACTCTGGAAAGCTGTCAGAACCTTAGGTCAGCCTCATAGTTCTTGTATTCATTTAACAACTATTTGCTGAGTACCTATGGTGTGGTGGGGAGTGTGCTGGGAGCAGGTCTCAATGGTGGACGAGATGAGGGAAGGGCCGCTTCACTTATTATGTGTGATACCTAGGCAGTGTTAATATTGCAAAATGCTTGGAATTTTACAAGCGTCATAAAGGGTTACCGAAGCCTCCATCATGTTCTTTCAAATTCCCAGTTAATCTATCCTGTGCTGCTATTACCACGTTGAACCAAGTTAATCCTCTCAACTCAGCAATGGCTCCTTCCTAACTTCTTGAAAGGCACCATTCGGTCCTCCAGGGAACATGCTTGTAATCTGTTATGATAGGAAGGAGGAAGCAGCATAAACGAAAACAGTTTTTCCAAAGAACTGACTGTTTTCCTTGGAGCTGGGGTGGGCCAGAGCTGAGGCCCGGCCCTGTTTGGATGTGGGAGCCTGCGGTTACCTGGCTCTATCTTCATCAACCCTGCTGGGTGAGCCACAGGCCTGCAGCCCTCTGCTCTCCCCTGCCTGCTCCTCCTGCAGGTAGAAGAGAAGCCCCTTCTCCCTCTTTCTCTCTCTCAGTCCCGTGTGAATGCCTGGGGCCCACTCGCCAGGCAAAGGGAGATTGGCCCCTGGAAGGAGCCAACCCTAAAGAGGGAGTGTTTCCTTCCAACGAGGCCACAACATTCATGGAGTCGAAGACAGCAGATGGCAGCCCTGGTGGAAGAGCCAGGCAATGTCATCCAAGACAGATAAGGAAAGGACACAAGGCCAAGGGCTGGAAGGTATCAAATCGCAACACAATGTCCAAGATTCCACTAGTTATTTATGCCCCACTTTTGCTAAAACTTCAGATGAACCTCGAAGGGGCAGACATCCTTTCTTCCTCACTTATCTTGGCTTTATAACCACAGCTTGATATTTCTTTGGGAAAAGTAAGAATCTTTCTACTATCCAAAGTTCAATGAACTATCGAGCAGTTCATTATAAGTGAACTTGCCTTCTTAAAGCTAACGTTCTCTCTAAAATCATTGAGTTCCAAGAAGGTGGTACAAAAGGATTGTATTTTGTGAGCTTGCTGCATCAAAAGTCCCCAAATTTCATGTGCCCTTTCCCAAATTATGCTGTTCACTTAAATGCATTTTAACTCTCCAGATATTTATTGAGCTGAGCACTGTGTTAGAAAAAGACCTGGATGCTGCCCTCAGGAAATTCACAGACCAAAAGATGAGATAGATGAATAAACAGATCATGTCAGTCCAGCATGGTAAATGAGATGTTAGAATTACATACAAGGTGGAACTTTTCTTTTTTGAGACAGAGTCTCGCTCTGTTGCCAGGCTAGAGTGCAGTGGCATGATCTTGGCTCACTGCAACCTCTGCCTCCCAGGTTCAAGCAATTATCCAGCCTCAGCCTCCCGAGTAGCCGGGACTACAGGTGCACGCCACCACGCCCAGCTAATTTTTGTATTTTTAGTAGAGATGAGGTTTCACCATGTTGGCCAGGCTGGTCTTGATCTTTTGAACTTGTGATCCACCCACCTCAGCCTCCCAAAGTGCTGAGATTACAGGCGTGAGCCACGGCACCAGGCCCAAGGTGGAACTTTCAAGCCTCTGCCCTCATGGTCTGGAGGGAGAGCCTGACTTAATCAGAAAATACAAAAATAAAAGTAGAATTTAAGCCCCAACCGGTGTCGTAGAAGACAGGCAGGCAGCACAATGAGAGCTGAGGGGTAGAGGAGGACATCCCTGAAGAAGTCACAGCTGAGATCTGAAAGATGGGTCAGGGTTAATTCGCTGTAGGGGGCAGTGAACAGTGGTCCAGGCAGTGAGGAGAGTGTGTGCAAAGGAACTGTGGCAGGAAGGCACGTGACGTATCCCAGGGGCCAAATCAAGGCTGGTATGGCGAATGCACAAAGCTAGAAGGGGAGACTGGGAGGCCGGGCTGGAGAGGTCAGCAGGGCTGGACCCCATGTAGCATCTGGTGGACCACAGCCTTCACTTCTATGTGCTCCTTTCCTCTTCTGCCTGAAGGAATCAGAACAGCACCTACCTCATAGGAATAAGTGAGTCCATTTTTGTAAGGCACTTAGAGGAGGGTGCCGCAACTACCGGCTGCCGTGACTGTTGTAATTATCCCCCTCGTCATCCTCGCCAGGTTGAGCTGGTGGAGGAGGACCCTGCTGGCTCAGGTCGGATGTGTCTTTTTAACAATTCACACTCGATATGTGGGCACAGCTCCACAGAGGTCTCAGAGGCCACAGAAATGAGCATAAACTCCTGTAAAGGTAACCGCTGGCTTTCTGGAGACGCTCTGCATGAATGACTGGCTGGGCTGCCGACCACAGGGCTCAAAACAGCCACCAAGAGTTTATCCCCAAATACCCAGGGAAGAAAACGAGACAGAGGAAGGAGGATGGAGCCTCCCAAGAGAAGGCTGTCTATAAATGGAAAGTGACACTGAAAGAAAACAAATCTTATTTGATGTGAACCCATTTTTGACTCTGTCTGGAAATCCAGGGCAGAAGGAAGTGGAGGGGACAGGGAGTGAGTGAGCAGATGTGCCCAGCATGAGCCTGCCCGCCCGGGGCCTGGCGTGGACACACGTGTGCACTATGACGAGGTGATGAGGAAGGGCTGCGGCCACCGCCGAGGCACCCACTCCTCCAGCCAGACCCAGACAGACGCAAGCACTACTGGGCTGCTTCTGTGCTGTGATGTGTGCCAGGCTGCACGTGTGGGCCCAGGGCTGAGATGGAGAGTAGTGGCCTGGGGTGGGCACAGGCAATGTGGGGAGAAGATTCAAGGGGACTGCAAAGAACACCATGGGGCTCCTGGGCCCTTCTGTTTCCTAAAGGGGGTCTTCAGGGTAATTAGCTCACAGGGTCCTTGTGAGGGGCCTTGAATGGGATGACCTACACAGGAAGGGCCTAGTAAGTAATGAATCAGCGCTCTCTTCAGAGCAGTGCAGAGCCTCCATCACCCAAGGCTTCTAGGTCCAGTTCTAAAACTCACCTGCCCCATAGCACTAGGTGACTTCTGAATGTCCCAGCGCCTCTTGTGTTTCTTCATCCTCAGCCATTAGAGAAGAACTACGACCTTACAATTTAAATGGCTCTACTTCAAAAACGTTAACAAGAAGAAGCACCATTTGGCAACATGTTTTTACTATGTGCAAACACTGTTAAGAACCTTCCCAGGAGGTTATAGCCCAAATAATAAGACCTGGCTTCAGAATGTCTGGGTTCAAATCCCAGACCCATTCCTTCCTGGACATGTGGCCCTGAGCAATTATTTAACTTCTCTGGGTCTGAGTCTCTTTGTCTGGAAAATGGAAGTGCTAATAATTCCTCCATTGCAGCGTTCAGAAAGGACTATGTGAGGCAGTGCAGAAAGAGGCATTTAATAGAGCGCATGGTACGAAGCACTTAATAAACGTTCATGTTTATCGTTATTACAAATTCTCTCAGATTAGGCCACCTATTACCCCTGTACTACAGCCCAGAAATTTGAGGCTGGAAAGAGGTTAAGTGTCCACATGGTGGAATATTATTCAGCACAAAAAAAAAAAAAAATGAGCTACCAAGACACAAAAAATATATGGAGGAATTTTAAAGGCATATTACTAAATGAAAGAAGACAATCTGAAAAGACTATGTTCTGCATGATGTCCACTATAAGACATTCTGGAAAAGGCAAAACTATGGAGGCAGTAAAAATATCAGTGGTTTTCAGGAGTTAGGAGGGAGGGAAGGATGGATTGGTAGAACATGAAGGATTTTTAAGACAGTGAAACTACACTGTAGGAAACGATAATGGTAGATATACGTCACTATACACTTGTCAAAACCCATAGAAGGTATAACACAAGAGTGAACCCTAAAATAAACTATGGACCCTGGGTGATAATGATGTGTCACATAGCTTCATTGATTGTAACAAATGGACCAGTGTGGTTGGTGGGGAGTGCTGTTTAGGGGTGGGACTGGGGAAGAGGAATTCTCTGTCCTTTCTGCTCGGTTTTGCTGGAACCTGAAACTACTCAAACAATAAAGACTATGAATTTCAAATAAAAAGGTAAAAAGGTTAAGCAACCCAGCTCCTAAGAGGCAGAGATGAGATTCAAATCTGAACTCAGAGCCAGGGGTCTTGCCCACTTTCCTAGGCAAGTCGTGGTGGGTTCAGGCTCCCGTGGGTGATGAAGGTTACCCAAAAGAAGGAGGTGGAGACCCAGGGAGGAAAGATACCAGGTGCCCCTGGGTTATCACTGCACCCTTCTCGGTACTCAGGCAGGATCCCCAGCCCTCGCAGCCGCCTTCCTTCACCTCTCTCTGAGCAAAAGCACGAATAGGGAGGAGACATTGAAGCTGCGTTTGCACCACCCTCCCATTAACACACTTGGCTCTCAGTGGGTGTTGATTTGGGCTGTGTGCACGCTAGGAATGAGTATGAGTGTTAAACTATATATTTTTACTTAAATTTTAAAATGTTCACCCTTCTGACTTGCTCCCCACCCCACCATAGGAAATCTCCATGTCCCTCCTGAATGCATTTCTGGAACCAGCTGCTTAAGACTGTTGCTCGTATTTTCCTGTGAGAATAATAGAGTAATGGGGACTGCATGTTTCGGATTTCTATCAATTAATACTACAGCAATATCCAGCTACTTTAACTACTGCTATAGTTTCAAATAATGAGACCACAGTATACATAGTGTGTGTGTGTGTGTATATATACACACACACACATATAAAGTGTATATGCATTGATTATAAAGGGGTCAAACAATAACAGTCATGAGCATCATTCTCCCTGCCATCATCATTTATTGGCCACTTAAGAAGTTTAGGTTCTGGGTTAAGCAGGTTACTGAAGCCTTAAATCATTTGATCTTCTTAAAATTCCTAGGAGGTAAGTACTGTAATTACTACCCTTCTGCCGATGAGGAAACTGAAGCTCAGAGAGGCTACATAACTTCCCAAGGGCACACAGCCACTAAGTGAGTGGTGAGGCCAGGTTATCAGAATTCACAGACCTCGTTTTAAACTACCATGTTCACCTTGACTGTCTTTCTGAACCTTTTGCAATGTTATCTTGATAAATGTCATGGATTCCCTCTCTCTTCTTTAAAGGAGAATGAGTAACACAAATGTCACGCCCTAGCATGGTGCCTGGCATAGAAGAGCAGTCAGTCAATGTCATCTCCATCCCTCCCCCTGCACGCCCTTACTCCACTTTCCCCTTCTCCTTCTCAGAGGAAACATCTGTCTATCCAGTGCCTCCCAAACTGGAAGATGCCTAAAAATCACCTGGGGATGTTTATTGCAATGTAGATTCCCAGGCCTGACCCATGAAGATTCTGATTCACTAGAGCTGAGGTGGGGCCCAGGAATCTGCATTTTAAAAACAAATGTCCCATGGACTACACTTGATCTTAGCCAAAAGGCCAAGATGTGATCAAATGTCTCATGTAATTCTGATTTTGTTGTTCCTTGGGTCATACTTTGGCAAACACCAATCTGTGGGTTTTTAAAGAAAATTGTTTTTTTCTTACTTAAGAGAACTGTTAAAAGTGTATACGGTAAAACAAAAGTCAGAAAGTTTAAAAGAGTAGACAGTAAAAAGCATCTCTCCCCATGGATAAAGATGATCATGGCAGCAGTTTTGGTAATAGTGAAAAATTAAAAACAAAATGTCCGGCCGGGCGTGGTGGCTCACACCTGTAATCCCAGCACTTTGGGAGGCTGAGGTGGGCGGATCATGAGGTCAGGAGATTGAGACCATCCTGGCTAACATGGAGAAACCCCATCTCTACTAAAAATACAAAAAAATTAGCCGGGCGTGGTGGCAGGCACCTGTAGTCCCAGCTACTCAGGAGGCTGAGGCAGGAGAATGGCGTGAACCCGGGAGGCAGAGCTTGCAGTGAGCAGAGATCGCGCCACTGCACTCCAGCCTGGGCGACAAAGCGAGACTCCGTCTCAAAAAAAAAAAACAATGTCCACCCCTAGAGATTATACATAAATGCAAGGTAGGCTATTTGCAAGATGAGAATGTACTTATAGTAGTGATAATAAATATAAATAATGTATGAAAGTGAATAATCCCAGAAATAATATTGAACAAATGAAGGCAAATTGCAGAACCATCCATCTGGAGCAAGCTGTTGATGTGTGTCACACACACACAATTCATCAGAGCAGTTGCCTCAAGGAAGGGGGATAGAAATGTTATGAAAAAGGGAATCAAGAGCGATCACAACTTTCTAACATTTTATTTCTTTTATATAAATAAAGATCTGAGGTAAATTCCAGAAAACATGAACATTTGTTAAATCAGAGTAAAGTGCACACAGGTGTTTCTTATTTTCCTTTTTGTTTTTCTTAAATTAAAAATAAAAGTAGTCCCTTCGCCCCTGGTCGCCTTGTTTCCTCTCTCGGCCGTCCTGCTATTGTTTTCCTGGATCTGTCTAGGTCTAGGCCTGCCCATGCATTAATAAGCACATACATCTCATCCATATTCTTCATCTGATTCTCTCCGACCTCTTCCAGGGCCTGGTCCTATCGATTAAATTCTCTCCCCATCTTCAAACCGTTCAGTCCCTTTCCCTGCAGGCTTATTCTCCAGTGACAAACATTCTCAGGTCTCTCATTTGAGAAAAGCTTCTCTCCATTCCTCCTCAAGACACTTGTTCTTTTTTTTTTTTTTTTTTTTTTTTGGTTGGTGGGGGACAAATCACTTTTTTTTTATTATTATACTTTAAGTTCTGGGATACATGTACAGAACATGCAGGTTTGTTACATAGGTATACACATGCCATGGTGGTTTGCTGCACCCATCAACCTGTCATCTACATTAGGTATTTCTCCTAATGCTATCCCTCCCCTAGCCCCCCAACCCCCGACAGGCCCCAGTGTGTGATGATCCCCTCCCTGTGTCCATGTGTTCTCATTGTTCAACTCCCACTTATGAGTGAGAACATGCAGTGTTTGGTTTTCTGTTCTTGTGCTAGTTTGCTGAGAATGATGGTTTCCAGCTTCATCCATGTCCCTGCAAAGGACATGAACTCATCCTTTTTTATGGCTGCATAGTATTCCATGGTGTATATGTGCCACATTTTTTTTTATCCAGTCTATCACTGGTGGATATTGGGTTGGTTCCAAGTCTTTGCTATTGTGAACAGTGCTGCAATAAACATACGTGTGTGTGAAGACACTTGTTCTCTTGGTGTGAACACAGTACAAGCTGAGAATCTTTGATCCAAAAAATCGTTAAGTCCAAAATGCTCCAAAATCCAAGTTTTGTTGTTGTTGTTGTTGTTTTGAGATAGAGTCTCACTCTGTCACCCAGACTGGAATGCAGTGGCACGATCTAGGCTCACTGCAACCTCCACCTCCTGGGTTCAAGTGATTCTCCTGCTTCAGCCTCGCAAGTAGCTGGGATTACAGGTGCGCACCACCACGCCCAGCTAATCTTTTGTACTTTTAGTATAGATGGAGTTTCACCATGTTGGCCAGGCTAGTCTCGAACTCCTGACCTCAAGTGATCTGCCCACCTCAGTCTCCCAAAGTGCTGGGATTACAGGCTTGATCCCACCCACCGTGCCCAACCCAAAATCCAAAATTTTTAAGCACTGACATGATGCCACATGTGGAATATTCTACACCTGACCTCATGTGACAGGTCAAAGTCAAAATGCAGTCAAAACTTTGTTTCATGCATAAAATTATTATAAGTATTGTATAAAACTACCTTCAGACTAGGTATATAAAGTGTATATGAAACATAAATGAATTTAGTATTTAGATTTGGGTCCCATCTAAACAGGTAGGAGTGGAGTGGTCTACCATCTTAGGCCCATTGGTGAGGCCCTTTAAATTAGACTGACAAAAGACAAATTAAGAGGAGAACTACAAGTTTATGAACATGTGCATTGTGTGTGCACATGGGAGCACGCAGTACTGACTACCTCAACGCGGTGGTGAGAACTTGGGTTTATATAGCAGCTCAACAGAAGGGCGAAAGATTTTTAGAGAAGTGACAAGACAAAGGAAAAGGACTTCAAGTTTCTAGAGCAGCAAATTTTGAAAGTAAACATATGGGAGAAATGAACAGAGAGGAGGGCTAGTTGGTAAGGTTTGTTCCAGTGGTTAACTTCAGTCTTTCCTGGTGGTGAGGGGGCAACTTCACAAATTTATGCTCTGCTTTTAAGCAAATGAGAAATGGCAGAGAGCCTTATCTGCTTCTTCTCAATTGTCTTCAACTAAAAATAATCGATATGCCAAATTGGCTTATTTGGAGGTTGCATACTCTGCCACCCTTCCCCTCCCTCTCTTCACCACTTTTCTTTCTGTGGGTGCGTGTACATTATACTGGGGCCCTGGAAACTGGTATTGGGTGCTGAAAACTGGTGTTGAGCCCTGATCGTTTTATGACCTTATGCCCAATCTGTCCATGAGGCTTCCTTCAACTCCGATTGATTTATCCTAATACATTTTGCTTCACAGTGGGCCAGGTCCCAGATTCTGAAGTGGGGAAGAAACGATGACAGGGTCAGACATCAGGTGGTGAGGTCTTAGCACACAGGTTCACAGACACATAGAAAAGGAGAGAAAAGGCCGGGCGCAGTGGCTCACACCTGTAATCCTAGCACTTTGGGAGGCCAAGGCAGGTAGATCACGAGGTCAGGAGTTCAAGACCAGCCAGGCCAAGATGGTGAAACCTCGTCTCTACTAAAAACTATAAAAAATTAGCCGGGGCCAGGCGCAGTGGCTCACGCCTGTAATCCCAGCACTTTGGGAGGCCAAGGCGGGCAGAGCATGAGGTCAGGCGTTTGAGACTAGCCTGACCAACATGGCGAAACCCCGCCTCTACTAAAAACACAAAAAGTAGCCGGGCGTGGTGGCACAGGCCTGTAATCCCAGCTACTCGGGAGGCTGAGGCAGGAAAATTGCTTGAACCTAGGAGGTGGAATTTGCAGTGAGCCGAGATTGCGCGCCACTGCACTCCAGTCTGGGGGACAGAGCAAGTCTCCTCTCAAAAAAAAATTAGCTGGGCACGGTGGCAGGCACCTGTAATCCCAGCTACTTCGGAGGCTGAGGCAGCAGAGGTTGCAGTGAGCTGAAATTGCACCACTGCACTCCAGCCTGGGTGACAGAGTGAAACTCTGTCTCCAAAAAAAAAAAAAAAAAAAAAAAAAGGCCAGGTGCGGTGGCTCACGCCTGTAATCCCAGCACTTTGGGAGGCCGAGGCAGGCGGATCACGAGGTCAGGAGATCGAGACCATCCTGGCTAACACACTGAAACCCCATCTCTACTACAAATACAAAAAAATTAGCCGGGTGTGGTGGCAGGCGCCTGTAGTCCCAGCTACTTGGGAAGCTGAGGCAGGAGAATGACTTGAACGCGGGAGGCAGAGCTTGCAATGAGCCAAGATCGCACCACTGCGCTTCAGCCTAGGCGACAAAGCAAGACTCCGTCTAAAACAAACAAACAAAAAAAACAAAAAAACAAAGTAAGGGAGAGAAAGACAAGATAGAAATGAGCAGTGACTGTGGAGGGAGGTTGGGCTGTGGCCTGAGCTCAGGAGAATATCAGAGGTAAAGGATGACTTCTGGAGGAAGTAAGGGTGTGGAAGCTGAGTGAGATTAACACAGAAATAAAACAGAAAGGATGGAGGAGTAATGGAGGCCGTTGGAGGAAGGTGGTAAAAGAACAACTCTGTCAATGACAGCAGCTGTCACCCTACTGAATGTTGATTACATGCCAGGCATTGTGATAAGGATTTGTAGGGATAGTCTTTCTTACTTATCCCAATGCCTCTGTAGTAGGTACTATTATTTTACTCATTTTACAGATGAGGAACTTGAGGATCAGAGAGGTTAGAGGGCTTGCTTGGAGTCACAGAGCTAGTAACTAGAAGAGCTGGGATTGGAACCCAGGTCAGTTGGATGCCAAAGCCCAGGTTCTCATCCACTCCTTCTACCACCTTCCAATATTGACTCAGGGGCATTTCTTCCCACCACGCCTGCTGTAGGCTGAGGAATGCGATGTCTCCCAGCACCCCAAAGAGTGAGGTGCCGTGTGATGAGCTAACTCGGAGGTGTAGCTCAAAAGCCCTGCTATGACTGAGCCGTCTGCCAGGGCTGTGAGTGCTCAGAGTGGAGACGTTCTCATCCGCCATCAGGGAATACTCACTCCATTGTGCTGGCCCCACCTAAATGTTTTTTTATTGCCTGCCCTTCACCATGAGTAATGCCACTTTCCATTTTAAGCTGGGAGCTTCAGGAGATGACTGCATTACAAGCCAGGGTTTAAAGCTAAGAGCTGCCTGGGGGATTACTCACCCATTTCAAGACGCTGCCCACAATGCACCCTCCCACTCAGGATGCTGCTGGAAGATCTTCTTCCTTGCCAAAGCCTAAAAGAAATCTGATTTCCCCTGGAATCCGACTAGGAGTGGTGCCAGAATATCAGAAAGCTGGCGAGTTAACTGGTTCTCCAAGTGGAGCTACCGTGCTTGTTTCTGGTCCTCTCATGTGTGCTAAGGTTTTGTTGCTTGTTCATTCATTTGGCATTTGCTGAGGGTCTACTATGTGCCATGCACTCTGCCCATGATGGAGAGACTATCACAAGCTAAACAGCTTTAGTCCTTGTCCTCAGGGAGCTAACAGTCTGGGGGTGTGGGGATAAACAGACAATTATAGTAAAATATCATAACAGAATATGCTAAATCATATGACATGCATGCTCAGGGAGTTTTGGAAACCAACAGCCAGAGGATTTATACTAAGGTAGGTATGAAGGATGAGGAGGAGCTGGCTTGGTTTCTTAATTGTAAGCAACCAAAATTGACTCTAGAAGGAGAGTTCAGAGAACCTGGGGTTGCTCCCAGAGTCACTGGGAAGGTGTGGTGGCCCCAAATCACACTGCAGGAATGGTCCAGCCAGACCAAGATGTACGTGTGTATGTGTGTGGTGGGGAATGAGGGGGCGGGTGTAACTTTCAAATACATGGGGTGGGGATTCAGATGCCGGGCCGTCAAAAATGATGACAAATTTCCAGAACAGCAGGTAGAATTAGGGAAGGTGTGGAGGAGAAGGCTGTCTCAAAATGACCTAAGATATTCTGAGTCAGAGAAAACAAAAGGAACAGCTTAAAGAGAGCACCAACTCAGTGAGGCAACCAGGCAGTGGGGCCGGCTGGCCAGACTCTTGGGGGATTCCTTAGTGAGTGAGTTCACTGCTCAAAGAAGGGCTTTGCCACTTCTGCAGGGAAGCCAGCCACGGGCCAGCAGGTAAGCATGTTTTAAGGCTTTCCTTTTTTGTTTTAGGGCTCCTGGGGACATTCTGGAAGGCCACAGTTCTCACTACAAGCCTTGAGATTACAGAGCCTAGCTAAGTCGGGAAAATGTTCTCTGCATGAGAATTGGAAAAGATGTTTGGGGGAAGCCAATAGGATAATGATAATAGCCAACTTTTATTGCTTGCGCTAACATGAGCTTACATGCATTATTTCATTTCATACTCATAATAAACCTATCAGTTTAGATGAACAGACTGAGGCACAAGGATTTTAAATGACTTGGCTAAGATCCCATGGTTAGCAAATTGTGGAGCTGGTATGCAAATGTAGATCTGTTTTACTATAACTAAGAGTCTGTTGACAGAAAACATGAAAAAGTGAGGGCCAGATGAAGAAGAATGTTCTGTGCATAATAAGCGATCGGAAGGAAGCCTGATTCCTTAGCGGTCACCTCTCTCATGGGTACAATTTTGAAACTTAAGGTCAGCTGTTGGTCCCTACTGAGAAATTTTCAAATAGAATCCAAAATGGAAAAGCCCTATTTTCCTAGAGGGAGACTTGAGTGAGGAACTTTAGCCAGTAACTCAGGGTATTGCCTCCTAGGTTGCAGCAAGAGGTATATATAGCATTTTAAAATTGATTTTGTCAGAATAATAATTTCTCTGATTATACAAATAATACATGCTCCTTGTAGAAAATTAGGAAAAAATAGAAAAACATAAAGAAGAAAACAAAAATCATCTTTACTGTTAGCACCCAGGAATGGCTTTTGTCATATTTTGGGGTATGTGTGTGTGTGTGTGTGTGTAATTTGTAGTCTCTTTTTCTGATGCATATATGGTGATACTGTCTTTTAAATTACAGTTCTTTATATCTTCGATAATTGTTATGACCTTGATTTAGCCCTTTCCTCAAGGGAGAATTATATCACAACATTCAATTTTGCAAATCTGTTGATAGGCAGTACAAGCTGGTTTCTTCAAATGAGGAGGCAGAAGCCATGGAGCCTCCTGGGGTGCGTTGGATATAGTGTATGTGAAAGTGCCTAGTTCTTTAAGAAAAACTTGGTTTTTCCTTATTTGTTAATATTTCTAGCTGGTAAGCATTGCCTAAACAAATGTTTAGCATAATGACTAACCTAATCAGGCAACCATATATTTATTAGGAGAGATTTATTCCATACTCTAGGCTATGCATGGCATTCATTGATGTTGTGTACACAAAAAAAACAGAAGAGCAGTTTCTAGGACTCAGCTCCAAGTGGAGTCTGTCCTGATCCCACCTCCCCTTCACTGGTCTACAGGATCCCAGGTCTTCCCATCTCCCAGCCAAACATATTTCAAAAAGCCACAGTCCAACACACACAGCTCTTTGGCTCTCTCAGGCAGGTGTGCAGCAAGGCCTTCACAGACCTCAGTGAGCGTCTCCTCTGGGAGCCCACGTGGCTCAAGCCAGCACAAAGCCAGATCTATTTGGTGGCTGCTGTTGTTCACTCTTGGCATACCGTATGCCACCCATTCTTGTCCTTTACCCAGATCATCAAGACAAAGCCCTACCAGTTCAGAAGCCCTGTGTGTTCCCTCTTCATATCTTGATATCTGCTTTGTGTTGGGAGTCAGTGGCCAGTCAAGTGCTTGCATGATGCAGGTGGGTTTGCTGATGCAAACAAAGTTGCTGGCATGTGAGTTTTCTGACCCTGAAAAGGCCCCACAGAACTATCCCCTCAGGCCTTGATCAGGACATTACCCCCAGGCCAAGGGGACAAGGAAAATGAACTTGAGTGTACTTCATAAGTGACAGCCAAGAGGGAACCAAAGCTCCTAGTTCTTCTCTTCCCTTCCTGTCTCCATGTAACCTTTTCTTCCTGGGCCATTCCTGGTCCTGGAGGTAAGGTCACTGCTGACAGCACCCATCTGGTGACCCAGGAAGCCAAGGGTCAGCTGGCTTCTCTGACAGTGGTGGATGCCCTATTGTGCTCCTCCTAGAAGAGGGTTCTCTTAACTCTTGCTTTTCTGCTTTGTTTTCCCATGCTTCATTTGATTTTCTTTTTACTTACAAAAGTAACCAGTTAATTTATGTGTCTATTTGAGAGGTTAATCATCTCCAGTGCCACCTTCAGATCCATTTTTCAGCTCCATGAAATTCATAAGATTCTCTTTACATATTCCATTTGTAAACCGAAACTGAATAATAATTCAGATGCCTGAAATACCTCTTAGCCCTGGGAGTGACCTAATTTCTCAAGATCTCAGTTTTATCATCTGTAAAAATGGAATCATAAGATTCTCTTTACGTATTCCATTTGTAAACCGAAATTGAATAATTATTCGGATGCCTAAAATACCTCTTAGCCCTGGGAGTTAATTTCTCAAGATCTCAGTTTTATCATCTGTAAAAATGGAAATAACACTGTTTATACGGTGGTGCTGCTATAATAAATCATGAGATAACAAAGTACTCAATAATATAGTACAAATAAATTAGATTCAATTCATTACAATATGTTTTTACAACAAATTTACCTTTACAATGACCATCTGTGGCAAGTGATACTGGTTTTTCATTTTCATTATTGATGTCAAGTTCCATTTAAAATGAATTTCAGCTTAAAGTGAAAATACTTCAAAAATACTAATTAAATAAAAAATACATTCTAGCTGTATATATTTAGATTATTCAAGACAAAAACATTCTGAATATATAGAAAATTAACCCCCACAGAAAAAGGAAATGACAAACACAAGAAGAAAAGAAACCCTAAGTGAACCCTAAATCAACCAGCTAACCAGACAGCAGAAATCTCAGATCAAACAAGGACCAAGAGTTGGAGGAAGCACGCAAAATAATTCTCAATGGCTTTTTAACCACTAAGACCAAAACAGCAAAATAGGCAGTTAGTCCTCATTGCCCGATCTTCTTTTTGTGGCCCTCACAACTTCTTTTGTTATCCTGGCCAATCTCCACTGGAAAGTCTCAAAGCATTCAACATTCTCCATTAGAAGAACCACCTAAGTGTGGGATCTCTATACGCCCAAATTATCTTTCCCTTCCCTGCAATCAAAACTCTTCTCCTTTTGTAATATGTATGTCTCCAAAGTGTTATCCAGAAATCCTAGTATTCAACTGAATAAACACCAACAGATATTCACCGAGCATCTACTAAGTATATGGAGAGAGTCTATGTCTGTGGGGGAAGGGAGTGCACAAGATCCAATCCCTGCCTTCGAGGAGTTGAAGATTCCCAAGGGAGGCCAAACGGAGGATGCAAATAGCTCTAATTGCAGGGTAGGATACAGTGACTGCCACAAACAGCCACAGCCAATATGCACAGGATGTCACAGGAGGAAATGACTTTTGGTTTGGTGGGGATGAGGACAGGTTCAGATGGAGGCAGCATTGGTTCTCTGAGAAGCATTTGACTTTAAAAAGATTGTATTAACTCTTGTGCCCTACCCCTCAATTGGTGGATTATTTCGAGTCTCTTGCCTATTCTTGGATAACAGCTGGAAGAAGGTACCGCATCCTGCTGTTTCTTCTCTGAGACAGGCCATCTCCCTGCTCATGCGCATCACAAGCCCACAAGACAGGCTTAGGTGCATGTGGCTCTGTGCACAACCCTGACCCCACCTGGCAAAGGCCTCAGCTCCAATGCCGCTTCTCAGAGAGACCCCCCCCCCCACCATACTCCACCTCCTGGTGCACTCTCCCCTTCCAGCCCCCGTGGGCTCCTTTCTACCAGGAGATACGGGAATTAGCACCATTTTAGATTTTCTTAGCTGTTCACTTTTAAAAATTTAATACCTCCCCCTATAGGAATAAAAATTGACAAGGAAAGCAGGGTCTTTGCTTTTCTTGTTTACCCCTGTGTTCCCAGTGCCTGATAAATCACAGTATTTAATACATATTTGTTGAACGAATTAATGAATAATAGTCTAATTCAGTCTCTTCTTCTCGAGTTTCTTCCTCTCTCTGGTTTGTTTTTGTGAAGAGGGGTCCAGGGTTTTAGAAAATACATATGATTCATTCCAAAGTGACTTAATCAAAAATACTCATACTTGGGTTCAGTATGGCAACTGACAAATTAGCAGAGTTTAACAGACTTTGGTTTGTGAAGAGACTTGAGCCAGCATGCATCTTTTCAGGTAAACTGATATGCAACACTGGATGGGACAGATCATCATTTATCCCTCCCACCATCCTTTCTCTCAACAACTATTTTTTTCCAGCTTTATTAAGGTATTATTGACAAATAAAAGTTGCACATATTTAGGGAATATGATGTGATGTTTTGATCTATGTGTCCATTGTGAAATGATTACTATGATCAAGCTGGTTAACATATCCATCACCTCGCAACATTATCGTTTTGTGTGTGTGTGGTGAAAACATGTCAGATCTACCCTCTTGGCAATCTTCAAGTATACCACACATTACTGACTATAGTCACCATGCTGTACGATAGATCTCTAGAACCTATTCATTTCGTCTAACTGAAACCTTGTACCCTTTAACCAACATCTCATTTCCAGTCACCTCTCCCCAGCTCCTGGCAACCACCATTCTACTCTCTACTTCAATGAGTTTGACTTTTTTTAGATTCCACATATAAGTGAGATCATGTGGTATTTGTCTTTCTGTGTCTGGTTTATTTCACTTAGCATAATGTCCTCTAGGTTCATCCATGTTGTCATAAATGACAGGATTTTCCTCTTTTTATGGATTAATAGTATTCCATTGTCTGTATATACCACATTTTCTTTAGAAGAAATGTGTTACAGATTTCATGTGTGATACAGATGAAATGAAGTGTCCATTTCATCTGTAAATGGACACTTAGGTTGATTCCATATCTTGGCTATTGTGAATAATGTAGCAATGCACACAGGAGTGCAGATATCTATTTGAGATACTGATTGCAATTCCTTTGAATATATACCCAATAGTAGGATTGCTGGATCATGTGGTAGTGCTATTTTTATTTTTTTGAGGAACCTCTATACTGTTTTCCATAATGGCTGTACCAATTTTTATTTCCACAATAGTGTATTAGGGTTTCCCTTTCTCCACATCCTCACCAATACTTGTTATCTTTTGTCTTTTTGATATTAGCTATTCTAACATGCATGAGGTGGTATCTCATTGTGGTTTTAATTTGTGTTTCCCTAATGATTAGCAATGTTGAGCATTTTTACCTGTACCTGCTGGCCATTTGTATGTCTTCTTTTGAGAATTATCTGTTCAGGTCATTTACCCATTTTTAATGGGATTGCTTTCTTACTGTTGAGTTGTTTGGGTTCCTTATATATTCTGGATATTAACACCTTATCAGATGTGTTTGCAAATATTTTCTCCCATTGCATAGGTTTTCTCTTCACTCTGTTTTCTTTGCTGCCCAGAAACGTTTTAGTTTGATGCAATTCCATTGAACTATTTTTGCTTTTGTTGTCTGTGCTTTTGGAATCATATCCAAAAAATGATTACCCAGACCTGCATCAAGAAGCTTTCCCCTATGTTTTCTTCTAGCAGATTTACAAACTCTGGTCTTACATGTGAGACTTCAATTCATTTTGAGTTGATCTTTGTACTTTGTGTGAGTCAACACATATTTATTAAGCACATATTATGTGCCAGGCTTATGCTAGACATGGGATAAAAAGCTGAGCAAGATAGGGGTTCTGCCCTATGGAGCAAAGTCAGAGGAAACACTCAAATAACTAGTGCGAGGCCTCCGGGGTGAAGTCTGAGGGAGAAGAAGGAATATCCTGGGGGTCGTAGCAGGTGGAGGTGGTGGCATTGTTGGCAAAGAGAGGTCCATGCCAACGGAAAAGCAAGTTCAAAGGCTCAAGGTGAGAGTAAGCATGGCACATGTGAGAACTAAAAGGAGTTCACTCTTGTTTGAGGCCACTGATGGTTCAAAGCTGGGGAACTCTCAGGCCATCTGTCTTTACTCAGTACAAAGACCAGGAGAGCTTGGGGGCAGAGTGGGTCACCAGCTGTCCTCAGGAAATGACTGGAATGAAAGCTCTGCCGGCTTTGTTCACTGCCATGCTTTGTTCGCTGTCTGAGGATGCAGCCAGAACATAGTAGATTCTTAATGACCATTTGCTGAGTAGGTGAATGAAGCCCCCACAGATGGTCTCAGCTTTCTCCTCTAGCATCACCAAGCCCCACAGAGTCATAAGACCAGAAGGCAACTTGAGAGCCAGCTGGTCCACCCTTTCCCCTCCAGGCTCTGTCCTGCCCTTAAACCTCCCTCACAAATGGCACTGTTTTGTAGATGTTATAAACTACAGTAGCATGACTTGTCAATTGGGTTCTTGAGATCATACTCACACCAAGGGAGAGACAATGTGTCCAGTCATCTGGTGAGTCCAAGGCAGGGTGCAGAAGAGCAGGGACGACAGTCCTGGATGCCCAGGCTGCATGGCAGGCAATGAGGGAGCTCTGGCTCCCAGCACTGTTTGTCAACTATTAAGATGCCATGGTGGCTGGGCATGGTGGCTCACACCTGTAATCCCAGCACTCTGGGAGGCCGAGGCAGGCAGATCACGAAGTCAGGAGATTGAGACCATCGTGGCTAACATGGTGAAACCCTGTCTCTACAAAAATACAAAAAAATTAGCTGAGTGTGGTGGCAGGCACCTGTAGTCCCAGCTACTCGGGAGGCTGAGGCAGGAGAATGGTGTGAATCCAGGAGGCGGAGCTTGCAGTGAGCTGAGATCGAGCCACTGCACTCCAGCCTGGGCGACAGAGCAAGACTCTGTCTCAAAAAAAAAAAAACAAAAACGCCGTGGTTCTTCACTTCCAAATCTGCCTCTGGAGGTCAATGACCTCCACATTCTCAAAGCAGCACATCTTGTTTGGAAATTATATTCCTTGTATCTTTGGTGTTGGGATTTTAAAATTCGAGTTTAGTTCATCTGCCAGTACCGTGCGCTGGCTAAATGCCACTGTCTCTCCCAGAGAGGGCCGCTGGGCTGACATACTCAAGGTGTCCTGGCTGGAAAGCTGTGAGCAGTGGACACAGCATTTAGCCCATACCCACATATACCACTTGATCTGAGGTCCCAAGACCTCTTACTTGGGCAATTGCAGCTGATTTCCTTGCCTTTCCTCCAATTAGTCACTCAGCAGCCAGAATGACATTTTAAAAATGCAAATCTGATAACATCACATCCCAGCCTGAGTATTCCATAGTTTCCCACAGTTCTTCAGACAGGTGCCTACAGGACCCTGTGTAGCCTGGCCCTGCCAGCTTCCCCAGCCACAGCCTTCTCCCCTCATCCATAATGGACTCTGTTCAGTTCCCCCAAGTAAAACTTGCTCTTTCTGGACTCATGACCTCTGCACATTTACCTGCAACCTCCCTCTCTCTACTCACTAGTAATAGAAATACCCCTTCCTCTAAGAAGTCTTCCGAAGTCTCCCAGGTCCTATAGATTGCTTATTACCTGGCTCTCAGGGCAACCTGGACTTTGCCACTATAATACTCAGTTCATTCAAAATCGCTTGCATGGGGAAAGGTCTTCCCCACCAGAATTCAAACTTCAAGAGAGCCTCTCTGTGCCTGCCTTGTTATTCACAATATTCCTTATGTCTGGCACATAGTAGGTACTCACTGAATATGTGACAAGTGAATGAATGAGTCCTCCGATTGTTAAACAGCTGGGAACAATTTTACCAAATAAAATAAGAGGCAGAGACAAACTGAAATGTAACAGGACCTCATGGTAATCCTGAGCCACCTCCCTTCCTCACCCTAAAGGCCTGATGTCATCATATTATGGGCTTGTGTGTTGTGATTAGGTCCCAGTTTTTGAGATCCGGTTTCTGGCTCAGTTCAGAGAAAGCTGGGCCTTTCCACCAGGCACCATCATGGTCAGCAAAGCAGAACTGTGGAGCAAATCAGATAAGGTGCAGATGCATTGGTGTACCTGCTAGTGGCCCGTGCCTCCCGTCTCACTGCAGAAGCAGAAAATCCGGCTCCAGCCTCACACAGCAAAACAGAGCAAGAAGGAGGGGGAGTCTTCACTTATGTTGCCTCACCCTCTGTTTTATTTTCTTCCCACCAGCAGCAACAAACAGTAATTCAATAAAGGAAATACAAGTAATGGAAAGAAATAGAAAAAAATAAACATATCAAAATGGGCAGTGTCCCCAGGGCCACCGCTTTTAAATAAAACAAGAGTAGATTTGGACATATTTCAGTGGCTTTGCTAAAAAGAGAAAAATAATCAAGCCTTCCCTTCCTTTCTAGGCTGCACTGCTTTCTTCTATCTTGATGTAGAAAAAATATCACCCAGACTAGGGAGTCTCACATCAGAATCCTCTGTGGAATCTTGTTGAACATGTGGGTGCCAGCCCCGACTCAGCCCAGCAAGTCAGAACCCTTTGTTGGGGGAACCTATGTGATTCCCAGGCAGGTGGGCCCTACTTTGGGGAAGAAAGCTCAGGGTGGGAGTGCCATGGTATGTCCTGTGCCTTGTAACACAAGATGCAGCTTGGGTAAGAAGCTCAGGTCTGTAACTGGGAATTCCAGCGTCAGGCGCTGCAAACCTCATTTAAAATAAAGCACCATAAGCTTGACTTCGGACATGCAGAAAAATGAAGATTGTTGATTTCACCTTCTGTGGAAGGGGCGGGGGGGCATATTCTATTCATTTTATTCACTTAAGTCGACACTGACTGAGCTGCTCCCATAGGGAAGGGCCTGTGCCAGGTACAATAGAAAGGTGATGATGGCGGTGGATTTGAGCAAGATGAAGATGACGGTAACTCACATTTACTGAGACCTTAGTATGTGCCAGGTGTTTTACATGCATTATCTCATTTAATCCTCCCCAACACCCTACGAGGTACTGTTATCATCCCCATTCTGTGGACAAGAAAACTGAAGAAAATTGAGGCACAAGGGAGTGGAGTGACTTACCCAAAGTCACCCAGCAAGTTAGTGCAGAGCCACAGGGGGAGCCAGGTCTCCCGGACTCTGGAGTCTAGTATCAACCATTATAGTGTAAGTCTCCCTTAAGACATTCAGCCCCTGCCTTTCCGATACTTAAATTAAGTGGAAAAGGTACAAGAAAATCAAAAGAAGTACTCCAAATTATACAGCTTTGTGCAACAACGAGCAATCGACCTGGGGACATCTGGTGAGACTTATCCTGTTCTGGCTAATTACTCAGCCTGACTGTTTGTTACTTTGTTACAAGGAGTCGTGGAAAAAAAAAAAAGAAAAAAAAAGCAATAACCAAAGCAACTATTTTCTCTTCTCCATGGAAAGGCACAGTCAGCAGATTTTTAGAGAAAGTCAAACAGTACCATTATCCACAAAAGTGTAGGAGCCAGGAGCTCTGCAGTCCAAACTGAGGAGGGAGGCTTCATTATTTTGTGAACTCCCAAAGGATGAAAGACATTAATAATACTATTTGTGGTAAGCTTATCATATGCTGCGTACTGGACTATTCCCTCTACACGTTATTATCAAATTTGATCTTTGCAACTCTATGAGTAAGTACTATTCAGATGAGGAACCAGACTCAGAGCGGCTAGCAACTGGCCTATAGTCACACATCTGCTTAGTGGCAAGGGGTCTGAATTCCAGCCATGGTTCTTACCCTGAATCTAGGCTGTCTCTTATTTTAAATACAAGGATACCGTTTGGAATGCTAAGTGAGCAAGAATTCACAACCGTCTGCCATTTTTAACTTGGCTGTGCCAAGCCTCACTTCAATCTGGGAGACTGGCTGGATTCTTATTTCAGCAAGTATTACTTCAATACACTATGCTCTGTGCCAGGCACAAAAGCCCTGCATTTAATAAGTGGGAGATGTGGTCACAGTGGATAAAAGGAGCACACATAAAACTTTAGAGAGGTGATTTCACTAGAGGGAGTTTTTTTTTTTTTTTTTTCTTGAGATGGAGTCTCGCTCTGTCACCCAGGCTGGAGTGCAGTGGCACGATCTCGGCTCACTGCAAGCTCCGCCTCCCGGATTCACGCCATTCTCCTGCCTCAGCCTCCCGAGTAGCTGGGACTACAGGCGCCCGCCACCACGTCCAGCTACTTTTTTTTTTTTTTGGTATTTTTAGTAGAGACAGGGTTTCACCGTGTTAGCCAGGATGATCTCGATCTCCTGACCTCGTGATCCGCCCGTCTCGGCCTCCCAAAGTACGTGGATTACAGGCGTGAGCCACCACGCCCAGCCGAGGGAGGTCTTGATTCAACAGAGTCATTAGTGCCTGGAGATTCATGGAGGAGCTGAGCTTTGAACAGATGCCAGGAGTGGAGGAGAGGTCAGAAGTCAGGGGATGAGCTTCGAACAGAGGTCGGAGCTGAGACACCTCTAATGGTGGTATAGCAAAGCAGTAAATTGGGCCCCAAAGAGTCAAAGGCAAAAGGCAAGTCCAAAGCTGCTTTCAGCCAATGCTGCAGTGGGCATTCTGCTCCCCGTGAGCCTGGGGCACACTGGACTCCGGCAAGAGTCACAGGCCCACACTGCTGGAAGAGCATCCCTCAGGTAGGGCACGTGCACAAAAATGGGTGCAGGGAAATTCCATGAATGCTACTGTATGTCTTCAGAGGAAGTTTAGGCAAAGGAAGCAAGCCTCTTTTTTACAAGGAGATTTTGACACCAAAGTCAGCAGATCTAAAACTTTCACATTAATTTCTCTTCTACCTTAAAGAGCAGACATATACATCAGAAAGGAAGTAGAGAGAAGTCAAGGAATAAAAATGGAACTCAAGCCTGTAAAAGGTACACACATTCGGAAATGTCTGAGTAAAAGCCTTAATAAAATGCATGTGCTTTCCCCCAGTAATTCCATTTCCATAAATTCTTCCCAAGGAAGTAATGGGATAGTTGGCAAAGATGACTACAGCAGTTTTGCTTATAATAGTGATAAAGAGTAAACAACCTATCCCAGTACTTTGGGAGGCCGAAGCAGGTGGATCACGAGGTCAAGAGATTGAGACCTTCTTGGCCAAGATGGTGAAACCCCGTCTCTACTAAAAATCAAAAAAATTAGCCGGGTGTGGTGGCGGGCGCCTGTGGTCCCAGCTACTCAGGAGGCTGAGGCAGGAGAATTACTTGAATTTGGGAGGTGGAGGTTGCAGTGAGCCGAGATTGTGCCACTGTACTCCAGCCTGGCGACACAGCAAGACTCCGTCTAAAAAAAAAAAAAAAAAGTAAACAACCTAAATGTCCAACAATAAAAGGTTAGTTGACACAGTTTTGCATGTTCCTATTGTGGACTCCTGTGCAACCATTACAACCATTACAACCATTACAAGTGAAGGTGCAACCATTACAAATGAACCATCTGTATGCAACCATTACAAATGAAGGTGTAGGTTTCTGTTTATTAATGAGGGGGAAATTCCTAATGTATTGAGTAAAGTCAGATCATAAAAGAGCAGGTTATAAAACAGTTCACTATATATGATTCTGCTTTGTAAGATGCTTACATCTCTATGAACAGAAAAGTTAACAGAAGGCATCTCTGGCAGATATGATCATGGACAATCTCTTAAAACTTTTTATTGTTTATCTGTATTTTCTAATTTTTATATCATCCCCTTATGGTTAAGGGTTTGTAAGTGGACTGATGTCCCCTGCTTTGTTGAATTGATAAAACACCAAAGCAACAGACCTTAAATATTATTTCTTTGTTTCCCAAAAGTATGGTACATGTGCCCCTGTTGATAAGAGAAATTCTGAGTGGTACTGAGAAGTATCTTTGAACAACACTGCAGAGAGAAAAGAAGCCCCCATCTTTAAGTCTCCTTAGTCATTTTGGTTACTCAAGGAGAAAACCTTGGCTTGGGACAATTATGTTTTCAACTTCCCTAGAAGAACTGCTCTTCTCTCTTTATAACCAAAAGAGCCCAGCAGACAGGAGGCAGCATCTAAGCAGAAGTCAATGCCATTGCTGTGCTTCATTGTATTGATCTTTATCACTGCCTTCTATTTATAGGAAATTTTTGCAGTTACACCAGGGAGATAAAGCTTGCTTTAAATAAGAAAATTAGGCCGGGCGTGGTGGCTCGTGCTTGTAATCACAGCACTTTGGGAGGCCAAGGCGGGTGGATCACCTGAGGTCAGGAGTTCAAGACCAGCCAACATGGCGAAACTCCATCTCTACTAAAAATACAAGAAAATTAGCTGGGCATGGTGGCACACGCCTGTAGTCCCAGCTAATGGGGAGGCTGAGGCAGGAGAATCGCTTGAACCCAGGAGGCGGAGCTTGCAGTGAGCCGAGATTGCGCCACTGCACTCCAGCCTGGGCAACACAGCAAGACTCCGTCTCAAAAAAAAAAAAAAAAAAAAAAGCTAATTTAAATAAAATTTAAAAGTAAGGAATGAGTTGAGAGGATAATGATCAAAGTAAGGAAGGCAGTGCACCTGTATTGAAGTCTGAGGCAACGGGTGTTAACCCCTGGTGAGGATAAAGCTACCCCTACTGTGAAATATCCCAATAGTTCCCCCAGGTCTTGATTTCTATCTTATCACTTTAATATAAAAACAATAGCATGGAAATAATAAATAAGCAATTTGCTCAAGTGATGACCCAGCCAGTGGGGAAATAATTTCAGAACAGGATTCTGAGAACGTCCAGATAAATCCTGCTGGGAAAGTGATTGGAAAGAGAGGTTCCTAAGAAGAGACAAAATTTCTTTGCAATGTTTGCCCTGAGGAAAAAGGCCCTTCCACAGGAAGAAGGTCAAGTCCGGTCTATTTTTATAAGTGTTTTTCAAGTGGTTAGTGGACGTATTTCCTGTGGTTCCCAGGAATTCTGCAGCAGGCTCTCAGGAGGATGTTGGTGATAGGGAACAGGGACTTGATGAGCAAGAATCAATAATTATCTCTATATTTGCTTCACTTTTTTCTATAAAAATAATCTAGGGGAAAAACACTTGCTTTAGAAGAGCAAAGTTCATCACAACAAAGAGCAGAATGGGACACTGAAGTCCCTTAGTGCGTAGCAGAGTCCTTAGGTCAAGATTCTACAAGCTGAAATTTATCTGTTCATTTGTTCCCTCCCTCCCTCATTTACTCAATAAATATCTGAGCAATTCCTCTGTGCTGGCCATCGTTTGAGGGCTGCGCAGAAGGTGTTGAATAAACATGGCTTCTGTCCTCCAGCAGCTTACAGTCCAGCGTGGGAAAAAGATGTCAAACAAGAAAACGCATGGATGGATATATAATTAATTACAGATGATGGTGAATGTTGGAAGAAAGAGAACAAGAGGCTGCAAAAGAGAATCATGGAGGTAGAGAAGGAACTTACCTTAGCTGGGGAGACCAGGGAAGACCTCTGAGGTGGTGGTACTTTAGCTGCCCTCTGAAAGGGGCATGGGAGGCAGCCCATGGGAAACTGTTAGGGAAGGGCACTGCTGCAGAGGGACCAATTTGTAGGAAGGCAGCCATATGGAGGAGATCATAGTGGGCTCAAGGACCCAAGGGTACATGCAGTGGCTGGAATAGAGGGGCAAAGGGAGGGAGGAGCCGTAGGTGAGGCCAGACCATACAGGGTCTCATAGGCCATGGTAAGGGTTTGGATTTTACTTTATGGAAATGGAAAGCCATGACAGGTTTTAAGCTAGGGAGTAGCCAATCTGATATAAACTTTAAAAGATCTCTCTGGCTCTATGTGTAAAAGTGATGGGAGGGGGCCAAGAGCAAAAGATGGGGCTATTTCAGAAGGTAAGATAGGAGCTGCTCGTGAATTGGACCTGCTGTGGACAGTGGGGTTGGTAATAAGTACTTAACGTGATAACCCCTCATGGCAGTCCAAGGGCTCGATTAGCAGACCTCAGAGAAGTCAGCCAGCTAACACAGCTGGGACTAGGGTGAGGTGTGGGAGGCACTTGCTTTGGGTAAAAATGTACTCAAGCACTCAAGATAAATCATATTTTAAGCCAGGCATGGTGGCTCACGCCTGTAATCCCAGCACTTTGGGAGGCCGAGGTGGGCAGATCACGAGATCAGGAGATCGAGACCATCCTGGCTAACATGGTGAGACCCCGTCTCTACTAAAAATACAAAAATTAGCTGGGAGTGGTGGCGGACGCCTGTAATCTCAGCTACTCAGAAAGCTGAGGCAGGAGAATCACTTGAACCCGGCAGGCGGGGCTTACAGTGAGCCGAGATCATGCCACTGCACTCCAGCCTGGCCAACAGAGCGAGACTCTATCTCAAAGAAAAAAAAAAAATATATATATATATATATAATATATATGTATATATAATATCATATTTTAATGCAGTATTTTTCAAAAATCCAATTTAATGCAAAAATATCTGTGATTAACAAAATATTAAATATAGCAAAATATTAAATAATAATAATAAAGACAGGATGAGTAACAGTGATAATGTGAGCAAAACAAATTTGAAATGGGCCCCTACGAGGTTTACATTAGTGTGCATATACAGTTGTGTGGAGTGAGACAGACAATAACAAGTAAACAAAAAAGTAAACACAATCCTAAATTATCATAATTGTCATGAAAGAAACATGTTTCAGTCTGAGATAGAGGACAAGGAAGTCAGGAGGGCTTCCTTAGATAGGCTGGGCCTAACGCAATTAGATTTGGAGGCAAATGCTCTGCCTGGAAATGTTATGTGTTAATGAAAATTTTTGCAGCCCAGCGCAGTGGCTCATGCCTATAATCCCTGAAATTTGGAAGGCCAGGGTGGAAGGACTGCTTAAGCCCAGGAGTTGAAGACCAGCCGGGGCAACATAGCGAGACCTTGTCTCTACTAAAAATATATATATTTTTAAATTAGCTGGTCGTGGTGGTGCGTGCCTGTAGTCTGAGCTACTCAGGAGGCTGAGGCAAGAGGATCGATTGAGCCCAGGAGTTTGAGGCTACAGTGAGCTGTATTCGTGCCACTGCACTAAAGCCTGGGGAACAGAGCAAGAACCTGTTACACACAGAAAAATAATTTTTGCAAATCAAGCCTATCAAACTTCCTACATTGTATAAAATTTTACAATCTAGTAACTGGAAAGGTTGGAACAGATCTGTAGAAAAGTTGCTCTCACCACTGAGGGTTCAAGAGTACAATATCGTGAAACACTAGGAAAAGTTCTGCCTTCTGTCTTCCCCACCCCAGGGGCCTATCTAAACATCTAGATTTATCAAACTTCATAAGAGCCCACTGAACCTGACAATGCCAAGAAGGAGCCAAGGAATGCAGGATCTTGAATGTGAAGAGGAATTATGTGCGAAAAGATGGCAGCTCCGAGAAGCAAGAAGTCACTCTGACGTTCCTCCTTACCTCTTGTTGCCTAATCTGCTTTCAAAGGCCAATAAATTCAAAATTCTCCATTTTTCAAACAACCCCGCCCAACATAGTGATTCTTTAATCTCTAAACATGACAGGGGGCAGTGGACATGAAGGATATAAATGGCTTTGAAAGGTCAGTTAGAAAAAAAGAAACAAGGAGAAAAACCATGAGGAGTTGAAGGGATAAAAGCAAACCATGTTTTGAGCTACCTGCCAAAGTTAAAGAAAACTCCCTTGAGAGGCCATGTTTGACGGATGAGTTTACTGACATAGTTATTGGCAACTATCTCTAGCCTCATGATTTTGAGACGGAGTCTTGCTCTTTCACCCAGGCTGGAGTACAATGGTGCGATCTCGGCTCACTGCAACCTCTGCCTCCTGGGTTCAAGTGATTCTCTTACCTCAACCTCCTGAGTAGCTGGGATTACAGGCATGTGCCATCACGCCCGGCTAATTTTTTGTATTTTTAGTAGAGACGGGGTTTCATCATGTTGGTCAGGCTGGTCTCAAACTCCCAACCTCGTGATCTGCCTGCCTCGGCCTCTCAACATGCTGGGATTACAGGTGTGAGCCACCACGCCCAGCCCTGATAAATGACATCTTGACTGCAATGTGCACCTTCCTGAAGATGCTAGATACCAAGGCAGACTTATCTCTTAGTATAGCTTCTTGGATTCAAGATTTTAACTCACCTCCAAGCCTTTTCCTCCCTTATCAGACACCAGTCATGTCCTGGGGCCTTTGGTGATGTTCTCTTGCATCATCTCCTTCCCATAAAGGAGGACTCCTTTGCCTGCCAACAGCTGGGTTGTGAGTGGAGCCAGGTGTAGAATACTAATGATGTGGTCACAGGACCATGAGAGCCATCGGTGGTGCTGAAACAGGGAGCAAACAGTGCAAATGGGAGAATGGTTCCTTTTGGACTGTTTATGTGGGATCAAAGGGAGCTGGCAAGTACATGGAACCTCTAGAAATAGACCACATCCTTAAAAAGAAAAAATGCAAAAAGAAACAAGTTTTACATTGTCCTAGTGTAGGCTCTGCAAAAACTTGGCCCTTGAAGGCTAGCACTGGGGCAAGTGACTGTTTTCTTCCTGCCCTTTGGCTGTGATACCAACTGGGTCGCTTTGCATATCCTGGGCCCTGCTCCCCTGCCTGCTTCCTGCGTGGTGCTTGGGGCATGCTGGGGCCTCCATGGCCCCCTTTCAAGATCCAGAATGGAGTCTGACATATGAAATGAGCTCCACAGGGTTGACATTCCTTCTTCATATCCAAGCACCTTAATACACAAACCCGCATGCTGGGATTGCTAACTGTTCTTCCAGAGATGCCGGGATATTGTCTGTCTAGTAGAAATGTGAGTTTTGTCCTTTTTATTTTTTAATGTTTTGAGGGAGGCTGGGCCCCTTGGAAATGGGGATGACATTATAAACTGGTATTTCGGGACTGAGGGTTTTATTATTGACTAAGCCACAGATTTGCTTTGGTAAGCTGTCCATTCTCTCTGCATCACACTTCTCTTGGCTGGAGAAGAAGGAGAGGTGTTCATCTAGCCCATATGATAGAGGAACAGCAAATACAAAATGATTATGAAGTACCTCATATAGTGTCTACACAACAGCTATCCAGAGATGCTTGTTTATTCATCCCAAATGCTCCGTGAAACCCCAACTGCTATCAAAGTTCAGAAAATCAACCCACTAAACACAGGTTCATATTAACAAGGATAATGATAGCTGACATTTCCTAGCACTCATTATATGCAAGCTCCCTCCTGGACCTTGTCCTATTCCTTTCTCATGGCAACGTGATGAGATCAGAGCTCTTAACAGCTTCATTTTACAGAGAAGACAACTGGGGACCAGAAAGGTTACATGACTTGCCTGGTTTGCAAGAACTTAATGACACAGCAGAAACCCAAATCCAGGTCTATGACTCTCAGGTTGTGAGAATTTCCATTTTCATGACATTTCCAACACAGTCTGAAGGAGTCTCTGGCCTCTCCCCCACCCTTCATCTGCAATGGCAAATGGCTGCCCTGACAAGGGCCAAGATGGTCTCACAGGCTGCAGGGTCACCTAAAGGAGGCACAGGAGTGACAATCAGGAAAGTGCTGATGGTGGGACGCTGCACCCCGGTGAAGAGGACAGGCCATCAGGGGAGGAACTTGCAAAGTTCCATTCAATAAAAACAGATATCTCCTTTAGAACATGAACGAATGGGCTGTACACGTTCCGGGGGCTGGTAGAGTAAAAAGAATAGAGAAGCTCAAGGGTCACTCAGTTCAAGGGGCATTTTATTCTCTTATCCACATTTATTCAGCAATGAAAATAGTGGACTCTGGAGTCAGCAAACCCTACCTTCAGATCTCAGCTCCAACACGTTTTAGGTTGGTGCAAAAGTAATTGCGCTTTTGCCATTACTTTTAATATTTAGTGGTATGATCTTAGAAAAGTGACATAAACTTTCTGAGCCTCACTTCCTTAGCTGCCAAATGGGGGAACTCAGACAATGCCTTGAGTTCAGTCGAGGACAGCTTCCCTTTTCTGTTAATTAAACTTTGGAATGTTGGGGCATTAAAACAGGCTAGGGTAGGTGATTGCACAGAGAATACTATTCTATTCATTTCCTTCCTAGCCAAAAACAAAAACAAAAACAAAAATACTTTCCTAACAGAATTTGAGGATTAATTAATGTAATGTGCTTAGAACCATATCTGGCATACAGTAAATGTTCAAGAAGGGTCATTATATTATTATTTGTGGACATATTTTATTATTTACGGATAGGTCCAGAGTCGGCTATTGAGTAACAAATGGTAGGGCAAGCCCTCAGCATTTCTAAAGAGATAACAAACACATACTTCAAAAGACTGCATCTGGAGAAGCTAAATTTTCTAGGTCAAGGGGAAAGAAAAAAAAGATGCAGCCAACAGACCATCTTCCTATAAGCTGGAATGTTGGCTGATTTCGAGAAAGGAATGTCCTTGCCAGGCTGGTTCTGGAAATTGTAACTTGCACAACAACAGATTCAAAAGATTTTTGGAGACACATCAGTAAGAGAAGGCTAAAGGAGGTGGCGAAGGGCTGCCAGAGCCCCTGCAGAATCACTTTGCATTTGGCGTGAAGCCCTGGGGCTTTAATGTGTCCGTCTGCAGGAAGGATATTTCCATTTAAGATGTGTGCAGGTCTTCAGGATGGCCCAGGGCCGGCCGGATGGTTTGGACCGTGGTGTACCATTAAAGTTCAGACAGAATGGGGGCCGGCAGAGCACACCATTGCACCAGGGAGCACTCTGTTTTTCCTTCTGGAGTGGATACTGTTTTCTCTAAGCACTTAAAAGAATTCCTGACCTCCAACTGAATGATGCTCTATGAGGGGGAGTGTTTTGTGGATGAATAAGCCAGACTGCAGGGAAAAAACATACAGAATCAAGGGAAGAAATAAAGGATACTACAGGACACGTGTGTGTGTGTGTGTGTGTGTGTGTGTGTGTGTGTGTCCGCTTGTAGTTCTCTCTCTTCGTTATGAAGTGTGCAAGCTGGGGCTGGGACTGAGCTGTTTGGTGACACAGCTGGATTAGATAACAGCCCCACTTCCTGCCAGTTACACTAGATGCAAGCATCTATGTCCCTCTTATCTGAAACATGGCTTGATGAGTCTGGTGTGGCTAGACTGTAAACTCCTTAAAGGCAGCAACTGATTTCTACTACCAACCCATAATCCCTTATTTGAAAAGCCTTGGGCTAGATATGTTTCAGAATCTAGAATTTGGGTAATTTTAGCGAGGTAGTATGGTGCATATGTTGTATATTATGGAACAACTCCAGTGGTGTCTGGGACACTACCCTAGAATCAAACACATTAGTAACTGTACCAGATTATATAAGTATTATTAACACAATGCAGAACAAATAGACTTTAAGTCTCAGGACAGTTTGGGCTAGGTTTTGCCACAGTCTGTTATGAAAGAACTTCTAGCTTTCAGAGCTTTTTGAATTTCAGAATTGTGGATTAGGGATCTCAGGTCTTTCTTTTTCTTTCTTTTCTTTTTTAAATTTCCAGGATGTCTACAGCATTCTGCCCATGGCAGGCACTGAGTAGAAGTTGTTGACTTCTAGAGTATGTGACATCTTGATCTCCCTCAAATAATATTTGATTCTAGAAACCAGGGGACAGTTTATTCTCAGTGACTTGGGGAGTCTTTAGAATTAAAAGTATCCTAAATTAAAGAGCAGAAGAGAAAGACTATTAAGCACATTCTCTGTCATCCTGAACAGTAACACATGTAGACCCATGAAATATACTGAAAATTCATCACTAGCACGTCATGTTGAGCACCTAAGCAAATGAGAGCAGTGCATCAGTGCTTATAAATGACAATGGAAAGTTCTAACCTATCACTTAGAACATGGTATTTTTCGAATACTCCTAAAATATTACTAAATGGGCCAGGCGTGATGGCTTATGCCTGTAATCCCAGCACTTTGTGAAGCCAAGGTGGGAGGATTGCTTGAGCCTAGAAGTTTAAGACCAGCCTGGGTAACACAGTGAGACCCCATCTCTACAAAAAAGAATTTTAAAAGTTAGCCAGACAGCCGGGCATGGTGGCTCACGCCTGTAATCCCAGCCCTTTGGGAGGCTGAGGCAGGTGGATCACCTGAGGTCCAGAGTTCGAGACCAGCCTGGCCAACGTGGTGAAACCCCGTCTCTACTAAAAATACAAAAATTAGCCAGGTATGGTAGCGGGTGCCTGTATTCCCAGCTACTCGGGAGGCTGAGGCAGGAGAATTGCTTGAAACCAGGAGGCGGAGGTTGCAGTGAGCCAAGATTGTGCCATTGCACTCCAGCCTGGGCAACAAGAGCGAAACTCTGTCTCAAACAATCAAACAAAAAAAAGTTAACCAGGCATGGTGGCCTATGCCTGTAGTCTCAGCTACTTGGGAGGCTGAGGTGGGAGGATCGCTTGAGCCCAGGAATTTGAGGCTACAGTGAGCATGAGTGTACACTGCACTCTGCACTCCAGCCTGGGTGACAGAGCAAGACCCTATCTCAAAAAAAAAAAAAAATTTTTTTAATGAAATGACACAAAATATTTCTAAATATGAAAAATCAAGCTTGTTCAATCCTAAATCAATACCAGATGATTTGTAAAAGTGACAAAAGGGGCCAGGCACTGTGGCTCATGCCTGTAATCCCAGCACTCTGGGAGGCTGAGGCAGGTGGATCACCTGAGGTCAGGAGTTTGAGACCAGCCTGGCCAACATGGTAGAAACCCCGTCTCTACTAAAAGAATGCAAAAATTAGTTGGACGTGGTGGTATGTGCCTATAATCCCAGCTACTTGGGAGGCTGAGGCTGGAGAAATCACTTGAACCCGGGAGGTGGAGGTTGCAGTGAGCAGAGATCGCACCACTGCACTTCAGCCTGGGCGACAGAACGAGACTCTGTCTCAAAAAAAAAAAAAAAGTGTCAAAAGGGTACACAGCTGGTGATAGTCAAGCTAATATCTATCGAATGCTTACAAGTTCTCAAGTGCTGAGATTACAGTGACTCTGTTCAGTAGCTACTGTTATGCAGCCCCATTTTGCAGATGAGGAAACTGGGGCACTGTGAGAATGAGTCATTTACTAGTGAGTGTCCAACCAGGATTCAAACCCAAGTTTAGCAGTATGCTGGGTAAACCAGCTATCAGAGGGGAAAAAAAAGGAGAATTTTAAAAGCCCTGGCATTTGCCAATTTCTATGATATAAATACTCTCACCAGGGTTGATTTCAAGATATTAATGGTTTAATAATAGTAAAATTCCTGAATATTTAATAATTGGCTTTCATGAGCTTCTGGGAGCTGTCTCCTGCACACCATTGTCAAGTCCATCCCATAGTCAAGTCCACAGTTTACTGTCAACCACGGAAGATGAGATTTCAGCTCATGGAACAGAACTGGTTTGGGGGCAGCATGCTGAGATGCTAGCCCAGGCCAATCAGCCATGGCTACACTCCTACCTCAGACCCAGTACAGACCATGGAACATGGAGCAAAAGAAATAGAAAGCAAAGAACACACTGCCTCCCTTTCTTCGGCAAACTTTCCTTCACCAGGGAGTGGAAGGTGGGGCCCTGCCAGCCTAACACGCTGTGGCAGAAATAAAAAAAGCCTGGATGTTTTTTCCAGGCCCTACAAATATTTTTCTTGGTTAGATAAGTTCAGACTTGAGACTAAAGGAGCTGATCACTTCCTTTCTGAGATCCTTAGTTTCCATAGTATTTTCTTTAAAGAAATAAGGAAGTATTTATTACAAGATGAGGACAGGGTTTGAGCCTGCCTTTAACCAAAGGTAGGGTATTCTGGCCTAATTTGAACCCAATTAAAATACATTTAGACTCTTGGCTTAGCTTCTTTGTCAATACCTATAGGACATCACCTGCTAATTAGGTAGTCTGATAAGATGTTCCACAAGAGGCTCCTGAGAAAGGACTGGCCCTTCAATCAACAAGAATTCACAGGACACTAATAATGCATAGGTATTTGCTCAATGCTAGATACAGAAAGAAAAGGCATAGTTTCTGTCCCAGGGTCTCAGAGACTAATGAAGGAGTCAGTGAAGTAAACGTAGTTAAATTACATTCATTTGCCCATTCAACAGATGTTTATCAAATGCCCATCAGGTGTCAGGCATTTTGCTAGGCACTGGGATACCATTGTGAGCAAGACCAATTGGTTTGTACTATCATGGAGCTGACAGTCCAGTCATGAAAAGAGACATTAAATAATCACAAGAGTGAATGTGTAATTAAACACTGGTAGTAAGAGCCATGAAGAAATGTTAAATGGTCCTATGAGAACTGGAGGAACCTGACTCAGTTCAGGGAAGACAGGAAAGGCTTTCATGAGGAATTGAGAGTTGAACTAAAATTTGAAGAAAAATTAGGAGTTAACCAGGGGAGTAGGGTAGAGAGAAAGAGAGGAACATCACTCCAGAGGGAACAGCATGGGCAAAGGTCCTAGGGTGGGGGGAATCAGAAAATGGAAGGCAAGTTTGGAGGGAGACGTGATGGGAAATGAGGCAGAGGGGGAGTAAGGGCTGAACCTCCCAGAGTCCTGCAGGCCACAGCAAGGCTTTTGTTTTTGTCCCAGAGCAATGGGAAATCACTGAAGAGTTTAGGCAGGGGGATATAGATGGGAATTACACCCAGCGCTGCAGTGAAGTAAAGGAAATGCTGTCTGCTGTTGGGAGAGCACAGGGGAATGAACCCACCTAAACTGGTATATGTGAATTTTAAGAAAGAGTAGGGAGGTTAGGGTTGGGGGATGTGTCCAAATAAGGCTTGCTCGAGGAGGAAATATCCGAAATATCCAGCTAAATTTTTGAAGGGTGAGTGTGACTTAGTCAGACCATGGTGAAAGGGTGGAGGAAAGGAGGGAAGGAGGGAGGAAGGGAGGGAGGGAGAAAGAGAAAGAGAAAAAGAGAGAGAGAAAAAATACTGTTGGCAGCAGCACAATGTTTGGGCTAAGACCTGGGTGAGTATGAGGGTGTAGGGGGACTATAAAAAGAGGCCAATAAGAGAAAAAGTCACAGGGTTAAGAAGGGGTCAAATGATGAGAGCCTCACAGGTCATGGCAGGAGTCTGGGTTTTATCTGGAAAGACAACGGGAAATCAATGACCCAGTCAAAGATCTACAGCAGGGGAGTGATGAGTTAGAATGGTCACTAGCAGCAGAATTGACAGTGGATTGAAAGAAGGCAGTGCTGGAAAGGTGGGACCTGCTGCAGCAGCCCAGGTGAGACAGGTGCTGGGTCTGTGCTAAGGCAACAGAAGTGAGGCTGGAGAAAAGAGGATGGCTTTAGGAGACACTAAAAAGGTAAAACTGAAAGGGCATTTTCACCAACTGAACAGGTGGGAGTGATTTCTATTCTGCCCAAAGAATAGTCTGAATGAAACAAATTTTTCTATTTGGGTTGTCTTGCCTTATGACCTGGTACATGGTCAATTTTCGTAAATGCTCCATGTATCTTTGATAAGAATGATGTTCACTTCATTGTTGGGTACAAGGTTCTTTTATACACTCATCAATTAAGTTTACTAGTTGTGTATTTCAATCTTCTACATATTAATATTTGGTGTCTGTTTGCTCTATCATTTATGACAGAAATGTATTATAAAATCTCCCACCATAATTGCGGAGTTGTCACTTTCTCTTTACATATTTGTCAATTTTTGTTTTATGTATTTTGAGGCTATGTCATTAGATATATACATGTTTGGAATTTGTATATCTTTCTGTTGAATTAATCCACTTATTATGTGGCAATCCCTTTTATCTTTAGTCATTCTTTTTGCCTTAGACCTACTTTATCTGATATTAATATAGCCACACGAGTTTTCAATTTTTTTTTTTGAGACGGAGTCTTGCTCTGTCACCCAGGCTGGAGTGCAGTGGCGCGATCTCAGCTCACTGCAAGCTCCGCCTCCTGGGTTCACACCATTTTCCTCCCTCAGCCTCCCCAGCAGCTGGGACTACAGGCGCCCACCACCATGCCCAGCTAATTTTTTTGTATTTTTAGTAGAGACAGGGTTTCACTGTGTTAGCCAGGATGGTCTCGATCTCCTTACCTCGTGATCCGCCCACCTCGGCCTCCCAAAGTGGTGGGATTACAGGCGTGAGCCACCGCGCCCAGCCGAGTTTTCAATTTTTTTGTTAACATTTGTCTGGTATCTATTTTTCATTCTTTTGCTTTTAACCTCTCTATGTCATTATGTTTTAAATGTGTCTCTTGTAATCAGAGTGCAGATGGAGTTAAAAAAAAAACAGTAGCTAGTAAATTTAGCACATTTACATTTATTGTGATTATACATATATTTGGATTTATTTTGGCCACCTAATTCTGAGCAATTTTTTTACTTTATTTTCTTTTTTTCTTTTTCTAGATTATTTTGGAATAGCACAGGGTTTTGTTTTTTTTTCGTTTTTTGGTTTTTCTTGAGACGGAGTTTCGCTGTTGTTGCTCAGGCTGGAGTGCAATGCCACAATCTCAGCTCATCACAACCTCCGCCTCCCGGGTTCAAGCGATTCTCCTGCCTCAGCCTCCTGAGTAGCTGGGATTACAGGCATGCGCCACCATGCCCGGCTAATTTTGTATTTTTAGTAGAGACGGGGTTTCTCCATGTTCGTCAGGCTGGTCACGAAGATAAGCACAGTTTTATTTATTCCACCTTATCCCCCTTACGCCTACCAGTTGCCGCTTGGACTAAATACATTCTATTTCTTTTCTTTTAGTAGTTACCTTTAACATTTAACATGTATATTTGACTTAACAAAATTTAGTTAATATCTCTAAGGAAGAATTAAGATTTTGGGTGATGCCATTCATAGCCACAGGCAGCAAGGACTTAGAGCATATTTGGAACCAAAGCCAAGGCCTGTTTTGTATATGCTGGGTTTGAGGATACATCCAATTATCACCTTAGCAGGTGTCTGTCTACACATCTACCTTCAGTGGCTTTATATACTCTGCAAAATATCCTCCTTCATGGGTATTCCACATTGCTTACACAGTGACAGGGATTAAAAACAAAACTAAAGGCTGGGCGTGGTGGCTCACGCCTGTAATCCCAGCACTTTGGGAGGCTGAGGCGGGTGGATCACGAGGTCAGGAGATCGAGACCATCTTGGCTAACACGGTGAAACCCCGTCTCTACTAAAAATACAAAAAATTAGCCGGGCGCGGTGGCAGGCGCCTGTAGTCCCAGCTACTCAGGAGGCTGAGGCAGGAGAATGGCGTGAACCTGGGAGGCGGAGCTTGCAGTGAGCCGAGATTGTGCCACTGCAATCCGGCCTGGGCTAAAGAGCGGGACTCCGTCTCAAAAAAAAAAAAAAAAAAAAAAACAAAACAACTAAAAAATAAATGTCAGTGTTTGCCTTCCTTTGATTCTTAACACATCACAGTCTTTCCTTCCAGCTTAGTTTCCAGGGCCAAGCTGGGCACAAATGTCTCCTAGATATAATGGGCCTCGCAAATAACTGTAATAACTATATAGTAACTGTCACTATATTAACTGTTGATAAGCTGAGAACTGAGTCTGAAATGCAGACCAGGATTTTTTCTTACATAACCATGGCTTACCTTTGTGCCTTTCATCTTCTCTGCTATGTTTGTGGCTTACAGCACAGGGGGAGGAGCTTAGCTAATTTCTGCCAAATATGGGAATGAAAAACTTCTATTTTCAAACCAATTAAAAAATTATTTTAAATTAAGCATTTAATCACAGCTGACTTAGATCACACCAGGCTCCAACGAGTTCAACATAACCAGTTACTATTATCTCCTATAGGTCAGGTCCAATTTTTCAAGCGCTGTATCAATATTGTACCCATTTAATCCTTTAGACAACTGTGTGAGAGGCAGGATGAGAATTATTAGAGGAAACATCTCAGAAGGAGTGAATGACTCGCCCGGGTTCCCAGAGCCAAAGTGGTTGCTTACTATCCACATCCTGTTCATGTGTCAGAGTTCAGGTTCCCTTCCAGAGGCCACAGCTGACAAAGTATGTCAGCCTTAACACAGATGTTCCAATAGGCTTGGTGTTCCTCTAACCTGGGTGTCACTGATAAATCAAAAAAATCATCTGGATTTCCTAAAATCTCACCCGTACCCCAAATCTCAAAGGGCTAGGCTTCGTGCACAATGGTGACACGGAGTTCGCTGGGCTTGATCTTCTCCATTTCCCAGCACAACACAGACAATCCCCTCCTCTGACAGCCACTAAAAAGAAAATAGTAACAAGAAGCAGAGCTTATAAATTTCCTTACACTTAATGCCTGATTTCACTTAGTTAATGGATTCATTTATTAAAGCAATTTGTGTAAATCTCCAAGGACCTGCTAACGTTGCTGCCTTATGGTTTTATCACGCCATATACTTCCTTTATTTCTACCCTTTAACAAATAGTGGATTGGCAAGGAACTTTGGACCAACTACCGCTCAAACTATAGGTAAATTACAAATAAAGTTTAAAATAAGGGCTTTTCATGCCCCTGGGGTTTCCTTTAGCAACAAAAAGGGATTTCATTTTTTATATGTTTCAGCTGAGTCATCAATCTCAGTTACCATGGTCTGTCAGTTTCATGTTGACTCCAGGCTTATTTTCAGAAGCCTACATGTCTCCTTCAGGTTTTCAGTTGTGGATCTGAAGGGTTTGGGGAGCCATCTGACATCAGTATAGGCACCCTCATGATGCTCCCTCTCACTGAGGGGATCAGGCAGAGAGCAGAGTTGTGGCCTTGTATGACTGCAGGTACACTGTGGTCAGGAGGGAGGGGCCCCTGAGGACCTGCTGGGCTCTGGCTGAGGTTATTTAGCCAGTGAAAACTCCACAGTGATGAAGTCTGGGCTGCATGGCTCATACACACATGGTCTAGAATCTAGAAGAAAAGCCATTCTTTTTTTTTTTGAGACAGAGTCTCGCTCTGTCGCCCAGGCTGGGGTGCAACGGCGCAATCTTGGCTCACTGCAACTGTCGTCTCCCAGGTTCATGCCATTCTCCTGCCTCAGCCTCCCGAGTAGCTGGGACTACAGGCATGCACCACCAGACCTGGCTAATTTTTGTATTTTTAGTAGAGATGGGTTTTTGCCATGTTGGCCAGACTGGTCTTGAACGCTTGACCTCAGGTGATCCACCCACCTCGGCCTCCCAAAGTGCTAGGATTGCAGGCATGAGCCACCACACCTGGCCTGAAAGGCCATTCTTAAAATGAAATTGCCCCACAATCAGAGGCAAATGGGACCTACACTGGAGGAAGTCCAGAGACAAGGAGAAACAAAATTCGGCCCACCTAAGATTGACAATACAAATGACTATTTGTGCAGTTAAGTGGCAACCACTGGTATATAATTATTGTCTCCTGTACCAAATGAAGTACATAACTTAGGAAGTGCTTGGAAAAAATAAATGAAAGAAAAAAATCATTACCTCTTAGTTGTATTTTAAGGAAGGGGAATCTGGTGATGGTTGAGTGCTAATAGAGAGGTGAGGGATAAAGATATCCACACTGGGAAGAGCTAAATTGCTTTACATTAGAAGTGGATCCAGAAGGGAGTGGAGTGAGGAGTTAGAGTGAGAGGCTGGGTGGAGAGAGGAGTGAGTGGAGAGACAGGAAGAGACAGAGGGACAGAGAGTAAGAGAGCCAGAGGTGGACACAGAAGGACTTAGAGGCTTATGGATAAGAAAGTAAGGTTTGGAAGAGACAGTGAGGATGGAGAGAGATTGTACTATGCAAGGTAAACTCTGCAATCCTCTCTGTGAAATTGACATAAATAAAATTACATATATGTGGTATTATATTTATTTTCTGTCTGTTGCTGTATTATGTGAAAAGAATTAATCGAAGTTTCACCATATGGGATGGAGGGGACATTTGGGATGATCTGACTTTAAATATAGTTTATATGGTATTTGCGAAATTCTCTTTGGGATTCTTGGAGGCACCTCCAACACTAGTTGAAACCAGGGACAATGGCTGGCCCATGTGGTGGCAGAGTGGGAAAAATGTACCAGAAACATTAAAATGCCAGGAGCAGAGAAAACAGATGGAGGCTTCCAACATGAGCCCTCATTTTAAAGTCATAAGGACAAATTATTGTAATTGGTGTCTTGATTTATGATGGAACCATCTCCTATGAGAGCAGCTCCGCACAGCTGCTACAGGCACTGATGGATGGTTAGTGCAGGGAAGGCAGGGTAGCTGCTGGTCTTCCATGATGCTCACGAAGCTGCTGGGGTGGGCTTCTCCTGGAGAAGGTGGAGATGCATGGAGTCCTGTTTCACAGATGGCATGGGGGCAAAAGGAGAGGCTGTTGGTGGAGACTAGCCAACCTTTGGGTCACAAATAAATATATGAATGACAAGTTAATGGTGGCAGATGTACATGTCAGGCAATGGGTAAAAACCCCACTCCTCATAAAAAGACTAGTGTGGATAAAGTCACTAAACCTTTTCATGGTGATCAAGGGCAAATTGGGGCTTTCTGTTCCCAGACTCCTTTTGCGATTCAGCTCCATCGCTTACTAGCTGTTGCCCTTGGGCAGGTCACTGAACATCTGTAAGCTTTGGTTTTATTAAAAATGATGATAATATTAGTGTCCACTTCAAGGGATTATGGTGAGATTACTTGAGATAACCTGTAGCCCAAAATACGTTAATGATGAGGGTGATGATTTTTATTCTAAGACCACTTGATAATCAATATGTATTGATGATCACATTCACTACTCACACTTACAAAGTACAGCTCCCAGGCCGGGCGCGGTGGCTTACGCCTGTAATCCCAGCACTTTGGGAGGCCGAGGCAGGCGGATCACGAGGTCATGAGTTCAAGACCAGCCTGGCCAACATGGTGAAACCCCATCTCTACTAAAAATATAAAAATTAGCCTGGTGTGGTGGCGCATTCCTGTAATCTCAGCTACTTGGGAGGCTAAGGCAGGAGAATTGCTTGAACTGGGACCCGGGAGGCCAAGGTTGCAGTGAGCTGAGATCGTGCTACTGCACTCCATCCTGGGCTACAGAGACTCCGTCTCAGGAGAAAAAAAAAAAAGTGCAGTTCACACGTTAGTTTCCTGGTCTCTTTTTGGCCTCTTTCTTTTCAGTTTTTAGAGTCACCAGCACTTCCTTCTCCTAAATGGTGGGGCAAGTATATGTTTTAACCAATTCTAATGCTCATTGGTTTTGTTTTTTAATCCTTTGAGGTGTAAGTGATGCATTTTCACATTAATAATATAAGTTTGTATGTAGTGGCTACATATAATGTTAAAGGTATATTATATATAATATGGTGGTTTCTGTGTTCTATCTCACATTAGAAAATAGCTAGGATGAAAACAGCCTGCGTGCAAGGGACAGACCCACCTTCTCTGTGCCACATGAAGCTATGTGGAAAGCTGCAGAATGGGCAGGAACCAGGCATAGCCTTCATAATGATCTGTCTCATAACATTTCCTTTGATATGGTATTTGCCCTTTAAAAACCCCACTTACTCCCACTCTGTGCCTTTTTCCCTGGTTCCAGTTCTGTTTCCCCCAGCAAATCCAGAAGCTTCCCTTAACATACTAACCCTTTACTTTCCCTGTTGTGTCCCTGAAAGGCCTCCTGTGCCTTTGGCTGCAGGTCCCGAACGTCCAGGCCATCTGTGCTATCTGCTTCGCGGTACCTCACCAACGCAACGTGAGGGTGGAGGGCAGAACCTTGGTCCTGGCCTCTCAGCTTTTGTGGGTTTCAGCCAGACCCTAGGTGTTATTTTAGTGCAACTTTGGTGTTTAATTTGAGGATGTGTGTGGACCAGAAGGAGGGACCAAAACATGATTCTTTTCCCCATGGTCAGATGATTAAATTTGAAGTTCTAAAAAATGCAGTTTGGTCCAAAGCTGTGTCCAATTGGGAAGAGAGAAAAATGCCCTGGAAACCCCTCCCAGGCCTGGGACCATCCTTCCTTAACCACCAGCCACCTCACAGGCCCGCGGACTGCGGGCATCACCTGGGCAGGCTGTGCTTACTCACTACCCGGGAACCCTGTGCCCTGGAGCTGTCCTTCCTCTCTTCAAAGTGCATTTTGTGCCTTTGCTGGAAGAACCGACTACAGGTTTGTTCAATTTCTTACAGTCTTGAAAGCGCCACAAGCAGCAGCTGCTGAGCCATGGCTGAAGGGGAAATCACCACCTTCACAGCCCTGACCGAGAAGTTTAATCTGCCTCCAGGGAATTACAAGAAGCCCAAACTCCTCTACTGTAGCAACGGGGGCCACTTCCTGAGGATCCTTCCGGATGGCACAGTGGATGGGACAAGGGACAGGAGCGACCAGCACAGTAAGCCCATCTCTATGGCACCCCCCTTCCCTTTCTGACATCTTCTGTAGTCAAGGTGGGAGGAAGGTGCACATTTAAGTACAGGTACTTGCTTCTCCAAGGTTCTATTCAGGCATGACACATTCAGAGGTGGAGTCACATAAATGCGTAAAATGTCTGGGTTTAGAAAATAGGGACTTGTGGGGGCCACCACTTACCCAAACGTGTCCTATTTCAAGTTTTTTAAAGCACTCTCTGCTGACCCAACAGAACGGGCTGCCGGTGCTCAATTGCTGTATGTTTTCCCAGGTTTCTGTAACTAGTGAAAGATCTGGCCCCGAAGGCTAGTCAGGGGCCTGCACGCTTCATGATGGGATGAACCAGACAGGCATGGTGGTAAATCCTGCACAGAGATGTGGGCTCCGTTTCAAGTCAACTGACTCTCCTGGTTATGTTTCCACTGGGCTTGATTTGTGAAATCCCAGTTCATAATCGTAGTCTTACACATCATAAATTATGCAGCTTTCCCTCTGCGTATCACGCAGATGTGGCTGTGGTAACCAGCAGTGGTAAAGTCATTCTCCAGACCTTATAGAAACTGGAGAGTAGGAGCGACTAGCGCCAAATGCTGAATATCTCTTCCAGGACTTCCTGGCAGCCCGGTTCTCAGAGGTGTTGACAAATGAAGGTATGACTCTAGAGAAAAGAATCTTCTTGACTATCTAAGTATAAAAAAATCTCTTCCTTCTGCTTTGGTACTTCTGGCATTGGTGTGTATGTTTGATATTAGGTGTCCAGGTCCTATCGTGATGTTATCTGAGATTCCCTGAGTCCCACTGCAGCATCAGAGGTTACAAAGAAGCCTAAAGTCAGATCCAGTCCCTGCTTAGAGGGTCAGCAATCTCAAGAGTCAAACTTGCCACAAATCAAGAGAAGGAAAATCAGGAGACATAGAAGAAGACAGGCAGGAAGGAAGTTTCTGTAGGACTGGCTTCAAAATGCAATGCAAAACACTCACTTTGACATGATGGTTTATACATCAGGTGGTCTTAATTATTCATGGACCATGCACCAGAGGTTGCAGGCTCTAAGAACAAATGACCACTTCGCTGGTGCTCACGCTGTACCCTCAGATGCACAGGTAATGGGGATGGATGCTGGCGTTTACACGAGGTGACGTTGTTCCTTCCTCCCCACCCACTGCACAGACCCTGGAGATGAGGAGCAGGAAGGCTGAGGCTGGGGCTTGCAGCTGCAGAATTAGCTCTTTTGGGCTTTGTTTTGATGGCTTATCTTCAAATGGGCTTGCTGAATGTCTTATACTCAGTGAAAAACAGGTGTCAGAATGAGGCAAAAAAAAAAGACTCTAGTTTGTTAAATAGCATACATAAGCAATATTCACTGCAAATTAGCAAACTTAGATTGTAGTCCATTGTGTCAGGCATGATACACAACTCACGTGATCTGCCCCACACAACACGAACAAGCTTTAATTCCTCTGGGTTTTAAGTGTTCCTAATACGTCTTAACCAATTTTCTGAAAAAGTAGGGAATGCTCTCCGGTCCTCAGAACCCAAGAGGAAAGACAAACTTCATGATATGTTCCTTGGGGTTAAGCTAGCTCTTCTGGAAACCTTGACTTCTGGAGTAAAAAAAGGCTCCAATACTGGAATTTCTGTAGCAATGGAAAATGGCTTAACTGTTGCCATTCCATCATTAGCACAACAGACTGCACTCTGGGTGTGTAACACTGGCACAACTTCTGGAGTCCACAGTGGATTTGGCCGCCTGACTTAAGATGTCAGGAGCCCCTAGAAAGCAGCACAACGTAGCCCTGGGAGTGCAGGTGAGGATTTCTGCATTCAAGGAATGCCAGATTATTTTCCAAGTGAACTTGGGCAACTGCACCTTTCACCCTCACTTTTCTCATTTGTACAAAAAGAATACTAATATTCCTTGCCTCACAGGTTTCTTGGGAGGGTTAAATGAGATAATATAGTGAGAGTTCTTGGCACAGTGGCTGGCACAGAGGAACAGCACAGCACGTGTTGGTTCATATTGCAGTTATCATCATCAAGCTTTCCATATAATCAGCCTAGCATATGGTAACACAGGGTCGTATTGAAGGACCTTCCAGACTCCTCTTTTTAACAGTACTGCCACCCAGGAAAGTCAAGGGGCTAGATGCAGGCTTAGATTCAGCATCTCTCTGCCAACACTCGGAGTTGTTGTGTGGGCCTATTATTTGCTTACTCTGGAACTAAGAACAAGGACCAAGAGGACAGAGATCAGAGTAAGTGGGGTGGGTGGCCAGAAGCCCATCCGTGTACCTGTCAGTACTGGAACTGGATATTCCACTGAAGAGTCAGCAGGCTCGAGTTCAAGCCTACTCTGCCCCTTTCTACCTGGAGCAGCCCTGGACAATTAACGTTCTTGCCATTATGCATTCTTTCTGTTTGCAAACTCTGCGAAAGAAGCTTCAAGCCCCCCAGCCCTGGGACGCTTCCAGTCCTTTCCTGACTAGAAATTGAAGTGTCTCTAGTGTTCCCAGATAATTTTCAGGAAAATCATTTAGTCTCGCTGAGACTCAGTTTCCTCACCTGTGGAATGGGAATGGCAGCATTGCCCAGTGTGCCTCACAAGGGCGAAACTTCTATTTACTAGGGTTCTGCAGGTGAGAGGAGTCCTGGGCACGGATGTACTCCCTGAATGTGGTTCTGTTGCCCTCTTCTGCCCAGTGGTGGTACTGCCAGAGCCCTTCTGAGTTTCAAGGGTTATTCAGAAACAGAATTGCCTCGGCCAGGCATGAGACGGATGCTCCCTGACTAAATGTGATCCACACGGCCTGGCAAGGAGATATTTTTGATTCCTTGATCACTAGTTTGAGCATAATTAGAGACTGAAGTGACAGAGTCACACGTTAAGACTTCCTTCAGAAAGAGCGTTTCTAAAAGCCAATCGAAAAATTTAAACAAATCACACAAGATAGAACCGTATGCCTTTGAGCTCTACAAGGCAGAAATAACTCCTTTCACGGCTTCTCTTTGTCCCCAAGTCATTGATCATTCCTGGGCAAATGTATCTTCTTCCTACCTCTAGGAGAATGAGTTTCCAAGTACCTAACCTTCCTTATAGTGGTATAACCCTAGGGCAGATGCTTGTGTGTGGGCTGTTCTAATAGAGACCTGAGTAAAATGTCTCTACTGGTGGACTTCTAGCCTGCAGAGAAGGTGGTTTTGGTTTGTCCCATTTCCATTCCTTAGATCGCTGCTGCAGGCAATTACCAATATGGACTGTGAACATTGGTTACGCTGCCATGCTAGGAAGGCCAGGCAGAATCAGCCAGGGAGTGCTGCATAGATTCCAGGGCTGATGGGCACAGTTTGTGAGAAGGTTCATGTTGTCCCCTAAGCTTCAGCTCAGGGGGACACATAAGTGGTGTCACCATGAGAGGGGGAGGTCCTGGAAGAAGATCAGGTCCAGGGGAAGATGGCCAGTTCCATTTTGGACACAAGCATTGAGGAGTGTCTCACGTACCATGCAGCTGTCCTCAGGGTTATAATTCTCCATTTATTTGTGCGATTATTTAATGGTTTTCCCTCCTACTGGACTCCTAGAGGACAAGGACTTTGTCTCTCATTGCTCAACACTACAAATTTTGTGTCTAGCACATTGCCTGCCACTTGGTAAAATGTCCAGTAAACATTAATTTGATAAGTGACTGAATTGTATTGGTGGCAGCTAAATTCAAAGTCAACAATATATTCAATAAACATCTATGAGCCCTGATATGTGCTAGGCATTATGCTGAACTCCTTCACTTCTACCTAACCACAACCTTGAGAAGTTACTAATTATTATCACTCTAAGAACACTGCAGTTGACAGGCGTGACCAGCTCCTAACTGGGAGGGCTTGGCACCAACCACATCTTCTGCTTCCAGGATTAAGGCTCCTTCTGTATCCCACAACCATCCGACACCAACATCATGACAGTGGTTCCGCCCCACAAACTGATTCAATAAACACATCTGTGTTATGGATCAGATGGGTGTAGGTCGGGTCCCAACACTGCTGTTCACCAGTTGTATCATCCTGGGACAGTTACTTCTCAATGTGCCTCAGTTTCCTTGTTTTAAAAACAAGAATGACAACAGCACCCACTCATAGGAACGTAGGAGTTTTAATGTGATAATGTTTGTAAGAGTGTTTAGCACACTGCTAGGCACATAAGTGCTCAAAAAAAATGGTATTGATCATCATTCTTCCGGGATTCCTGAGCCTTCCTCACCTAACCAGCTGACCTTTCAAGTCTGTTAGATTAAGTGAATGCTATGCTTGCTCGCAGAACTGAGGGTGACTCTTTGTCCCAGCTTCTCTGGGACTATCTGGGTTGAAGCCCCTGAGGCCTGACACAGAGGCATAATGTGCCCAGACACAGGTGCAGCAAGCCCCGCCCCATCTCACTCCTCTGGCAGGGCAAGTCTGCTCTGTGATTGACTCTGATCTTTCTGGGGAGTTTCCTCTCAGGTGAAGGGGGACCATGACTTATCCCTCAATGGGATTAATAACTGCAACAATAATTAGAGAATAATTTCCTCACAAGCATTCCAAACCTTCAGCTGCCTGCCACACCCACAACTCCTCAGCTCCCCAAGCACGCAAGAGACTACGTGGGGAGCAGAATTACCGGCACCACTCACTGCACAAATGGAAATGTTCTTAAGCAAAGTGCGTGCCAATCAAATATTTATAAATCAAGCCACATCCTAAAGGCGCTAGCAGAGTTCACTGGTCAAAACAATCCTACCTTGCAGCCCTTTCTAAAGGGCAGATTCCTCTTCATGAAATGCCTCCTGCCCTGTTGCTTTAGGGGAGTCCAGACTTCTATTTTCTGGTTGGGATCACTCAGCACCTAGCAGTTAAGGCACTTTATTCCCCACCAACATAGACCCGAAGTCAAAACAGTTTTTCAAATGACCACGATGGGGAGAGCTGGACCCCACTGCCAGAAGTCAGAGAGAAGGGGAGGTCTCCAGGCAGGAATGTACTCCGCGACAGGGTTCTCTCACCTCGGTCATATGTGATGGGAAGGACTCCTTGCCCTCCTCCCCACAACCCTCATCTGATTACATAGAGGATTTTTATACATAAACTTTAAAATACACACACACACACACACATAATATATCACATATACTATATATATATGATATATATGTGTATATATACTATATATATATGATATATATGTGTGTGTGTATATATATATGTCATTCAGTCTCTGGACTGTATCAAAATTTTCCAGACAACTTTTTCAGACCTTAAAGAAGCAGACACCTTTTAAGATAAGGTTTTTTTTTTCATATATATTTACATATATGTGTGTGTGTGTGTATATATATATATATATATATATATATATATATATATATATAGATGTGTATATATATTTATATATATGTATATGCATATATATATATTTTTTACCACTGGAATTATTTTCCCCCAAATTCGATTTTTCCCCTTCTCTGTCTTTCTCTAATGTTTTACCAATCCCGGCTTGTGGCTACATTTTAATTATAAATGTCACTGACATAAAACAACCGCACCAATTTCTGAATGAGGCTGACCTCACTTTGGGTAAACACGGCAAAGGACGGGAAGTCTCCAACCCAGAATAAACCAGGCACATAATCTCTCTTGGCCTCTCTTTGGAGAGCAGAGGCGGAAAGCAGGCTTAGAGGCCACAGACAGACATGCTACAGAAGCAGAACCTCTCTCTCCAGGCATTTTCCTCATTGAATGCACCAGTTGTGGTCTTATCGTTACATTTGCCTGGGATGGGACAGGAAGATGCTAGGATAGCTTGGGGCTCAGAAACAGGGTGCAAGACCTCAAAGTTGACTTCTCTTGGCACTGGCAGGATCATAACCCTTTTTCCTTTTTTCTACCTTTGGAAAGTAAGGGATTGCTATTCTTACTGTGAACAAACTACTGCTAAGACCTAATGGAAGGCTTTGGGGAGCAGAGGAGAAAACCAAAGCTACAAACTTAGTTCCTCAGACAAAAGGTGTGAACAGTGAGTTGCGGGCTAGCACAGCCATGCAAAAGCTCTGGGCTCCCCTTTATGTAGGTTTCCCAGGTATGCAGGGACTCGTGAAGCAGTTTAAATAATGAGCATGGGACAAGGAAGACCATGACCCACAAAGGTGAGTTTGCACATTTCAGTTTCATTGACATGTAGTTCTGACAAATAGGCTGTTTTCAAACCAACACTTCTTAACTCATTCTTAGTAAAGGAGCAGGACTCTGGATTCTATTGCGGGCACATACAGTCACAAATCCACCAAGTAAACACTTCCAGCCCTCTTCCCGTACATTTTTACAATGCTTTATCTGAGTTTGAATTTCTCCAAGAAATTTCTATCGTTAGAGTACCTTTTTAAAAGTTGCTTTCCATTTCTTCAGCTAAATTAATTGTTAATGTCCCCATTTCAGAAGGGGAAAATGAAGTACCCTACAGACCATGGACGTATCTTGTTTTTCAAAAAGTACTTGCCCCTTCATCCCTGGGATACTTGAGAGACACTGACCTTCCTGTTCATAGATAGCAACTCCTAGATCCCCGTATGGGATAAAGAAGAGTGCTTGCTCCTCATTTGCTCTGTGCGCTAACCTGGTCGGGGGGTATTGAAAAAGGGAGTGGACAGAGAAGTTAGAGCTTTAGAGGTGCCTCATCCACCCGTCCTGCCTCCCCATTTCTCCTGGGTCCCTGTCTGCCCCCAAGAAGACCCACCTTTTATAAGTGCCTATGCTCTGGTCTAGATGCAACATGGACTCAAACCTAAGCTGGGTCATAAAACATCTCAGGGGTCACGAGGAACAAAAAGTGGGAGTCTTGGCCAGCTCTAAGTGTCCCATTGACTATGAACGGAGCTTTAACACATCAGCTACCATCCTAAAATGTATGAAGGAGAATCAGGGGAGATCATAGCAAATCCCTGATGAAAATTTTGTAAAATACACAAAACAATATGCATAGTTCATGCATACGTAGTAAAATAGAAAACTATGCACTAGATATAGACTAAACACCAGCAAACACTAGGAATCCTATCACTCAGAGTCCTCCAGTGTCACCAGCTGGCTGTTCTTACCTCAGAACTGTTTATAAAGAAATAGAGTTAGGATGAAGGAAACATTTCCTCAATTCCTCTCCCAGTCTTAGTTCCTCTTATCCTTCCCAAAGCAGCTACTTGTATGAATCTGGTCAGTATCTGGTGCACAGTTTTATATTTTACTATAGATGTATTCATGAGCTACACACGTATTGTGTTCTTTTTCTTTTCTTTTCTTGAGATGGAATCTCGCTCTGCCGCCAGGCTGGAGTGCAGTGGCACGATCTCGGCTCACTGCAACCTCCTTCTCCCGGGTTCAAGCAATTCTCTCGCCTCAGCCTCCCGAGTAGCTGGGATTACAGGCGCCCACCAACACATCTGGCTAATTTTTTTTTTTTTGTATTTTTAGTAGAGACGGGGTTTCACCCTGTTGGCCAGGCTGGTCTTGATCTTCTGACCTCGTGATCTACCTGCCTCGGCCTCCTGAATGCATTGTGTTTTTTAATATGATTTTCATCAAGGATTTACTATATTCTCCCATTGCAATTTAGTTTTTTTCACTGTATGTTATATTCTACCTTTCTTTGAAAGGGGATTAAAAAAAAAAACTACATACACACACACACACACACACACACACAGAGAGAGAAAGAATGTTGCAGATTTTGTGCTTTTGTTTGCTTTTAGCTCAAAAACAATTGCAGCTTTTGTTATTGTGTTGCTGTATCACTCCCAGGTTCATTTGTCTGTATCCCTAATCATGCAGAAGCCCCAAGTGCAGGGACCATGGCTGGCGCTGAGCGTAAGTCCCAGCACCTAGTAGATGAATATGTGTTGACTGAATGGTTTTCTGTCCCCCAACCCTGAGCTGCTACCCGAGGAAAAAGCTGCTGCTGTGTGGCCAGCCCCTCCCTCTCTTCCCAAGGCCCCACTTTCTCATGCTCTCTCCTTCCTTGCCTGTCCTCAGCAGCAGCTGCAAGAGGATGTAGGTCTGGAAAACTGGAATGAAGTCACACTAGAGAGCTGGACACCAAGCCAGCTACACAAGCCGCTCAGCCTGGGTGTTGCTCCTTCCTGCCAGCCCTACTTGCAGAAGGATATATGTTTAGGAAACTTAGCCAGAAAGAAATCTAGTGAAAATGAGCTATGAAACTTGGACATCCTGGAGAAATAATATTTACAGAGGAAACTTTTGAGACGAACTCTCACCGGCACAACAAACCTGGTGTCGGGACTCATGGCTGAGGGCTGAAGTCATGTGCTAAGCAGGCCTCTGGCTCTTGTTTACCTCTATGAGGCCTCTTCATGGCCATGATGGAACTCCACAGATGGCAAAGCCAACCCTATTCAGCCCCATGGCCAGACAAGTGGGTGCTATTGAAGGCAGCAAAACAGAAATGCATAGGAAATGAAAAGCTTTTTAAAAATCTTCTTTGATTGGCTGGGCACGGTGGCTCATGCCTGTAATCCCGGCATTTTGGGAGGCCGAGGGGGGTGGATCGCCTGAAGTCAGGAGTTTAAGACCATCCTGGCCAACATGATGAAACCCTGTCTCTACTAAAAATACAAAAAAAAAAAAAAAAAAACTAGCCAGGCATGATGGTGCGTGCCTGTAATCCCAGCTACCTGGGAAGCTGAGACAGGAGAATCGCTTGAACTGGGAGGTGGAGGTTGCAGTGAGCTGAGATCACACCACAGCACTCCAGCCTGGGCAACAGAGTGAGACTCCATCTCAAAAGAAAGAAAAAAGAAACAAACAAACAAAAAAAACTTCCTTGATTACCTAAAAAGACCTCCCCTTTGGGGTTTCTGTCGCACCTATAATGTGTTTGACTAAATATCTACATATATGGGCGATAGGTTGAAAAGAGTCCCAGGCAACTAACCTCACTCCATTCCATGGCTACAGATGGGATCCTGGATGGCCACCCACCATCTTGTCCATGTGTGATCTTGAACACAAGAGGGTCCAAGCAGGAGAGTATCGCTGGATTTGGATCAATCCATTCCCATAATTGGAGCCCAAGAGATTGTGTGAAAGACAGGAAAAAGTAGGATACTTGGAGTACTCGACCTGGGGTCTGGTCATGATTTTTCCCCTTCTTAGAAGTATAACATTGCATAAAACACACTCTCACCAAACTTCAGCTCTTCACCAAAGGACAGAGCAAGCACCACCTTCCTCCAGGGAACACTTCGAGGAGAAAAGGCCACAAAAGCACAGAGGAAACAGTCATACGAGTACTGGCCACTTTCCATGCATTAGCCCTTACAACAACTCCCACTATAGATAAGGAAACAGAGGCAAATACTTTGCCCGATGATCACACAGCTAATAGGCAGCCAAGCAGAACTTGAGTTCATGCAGTTGTGTTCTGGAGCCCACACTCTTTAATTTTATACTGTTTATATCAAGATAGAAACTAGCATGGTGCCTGGCACATTGTAGGTGATCAATAAAAGTTAGCCCCTTCCTTTGATCTCTCTTAAACATATAGGATTATGCTGAGAAATTGACACAAAAGTATATGTGAAGGTTCTCTGAAAACCATAAAGTCTGATAACCATTTAAAAAAAAACCAGCTTTATTGAGATAACACACATACCATACAATTCACCTATTTAAGTTGTACAATGCAATGGATTTTCTTACAACTTAACAGAGTTGTGCAACCAACACCACAATCCATTTTAGAATATTTTCCAAAAGAAGCCCCATGCCTTTTAACCATAATTCCCCCATCTCCACCCACCCTGGCCCTGGATACCCTGAATCTACTTGCTGTCTTTATGGATTTGCCTATTCTGGACATTTCATTTAAATGGAAACATAAAACACATGGTCCTTTGTGATGCTTTCTTCCCACTCAGCACTGTTTCCAGACTCATCTGTGTTGTGGCATGCCTCAGAACTCTGTTCCTTTTTATTGCCAAAGAATATTCTATTGGCATTCCATGTATCTACTTGCTCCATAGACTGTTAGACTGAGAAATAACTTTATGGAGACTGAGCGCAAATACCCCTCATTTTACTGAAAAAGAGACTGTGTCTAAGAGGCTATGCAGCCTAGCCAAGATCACTCAGCTCAGAGCCCAGCCTTGAGCCTTACAACTCTCCACGTGGTCCCATCTTACTGCCCCCCTCAGAGAGTTATTGGAGACATAATTCAAAGTGCACAGCTTATTGATAATGGGCCAGGAGAATCATCTCTGCCAATATTAGCCCAACACCATTCATTCACCAAATAATGTAGACTGCCCCCTGTGTGCAGGGCACTGTAGGAGGTGCTGAGGACCCCAGAGGGAACAGGACAAGATCTCTGCCCTTCCTCTCAGAGTGTACACTTTCCTGAGGAGGCAGAAATAGATCAGTAGCTCCCTAGATAATAAAATCATTGCATGTTGTACTAAGTGCCATGAAAGAAACAAGGGGCAGAGGAGGAAGAGGATGTGGGGGAGGGTGGTATTGGCAGGGAGAATGGGGTGGGGATGAAAGGACCCCGTGCGCAGAGTGTCACACACTCTGGGGAGGGCCTCTTTTAGGATATTTAGGCTGAGGCCTGGAGGAGAAGGACCTTGTGAATATCTGGAGGAAGAATGTCCCAGAGAGAAGGCTATAGCATGTGCAAAGATCCCAGGAAAACAGGGAAAGTTTGAAGTTTAATAGGAGCAGAAAGAGCGAGCAAGTGGTGTGACTGAAGGCTCGAGAGAGCAGGGCCCAGCTTACAGTGGAGGCCCATAGGCCTGTTCCCTCACGGCTACACTCTCAGAGCTAACCATTCCTAGGAGGACCCGTGAGAAAGTGCATCAGTGGCTTCCAGTTCCTTCCTGTGAATTAAATAAACTCCAGTTGCCACTGGAAGCTAGAGGAAGTCCTGAGTCTCTATAGCAAAGACTTCCAAGGAAGGGAGAATTGCATCTTAGGTAAAGGTGATGAAACTATGAATCATCCTGGGGGTGAATCAGGAGATAAGGAAGGCAAAGAGAAATAAGAAAATACAGGCATATTAACAGAGAAATGGTTAAACAATTATGGTATAGCTACATAATGGAACACAATTCAATCAGCAAGAAGAAAGAAGTTTACTCTTTCCATCCTGATGTAGAAAGATCTACAATTAGTTGTTAAGCAAAAAAAAAAGCAAGGTGCAGAACTGTGTGCTCAGTACATTACCATTAGTATGAGATAGTATGTCTTTTGCAATATACGCACACAAGCTCTCTAGAAAGGATACACACACAAGGTGTCTAGGAGGGGTTTCCTTGTTTCTGCATCCCCCCAGGAGATGTGCACTCCAGAACGAAGCTTTTCACTATCTCCTCTGCTGTTTGGGAAAATGGAAGTATATTTCCTATTCAAAGAAATTAAATTAAAAATGAAAACAGGCCAGGCGCAGTGGCTCACACCTGTAATCCCAGCACTTTGGGAGGCTGAGGCAGGCAGAGCATAAGGTCAGGAATTCGAGACCAGCCTGGCCAACATGGTGAAACCCCATCTCTACTAAAAATACCAAAATTAGCCGGGCATGGTGGTGCATGCCTGTAATCCCAGCTACTGGGGAGGATGAGGCAGGAGAATTGCTTGAACCCGGGAGGCAGAGCTTGCAGTGAGCCGAGATCGCGCCACTGCACTTCAGCCTGGGCAACAGAACAAGACTCCGTCTCAAAAGAAAAAAAAAAAAAGAAAAGAACACAAAGAAAAGGCAATGAGGGGTCGAGATCTACCAACCAAAGCTCTGTGTGTTCCAGCCTCTCCTGCCCCTTGGCCTCTGCCAAGATGAACCTCAGAGATGCCCCCTCATCCTCCTAGGGAACTAACTATTGGGCAGCCACTGGTTCCTGGTCTAGATTTCACTCCTAGTTGTAATGATGGTTGTGACGGTCTAGTGACCAAATAAATTATCCCGAAGAGTCTAGAATTAATTCCAATTCCCAAATGTGAATTATCAAAGCACCTTTCTCAAGAGGGCACCCTAGGGTGAATAAACAAGTTAATAATTATCAAATGGACATTGGATTCCAATTAAGTGTCCAGCACCTTGGGAGTGTCAATCAGTGTGAATGAGGAGAGTGTGACTCTGTAACTCATAGTCCTTTCCCTCCATCTCCAGGTTTCTCAACCTGGACGCTGCTGACTTTTGGGCTGGAAAATTCTTTGCTGTTGGGGGCTGCCCTGTGCATTGTAGGATGTTAGCAGCATCTCTGGCCTCTACCCACTAGATGCCAGTAGCACCCGCCCCCCCTAGCTGTGACAACAGAAACTGTCTTCAGAGATTGCCAAATGTCCCCTTTGGAGCAAAATCACCCCCAGTTGAGAACCACTGTTCTCATCACTGCATTTCCAGGTAACGGCTTCATTCTCCCCCCATCAGAAGCTGGTGATCTCCCCTCTGCCTCTACCCCAGGTGGGTTGCCATAGAGGCTGAGGGATTGACGGAAACTTCATTGTGAGGGAGTTCCCCGAGTTTCATATGTGGCAACCAGTCCTAACTCCCTGGGAACCTCTTCTGTCTCAGGGAAAACAGCAATCTCAGATTTTATAAAATAACGATCTGCGGACAGGAATCTCTCCCATGACTAGAAGGCCCAGACAATTAAAAGGCACCCCTGTGCAGGTTGATAATGAAAGCAGAACACATGCAGGCTGGCCAGATCCTACTCTATGGCATCCCAAGATTGCAGGGATGAGGGAGCCCGGGGGAGTGAGTGCCATTTCCTCCTGTGATTATTTTCCTACAAGTGACAGAAAGAAAGGAGCGAGGCACCGTGAAGGTGCACTCAGGGTCATTTTGTAACCAACAGGGTGGACAGGTAGGTGAGCCGGCCGTTGTCTCTCCTTCCTTTCCCAAGGACGTAATTCCCAATGGACAGCTTTCTTTGGAAGGCAAAGAAAAAGGGACTGTATTTCTATGTTTTGATTAATCTGAGGCTCATCCCTGAGGGCTCCGTGAAATGAATGAGCAGAATTTTCCATGGCCAACTGTCCTGGCTGCCGGGTCCTATCGGCAAAAGCGTAGTGTTTATTTACTTTTGCTCGTGTTATTTTTATTCCAGTTCAGCTGCAGCTCAGTGCGGAAAGCGTGGGGGAGGTGTATATAAAGAGTACCGAGACTGGCCAGTACTTGGCCATGGACACCGACGGGCTTTTATACGGCTCAGTAAGTATGAAGCTGACATGCTTCCAGACGTGGCCAAGGTTTGAGGTTTCCAGAAATCTTGTTACATGGAGTGAGGCAAACTATAAAGCAACAATTAGTCTCTGTTTGTTATTTTTTCCAGAAGGATTCCCACCCTCACTCTGCTTTATTTTAGGCACAAACATAAAAGAGTTTCTTGTAGTATTCTCTCAAAACTCTCAAATGTATTATCATATAAACACAGAGTAAAGATTGATTGATGTTTTGGTAACTCTTCAATCACTCATTTTAGAATATCTAATCCCATTCCATTCATTCATTCATTCATTCCAAAAATGTTTTTCTTTCTTTTTTTCACTTTGAGACAGGGTCTGGCTCTGTCGCCCAGGCTGGAGTGCAGTGGCACAATCATGACTCACTGAAGCCTCGAACTCCTGGGCTCAAGAAATCCTCCCCCCTCAGCCCCCTGAGTAGCTGGGACCACAGATGAATACCACCATGCCCAGCTAATGTTTTTATTTTTTGTAGAGACAAGGTCTCACTATGTTGCTGAGGCTGGTCTCAAACTCCTGGGCTCGAGCGGCCTCAGCCTTCCAAAGTGCTGGGATTATAGGCCACCACACACAGCCCAAAAATGTTTCTTGAGTACCTAGGTACTACGTGCTATAGGTGTGTCTCTTATTGCTTTTTACACAAATGGCAGAGCCTGGGCTTTCATAGTTTATATGTCATGCACAAAACTTTGAAAATAGCCCCTTTTATTCTGAAAGGATCACCTAAAAGGATAGAAAGCTTAATAACTTAATTCAACATTTATCAAATGTCTCCTGTGTCTAAGTGCCATGTTAGGTACTGAAAGGGTGTGAGGATGAATGAGCTGCAATGGAGAGGCATAGTCTAATTGTTTCTTCAGTAGCTAAAATCCTCCATGTTCCCTGCCCTTTCCCTATCATAGCTAGTGCTTTATACAGGTTTGACCATGTATAGATAGGTCTTTATGGGAAAGGAATAGAAATAGAGGCAATGTGATTTTGCCCCTATTGGTATCTCTGTGACAGGAGTTAACTGGAGAGACAGCTTAAACCAATGACTGCGGGTTTTGAAGTTATTTCTAGATTTTAATGTTCCCTCCTCTGTATCCTAACAGTTGATAAACTAAGGCTTGGCTGTAATTCCTAGCCCAATCCACACCCCTTTCCTCCCTTTTATGAAGATGTCTTCAAAAAGACAGTCAGTAGGGGGAATTTTAGTCTGGAGCTTCAACTTACATCGAATTGCCAAGTGACAGAGGGCACAGAAACCCTCTCTTGAAGTTGTCATCTCAGCCAAGGGTCCCAATGTGAACACAGCTTCGTTTCCTCTCACTGCCCACTAGGGATCAGGAGATTAAATCATCAGCGTAATAGGTAACCTCTAAAATGCTATGTGCTCAGTACAGATCACCTGGGACGGCTTTAAGGGGTTTGGCAGTAGGGGATTTTTTTAAGGTAGTTCTTCCAAGTGGTAGTAAAATCAATCCATCAGTCAATCGCTTAGTCTCAGACTCATGATTGAATCTCACGCCTCTGCCACTCTGGCAAGTCACTTACCCACTCTGAGCTTTGTCTAAAATGAGGACAGTCATGGATCATAACCGCCTCACACAGAGCGTACATGGGTTCAGTGGTGCAACACACAGAATGCGCCCATCAGAGTGGCTGGCACGTCACAGACCAGTGGTGGCTGTAAGACAAGTCATCAGCTTAGAAGCCCCTCACCCTCACTGTGTCTTAGGTTATGCCACAGTTTTATGGCTTTTCCCTCTTTAAATAAATTTTGACGTTTATTGTAACCTGCTTTCACTTATATAAAAATATTGAGGGAGAACTCCCAGAATCTAATTTCCGATAGGCTCCAGGCACCCCCTTCTCCCACCATAGCCGTGGCCATCACTACAATTCACCTGAAATATGATCTTAGTATATTACGCCTAAGAATGTTTGCATTTTCCCCATTGATAAAGAGAAGTTCTAAGATATCTCAAAGCTCTGCTTCATGCTCTTCATAAAATTTAGGCACTAATCCATCCTGATTCAAACTTGTGTGTGTGGAAAGGATATGTATATTTTTTTTAAGTTTGAAAGGCTATATATCAAAATACTGATATAGTTATCTCTGGGGGTGGAGAATGGGTGATTTTATAATATGTGAATAACTTCCTGTATTTTCCAATTTTTTTTTTACAGTAAGTATATGTCACCTATGTAATTTAGGGTGGGAGGGGAAACATGCCAAATATAAAAAAGAAGACAATTTAAACAATAGACATGAATCAATAGTTAAGCCACATGTCTTCAGCATTGTACCAAGTGCATAATGAGTGCTAACAAATCCTGGTGGAGGGACGGAGCACCGCTGATCTGGCCTGCTGACTCAGCCTGTGACTCAGCTATTTTGTGTGTGTCAACTCCTCCAGTATAATAGAGACATCAGGTGGGGAATGTGGCCATCCTCACCTTCGTCACAGAACACAGGCCTGATGCCCACTATGAGGTGTCAGGCATGAGTCCTCCCTACAAGGGAGTGGGCAACCCACATAGGTCCAAGCTGTCTACCTCCTTCTACCCCCAACAACATGCATCAAACACGAATGTCTGCACCAAGTTCCTCTAGAGGCAGCAGAGTCATCCAATAAAATATTATATTTATATCTCATCTTGTTCCAATATGATCTAAAGTGTCTCACCCTGTTGTCATTTCACTAGATTATGAATGAATAAGAAGCAGGATACTTCCTGTTACACAGTTCCTTACTAAGAAAGGCTGACTTTACTGACTGCTTTATATTATCTCAAGAATCAAATTAAATGCATTACTTAGCTGGTGAGCACCTATTATTTGCAAGGCTCTGTGTCTGGGGGATGGAGAGAAGACCAACAAGATTCCATCTCCTTCCTCACTAGGGTTTATAATCTAAAGAAACAAACATGCTCACACATAGAGAACAATGAACAATATAATTGGAAACCGCCAGACAGGGAATCACCAACCACTGTGGGTGAAGAGAGACTGCAGGGGTCACACGACTTGAAAAAGGCAAAGCAAAGTCAGATGTCTCAGTTCCAGCATAAGTGTTTTAATATACCTGTTTTAGACCCAAATGTAATAAATATATTCTAAGATCTTGACGAATAGAAAGTTCAAAAACTGAGTTCCCCTTCCACCAACAGATTGACTACAAGTAAGCAAAATAGTGGTTGCTGGATTTTTTTCAAGTAACTGCACTCTTTAATACGTTGTGGCTGATTTTCAACTTAATAAATGTACAGCTGCACTGGGTTCTACTGTACGGATATTCTTTTACCCACTTAACCAATCACCTTTCCATGGACATATAGGTTACTCCTAATCGCTTGCCCCTATAACCATTGGTTCAGAGACCATCCTCAAAAATACAGTTGTACACTTACTCAACCATCTCCTAGGGGTAGATTCCTAGAAGTGAAATTGCTGAGTCAAAGGTAATACATCTTGTAAATTTTGATACATATTGCTAAATTGTCTTCAGAAAGTTTCCACTAATTTTTCTCGCCAACTGTGCATGGCAGTGCCTAGTTCCCACATTCTAAGTCTTGCAAATGGTTTTTTATCTTTGCACAAATTTTTTTTTATCTTTGCACATAGGATAGCTAACATATGATAAATAATTTTTAATTTGCATTTTTCTCGTTAGCAGTATTGAATGTTTTCATAGGTTTGTTGTTCATTTTTAAAACATCAAATAAAACATGACATTTTGATGATATCATAAGTCTATATCCATATAGCCTTATCTAGTCTGTATGTACATAAAGAGATGTAAGGCAGGATGTTTATCAGTGATTAACAGTTGCCTATATCTGGGTGGTGGGTTTTGGGATAGTTTTTTCTTTTTACAAAGTAAAGGTATATTTTTAAAAGTACAATTCTTCTTATAAGTAGCATTTTTATTACTCTTTAGAGACAGGTTCTTGCTCTGTCACCCAGACTAGAGTGCAGTGGTACAATCATAGCTCACTACAGCCTCAAACTCCTGGGGTCGAGCAATCCTCCTACCTCAGCCTCCTAAGTAGCTAGGAGGACAGGCACACACCATGGCACCTAGCTAATTAAAAAAAAAAAATTGTAGAGAATGGGTCTTGCTATGTTGCCCAGACTGGCCTCAAATTCCTGGGCTCAAGCAATCCTCCTGCCTCAGCCTCCCAAAGTGTTGTAATTACAGGCACACACCATGGCACCTAGCTAATTAAAAAAAAAAAAATTGTAGAGAATGGGTCTTGCTATGTTGCCCAGACTGGCCTCAAATTCCTGGGCTCAAGCAATCCTCCTGCCTCAGCCTCCCAAAGTGTTGTGATTACAGGCACACACCATGGCACCTAGCTAATTAAAAAAAAAATTGTAGAGAATGGGTCTTGCTATGTTGCCCAGACTGGCCTCAAACTCCTGGGCTCAAGCAATCCTCCTGCCTCAGCCTCCCAAAGTGTTGTGATTACAGGCATGAGCCACTGTGCCTGACCACAAGTAGCATCTATTTATAAGATTCTTTTTATAAGTAGCAAAAAATAAAGCTATTTTCATTTTAAAAAATCTACATTCTAGGATATGTTTCATGCTTAGGATAAATTTTGCACAAGCATATCTTCATAACAATACTCAGGTAAAATCCTGACGTTAGTGAAAATCACCAGGATAAAAGGCATTTTAGCAGCTTTTTGTTTATTCTTTAAGTCTAGCCTTCAAGTTAAAACAACAGCAACAACAACAACCCACTACATCACAGTCTGGTTTTTACCTATTTGGAATGTTTTTCCATGGTCAGGCCTGTGTGCCAGGCCACTACAGAGATGAAAGATCCAGCCCTGCCCTCAAGGTACTTACAGTCGAGCAGAATGTCCCCAGTGGGAGATTCTAGAGTCCTGAGGACTCTTAGAAGTGCTCTTATCAGTAGCATCTTAATTACTTTACAATGGATTTTAAATGGAAAGGAAGTTTACAATAATAGCAAATGCATATTGACAGCTCTTTAGTGCCCGGTGCTGTTCTAAGTCCTTATGACTACCCTGTGAAATAAGTTCCACCATGACCCCAATTTTCCTGAAAAGGAGACTGAGGCATGGAGAGCTTTAGTATTTTGCCCAATGTCACACAGCTAGTAAATGGGGACCCCCATGTGAAACTACTCACTGATTGTCCTACTCTCTTTTGGTTTTATCTTTTTAGCAGACACCAAATGAGGAATGTTTGTTCCTGGAAAGGCTGGAGGAGAACCATTACAACACCTATATATCCAAGAAGCATGCAGAGAAGAATTGGTTTGTTGGCCTCAAGAAGAATGGGAGCTGCAAACGCGGTCCTCGGACTCACTATGGCCAGAAAGCAATCTTGTTTCTCCCCCTGCCAGTCTCTTCTGATTAAAGAGATCTGTTCTGGGTGTTGACCACTCCAGAGAAGTTTCGAGGGGTCCTCACCTGGTTGACCCAAAAATGTTCCCTTGACCATTGGCTGCGCTAACCCCCAGCCCACAGAGCCTGAATTTGTAAGCAACTTGCTTCTAAATGCCCAGTTCACTTCTTTGCAGAGCCTTTTACCCCTGCACAGTTTAGAACAGAGGGACCAAATTGCTTCTAGGAGTCAACTGGCTGGCCAGTCTGGGTCTGGGTTTGGATCTCCAATTGCCTCTTGCAGGCTGAGTCCCTCCATGCAAAAGTGGGGCTAAATGAAGTGTGTTAAGGGGTCGGCTAAGTGGGACATTAGTAACTGCACACTATTTCCCTCTACTGAGTAAACCCTATCTGTGATTCCCCCAAACATCTGGCATGGCTCCCTTTTGTCCTTCCTGTGCCCTGCAAATATTAGCAAAGAAGCTTCATGCCAGGTTAGGAAGGCAGCATTCCATGACCAGAAACAGGGACAAAGAAATCCCCCCTTCAGAACAGAGGCATTTAAAATGGAAAAGAGAGATTGGATTTTGGTGGGTAACTTAGAAGGATGGCATCTCCATGTAGAATAAATGAAGAAAGGGAGGCCCAGCCGCAGGAAGGCAGAATAAATCCTTGGGAGTCATTACCACGCCTTGACCTTCCCAAGGTTACTCAGCAGCAGAGAGCCCTGGGTGACTTCAGGTGGAGAGCACTAGAAGTGGTTTCCTGATAACAAGCAAGGATATCAGAGCTGGGAAATTCATGTGGATCTGGGGACTGAGTGTGGGAGTGCAGAGAAAGAAAGGGAAACTGGCTGAGGGGATACCATAAAAAGAGGATGATTTCAGAAGGAGAAGGAAAAAGAAAGTAATGCCACACATTGTGCTTGGCCCCTGGTAAGCAGAGGCTTTGGGGTCCTAGCCCAGTGCTTCTCCAACACTGAAGTGCTTGCAGATCATCTGGGGACCTGGTTTGAATGGAGATTCTGATTCAGTGGGTTGGGGGCAGAGTTTCTGCAGTTCCATCAGGTCCCCCCCAGGTGCAGGTGCTGACAATACTGCTGCCTTACCCGCCATACATTAAGGAGCAGGGTCCTGGTCCTAAAGAGTTATTCAAATGAAGGTGGTTCGACGCCCCGAACCTCACCTGACCTCAACTAACCCTTAAAAATGCACACCTCATGAGTCTACCTGAGCATTCAGGCAGCACTGACAATAGTTATGCCTGTACTAAGGAGCATGATTTTAAGAGGCTTTGGCCCAATGCCTATAAAATGCCCATTTCGAAGATATACAAAAACATACTTCAAAAATGTTAAACCCTTACCAACAGCTTTTCCCAGGAGACCATTTGTATTACCATTACTTGTATAAATACACTTCCTGCTTAAACTTGACCCAGGTGGCTAGCAAATTAGAAACACCATTCATCTCTAACATATGATACTGATGCCATGTAAAGGCCTTTAATAAGTCATTGAAATTTACTGTGAGACTGTATGTTTTAATTGCATTTAAAAATATATAGCTTGAAAGCAGTTAAACTGATTAGTATTCAGGCACTGAGAATGATAGTAATAGGATACAATGTATAAGCTACTCACTTATCTGATACTTATTTACCTATAAAATGAGATTTTTGTTTTCCACTGTGCTATTACAAATTTTCTTTTGAAAGTAGGAACTCTTAAGCAATGGTAATTGTGAATAAAAATTGATGAGAGTGTTAGCTCCTGTTTCATATGAAATTGAAGTAATTGTTAACTAAAAACAATTCCTTAGTAACTGAACTGTCATATTTAGAATGGAAGGAAAATGACAGTTTGTGAAAGTTCAAAGCAATAGTGCAATTGAAGAATTGACCTAAGTAAGCTGACATTATGGTTAATAATAGTATTTTAGATTTGTGCAGCAAAATAATTTCATAACTTTTTTGTTTTTGTTACTTGGATAAGATCAATCTGTTTTATTTTAGTAAATCTTTGCAGGCAAGTTAGAGAAAATGCAGTGTGGCTTAACGTCTCTTTAGTATGAAGATTTGGCCAGAAAAAGATACCCAGAGAGGAAATCTAAGATAATTATAATGGTCCATACTTTTTATTGTATGAATCAAACTCAAGCATAACATTGGCCAAGGAAAATTAAATACCATTGCTAACTTGTGAAATGGAAGTCTGTGATTTCGGAGATGCAAAGCATTGTAGTAAAAACACCAATGTGACCTCGACCATCTCAGCCCAGATATCATTCATATATCTGTTCAATGACTATTAAGGTGCCTACTGTGTGCTAGGCACTGTACTGGATACTGGGGACCTTGTCTGTCTGGTTTGCTGCTGTATCTTCTCCCAGGGCATTATATTTATGATGAAAGATGCTGTGGATTCAATTCTTTCAGTCAAGAATAAACACAGACTTTGTAGGTTCCTGCTGAATAAAGCAAATCCCAGAAACCCAGATTTTGGAAGAATCAGCAACCCCAGCATAAAATAAACCCCTATCAAAATGTCAGAGGACATGGCAAGGTAAACTTAGCATTTTCAACTTTAGAACCGGGTCAGCTTCAGGGGGACTGCTTTCAAATCAGCCAAAGAGCCTGTCAGATCTTCTTAGAAGGAAGAGGTTGGTAGTTCCCTGCTCTGTTTTGAACATGCTCTAGTTTATTAACCTGGGGACATTCCCATTGCTGTCTTAAGTAAGTCTCATAGCCAGCTCCTGTCACGTGACTCTCATATGGATTCATTTTCGGGCCAGCTCTGAACAAAGCATCATGAACATATGTGCTTTTGGTCGTTTGCAATGTGATGGTGGTGGAGGTAGGTATTGGTTTCCTTGGAAGGCATGATAAGAAAGATTCACAATGGCCAACAGTGTGTATGAACAAAAAACTGATTGGAGCATCAGCTAGTACTGAAGGTCCTTGCTTTGTGTCAGAGGCAAAGGAACCCAAGGCGCCAAGTCCTCAGCCTTGAGTGTACTGCTGACAACTAAACTCACAGGCTGCAAAGCAGACCTCTGATGAAGATGCCTGTTATTTCACATCACTGTCTTTTTGTGTATCATAGTCTGCACCTTACAAATATTAATAAATGTTCCAATAATAGGTGATAATGTCTCTGAGTTTCTGAGCATCCTGCTGCCTCATCTTTCTATCAAAGGACCTCCCCAGCATCCCTGAGGTGTGGCTGCTTAGTTTTCGATACTTACCTTGTTACCAGATGTCAGACTTTAAAGGCTAACAGGGAATGCGAAGGTAGAAACATTTTTCAATGTGTTTGGAAACAGAAGGCAGTATGGGTGATTTTCTACATTTCTGTTAGGGTAATATACATATACAGGAAATTCGCCTCCTGAGGAGCCAGGCACCATAAATAACTCAGGTGAAACTTTTTCTTCTTAACATAAACCATGTAAAATTATGCTACTATTGTTGAGGTGACTGGCTCGTGCTTAGGCAAAGATATGATATGGCCTGAAAAAAAAAAAAAACATTTAAGGACTTATTTACAATTTTAAGTCAATGGCAAGAGGGTGGATCTCTTCATCTTAAGAGCCCTGGTGTGGAGCTATAGATTTGCTTCTCAGATTTTCTAAATTATCATTTTAAGCAGTGTTTCCTTAAATAAACCTCTGGATCTTATGACATCTTATTCTTAGGAGGAAGTACGCTGCTGCCTAGTACATCATGCAGAATCACACACACAGGCACACACACAGATGCACACGCATCGTCTAAGGAAAAAGGTGGGGAGAGTGTGCTCACTCTGCTAATTACATACCACAATATTGGTATACCACAGTCAATCCTTTCTTTTCCTTCTAAAGTTGCCTAAAGCAATATTTTTCTACTTTTTGGATCTTGCTCCACCATAAGAACTAATTTTCCATTACAAACTGGCACATACATACTGTTATACATACACACCACTGAAACAAAAATTTCGCAAAACTAGATGAGGGGCACTTTGATTCTTCAGTTACATTCCACTAAAACACACTAGTCAAACAGCATTTAACTTGGTTGACAACATTCATGGGTCACAACCGCAGTTTGAAAAACACTGACTTAAAGCAACTGTTCTTCCCAAAGATGGCGAGACCCAATGAGGATCTTGTGTTATGACTTTAGTGTTTTCAAAGACGCAGTTTGTTCTTGAGTAAACAAGACAAGAGGACATCCTGTTACCCAGGAACCATCTGTTTTGAAGGCTCTGTTAATTCTTTTAGCCTGGTTTGCTGCTAATCATGCAAAATGAATGTAATGGAACAGATTCCATGGGCGCCCACTGCTGCCTCCAAGGCTGGTCTAGCAGATTTTTCTGCTCTTGGAAGCCCTGGAGACTTTGACCCCCCCTCCCCCTCCTTTGGAATTCTCATCACGTTGGGTCTTGAAGTCATTCCCTCCCTAACTCCCACAGTCTTCACTTCATTCCTCTCTGTTGCCTCCCCAACCCCTCACCAATTCCTAGTTCTTAACCATATCTAATAAAAACATAAAAAGCAGATTGAACCAAGAAAAGGCTATAACCTGGGGCCTCTATGCATCTTCCCCAGCTCCCATCACTTTCTGGAAATGATCCTCTCTCACCTCTTATCTACCTTTTAAAAAGTGTGCCATTCCTGGCTCAGTCATAAGCTAAACACCATTGTTCCTGGTATGCAGCTTATACAGGGATCTGCATTTTCCATCTTGGCTGAACCAACTAAACAAAGTAATTCTATGTCTTAAATATTTGGTGGGGTGTGGGTGGCTGAGAATGGACCTCCTGTCAGTGAACTTGACCACAAAGAGAAAAATATAAATATAGTCTTCACTTTTCATATTTATCTGAGTGATGTCCCATTTATCATGGGGTGGGAAGAGAGGAGGAATCTCCAATCCTAAGCACTTTTGGGTTGTTATATTAGCTAGTATGGTAGTAGTAGCACATCAGACAAAAATGTGCTGTCAACTACACTTTCACAAATTAACAAAAAATATTTTTAGAAGCAGTAGTGACAATGTGGAAATATTTAAGCCCAACTGAGCAGCAAGACTTGTATGTTCTCCATTTCAAAATGACTAGGGATGATTTGTTTGATGACCGTTAAAATTGAAATAATGGCTATTAAAAAGTGGCACCCCCTCCTTCGAATCCACTCCCCAAAGCTGTCCTCCACCCCCCAGAAAAAACTCCTTTTGCCATTGTATATAAATGTACACTAAAATCCACTCAGAGAACTCAGAGCTTTAGGCTTGGGGATCTGACACTAGGGACTCCAGACCCTAGTGATTGAACTACCATTCTCTCAAGTAACAAGGGAAATGTACTAAATGACTATTGGAATCTTTCTGCAACATTGGACCCACTTTGCGGTTGACATATTGACCATGACATACTACACTGTTAGCTTTCCACCCTAGTTATAAAATTAAAAAGAGAAACCAGGTCACACACAGCCTGAAGCCAGAGGGTGGGTTTGCTTTATAAAATGCACATACTGTAGGACCTTGCTTTGGGGTCTTCTGATGGTTCTGAGAATGTTTGTGATGTGGGAAGGAGGTATTTCCCAAATTGCTTCCTTCCTTCTTAGCTCCCCACTGTCACGCAGGCTATATTTACACATTCAGCAGCTAAACATTGGTGTCTGTTTTATTACATAAACAAGGAAAACCTCACATGTCCTTGATGTGCTTTTCTATCAGCCTTAATGAAAGGTTGGGCATTCCCTGTTTGGAACTGTGTTCAATTTAAGGATTTGGTTCACTTGGCCAAAGTGTTTGGGGATAGAGATGTAAATAGTCAATTTGTGCGAATTGTCACAGAGACACACTTCACTGTGATTTTCACATTTCATGTTTTCTTAGGAAATAATTTTTTTTAGTCTGACCCATAGATACATAAGAGTAAGATGTTGGATTATTTTCTAACATGCCTTATTCTCCAAAATAAGTTATAGGAACGTATTATATACTACCTTGTTTTGCATGGTTTAGAAAAACAAGACTGTTCAGAGCCTGGGAATATCAACTGTATTAAGAGTTTAGCAACTTCCTGTGGAAATGAATAGTAAAATCTATTGCATTCTCAAAATAGAACACCTGCAGTAGGGACAGTGCTATTGACCCAGGAAATGGTACAAGTTTTAAGACTGGGCAGATTGTTTCTACTAATATGGGACAAAATTGCAAATCCAAGATGGTTGTGCAGAGAGAGCACACGAGAGGGAAATATGTTTCTATATCCTTGGTGCTACTGAAATCTGCTGTATATTTAATTGAGGTGAAAAAGAGGTAGGTTTTTGGTTTTTGTTGTTTTTTTTTTTGAGACAGAGTCTCACTCTGTCACCCAGGCTGGAGTGCAGTGGTGCAATCTCGGCTCACTGCAACCTCCACCACCCAGGTTCAAGTGATTCTCCTGCCTCAGCCTCCCGAGTAGCTGGGACTACAGGCACCCGCCACCACGCCCGGCTAATTTTTGTATTTGTGGTAGAGACGGGGTTTCACCATGTTAGCCAGGATGGTCTCGATCTCCTGACCTCATGATCCGCCCGCCTTGGCCTCCCAAACTGCTGGGATTACAGGTGTGAACCACAGTGCCCAGTCAAAAAGAGGTAGGTTTTATAGATTGCTTGAAAACGTATAAGAATTGCTTGAACCCAGGAGGTGGAGGTTGCAGTGAGCTGAGATCATGCCACTGCACTCCAGCCTGGGCAACAGAGCAAGACGAAAGAAAGAGAGAAAAAGAGAGAAAGAAAGAAAAGGGCAGGGTAGGGCAGGGCAGGGCAGGGTAGGGCAGGGCAGGGCAGGGAGAGAGAGAAGAGAGAAGAGGGAGGGGGAGGGAGAAAGAAATGAAAGAAAGAAAAAAAAGAAAAGAAAGAAAAAAGGAAAGAAAGGAAGGAAGGAAAAGGAAGAAGGAAAGGAAGGAAGAAACGAACGAGAGAGAGAGAGAGAAAATGTATAACTCTGAGAAACTTCACTTCAAAAAACTTCACTCTGTCACCCAGGCTAGAGGGCAATGGCATGATCTCGGCTCACTGCAACCTCCGCCTCCTGAGTTCAAGTGATTCTCCTGCCTCGGCCTCCTGAGTAGCTGGGACTACAGGCGAGTATCACCACGCCCGGCTAATTTTTGTATTTTTAGTCAGGGATTTGCCATGTTGCCCAGGCTGGTCTCGAACTCCTGACCTCAAGTGATCTGCCCGCCTCAGCCTCCCAAAGTGCTGGGATTACAGGTGTGAGCCACTATGCCCAGCCCATCCATTAACCATTTATTGTCTATATTAGTCAGGGTCCAGTCAGGAGACAGAAACCAGACAAATCATTTGAACAGGGGGGATATTTTAATGGAAAGAATTGTTAACTAGTAAAAGGGATTAACTACTAAGAAGGGTAAGGAGATCTCTAAAGAACATTGGAATAGCAGGTGTAGAGAGCAACTACTATCTTCAAAGCTGAGGAGAGTACTCAAGGAAGGAACTCACTTGAAAGAGGACACCCTGTGAAGATGAGATTCAGGCTGCATTCGAGATGTGGCCATGGCCCACTGGATGGTGAAGAATTTCACCGAGGTGCTTCATTCCCACTAGAATGCTGGTGAAACTCTCTGGAAGCAACTTGCTGGGGTGCCAGTAAAACTCACCAAAAGGTGTGCACCATAGGAGCAAGAAGAAACACAGGAGCAAGAAGAAAAGCACAAGAACCCCAAAGAAATGCCCCTTCTTCTGATAGTGTCTCCCCAGCGCCCTCTACTGACAAACATTACTTCATATCAGCTCGTATAGAAATGTTTTCAGGGTTCCGCTTCACTGTAGCAAAACGATGCAAAGAGTAGATTTGGAGCAGAAAAGCAATAAACTGGTAACTGTCATAAACATGATTTAGATACTCTGCTAGATACAGAGTATTCAAAGATGAAAAAAGGTGGTCCTTTCTCTGAAAAAGCTTATAGTGGTGGAGAAAGTGCTAATCTTTTTGGCTTTATTTCCTTTAAAAAAAATGCTATCTTTCTAAGCCTTCTGAGATTCTCAGAAGAACACTAGGTATGTTCAAGGTACTATCTTTACATATTGTTAAGTCATTCCCTAATTTAAATTAACACAAATCAACGTGAGATACAGATACAGAAGAAGATAGCTTTGAAGTCAGACAGCCAGAGTTGGAATCTTGACTCCTCCACTTACTGACTTTGTAACTTTGGGCAAATTACTTAATCTGTCTGTGCCTCCATTTCCTCCTCTGTAAAATGAGGATACAAATAGTATCAACCTCACAGAGTTGTTGGGAAGATTGAGAGGGAGGCATGCAAGTATTTTTAACAAAATATCTAGCATATAATAAGGATTAAATAAACGTGCCATTATTTTTATAATAAATATCCTATATATTATATAATAAGATAGGACTAAAAATAACCTTTTAGAGCCTCCATTTAGGTTCCGAATGATCAATTTCATGAATCCATATTTGGAGAGATCTTGTTCCACAGCAGTGCGTATGAAAAAGATGAGAATCTTAATTGACTCCAAGTTTAATAAGACCCAGATGATGATAATTTCCCTATTGTAGTTTCAGCTGGTCAGTCCACATATGGACTATGGTATCTCATTCTAGATGCTGCATATTAAATAAACTTTTATAAATTTTAAAACAAAATTATGTGGAGAATAACGGATGACTAGTAAAGGGCCAGAAAAACATATACAAAACAAACAAACAAAAAACAACTAAAGAAACGAGACTTGTTTAGTTATGGGAAGATTTAAAAGATACCATAGCTCTCTTCAGCTAGTTCAAGGGTCATATCATATCGTTTTTCTTGCTCTAGTCATCAAAATGAGTATAGGCATTCTACAAAGTTCCAGCCTATCCCCTGTCTGCAATCTATATGGATGATCCTCAATAAAACCTTAACCTTCTTTCTAATCACCTGTCCTAATGTTACTTGGGAGGGGCACTGGTTAAGTCACTAGGTTTTTCATTCAATCGCTTGTCCATTCTTTCAACAAATATTTCTTAAGACCTAAATATGCACTCGGTCTGGTGGGTGCAAGGGTGCACAGTAAACCTCTTTCCTGGAGCTTACACTCTCATAAAGGGAGACAGATATTGATGAACACCTCATTTTTCAAATTTCAATCATTTGCATACTACTTCCAAAATTTTTGCCATATATACCTATTGTCTGATTATGGTACTTCTAATTCATATAATTTATGTAAGACGGATTGTTTTATCTACTTTAAGGCCCACTTTATGCAAAAATACTCATAAAAGTGTAAGTATTCATTACTAGTAGTACTATATAGATATTTCTTCTAATACACATTAAAATAAACATATAACTTTAACATCATAAAAGGACATCCACATATCATCTCTCCCATCATACAGATACCACACTTTAGCAAGTAATTTACCCAAGGAATCACACAGAGAAATGTAAAACTGCAACTGTCACAGCTGCTTGCAAAGAAGTATCCAGTGTCCTTGGACCATTTAAGAAGGGGATTTCACTTCATTTCACTTAAGAGCTTCCCCCAGTAAGTGAGCTGATATCTGAAGGAAGAGTAAGAGTTGACTAGTTAAAGAGATATGGCAAGGCTTGTGAAGAACACTCCAGATAGCAGCAGCAGCATGTGCCAAGGCCCTGTGGCAGGAAGAAGAATGATGCCAGCGAGGCTCAAGTATAGAAAGCAAGGGGCGGCAGGGCATGGTATGAAGGGAGGCCAGCCAGGGAGGTAGAAGCTAGTGATAGAAGAGGGAAGCTGGTGGACTTCATTCTCCACCATCTGCAGACAACCACATAGAAGCCACATATACGCGATCATCCTCTCTCCCCACACAGCTGAATTATAACACTTCCCTAGACCCTCTGCCAAAGGATACAAATAATCAGTATCAGCATGCACGTTTCTGGTCTAGAATCAAATATGAAACTCTGAAATGTATTTCAGACGTGAAACTTTGGAAGCTGAAGTTGTATTTGCTAAATACTTAGATCTTTCATGGAGGCTTTTATTCATTCCATTCAGCAGGTGGAGTAGAGGAAAATGCTTTTTATTCCCAGCATATTCCCTTAAACCCAAAAGGAAAAACAAGGTTTGCCAGCATAGCTGAGGTGCGAGTTAGAACAGGGAAGCAGTGATTCTGTTCTGTATCTGAGTCTCATTCATACTGAAAACATGAAGTAATTAGCTTCTTATTGCTGTACTTCCAGAGATTCTGAATTTGATGTTTCTGTCCAAGTTTGGGTAGCTATGCTACTATTCAGTCCAAAAACAAATGAGGCAGCTTAAAAAGAATCACACAACCAAAAACCACATCTTTCACAAGCTACAAAAACAGAAAGACAGCTTGGAAACTTTTCAGAGATGGTGCCAGTTTCATGATTCAGGGACAGGAGAAGGGAAATTGGCTGGCTGGAGGCAATGTCTTAATCTGGGTATGAAAATAGACAACATACATATGTTTTTATAGATCTAAGGAGGAAAACTCAACAGCTCACATTACTTTTCAGAATGTGACCTTAGAGTCCTAAGGTCAAATAGTGATCCCATGGAAAGAACAAAGAAACCAAAGGGAAATCAAGTGAATAGAGACAGAATATTTTTGGTATTCCAGGTTCTATAAGAAACATGACTGATTCTTTATAATAACCACTCTGAATTGATCTCATTCCTTTTTCTAAAAGGCATGGGGCTGGGTGCCATGCCTCACCATGTGAGCCACGGTGGCTGACATCTGTAATCCCAGCACTTAGGGAGGCCGAGGCAGGTGGATCATTTGAGGTCAGGAGTTCGAGACCAGCCTGGCTAACATGGAGAAACCCCATCTCTACTGAAAACACAAAAATTAGCCAGACATGGTGGCGCATGCCTGTAATCCCAGCTATTCGGGAGGCTGAGGCACAAGAATCACCTGAACCTGGGAGGCAGAGGTTGCAGTGAGCTGAGATCGTGCCACTGCACTACAGCCTGGATGACAGAGTGAGACTGTCTCGGAAAATCTCAGAAAAAATAAATAAATAAAAGTTTAAAAGGCATGGAGATCCGCCTTCCTGACAACCAAACAATAAAGTAGTTTCTGAATTCCTGGTATGGAAGAAGGGATTGTAATAGACACCAAAGAATCCAGAGAACAAAAAACCGACACTATTGAGAGCTTCACACTCACAACTTGGCTGGAGAATGTGATATACGAACAAATCATTAGAATGTAACAGGAGAGCACTAAGAGGAACATGGACTGGATGCTACCAGAACACAGGTAGGAGGAAAAATTCTTCCCAGGGGAGTTAGGGAAGACTTCCCAGATGAGTAACGTTTCAGTTCTATCAGAAGAGACAAGCAGGCACTATGGTTTGTATGTCTGCATGTCCCCAAAATTCATGTGTTGAAACCAAATCACCAGAGTGATAGTGGTGGGAGGTGGGACCTTTGGGAGGTGATTGGTCAATGGAATTAGTGCCCTTATAAAAGAGGCCTGATGGAACTGCCTTGTCTCTTCCACTGTGAGGACATAGCCAAAAGGAGCCATGAACCGCTTTCTACGAACCAGAAAGTGGGCCCTTGCCAGACACCAAATCTGCCGGTGCCTTGATCTCGAGCTTCCCAGCTTCCAGAATCGTGAACAATAAATTTCTGTTGTTTACAAGCTATTCAGTCTGTGGGTTTTCTTTTTTTACAGCAGCCTAGACAGACTAAGACAGCAGGTGTCTACCAGGTGGGGAAGTAGGAAAGGGAAGCAGGACCATGGAGTCTCACCTCACTCGTGGATTAGATACCAGAGAGTCACGCATGAAAGGGAGCCACAAGTGGTCAAAGTCACCCCCGACAAGCCTGCAGGGAAATGCATGTACCATCCTTGGGCAAATCCAACATGGCCGTTCCTTTCTCCCACATGGAAACAGATTACAGATCACTGCTTCTTCAGCTGAGCACCAGAGGAAGTCACTGACATGTGTTTGGGGGCTACATCCTATGAATATAGTGAATAATTAAGCACCATAATCACCCTTGGCCAAGAAGTGCTCCTGGTATGAGAGGCCCAGAAAACTGGGGTAACAGCAGACTCCCACCTCCCCTCTCACTGCCCGGAGCACAAATGCAAGGAGTAGAAGGATGAGCAGATCACCCATACTATTAACTGTGACTTTTTCTTTTCTCTCTCCTGAGTAAGTTTCTTTCCTGTGAGTTAACTGTGTGTGTGATGTCACTTTCCTGCCAAGTAGAGGGCACAAGCTCTGGAGTCCTCTGATGCCAATACTGTATTTGTGATTTCCCTAAGACTTGGTCTCCCTATCTCTAATACAGAGAGAATAGCATAAGCTTCTTCACACAGTTGGCAGGAGGATTCAGTGAACTAAGCCATGCAGATTGCACAGAAACACTGTGAGGCACAGGGAAAGTGGTCCATGAGTATCTACTATTACTGCTATTATTATGACTCCAGTCAGAGGAGACAGCACGGGTTTGGGCACAAGCACAAGAACACCAGGTTTAAAGGATGTTGAGCAGCACAACTTGCCAGAGGTGAAGCCTGTAAAGTAGGAAACTTACTTCACAAATCTGGGGAATTTGGGAAGGTTCTTTATTGCAGGACTAAGCTTCCACTCTGCCTTTAGGCAAGAAGGAACCAGTGGAGATTTTAAGCAGGTAAGTCATAACTTGACATTTTGATGAAACTGAGATAGCTCTAGCTGTAGTATGGAAAAGAAGATGGGAAAATCAGCCAGGAGGCTCCTGCAGGAGCTTGGTGTTGAGAAAAGGAGAAAATAAATTGGCCGGGTGCAGTGACTCACGCCTGTAATCCCAGCACTTTGGGAGGCCGAGGCAGGAGAATCACTTGAGGCCAGAAGTTTGAGACCAGCCTGGCCAACACGGTGAAACCCCATCTCTACCAAAAATACAAAAATTATCTGGGCGTGGTGGCATATGCCTGTAATCCCAGCTACTCAGGAGGCTGAGGCATGAGAATCACTTGAACCCAGGAGGCAGAGGTTGCAGTGAGCTGAGATCACGCCACTGCACTCCAGCCTGGGCAAAAGAACAAGACTCTGTCTCAAAAAAAAAAAAAAAAAAAAAAAGAAAGAAAGAAAATGAATTGACAATGATGATGATGACAATGACGATGATAATAATAGTCTTGGCGTGGGTCCCCCAAAAACAGACCCTGAGACCATGACTTGGGTGCAGGTTGAGAGGAAAGCCCAAGAAGTACAAGTTGAGGGAGGAGAAAGTCAGACATGGAAGGGAGAAGGGCCAACAAAAGGCATATCCCTGAGCAGGTCACTGCTGTAGAAAACTGGCCTTAATTCCAGTGGGGGCACTCTGAGGAATTATGGATGAAACACCTAAGAATTGCCCAAAAAGGGAAGCTGGGGTACTTACCCATTGACTTCCATCCTTCTCTGGTTGAGGGTTTCTACTAGAGGTGTAAATCCCAGGACTTCTGGGCTGCTCTGTCTCTGGAATGACAAGCTCCTGGAGCACTCAAGGAAGTCCTTGGGGAGAGAAAGACAGACAGGTGGGCTTTGAGGTGGGAAGCTTTGAGTTTGATTGGGAACTGTCCTTCAGGGCTGCATGAGAGCTCAGAAGTGGCTGACAGGATATGGGGGGTTGGAGAGGAGGAGGAGGAGGCGGAGGAAGAGGAGGAAGAGTAATTGCAGCAGGCAACCTTTACTGGGTGTTTCCCATGGGCCAGGCATGGTGCTAAGCACTTCATATAAATGCATTATCACAGTCTACCCTTACAACCCTCAGGAGGTGATGATGCTGTTTATATCTTCATCTTATAGATGGGGAAACTGAAGCACCAAGAGGATATATGATATACCCAAACTCACACAGCAAGTAAGTGATGACACCCATACTTGAGATCATGTATTCTGACTCCGGGGTCCACATCTTCCATCACTACTCCATACTGCATCAGAGAGAATGGCAGCATGCTGGGAATAAGGGATGAATCTGAGAACAATTTAGGGTAGTGCTGTCCACAGAATTTTCTATAATGATGGAAATGATATCTGTGCTGTGCAGTATGGTAGTCATTAGCCACATGTGACTCTTGAGCACTTGGAAATGTGAATTGTGTGACTGAAGAATTAAAATTTGAATTTTATGTAAATTTAATTAATTTAAATTGAAATAGCAATGCATGGCTAGTGGCTACTGTACTGAACAATGAAAATTTAGGAGGTAGACTATCCTGCACTGAAGAAGGTGATGGTGACTTAGAACTTCACCAACATGATGATGTTATACTGCATGGTGATGTGTGCCACAGTAAATTACTAAGAGTATTTAAAAATCTGAAATAAGGGTGGGCGTGGTGGCTTGTGCCTGTAATTCCAGCACTTTGCGAGGTGGATTGCTTGAGCCCAGGAGCCCAGGAGTTTGAGACCAGCCTGGGCAATATGGCGAAATCCCCTCTCTACAAAAAATACAAAAATTAGCCAGGTGTGGTGGCACACGCCTATATTGCCAGCTACTTGGGAGGCTAAGGTAGGAGGATCTGTTGAGCCTGGGAGGTTGAGGCTGCAGTGGGCTGGGATCGCACTACTGCACTCCAGCCTGGGCGACAGAGTGAGATCCTATCGCAAAACAAACAAACAAAATCTGAAATTAATGAATTTTAAATTTTTTATTTTAAAATATTATCAAATGATTGCAGATCCATAGTTTAAAAAGTCATACGATACTATAGGGTTTATAACAAAAAACAGCAGCTTCCCCTCCCATTGCACCCACTTCCTGCTCCCCAGAGGCAACTACTTTCATTTCCTCTAGATATTTCTTTTGATAACTTTGTATTTCTAAACGTCATGTTGATATTGCATTTCCTGATCTTTTTTTCAATATTAAACAGTGTCTATTTGCTTCATTATGGGAAATAAGGATTTAGCTTTTTGCCCTATCCGCCAGCCAGATGTATACATAGACTCTACTGCATCCCAGTGCCATTTGCACCCTCCCTATGTAGCCACAGCACACTGTTGGTTAGATCAACATTCAATGTTTACATTAGTAAAACTATGTAACTGTTAGTTGCATAAAGACCACACAGATGATTACGTGTCTTTTCTTACATCAGTGTCTGGTTTTTATTTCCTCCATTTTCAACCTACTTATCATTAGCTCAAGTCAGGTGCGGTGGCTCACACCTGTAATCCCAGCACTTTGGGAGGCCAAGGCTGGCGGATCACACCGTCAGGAGATTGAGACCATCCTGGCTAACACGGTGAAACTCTGTCTCTACTGAAAATTCAAAAAATTAGCTGGGAGTGGTAGCAGGCGCCTGTAGTCCCAGCTACTCAGGAGGCTGAGGCAGGAGAACTGCTTGAACCCGGCAGGTGGAGGTTGCAGTGAGCTGAGATCGCGCCACTGTACTCCAGCATGGGCGACAGAGCGAGACTCCCTCTCAAAAAAAAAAATAAAAAGTCATTAATTCAGCCCCAAACTTTCTGGTAAAACTCTAAAAAGCCTCTCAGTACAGTCAACTACATTGCTTATCACTTCAATTTTTCATTGCAATATCCGTTCTGAAGCCCTCCAATCTCTTTCTCCAATTCGTGAGGCTGTTCTTGGGGCCTTCTGCAGAGCAGTCACCCTGTGGCTTCCCTCCATGATTTTCCTGGGATTCCTTATAACTCCCTCCTGTTTTAAACTGGCTTTTCTAGGATCCCACAGAATCTTCTTTCTTGATTTATTCTTCACCCACCTACCCATCTTTTAGAATATCCTCCAGTAGCTTTTTTATAAATGGTACATGGAAAGTCCCTTTTTAAAGGGGCTTTGTGCTGAAAATGTCTTCATTCTAACCTTTTATTTCTGTGACAGTCTGGCTGGGTATGGAAATTTCAGTTGGAAATTATTCTCCCTCATAAACATGAAGGCATTGTTCTCTTGTCCCCTAAGAGTATTGAAATGAAAAAGTGTGATGTCATTCTGATTTCTGATCAATTACATGGCATGCCTTCTTTTCCTCTGGAAGTTTTCAGTATCTTCTTTGCATCAGTATTTGAAATGTTTTAATAATGAGTCTTAGTGTGGATCTTTTTATTCACTGTGTTGAGTTTGCGGTGGGCCCTTCCAATCTAGAAACGTATGTCCTTTGGTTCTAGGAAATTCTCTGGTGAAATTTCTTAGATAATTGTCTCCTATCCATTTATTAAGCATCCCCCGCCAACCCGGCTTTACTGTTAGTAGAAGCTTGACTTCCTGATTTGATCCTTTAATGTTCTTTTTTTTCTATCTCTCTCTTATTTTCCATCTTTTGGTGTTTTTTGTCATATTCTCTGGAAGATTTCTTCTACTTGTTTTAAATTAAGGAAGAATTAAAAGACGTAATAATTAAATAAATGCTTAGTCTTTGACTGGAACTTGATTTGCAAAATACAACTATGAAAGACAATTTTGAAAAAATTGGAGGAATGTGAATATGAAATGGGCATTAAATGATATTTAAAAATTATTAAGGATTTATTGAAGGATATTAGGGAATTATTATTAATTTGTATAGTGGTTAATTTTATGTGTCAATGTGTCTAGGCTGCAGTCCCCCAATATTTGGTCAAGTATTATTCTAGATACTTCTGTAAAGATATCTTCTATGTAAGGTTAACATTTAATTAGACTTTGAGT